>NC_000017.11:43185980-43810980 GCF_000001405.40 Homo sapiens | reverse complement strand
CTTTGCTTTGCTAATTTAGGAAAGCTGAGGAACTAAAGGCCTTTTCCCCTTTGGTGGTGTTTTAGGTTCCTGGAACATGGTGAATATAAGGAAAATCTGTATGGAACCAGCCTGGAGGCCATTCAGGCTGTTATGGCCAAAAACAAAGTTTGTTTGGTGGATGTGGAGCCAGAAGTGAGTTGCTGGGCCTGCTGGCCATTTCTGGTTAACGGAATTTATAACTAGGGGATTGTACATTTTACACAACACTTAACCTCAGTCTAAGGAATTTTTAGTCTAGAACACTGGCTGTTCAATTTCTTTGGGTCTTCCTTTGAGAATCAAATGAAAGCCTTGTACCCCAAAACATGCCCCTCTATCCACAAATGCTGCATTAATTGTAGGGAGCTTGTGGACACTCTGGTGGCCCACAGACCCAGGCTAGTAACTCCTGCGTGGAACAGATCATGCAATAGTTGGTGGCGCTGACTGGCCATTGCAATGTGCCAGAGAATTAGATGTCAGTACCCAGGTGAAACTGGGGCTGAGCTCTCGGTGCCAGGCCTCCCCCTCCCCAACCAGGGCAGGTGGAGTCAGTGGCTTAGAGAACCACTCAGGGAGGCAGTGAGGAGAGCAGTTTAAAGGGGAAAAAGAGGGAGGGAGACACGGCCCTGGGAAGTGCTTCAAAAACATTTCCACTCCTGCACACCCAGCATGCTGTGGACTCAGCAGGGGCTTAACCATCTTTTTAACCTTGTCTTTTAGAAAAACTTCCAAGCTTTGAACTCAATCTGGGGATTTTTTTTCCCCTCTATAGAAACAGATCTCTGATTTTATGCTATAAACTGTAGGCTTTATTTTAAAGAAGTTTGCTTGAAATATATTCCAAAAAGCACGTTATGCCTATAAAGGAAAACACTCATTTGGACTTACAGGGAGTTAGTGATCAAAATTAAAAGTCTGAGTTTCAAAATTTTCTTTGAAAAGTGATTTTATTGATCACTTTATTGATCAAGGGTGCAGATAATGCATATAGCAGTTTAATACTAGTGTTTCCAAGTGGAGCCCTTACTTCTAGATAAAATGCATTAATCAAGAGTACAATTTCTTTTTCTTTTTTTTTGAGACAGATTCTTGCTCTGTCACCCAGGCTGGAGTGCAGTGGTGCGATCTTGGTTCACCGCAAGCTCCGCCTCCCGGGTTCACGCCATTCTCTTGCCTCAGCCTCCCGAGTAGCTGGGACTACAGGTGCCCGCCACCACGCCTGGCTAATTTTTTGTATTTTTAGTAGAGACGGGGTTTCACCATGTTAGCCAGGATGGTCTTGATCTCCTGACCTCGTGATCCACCCGGCTCGGCCTCCCAAAGTGCTGGGATTACAGGTGTGAGCCACCGCACCTGGCCCAAGAGTGCAGTTTCTACAGTCTACAGTTTTAAA
Organism: Homo sapiens; assembly: GCF_000001405.40. NCBI lineage: Eukaryota > Metazoa > Chordata > Mammalia > Primates > Hominidae > Homo > Homo sapiens. The sequence continues at coordinate 43,809,563 of NC_000017.11, read as the reverse complement.
TGATCTGTTCAGTAATCTCATTTGCTTTGCAAACCTTTTCTTCTTTGAATACCAAGAGGAGATGTAATAGCACAAAGTTTGTAATAATGTAGTCCGATTGATGACATTTGACTAAATAGATACACACTGACTCCTGCTTCCTCACCCATCAGAAATGGAAGGTGGAGAGGAGCCTGAGAAGGTTAATTATAGCCGGAGGAGTCAGAGCTAAGAGAGACAGCAACTGTCTCTGAGCTGAGGCTTAGGAACCTTCTGTTGGCAGTGAGTGTGACTTCAGGGCCCCGCTGAGTTCAACGTCAAAGTGAAGGATGAGAAAAGGAGCAGTTGGTCTGCCCAGTTGAAGTCCATTGTCATGGGACCCATGTAACCAGGACCTTTGCTGTTGAGGTTATGGTATTGAAGCACACGATTATTGAGCTTTCAAAAGTCTATTTCACAACAAAACACTTCAAAAGTATATAATATTCCTGAACTTTCTTTCTCAGGCACTGAAACAACTGAGGACCTCAGAATTTAAACCCTATATTATATTTGTAAAGCCTGCAATTCAGGAAAAAAGAAAAACGCCACCTATGTCCCCAGCTTGTGAGGACACAGCAGCCCCATTTGTAAGTTTAAAGTTGATTGTTTCTTTTCTGAAGGCCTAAGGGAGGCTGTTACAGGAACGCTTCTAGCTGCATAAGGGTGCTTGCAGCTGAAGAGGGATGCGGGACACACCTTCTACATGTGATTGTCTTTCCATTTTGCCTATTGAAAAACTTAAGAGAAGATGATTACATGGCCAGAAGGCTCAAGGTGAACAGCTGGAAGTGCCTCCCAAACCAGGCAGGTGGCTTTGCCTGGGCTCACGCCCCTCCACTCCCTCACATAAGCGCCCTCCCGCAAAATGTGACACCTGTCAGGGACCTCATCTGAGTGTGACAGACTGTACTCATCAAACTATACTCCTAGGCCAAATCCAAGTATTTTAAATTGAAACCCCAACTAACAAGGTCATTATCACTGCTATCAAACCAGTTTGAATCATCAGTGAATGAAGGGATTTCTAAAACTAGTGGATGAGATCGTCTGATGTGTCCTAAATGAACTTCTGTTTCACTGTCATAGATTCTTTGTTCAGCCCAGTCTATGTCAGGATGGCGAGACCCTCACCCAAAACCTAAATATTTGACAGAGTTCTTCCAGGAGGTGTGGGCTTGGTGACTCATCTTTTTTGGTTCTTAACAGGGTCAGTTAGCAGAATGAGTTGGAAGTTGTTGTGGGTGGTGGGGGCAGTCAGAAGCAACTCAGTCCCAGAATAGACTTTACTTGCTGTCCTATATAGCTGGTTTCATCTGAAGGAGGCCTTCTCGGATCCTTCCCCTTGGTCAGGAAGCTCCCGCTGAGTCAAGATTTTGATGCAATCCTAGTTCATACTAATTCTCAGTTTTAACTGTCCACGTTGATACACTTTTTATTTTATTATTATTTTTTTAAAGACAGGGACTCACTATGTTGTCCAGGCTGGTCTTGAACTCCTGGGCTCAAGTGATTCTCCCACCTTGGCCTCCCAAAGTGCTGGGATTACAGGTGTAAGCCACTGTGCCCAGCCTTTTATTTTTTTGGGGACAGGATCTTGCTGTATTGCCCAGACTGGAGTGCAGTGGTACAATCATGGCTCACTGCAGCCTTGAACTCCTGGGCTCAAGCAGTCTTCCTTCCTCAGCTTCCTAGGTAGCTGAGACTACAGGCATGTACCATCAATGCCCAGCCAATTAAAAAAAATTTTTTTATAGAGACAGGGTGTCTCTGTGTTGGCCAGGCCGGTCTCAAACTCCTGGCCTCAAATGATCCTCCTGCCTCAGCTTCCCAAAGTGTTGGGATTACAGGTGTGAGCCACCGTATCTGGTCTCAGTAAATTATTTAGAATGGCATACATACAAGGAACATTAGAAATTCTCTCCTTGGCCAGGTACGGTGGCTCACACCTGTGTCTCAGCACTTTGGGAGGCTGAGGCGGGCAGATTGCTTGAGCCCAGGAATTCAAGACCAGCCTGGGCAACTTGGTGAAACCCCATCTCTACAAAAAAATTACAAAAATTAGCCAGGTGTGGTGGCACAAACCTATAGTCCTAGCTACTCGGGAGACTGAGGTGGGAGTGGGAGGATCACTTGAGCCTAATAGGTCAAGGCTGCAGTGAGCCATGACCATGCCACTGCATTCCAGCCTGCATGACACAGTGAGACTCTGTCTCAAAAAAAAAAAAATGTAGAAAAAAGAAAAATTTTCTCCTTTAGAAACTCTAAGGGGGAGGCTGGCATGGTGGCTCACGCCTATAATCCCAGCACTTTGGGAGGCTGAGGCAGGCAGATCACCTGACGTCAGGAATTCGAGACCAGCCAGGCCAACATGGTGAAACCCCGTCTCATACTAAAAATACAAAAATTAGCCAGGTGTGGTGGTGCATGCCTGTAATCCCAGCTACTCGGGAGGCTGAGACAGGAGAAACACTTGAACCCAGGAGGCAGAGCCTGCAGTGAGCCAAAATCACGCCACTGCACTCTAGCCTGGGTGACAGAGCAAGACTCCATCTAAAAAAAAAAAGACACAAGAAACTCTAAGGGGAATAGGGGAATATCAACTTAAGTCTAGAATCATTTAGAAACATACAATATTGGCTGGGTGCAGTGGCTCACACCTGTAATCCCAACACTTTGGAGGGCCAAGGCGGGTGGATCACCTGAGGTCAGGAGTTCAAGACCAACCTGACCAACATGGTGAAACCCCATCTCTACTAAATACAAAAAATTAGCTGGGTGTGGTGGCACGCGCCTGTAATCCCAGCTATTTGGGAGGCTGAGGCAGGAGAATTGCTTGAACTTGGAGGCAGAGGTTGCAATGAGCCGAGATTGCGCCATCGCACTATAGCCTGGGCAGCAAGAGCAAAACTCCATCTCAAAAACAAAAAAAAGAAACATACAGTATGCCCATCATATAACAAAAAAATCAGAGACAACCTAAATAATGTTCACTGTCAGGACTCAGTTCAATATACTCCATTATGTGACACTTACAGGATGTATTGAAGTATTATAGCCAGTTAAAAGCCATATGTTGGGGCCGGGAGTGGTGGCTCACGCCTGTAATCCCAGCACTTTGGGAGGCTGAGGTGGGTGGATCATCAGAGGTCAGGAGTTCGAGATCAGCCTGGCCAACATGGTGAAACCCCGTCTCTACTAAAAATACAAAAATTAGCTGGGCGTGGTGGCAGGCATCTGTAATCCCAGCTACTCGGGAGGCTGAGGCAGGAAAATCACTTGAACCTGGGAGGCAGAGTTTTCAGTGAGCTGAGATTGCACCACTGTACTTCAGCCTGGGCGACAGAGCAAGACTCTGTCTCAAAAAAATAAATTAATTAAATAAATAAATAAAAGCCATGTGTTGGAGGAATATTTGATGACATAGCTAAATACAAGAAAAAATAAATCAAAATAAAAAATCAGGATTCTAATTTTGTGTTACACACAAAATACACTAAAACGCTAAAGGCAATTCTCCCTGAATAGTGGGCTCATGACTAAATTTTGTTTTGTTTTCTGTGTGTTTTTTGGAGGGGGAGTTAACAGCTTTACTGAGATAAAATTTACATACTGTACAATTCACACATTTAAAGCATACAATTCAATGATGTATTCACAGAGTTGTTGCAACTACCACAGTCAATTTAAGAGTATTTTCATCACTTCAAAAAGAAACCTTGAGCCCATTAGAATTTCCCATTATCTGTTTTCCTCCAGCCCCTTCCTAGCCACAGGCAACTGCTAATCTACTGTCACTATAAATTTGTCTATTCTAAACATTTCATATAAATGGATTCATGCAATGTAAGACCTTTTGTATCTGGCTTTTTTCACTTAATATAATGTTTTTAAAGTTCATTCATGTATCAATACTTCATTCTTTTTTTATGGCTGAATAACATTCCATTGTATAGAGTACCACATTTTGTTTACCCATTTATCGATTAATGGACATTTAGATTGTTTCTACCTTTTCAGCTATTATGAATCATGTTATGAATGTTCATATACAAGTTTTTGTGTGAACATATGTTTTCATTTCTCTTGGGTGTATACCTTGGTATGGAATTGCTGGGTCATAGGGTAGTTCTATGTTTAACTCTACCATGGCAGCTGTACCATTTTACATTCCCAGCAGCAGTGTTCAAGAGTTCCCATTTCTCCACATCCTCACCAGCCCTTGTTATTGTCTGTCTTTTTAATCATAGCACTACTAGTAGGTGTGAAGTGGTATCTCATTGTGGTTTTAATTTGCATTTCTCTAATCATCAGTGAAGTTGAGCATCTTTTCATGTGTTTATTGGCCATTTTTATATCTTTCTTGGAGAAATGTCTGTTCAAATACTTTGTCCATTTTTAAATGTCCATTTTTTGTTATTGAGTTGTAAGAATTCTTTATCTATTTGGATACAAGTCCCTTGTCAGATGCATGATTTGCAAATATTTTTTCCCATTCTGAGTTGTCTTTTCACTTTCTTTTTTTTTGAGACAGAGTTTCGTTCTTGTTGCCCAGGCTGGAGCGCAATGGTGCGGTGTTGGCTCACTGCAACCTCCAGCTCCCAGGTTCGAGTGATTCTCCTGCCTCAACCTCCAAGTAGCTGGGATTACAGGCGCATGCCATCATGCTCGGCTAATTTCCTTCGTATTTTTAGTAGAGATGGGGTTTTACCACGTTGGCCAGGCTGGTCTCGAACTCCTGACCTGGGTGATCCACCTGCCTCGGCCTCCCAAAGTGCTGGGAGGCACCACGCCTGGTCCTTACTTTCTTGATAGCATCCTTTGAGGCATAACATTTTAAAATGTGATAAAGTCCAATGTATCTATTTTTTCTTTTGTCATTTATATTTTTGGTGTCATATCTAAGAAATCATTGTCGAATCCAAGGCCATAAAGATTTACTCCTTTGTTTTCTTTTAAGATATTTATAGTTGTAGCAGTTACATTTGGATCTGTCATCTATTTTGTGTTATTTTCTGTGGATTGTCTGAAGTAGGGGTCCAACTTCATTCTTTGCATGTGGATAGCCAGTTACCCCAGCATCACTGGTTGAAAAGACTATTTTCTCATTTAATTATTTTAACACCCTTGTCTAGAATCAATTGGCAAGAAAAGTAAGGGTTTCTTTCTGGAGTCTCAGTCCCATTCCATTGGTCTACATGTCTATTCTTAGGCCAGCACCACACTGTCTTACTTTGATTACTAGCTTTGTAGTAAGTTTTGAAGTCAGGTTTTTCAAGCTTGTTTTGGCTATTCTGGGTCCTTTACATTTCCATATGAATTTTAGGATCAATCTGCCCATTTGTTTTACTATATTGGCTTTGTTTTGTTTTGCAAATATTTCAGGATTGAATAAGCAGGGGGAAATGGCTCATTTTTCAAAGAGTCAAGAAGTCACTGGGAGAATAAGAGGCAGCTTCCTAGGACTCAAGGCCAAATCATCAGGTCCACAGGCAGTGCCAGCTTTCTAGGATTCAGAACCCTCCCTGGCCCATGGTTGTTATTTCAAGAGAAGCAGCTGCATTCTATTCCCAGTGTCCTTCCAGCCTGGCCGGTTTTGTCATCTATCCCATCTCCTTTATTGCCCACCAGAATGCTGCATTCCAAGCAGGTGGGCTGATGATGAAATGCAGCTGGCCCGTTCATGCTCCACCACACTGCAGCTGTGAGTAGGCAGCAGGGTCACAGTGAGGCTGTTCAACACAGAGTCCCCGGTTCTACTCCCAGAGATTCCGACCTAGGGGGTTTGGAGTGGGGCCCAGGCACTCCATTTTTAACACACAGCCTTTCATGTGGTTTTGATGTATGTTGGCAGACCCCAGATGACATTTGGAGAAATTCCTCACAAAGGCATGGGTTTTGTGTAACTTTAAATATCTGTCCATTGTCTGGCACCTGAGTTCCTGGTAGGGGACCCAAAACATCCTCTGTTTCCTTGCTGACCACAAGTTAATGGGGCTTCTGGCTTCTGACCCGGCAAAGCTGATCCAACCTGGGGGTGACGGACAGCACAGGGGAATCTTTCCTATGTGATCTTCGGGACTGTGACTCTTGCTGAAGACACAGGTGGGCGAGTTCCATCGTTACAGGCCAGGAAAGGAGTTCAGGGGATTTATGACTGCTAAGCAAATGTCACACGTTTTTACTCCATTAGAGATTTACTTAAGTTCTTTCCAGATGCAGATATTTATTAGGTAGATTGTGGTTCTTTGTGGCAAAAATTTTCCTTCTGTAATTTCTCAAATAGCCAAATGCTTCCAGGATGAACCGTGTGGGTGCCTGGAGGAGGGGAAACTGGAAGCAGCAGACAGGTCTATAGGATGGGTGTGTGTCAGGGAGTGGGGAAGGTGGGGTTGAAGATCCGGGGGCAGTTACGGGATAGGGCTTCTGAGTATGAAAGTAGCCCTGCAAGAATATTCTATATAGAATATAGAATTGAGAAGTGTCTCCCAATTTAATCGAATTTTTTCCCTCCTGGAGGAGAAAAGGAGAAGAAATTATCTCAGCCTTCTCTTACATTTCTACTATCTTTGAAGTAGCATGCCAAACCCTTTTCCTGGATCTTGAGGACTCGAATCCTGAAATTTCAGATGCTCTCACTAATGTAGGAATTGGGTTTTGACTGGTGACAGAGAAGAGGGGGGAATATTTGGAATGTAGGTCTCTTTGGGAGAGAACAGAACTCACCCTTTCCCTGTGGCAGCATGAAAACACTGAGCCCCTAGAAGCAGAGGGGAGACAGCAACAGAGAACTAAAAAGGGCAGTGAGTGAATGCCAGCGACAAATTTTATTTTGTAATTTTACTTAGAATGGGCCTGCCACTTTCCTGTTTTCCAAAACCAGGCTAATTGTCAGACAACTACTCACTTGAAATAATACTTATTAGAGGTTCTTTTGAATGAAGATGCAAACAGTGCCCACATTGTGTAAGATGGAGTTGTTGCCTATACCTTAATGTTAAGTGTCAGAAAAGCAATCTGATTAAAGAGATCAGCTGCCCTAAGGAAATGGGGAATTTGATTAGAATTGTCCAGTGCTTTCTTAAATAACTCCACTTTGCTGTGCTAGTGTTTGGCTCTGGTGTGAGGAAGTGAATTGAGTTCTGCACTGTGAATTTAGGAGTCTTCAGGAGGGCATTAGAATGATTTCTTCTCCTTCTTCCACCAGTTGATTGCAGAAATGTTTGCTCTGTTTTTATATAGTTATTATTTATAGTTCTTTCTTATAATTATTTAACCTGTGTACTGAATGTCATGCGGCACAATACTACTACTTCTTTGGAAGTACTTCTGAGGCAGGAAGTGTGATATTAGCATATATACACAGTTATAGAATCAGCATCCCCAATGCACTTCCTATCGTGGCTTTGAGTTCATAGGTCCTCAGGAGGTATTCTGTGAGTGAATGACTGAACAGTGATTGTGTCTACTGCCCATTAACTTTCTTTGAAGTTTGACATGATGTTGTCCCTATGCTCTGTTCTTGTGTACACAGTTGGTTATCAGTGGGACCTAGTCATCCACTCATCACTTAAAAGTTAAAGGTTGGAACATTGCTCAAGACAAAGGTTATAGGTTTGTTATAGGAGAACAACCCAGTTGCTCCTTTTACCACCCCTTTCCTTGCAGGATGAGCAGCAGCAAGAGATGGCCGCTTCTGCCGCCTTCATAGACCGGCATTACGGGCACCTGGTAGACGCCGTGCTGGTGAAGGAGGATCTCCAGGGTGCCTACAGCCAGCTCAAAGTGGTCTTAGAGAAGCTGAGCAAGGACACTCACTGGGTACCTGTTAGTTGGGTCAGGTAACTTTATCCCAGAACATCCAAGCTGGACGGGACCTTGAAGATCATCTAGTCCAGACTCCCTCATTTTACCATCAAGGAATCTCAAGCGCAGAGAGGGAGAGAATTCTCCACAAATTCCATCATCGAGAAGAGTATAAGTGGGAAGTCTTGTTTGTTGTTGGTTTTTGTCTGTTGTTTTTCACTGCACCTCTTTGGATCATGATTTGAAAGGGGCATATCAGAAAACAACACATTTCATTTATTAAAGTATCACAGGCAAGCTGACCCTGATTCTTTGTACCAAAGTTAAGTAGCCACTGTCTTTTGTGGGTGGTAGTGGTTAATTTATACAGTACTGATTCGCAGAATGTTTAAGCTTTTTAAACATAGTGACGCTTAGTAGTTTTTTTGGAAGCTAACTTGTTTTATCCAAGGGGATTTTACATGTAACTGAAGTTCCCCTGTCTTCAAGCACTAAAACGTTGATCTTAACCTTTTTTTTGAAGTGCTTGCCTGGTAATAGAAAACGGGTTCTCTGCCTATTTTAAAATAGTGAATATACGTAAATTTTCTCTGGAAGGCTGAGGCACACTTCACCATCAACATGAATTACTGTACTATCCTGTACTGCAGTGGTGCCTTCAGGGACTCGAGGAATGTAAGGTTGCCTTTCCCCTTTCTAAATACCCTCAGATTCCTAACATCGAGCCCATGCTTTGTTTGATTTGTTCTATTCCATCCATTGTCCCTTTTGTTACTGACAGTTGCCTTGGTCCTAGCCAGTCCCTGCCATGAGATCATAGGGGTTCCCATTGTGCTAGATCTTGGGAAACCAGATGACTCTCCCTGTCAAAACTATGGCTACGTCACTGTAAACCATTTCTGTCAAGAATAAAAGTATGTAGACCCAGAGTGTGGGCCTAATGGGTTGTCTCTGAGCAAAAATGATTATCACCCAGGATTCATGATATATCTTAGGTGCTCAGAGAATTTTTTTTTATTATTAATAGCCAGCAACAGTCTTTATTCTGTGCTGGATGCTATGCTAAGGCCTTTACATACATTACCCTGATAAATACACCAAGCCAATAAGGTAGGATTCTTATCATCTCATTGTACAAACGAGAAAAAAAATAAAGCTTAGACAGTTTAAATAATGTGCCCAAGCTTGCACAGATTTAAAAAAAAAATTGCAGGCCAGGCACTGTAGTGCATGCCTATAATCCTAGCACTTTGGGAGGCCAAGGTGGGTGGATTGCTTGAGTTCAGGAGTTCGAGACCAGTCTGGGCAATGTGTCAAAACCCCATTTCTACAAAAAATACAAAAACTAGCCGGGCATGGTGGTGTGTTCTTGTAGTCCCAGCTACTCAGGAGGCTGAGGTGGGATGAACGAGGAGGTTGAGGCTGCAGTGAGCCATGATTACACCACTGCACTCCAGCCTGGGTGACAGAGTGAGACCCTGCCTCAAAAAATTTTAAAAATTAAAAAATGCAGAGCTATGGTATTTGAGCCTAAATCGCCCAAATACCAGAGATGATCGTTAACCACTATACTATACTGCCTCATTCTTTTGTGGTCCCATAATCGAGGCTACTCACTAATATAATTCACTTATAAATGATGAATGTGTTTACAGCTAGAATTTATAATATGAAGTGTGACCATAACTTCTAAGACTGAAAAGAGGCTACATACACGTGTACATTTTCAACTTCTTTTACTCATGAAAGGAAAAGGAGGCCAAGTTGAAGGTGAAGCACCAGGGAGAAGGTTTGCCACCCATTTAGAAATTTCCATTTTACCTTCTACACAAGGATACCTTTGCAACGCTCTAGCTCATGAACTGGTAGGTCCACGTAACAGGATCACATTCTTCAGAACTTTCTAGTAAAAAGATGGGGACTTCTTTACACTTAGAGAGTATTGGATTCTTATCAAGTGAAATTGGTCTTGAGCTGATCTACAGAGAGCCAGGCCAGGGAGGGCAGCTGCCCCTGAAGTGTGACCAGCACATGCAAAGTTGTTATGCAGGATAATGCCTGTAATCCTAGCACTTTGGGAGGCTGAGGCAGTGGATCACTTGAGGTCAGGAGTTTGAGACCAGCCTGGCCAAAATGGTGAAACCCCGTCTCTACTAAAAAAAAAAAAAAAAAAAAAAAAAAAATTAGCTGGGCATGGTGGCGGGTGCCTGTAATCCCAGCTACTTGGGAGGCTGAGGCAGGAGAATCACTTAAACCTGGGAGGCAGAGGTTGCAGTGAGCCGAGACCGTGCCACTGCACTCCAGCCTGGGTGACAAATGAGACTCTGTCTCAAAAAAAAAGTTGTTATGCAGGAGAGCTGGGATCTGAAGTCTGCTCACAGGCAAAAGCAAAACAAACCCACATACGTTAAAAATTACTTTTGAAGATCCCCTCAGGAGGCATCATGGTGGACATCCTAATCAAGTCTCAAAGCCCCATGTAGGTGGTTTTCCCTCCAGTGTGGGAACACAGTGGTTGGGCACCCAATGATGTTCTTTCTGCATTTTATACCACTCCACAGGCATTTTCTGCTGCTTACATAATATTTTTACACAATTGTCAGATTAAATGATGGTAATTCTCTTTACATGTATTATGAAGCAGAGTATTAAAAAGTGATCCTTAGCCAAGTGTGGTGACTCACGCCTGTAATCCCAGCACTTTGGGAGGCCGAGGCAGGAGGATCACTTGGGCTCAGGAGTTCAAGACCAGCCTGGGCAACATAGCAAGACCTTGTCTCTATTAAACATAAAATTAGAGCCAGCAGCATTGGCTCACGCTTGTAATCCCAGCACTTTGGGAGGCTGAAGTAGGCAGATCACTTGAGGCCAGGAGTTTGAGACCAGTCTGGCCAATATGGTGAAACCCTGTCTCTACTAAAAATACAAAAATTAGCCAGGCATGGTGGCACACGCCTATAATCCCAGCTACTCGAGAGGCTGAGGCACAAGAATTGCTTGAACCTGGGAGGCAGAGGTTGCAGTGAACCAAGATCATGCCACTGCACTCCAGCCTGGGCAACAGAGCAAGACTGTGTCTTAAATAAATAAAAACAATAAAATAAAAATTTAAAAATTAGTTGGGGGGGTAGGTTCCAAGATGGCCAAATAGGAATAGCTCCAGTCTGCAGCTGCCAGCATGAGCGATGCAGAAGATGGGTGATTTCTGCATTTCCAGCTGAGCTACCAGGTTCATCTCACTGGGGCTTGTCAGACAGTGGCTGCAGCCCATGGAGCAGGGCAGGGCGTCACCTCACCCTGGAAGTGCAAGAGGTCAGGGAATTCCCTTTCCTAGCAAAGGGAAGCCGTGACAGACGGTACCTGGAAAATCGGGACACTCCCACCCTAATACTGCACTTTTCCAACAGCCTTAGCAAACGGCACACCAGGAGTTTATATCCCGTGCCTGGCTCAGAGGGTCCCATGCCCATTGAGCCTCGCTCACTGCTAGCACAGCAGTCTGAGATAGAACTGCAAGGCAGCAGCGAGGCTGGGGGAGGGGCGTCCACAATTGCTGAGGCTTGAGTAGGTAAACAAAGCAGCCTGGAAGCTGGAACTGGGTGGAGCCCACTGCAGCTCAAGGAGGCCTGCCTGCCTCTGTAGACTCCACCTCCAGGGGCAGGGCATAGCTGAACAAAAGGCAGCAGAAACTTCTGCAGACTTAAACGTCCCTGTCTGACAGCTTTGAAGAGAGTAGTGCTTCTCCCAGCATGGAGTTTGAGATCTGAGAACGGACAGACTGCCTCCTCAAGTGGGTCCCTGACCCCCGAGTAGCCTAACTGGGAGACACCTCCCAGTAGGGGCCGACTGACACCTCATACAGCTGGGTGCCCCTCTGAGACAAAGCTTCCAGAAGAAGGATCAGATGGCATCATTTGCTGTTCTGCAATATTTGCTGTTCTGCAGCCTCCGCTGGTGATACCCAGGCAAACAGGGTCTGGAGTGGACCTCCAGCAAACTCCAACAGACCTGCAGCTGAGGGTCCTGACTGTTAGAAGGAAAACTAAGAAACAGAAAGGACATCCACACCAAAACCCCACCTGTACGTCACCATCATCAAAGACCAAAGGTAGATAAAACCACAAAGATGGGGAGAAACCAGAGCAGAAAAGCTGAAAATTCTAAAAATCAGAGCGCCTCTTCTCCTCCAAAGGAATGCAGCTCCTCGCCAGCAATGGAACAAAGCTGGACAGAGAATGACTTCGATGAGTTGAGAGAAGAAGGCTTCAGATGATCGGTAATAACAGACTTCTCCGAGCTAAAGGAGGATGTTCAAACCCATCGCAAAGCAGCTAAAAACCTTGAAAAAAGATTAGACGAATGGGTAACTAGAATAAACAGTGTAGAGAAGTCCTTAAATGACCTGATGGAGCTGAAAACCATGGCATGAGAACTACATGACGCATGCACAAGCTTCAGTAGCTGATTTGATCAAGTGGGAGAAAGGGTATCAGTGATTGAAGATCAAATGAAGGAAATGAAGCGAGAAAAGAAGTTTAGAGAAAAAAGAGTAAAAAGAAATGAACAAAGCCTCCAAGAAATATGGGACTATGTGAAAAGACCAAACCTACGTCTGATTGGTGTACCCGAAAGTGATGGGGAGAATGGAACCAAGTTGGAAAACACTCTTCAGGATATTATGCGGGAGAACTTCCCCAATCGAGCAAGGCAGGCCAACATTCAAATTCAGGAAATACAGAGAATGCCACAAAGATACTCCTCGAGAAGAGCAACCCCAAGACACATAATTATCAGATTCACCAAAGTTGAAATGAAGGAGAAAATGTTAAGGGCAGCCAGAGAGAAAGGTTGGGTTACCCACAAAGGGAAGCCCATCAGACTAACAGCGGATCTCTTGGCAGAAACTCTACAAGCCAGAAGAGAGTGGGAGCCAATATTCAACATTCTTAAAGGAAAGAATTTTCAACCCAGAATTTCATATCCAGCCAAACTAAACTTCATAAGTGAAGGAGAAATAAAATCCTTTACAGACAAACAAATGCTAAGAGATTTTGTCATCACCAGGCCTGCCTTACAAGAGCTCCTGAAGGAAGCACTAAACCTGGAAAGGAACAACTGGTACCAGCCACTGCAAAAACATGCCAAATTGTAAAGACCATCAATGCTAGGAAGAAACTGCATCAACTAACGAGCAAAATAACCAGCTAACATCATGATGACAGGATCAAATTCACACATAACAATATTAACCTTAAAAGTAAATGGGCTAAATGCTCCAATTAAAAGACACAGACTGGCAAATTGGATAGAGTCAAAACCCATCAGTGTGCTGTATTCAGGAGACCCATCTCACGTGCAGAGACACACATAGGCTCAAAATAAAGGGATGGAGGAAGATCTACCAAGCAAATGGAAAACAAAAAAAAAGCGGGGGTTGCAATTCTAGTCTCTGATAAAATAGACTTTAAACCAACAAAGATCAAAAGAGACAAAAAAGGCCATTACGTAATGGTAAAGTGATCAACAAGAAGAGCTAACTATCCTAAATATATATGCTCCCAGTACAGGAGCACCCAGATTCATAAAGCAAGTCCTTAGAGACCTACAAAGAGACTTAGACTCCCACACAATAATAATGGGAGACTTTAACCCCCCACTGTCAACATTAGACAGATCAATGAGACAAAAAAGTTAACAAGGATATCCAGGAATTGAACTCAGCTCTGCACCAAGCGGACCTAATAGACATCTACAGAACTCTGCACCCTAAATCAACAGAATATACATTCTTCTCAGCAGCACATCACACCTATTCCAAAATTGACCACATAGTTGGAAGTAAAGCACTCCTCAGCAAATGTAAAAGAACAGAAATTATAACAAACTGTCTCTCAGACCACAGTGCAATCAAACTAGAACTCAGGATTAAGAAACTCTCTCAAAACTGCTCAACTACATGGAAACTGAACAACCTGATCCTGAATGACTACTGGGTACATAACGAAATGAAGGCAGAAATAAAGATGTTCTTTGAAACCAATGAGAACAAAGACACAACATACCAGAATCTCTGGGACACATTTAAAGCAGTGTGTAGAGGGAAATTTATAGCACTAAATGCCCACAAGAGAAAGCAGGAAAGATCTAAAATTGACACCCTAACATCACAATTAAAAGAACTAGAGAAGCAAGAGCAAACACATTCAAAAGCTAGCAGAAGGCAAGAGATAACTAAGATCAGAGCAGAATTGAAGGAGATAGAGACACAAAAAACCCTTCAAAAAATCAATGAATCCAGGAGCTGGTTTTTTGAAAAGATCAACAAAATTGATAGACCGCTAGCAAGACTAATGAAGAAAAGAGAGAAGAATCAAATAGACGCAATAAAAAATGATAAAGGGGATATCACCACTGATCCCACAGAAATACAAACTACCATCAGAGAATACTATAAACACCTCTATGCAAATAAACTAGAAGACCTAGAAGAAATGGATAAATTCCTGGACACATACACCCTCCCAAGACTAAAACAGGAAGAAGTTGAATCCCTGAATAGACCAATAACAAGTTCTGAAATTGAGGCAATAATTAATAGCCTACCAACCAAAAAAAGTCCAGGACCAGACAGATTCACAGCCGAATTCTACCAGAGGTACAAAGAGGAGCTGGTACCGTTCCTTCTGAAACTATTCCAATCAATAGAAAAAGAGAGAATCCTCCCTAATTCATTTTATGAGGCCAACATCCTGATATCAAAGCCTGACAGAGACACGACAAAAAAAGAGAATTTTAGACCAATATCCCTGATGAACATTGATGCAAAAATCCTCAATAAAATACCGGCAAACCAAATCCAGCAGCACATCAAAAAGCTTACCTATCATGATCAAGTTGGCTTCATCTCTGGGATGCAAGGCTGGTTCAACCTATGCAAATCAATAAACGTAATCCATCATATAAACAGAACCAAAGACAAAAACCACATGATTATCTCAATAGATGCAGAAAAGGCCTTCGACAAAATTCAACAGCCCTTCATGCTAAAAACTCTCAATAAACTAGGTATTGATGGGACGTATCTCAAAATAATAAGAGCTATATATGATAAACCCACAGCCAGTATCATACTGAATGGGCAAAAACTGGAAGCATTCCCTTTGAAAACTGGCACAAGACAGGGATGCTCTCTCTCACTATTCCTATTCAACGTAGTGTTGGAAGTTCTGGCCAGGGCAGTCAGGCAAGAGAAAGAAATAGAGGGTATTCAATTAGGAAAAGACGAAGTCAAATTGTCCCTGTTTGCAGATAACATGATTGTATATGTAGAAAACCCCATCATCTCAGCCCAAAATCTCCTTAAGCTGATAAGCAACTTCAGCAAAGTCTCAGGATACAAAATCAATGTGCAAAAATCGCAAGCATTCCTATACACCAATAACAGACAAACAAAGAGCCAAATCATGAGTGAACTCCCATTCACAATTGCTTCAAAGAGAATAAAATACCTAGGAATCCAACTTACAAGGGATGTGAAGGACCTCTTCAAGGAGAACTACAAACCACTGCTCAACGAAATAAAAGAGGACACAAACAAATGGAAGAACATTCCATGCTCATGGATAGGAAGAATCAATATTGTGAAAATGGCCATACTGCCCAAGGTAATTTATAGATTCAATGCCATCCCCATCAAGCTACCAATGACTTTCTTCACAGAATTGGAAAAAACTACTTTAAAGTTCATATGGAACCAAAAAAGAGCCCGCATTGCCAAGACAATCCTAAGCCAAAAGAACAAAACTGGAGGCATCATGCTACCTGACTTCAAACTATACTACAAGCCTACAGTAACCAAAACAAAATGGTACTGGTACCAAAACAGAGATATAGACCAATGGAACAGAATAGAGCCCCCGGAAATAATATCACACACCTAAAACCATCTGATCTTTGAGAAACCTGACAAAAACAAGAAATGGGGAAATGATTCCCTATTTAATAAATGGTGCTGGGAAAACTGGCTAGCCATATGTAGAAAGCTGAAACTGGATCCCTTCCTTATATCTTACACAAAAATTAATTGAAGATGGATTAAAGACTTAAATGTTAGACTTAAAACGATAAAAACCCCAGAAGAAAACCTAGGCAATACCATTCAGGCCATAGGCACGGGCGAGGACTTCATGACTAAAACACCAAAAGCAATGGCAACAAAAGCCAAAATTGACAAATGGGATCTAATTAAACTAAAGAGCTTCTGCACAGCAAAAGAAACTACCGTCAGAGTGAACAGGCAACCTACAGAATGGGAGAAAATTTTTGCAATCTACTCATCTGACAATGGGCTAATATCCAAAATCTACAAAGAACTTAAATTTACAAGCAAAAATCAAACAGCCCCATCAAAAAGTGGGCAAAGGATATAAACAGACACTTCTCAGAAGAAGACATTTATGCAGCCAACAGACACATGAAAAAATGCTCACCATCACTGGCCATCAGAGAAATGCACATCAAAACCACTATGAGATACCATCTCACACCAGTTAGAATGGCGATCATTAAAAAGTCAGAAAACAACAGGTGCTGGAGAGGATGTGGAGAAATAGGAACACTTTTACACTGTTGGTGGGACTGTAAACTAGTTCCACCATTGTGGAAGACAGTGTGGCGATTCCTCAAGGATCTAGAACTAGAAATACCATTTTACCCAGCCATCCCATCACTGGGCATGTACCCAAAGGATTATAAATCATGCTGGTATAAAGACACATGCACACATATGTTTATTGCGGCACTATTCACAGTAGCAAAGACTTGGAACAACCCAAATGTCCATCAATGATAGACTGGATTAAGAAAATGTGACACATTTACACCATGGAATACTATGCAGCCGTAAAAAAGGATGAGTTCATATCCTTTGTAGGGAAATGGATGAAGCTGGAAACCATCATTCTGAGCAAACTATCGCAAGGACAGAAAACCAAACACTGCATGTTCTCACTCATAGGTGGGAATTGAACAATGAGAACACTTGGACACAGGGTGGGGAACATCACACACCAGGGCCTGTCGTGGGGTGGGGGGAGGGAGGAGGGATAGCATTAGGAGATATACCTAATGTAAATGACGAGTTAACGGGTGCAGCACACCAACATGACACATGTATACCTTTGTAACAAACCTCCACGTTGTGCACATGTACCCTAGAACTTAAAGTATAAAAAAAAAAATTAGCTGGTCATGGTGGTGTGCCCCTGTGGTCCCAGCTACTCGGGAAGCTGAGGTGGGAGAATTGCTTGAGCCCAGGTAGATGGAGGCTGCAGTGATCTCTGATTGCACCACTGCACTCCAGCCTGAGCAACAAAGTGAGACCCTGTCTCAAAAAAAAAAAAAAAGTGATCCTTGCTTTATTTCCTGTCAAGGCAGCCCCTAATCCCCAAGACAAGCTGTGTCTACAGCTGTTTGTTGGCTACCAGATTTATGGGAGTAGGAAGGGTAGGACCCCAGAGACAGAGGTCATTTGGAAGGCATTTTTGCAGTTCATGCAGAAAACTATTGTTAAAAAATGCACCTGTGTTCAAATATTTATTGGTGGAATGTGTGTAAATGTAATTCCAAGCCCCATCTCAACTAGCAGTCCATATGTTCTGAGCCCCTGGGCAAAATGTTGGAAAAACTCCATCCATTACTCTGGGCCCAACACTAATAAATCTCCTTATTACAAACCCCTCAAGATGGACCTTTTTTAATCCTTGGGTCTTCAAACAGATAAGTTGGCTGCCTGTATCTACAGCCAGAGAGGATGTGCTCTCTAGAGGAATTTTCTAGGTCGGAAGTGTTAAATAGGTGGCATATGTGCAGCCAACGCCCATTCCTGAACCGGTGGAAGACATTACTAATTGATCACAGCACTCTCTTATTGTGATCACAGCACTCTTATTGTGATCAACTAAACTCAACAGGAGAGTGCTGTGATCAATTAGTAATGTCTTTGGCTCTTTCAGGACAGTGTTCAGTAGCAGCTGGGCAGAATCAGTAGTGAGTTATTCCTGTTTGCCATTCTCAATCCACTGATTTGTAACCTTCCCTGCTATCCACTTCACTCCCTGTGGAAGATGGGTTCAAGAAAGTTAGAACCATCTGTCATTTACAGGCAGTGCTCAGATATATTAGCCAATTGTATGTTCAAATACATGCTTTAAAACATGTGGCCAATCAAATTTTGTATCCACTTACCCAGTATCACATCATTTATGCTACCAATCACAGGACTATGCATCCAAACAATAACACTTCATGATTTCTTTAATAACTGCAGAGTTCAGCATATGCACAAAGCCCATTTTTAATCAGATAGTTAAGAACCAATGAGCAGCATTTCTCTATTTGGTGGAGTTAATATTGATCGATTTCTTTCTTTCTTTCTTTCTATTTTTTTGAGACGGAGTGTCTGTCGCCCAGGCTAGAGTGCAATGGCATGATTTCGTCTGACTGCAACCTCTGCCTCCCAGGTTCAAGCGATTCTCCTGCCTCAGCCTCCTGAGTAGCTAGGACTACAGGCACCCACCACCATGCCTGGCTAATTTTTTTTATTTTTAGTACAGACGGGGTTTCACCATGTTGGTCAGGCTGGTCTTGAACTCCTGACCTCAAGCAATCCACCTGCCTTGGCCTCCCAAAGTGCTGGGATTACAGGTATGGGCCACAGTGCCCAGCCACTGATCAGTTTCTTACTCCATTTTTCCTGCCCTTTGAATACAGCCACCAACCACTACTTCCTTTAAACATCAGGCTTATGGTTTCAGAACAAGACGGTATAGAATCATTTTTTCCTCCTCTTCAAATGGCAGGGCTAAAAGAGCCGTAACACAAATAGGGCTGAAACACCCCCCTGCCGCCACCCCCACTCTCCATGTTGTGGGTGACAAGGAGAGAAGAGCTGCAGCTCCCTGAGCTAGGGCTGTGACACCCTCTTTCGGGCTCTGCGATTTCTGGCGTCTCCAAGCTTCCGGGTGCCACTGCGTTCCCCTCATCCAGGCGTGGATGCCTGCAGTGGAAGCCGTGTGCAGTACATCTGGTCCAGCCACAGCCTTGCATGGAGCTGGCACCTGTGCCAGCACCTGAGCTCCCCACCCCACCACAGCAGCCAGCATGCCTGGCTGTGCATAGTGGCCAGACCCTGCGCTCACTTGCCCACACACGCCTTGCCACTCCATGCCTGGCTCACCCCTGGCAAGTGTGGGATCTGGGCCTGTAGTGTGAGCTGAGCGCAGCCTGCTGGGCTGAGTGGGCAGAACAAGCCCAGCGGGCACAAGCAATACTCAGGCAGAAGATGCCACTAGCCACAGAGGTTTCTGGCTGGTGAAGTGACACCCTAAGGATCCTGTGATAGAGCTACTGACATTTGTATCATCAGAGTCTTTGCAGGAGAGGAGAAAGTGTGAGACTAAAACGTATTCGGAGAAATAATGGCTGAAAACTTCCCAAATCCGGTGGAAGACAAACACCTACAGATTCAAGAAGTTGATTGAGCTCCAAATAGAGAAAACAGTCCAAAGCCATACTGACACATCATAATTAACCTTCTAAAAACTGGAGATTAAGAAAAAAGAAATCTTTAAAACAGTCAGGGAGAAACAACCAGGAAGGAATGCTAATTCAAACTGTATTTTTGCACTACCTGTAAAAGAAATGATGGGGGCCATCTAGAAGTGGTCCAACACTTATCAAGTGCTGAAAACAAAACCGTCAACCTTGAATCCTGTTATCAGGTGAAATTGGCCTTCAGGAATAAAGGGAAAAATGAAGACATTCTCAGATGAAGAGAAACAGTTTGTTGAGACCTACCCTTAAAGAATGGCTAAAGGAAGCTCTCCATACAGAAATAAATTAACAGAAGGAGGCTGGGACCTAAGAAAGGGAAAGAAGGTAGAAGGAAGGGAAGGGAAGGGGAGGGGAGGGGAGAGGAGGGAATGGGAGGGGGAAGAGGAGGAGGAGAGAAGGGAAGGGAACAAGGAGGGAGGGAAAGAAAGAAACAACACAATACATAAAAACAGACGTACAGATGCTTCTTGACTTATGATGAGGTTATGTTCCCAATAAATCCATGGTAAGTTGAAAAACATTCAAAGTCAAAAATACATTTAATACATCTAACCTGTCAAACATTATAGCTTAGCCAGGCCTAACTTAAATGTGCTCAGAACACTTACATTAGCCTATAGTTGGGCAAAATTACCTAACATAAAGCCTATTTTATGATAAAGTATTGAATATGTCATGTTATCTGTTGAATACGGTACTGAAAGTGAACAATAGAAATGGTTGTATGGGTACTTAAAGTATGATTTCTACTGAATGTATATTGCTTTTGAACCATCATAAGGTTAAAAAAAAAAAAATCATGCCGGGCGCGGTGACTCACGCCTCTAATCCCAGCACTTTGGGAGGCCGAGGTGGGCAGATCACGAGGTCAGGAGATAGAGACCATCCTGGCTAACATAGTGAAACCCCGTCTCTACTAAAACTACAAAAAATTAGCTGGGCATGGTGGCGGGCGCCTATAGTCCCAGCTACTCGGGAGGCTGAGGCAGGAGAATGGCGTGAACCCGGGAGGCGGAGCTTGCAGTGAGCCGAGATTGCGCCACTGCACTCCAGCCTGGGCGACAGAGCGAGACTCCGTCTCAAAAAAAAAAAAAAAATCATTTAAGTCAAACCATTGTAAGTCAGAGACTGTCTGTATCTGCTGTCTGCAAGTATATGTTCCTTCAAACATAATGAGACAGGTAGGCTGAAAGTGAAAGGATAAAAGGTAATACATCATGCAAACACTAATTTTAAGAAAGCAGTACTGAGTATGTTAATATCAGATAAAGTAAGTTCAGAGAAAGAAAATTACTAGGGACAAAGAGGGACATTATATAATAATAAAGAGATCTCACTTCTGTAATCTCAGTACTTTGGGAGGCCAACGTGGGCGGATCGCTTGAGCCCAGGAATTCGAGACCAGCCTGGGCAATATGATGAAACCCCATCTCTACTAAAAAAAATACAAAAATCAGCTGGGCACAGTGGTGCGTGCCTATAGTCCCAGCCACTTGGGAGACTGAGGTGGGAGGATTGCTTGAGCCTAGGAGATGGAAGTTGCAGTGAACTGAGATCACACTCAGCAGTGTGCTGCACTCCAGCCTGGGTGACAGAGTGAGACCCTGTCTCAAAAAAAAAAAAAAAATCAATAAATCAATCCACCAAAAATATATAGCAATCTTTAATGTGTATGTGCCAAACACCAGAGCTTCAAAATATATGAAGCAAAAACAGAGTTAAAAAGAGAAATAGACAAATCCACAATTAGAGTTGGGGATTTCAACACCCCACCCTTAGCAACTGATAGAACTACTAGAGAGAAAATCATCAGGATGTAGAAGAACTGAACACCATCAACCAACGGGACCTAACATATTTATAGAACACTTTGCCCAATAACAGTGCAATACACATTCTTTTCAAATGTCCATAAAATATTCACCTTGATTTAAAAAAACCTTAACAAATTTAAAAGAATTGAAATGATAGAGTATATTCTCTGGACATAATGGGATCAAATTAAAAATTAATAACAGAAAGATAACTGGAAAATCTCCAAACATTTGAAACTATAACTAATATAACCTGAGCAGTTCATGGGCTGGATCATGAAAAGCCTTGTATGCTCTATATAAAGCTCCAGCCCATTATGCAAGAATGGCAAATCACGGAAGCCATTAAGCTAGAAAGTGATATGGGCGTATTTTTGCATTAGTAATGCAAGTTGCAAATCACAAGTGCCTGAAATATGGCAGTAGCTCATACAGAGATTGAGACATAAGACTTGTAGCTTTAAGATCACCTCCATAGACCATAGCCTGGGCAAGAGAGTGACTCTGTCTTTAAACAAACAAACAAACAAAAAACCAAAAAAAGATATGTAGGGAGGGGGATAGGAGGAAAGAGAAGGAATGAAGTAAAAGATGACCTCAGGTTTTTAACCTGGGTGTCTAGAAGAATGGTTGTTCCTCAAACTGAGATTAACTGGAACCAGTTAATAATGAATTTGTATTTAGGCATGTTGTTTTTTTTAAGCTTTTTATTTTGAGATAATTGTATATTCACATGCATGTAGGAAATAATACAGAGAGATCCTGTAAACTCCTTACCAGATTCCCCCAGTGGTAGCATAGTGCAAAACTATATGGTACAGTATCACAACAAGGATATTGACATTGATAGAGTCAAGATATAGAACAGTTTCATCATTGATATATTGGATGTCATCCAAATAAAAATATTTTACTCTGTCAAAGACCCTGAGGATGAAAAGACAAATTATAGACTGGGAGAAAAATACATGCAAGGCGCATAGCAGGCAAAGGACTTATTCCTATAATATGTAAATAACTTTCAAAATTTGCTATTTAAAAAATCAGGCCAGGTGTGGTGGCTCATGTCTGTAATCCCAGCACTTTGGGAGGCCGAGGCAGGTGGATCACCTGAGGTCAGGAATTTGAGACCAGCCGGGTCAACATGGTGAAACCCTGTCTCTACTAAAAATATAAAAATTAGCCGGGCCTGGTGATGCATGCTTGTAATCCCAGCTACTCAGGAGGCTGAGGCAGGAGAATCGCTTGAACCCCAGAGGTGGAGGTTGCAGTGAGCCAAGATCGTGCCACTGCACTCCAGCCTGGGCAACAGAATGAGACTCCATCTCAAAATAATAATAATAATAATAATAATAATGTTTGAAAAACTAGAAACTACCCCAATGTCCTTTGATGGATGTATGGTTAAATATATTGTAGCATGTCCATACCATGGAATACTACTCAGCAATAAAAAGGCACACACAACTTGGATGAACATCAAGGAAATTATCCTGAGTGAAAAAAGCCAATCTCAAAAGGATGAACATACATTGCATGACGCCATTTACGTAATACCATGAACTAACAGAGAGGTGGAAAACAGATTGTGATTGCCAAGAGTTAGGCTTGAGGGTCTGAGGTGACTGTGGCTAAAAGGGTGGCAATAAGAGTGTCTTTTGATAATAGTGGTTTTAAGTATCTCGAATGTGGTTACACAAAGCTATACATGTGGCAAAAACCGCATAGAGCTATACATATATGTACAAAAATGAGTGCATGTATAACTGATGAAACCTGCATAGGTTCCATGCATCATGCCAATGTCAGTTTCCTGGTTTTGATATTGTACTCCAGTTACGCAAGATGCTAACATTGGTGGAGACTGGGTAAAGGGTGCAGGAGGCCTCCCTGTTCCTTTATGTGCAACTACCTGTGAATTTTCATTATTTCAAAATAGAAAGTTTAAAAAGTCAGTGCGATGGTTAATTTAAGGTGCCAACTTGACTGAATAGAAACCTGGTAAAGCATTATTTTTGGGTGTGTCTGTGAGTGTTTCCAGGGGAGATTAGCATGTAAGTCTGAGTGAACTATGTGGGAAGATCCACTCTCAATGTGGAGAGGCATCATCCAACTTGCTGTGGATTCAGAAAGAACAAAAACAGACAAGAGGCGAATATGTCAATCTATCTGCTGGAACTGGAATACACTCTTCCTCTCCTGTCCTGGGACAACAACTCTAGGCTCCTTGGCCTTTGTACTCCAAGACTCACACCAGCACCCTTGTCCCCCCTAGTGGGTTCTCAGCCTTTGGCCTCGAACTGAGAGTTACACCACCTTCTTCTTGGTTCTGAGGTTTTTGGGCTTGGACCAAGCCATGCTACCAGCATCCCAGTGAGGTGGGAGGCAGGCCTTGACTCCAGAGGCGGGGCTTGGACACAGGATCCAATTGAGGACTAGCTAAAACAGGAAAGGGGTGGAAGCAGCTTTCCATAAGACACTCCCACTAGTGTGCCATGTCAGTTTACCATTACCGTAGCAACACCTAGGAGTTACCACCCCTTTCCAGGGCAATGACCCAAGGACCCAAAAATTACTACCCTTTCCTATAGGCCGGACATGGTGGCTCACGCCTGTAATCCCAGCACTTTGAGAGGCCGAGGCGGGCGGATCACGAGGTCAGGAGTTCAAGACCAGCCTGGCCAAGATGGTGAAACCTCGTCTCTACTAAAAATACAAAAATTAGCTGGGCGTGGTGGCGAGTGCCTGTAGTCTCAGCTACTTGGGAGGCTGAGGCAGGAGAATCGCTTGAACCCAGGAGGCGGAGGTTGCAGTGAGCTGAGATCGCGCCATCTGCACTCCAGCCTGGGCGACAGAGTGAGATTTCATCTCAAAAAAAAAAAAAAAAATTACTACTCCTTCCCTAGAATTTCTGCACAAACCGCCCCTTAATCTACATGTAATTAAAAGTACGTATAACTATGACTGCAAAACTCTCTGCCTTTGGGGTAGCCCTGTACTGCAGGAGCAGTCATGGAGCTGTAACACTGCTGCTTCAATAAAACTGTCTTCTTCTACCCTACCACTGGCTCACCCTTAAATTCTTTCCTGGGTGAAGCCAAGAACACTCGCAGGCTAAGCCCCACTTTGGGGGTTGTCTGCCCTGCTCCACCAGGGTCTCCAGCTTGCAGATGGCCTGTGGTGGGACTTCTTTAGCTTCCATGATCTTGTGAGCCAATTCCCCAAATAAATCCTCTCCTCTCTCTCTCTCTTTCTCTCTCTCTCTCACTCTCTATCTATCTCTCTCACTCTCTCTCTCTCTCTCTCTCTCCTATTGAGTCTGTCTCTTTGGCAAATGCTGACTAATATAGTTGGGCTGAAAACTAGCATGACCAATCATAGCAGGCCTGCAACATTGTCTCACCGTATGTTTTGAGACATTTTCACTGCTGCTGCTCCCTATAAATGAACAGAGTCCATGG
The DNA here is from genome assembly GCF_000001405.40 of Homo sapiens. Taxonomy (NCBI): domain Eukaryota; kingdom Metazoa; phylum Chordata; class Mammalia; order Primates; family Hominidae; genus Homo; species Homo sapiens. Next base: position 43,784,851 of record NC_000017.11, on the reverse strand, counting down.
AAACTTCAATGAGGCATTCTTTTCCGATCGTGTGTATTCACAGAGGAACTAATGGCATTTGTTCCTTGTGTTTTCTGAACCTTGATGTTGTCATGTGATTTCGTTTTCCATTTTGACAGTGCTGTACTTGTGGCTGGATGATCTCACCCCAGCTTTTCTTCTTCCACGGGATGGTGATGATGGTGTATGTTTTAAAGAGTTCTCTCAGATTTCTCTCTCTCTCTCTCGTTAAAACTTCTTTTCATAGCCCCAAATAAAAATGCTCATTGCATCTTTCCTTCTGCCTGCCCCATTTTGGAATGAGAACATAAAGCCTTTGGGTCCCCTAAATGTAACTTACGCATTTTATGTTCCAAGCTTTATTGAAGCATCTGAAGATGGAGCATTCAGCCAGTCGGGAGTGTCTTGAGATCCTGAGCAGCCAAGAAATCCTAGGGCCTTCTCTTGTATCTTTTCCATGGTGAGTAACCTTGTATTCAGTGGAGAAGAGAGAAGGAGACACATCAATTATACAGAACTATTCTTTGGAACGCCTAAGTGTCCATTTATCTTTCTCCCTTGGGTGGGGGAAACCACTTAGTCATCACTAATAATGTTAAATAATACAAAATGACAACATGCTGGTACTTTTGAATACTGACAGAGACCTGGAATGTAACTTTGGCACAATTTTAAAGCCACAGGTCTTCCAGTTTATGTCTTATTGGAACAAATCACTTCCCCTCAGACTCCCACAAAGCCTCAAAGATGATGACAAAAGACAATGTCATTTCCTTCTTGTATGGAGAGAAGAAATAAAGTCAGAGAGCCCCAAGTTTCCCGAATGGAAGACTAGTCAATATTATATGAGAAGAGCAAAATCCGTCTCCTTAACTGGGCCCCTCATTCGCCATTTATGGGGTTCTCAGGGCTTTGGTATCAGCTGTGGTCACAGTGTTTGATAGTAAGAGAGACATACCTATTCATTTTGGGAGAGAAGATATCTCGTGGTATTTCTGATATAGCGCCTTGAATTCTTGAAGGAAAAAAATTGGTTTATGTCAATGCCAGGGCATTGGTGCTATTACTGAAGTTCTAAATCCCAGGGATGACTTAGAAAAGATTTAAAGACCAAAGTCGGTAAGTGGAGGTTTTTTAAAACACCACAGATGGTTTCCCCTCCCCTGGCCTTTTTAAGGGTCATTCCTAAATGAAGCAAACCAACCGCATACTGACTGAATCTTATACCCTTCATCCCTGTACATTCAGCCTTTCTTAATGAATTAAGGGGTGAGGGAAGACGCTACTAGATTATTTTTCTGAAACTGACACATAATTGTTATGTTATGAAACTGACACATAATGGCTTTGCTACCAAGCTGTTTTAGCTGTTTGTTTGATGGTTTGTGCCTGTTAGCTTTGTTTGCTTTGGATGGTTTTTCTTTTAACGATTGTTACATTTCATGTGATCTGACTCTAGCTGTTCAGGGATTTTTCTGAGACTCTCTCTAGGCTGAACACCGACAAACTCTGTGTGTGTCTGGGAGTATAACATGAGTGCCCACGTGCCTGCCAGTCTATCTCAGATGCCCTGCGGTCATAGTGGGGTTTGCGATCAACAAGCCTCTTCAGAATGCCCTGGTTTTCCATGGTGATTCTCACTAGCTCGCGGTTCCTTGTTTCTCTGTTTAAGCTGAAAAACACAAAACCCCGAAATGGGTGAAGAAGGAAATGCTCATCTTGACGAGTGGGGGAGATGAAGTCATGAGATCATAAATGCCAGACTGTCTAAGTGCAGGGAGTAAACTGTCCTGCTGAGCCCACAGGCCCCTGGGACAGCCTGTTGGTCTGCACTGCACTCCGGGAAACATGCACCGCATTCGCAGGTTTATATCAGTGGTCCTCAACCCTGTTGCCCATGAGAAGATTCTACTTCATTGATCTGAGGTGAACCGTGCACACTGGCATTTTCTTAAAATTCCCCAAGGATTATAATGTAAAACCAGGATTGAGAACTTCTGGTTGGGGGAAGGTCTCCCTGTGAATAAATCACAAACGGCTGGCGACAAGTTTTGGGTCACCTCACTCCTCTCAGCTTTCAACTTATACCAGAATATACCAGGATATAGAATGGCATCTTGACCATCTCCTCGCCCCCAGCAAATTCTTTCTCTTGCATGAGCTTCTTTTGTATCCCTAATCACACTGCATTGTCATTATTTCCATAAATATCTCCCCTACAAGACCTTGAGTTCTTTGAGGTAAGGAAATATACATCTCATTTCATCTTTATTATTCCTGGTACCTAGCACATAGTAGTTGCTCAGGAAAGATTTCTGGAACTGATTTTAAGAATGTCACATCATAGCCCCAGCCATGGTGCTATGGAACAGATGCCTGTGTCCCCCAAAATTCTTATGTTCAAATCCTAACCATGAAGGTGATGGTATTAGGGGGTGGGCCTTTGAGAGCTGATTAGGTCACCCTAATGGAATTAGTGTCCTTATGAAAGAAGCCTCTTTCTCCTTCTGCCCCGTGAGGTTACAGTGAAAAGATGGTTGTCTATGAAGCAGGCCCTCCTCAGATGCCGAATTTACTGGCACCTTGATCTTTGGACTTCCTTGCCTCTAGAACTATGAGAAATTTTTGTTGTTTATAAGCCACCAGTTTATAGCAATTTGCTATAGCGCCCTATAATGGACTAAGACACATGGCCACCATTTTATAAAAGTGCGCAGTGCATTCTTGTGACACACTGAATAGGACTCTGAAAAGTCTCTTCGATGAAATAAAAGCTCTTTAATGCTAGAGAAAGGTCCCCATTTTTAAAGTTTTCATTCTGTGTAACATGGTCTGTTTGGTTCTCCCTCAAGATAACTTCCCTTAAGTACTTCTCTGACTTGGGAAAACCTCACACTAAAACCCAAGAGGAAAGTCAATTTTGACTTTTCAAAACTGAAATGAAGACAAAGAACATTACCTCTTGGAAAAATATTCATTCCAGCAATCCACCTTGGCAGGGCCGCGATGGGCATTTGCGATTTTCTGACACAGTTGCTTGTTTTCATACTCGATTTTGTTGATTTTCTTTTGTTCACCCTGGTAAGAAACCACACCTCACCATGGTGACACCATCAGTGCACTGCCCCAACACACAATGACTTAGTGTTCCCCTCCTCTGAGATCGTGGGAAAGGGGTGCATTGAGGGCCACAGTGGAGACTGGAAGCAGAACTTAAAAGACTGGGCGGCCGGGCACGGTGGCTCACGCCTGTAATCCCAGCACTTTGGGAGGCCGAGGCAGGCGGGAGGTAATGAGACTAAGACCATCCTGGCCAACATGGTGAACCCCTGTCTCTACTAAAAATATGAAAAATTAGCTGGGCATGGTGCCACATGCCTGTAATCCCAGCTACTCTGGAGGCTGAGGCGGGAGAATTGCTTGAATCTGGGAGGCGGAGGTTGCAGTGAGCCGAGATTGTGCACTCCAGCCTAGGCAACAGAGCGAGACTCCGTATCAGGGGGGAAAAAAACGACTGGGGGTGACGCGTGGGGAGGAGGAGTATTAACAAATCTTTGAGTAGATGGGTATTTAGAAGGCTCTGGGAAATTGAACCTCTTTAGGAAACAGACTGGAAGTCAATAAAATACATCTGCACATCTGCAAGCAGCAAGAACAAATACCTGTAGTTTGCTCAATTTTAAAATGTGATTTGTGTGCGCCACTGGAGGTTTGGTATCAACAGTAGGCTTCGCTAGAGAAGGGGGATAAAAGGGAACAATGTTACATCACAGGAATTCCAGTAGCGGCCTCAGAAAACCAGCACTAGACAATGTCCTTGACTAATGAACAATTTCGAATTAGGACCTTAATGCGACTCAAGAAGTTTGGTTTGATTTATCAAATGAACATCTCTGGAGAGTTTTGAGCAGAAACAAAAGAATAGTGAAAATAAAATTTACAGAGATAAATGTCCTTCTAATCCAATGAAAGAGCTTCTCTTCCAATCTTTTTCCAATATTATTAGCCTGTCTATTGGCTTCTGAAGTCTTATCCCCTTTCTAACGTACTTCGGCTTTAAGGAGTTTAAAGGAGTATTTCCATCCAGTGAACTCCCTGGTGGAAGATACATTTTGTTATTGGTGCTAATGCCCTCTTCCCCAAACTCAGCAGATAAGGCCATATCATCCCAAAGCTGTGACCTGGTCTGGTTTCCTGTTGATCTCTTTATGGGGTACCATTCCAAAATCCCTAATAGCAGTGTCCAGCCCAAACTGCCCACATACCTATTTGTATTCTATTCTTGTGAGATACGTAGTGGCCAAAGTCCAGTTTCTTTCTGAAGGTTGTGCTTTGCCTGTGATTAGAGACGATAACAGGGTAGGCCAGATAATCCAGGGAATTGTTCATCTTCTCTTCCTAGTCTCACTTCAGAAATGAGGTACCCAGACTCCTCTGTGAGGTGCCTAGCTGTCCCCATGACAAGCTGTCATAGTTACCCAGTTATGACATCAGGGACAGGTCCCGGGAAGGGAGTAGGAGCAGCAGAGCATGGCTGGCTGCCTCTGGGCTTGTGTTTTTAATGCTAACCTCGGCTCAAGTCAAGATGAAGGTCAAGGAACTCGAAAGCTTTCCCCGCTGCTTAGAATGCAGATGCTGCCAGCCAACACCAGAAGGAAAGAAGTGGTGCACCGGGAGGGGTGGGCAGGCACGGGGTGGGGTGAGGGATACAGAAATTCCAGCCTTGGTTACACATCTTGGGCTATCAGCTAAGTAGTCTCCACTGCAATAGCTCCCCTGAAGGTGCAAGACCACAAGTTTTGGAGGAGGAGAAAGTTGACCCTAATGATAATCGGATCCAATTCCTTTTGCAAATGAGGAAACTGAAGACCACAGCAGCAGCAACGTTACTCAAGAACCAAGTTGGTGGCAGGGCTGGGCTCAGGATGTGGGGTTCCTGAATTCAAGGCCAAATTTGCCCTTTTGCAGGAAGGAAACTGCCAGTTTTTCATGGCAGTAGGGGAGGGCAGCTTTCCTCCAGTACAGAGACTATCTTTTGTACTTAGTGGGAGTTCAGGAAATGCTGAGTGGCTTATGGTGGGCTGGCATCTGCTCCAGGAAGGGCTGCAGGAGTCTGATTTATCTCCACCCCAGCACAGGGTATAGCACCCACTGGGTGCTCAACGCATTTGTTGATGAAGGACTAACACCTATTGAGTGCTCGCCATGCAGTGCTGGGTGCCTTCTTTGAATGTCACATTTAACCCTTCCAGCAACCCTAGAATTAGGTACCATTACTATCCCGCTTTTTTTTTTTTTCCCTGCAAACAGGCTCAGGTTAAGTAATTCCTCAGAATTCCAAACCTGACTGCTTTTAAGCACGACGATGACTCTCAATGAATGTTGAAAGCAGATGCGCCCCAGAGTAGGGCTTCTCAGACTTTGACCGTAGGGACCTCCTGGGGTCCGTAAAATGTCCACTCTGATCCAGCAGGGCTGGGCTGGGGCGGGGATTCTGTCAAGCGCCCGGGTGGTGCCTCCACTGCAGGGAGCCGCTCACGAGCCGAACCCGGCGGTCCCTGTAATCATGAAAGACTGAAGCGACCCCTAGGTGTACCTCCGCCACGAAATGTTTATTGGGCCCTGCATTTAATTCAGGGAAGGAAGTTACCGCGCTTGCCAGTTTACAAAGATACACAAACGGCCTGGACCGGGATGGGGCGAGGACCCCTGAGACTCCAGGGCGGTGGCGTCTTCCCCCCGGGACGCGCCCAGGAGTGGCGCGCGGGGCCCCCGCGTCACGGCGCCCGCGCTCCGCAGCTCCCGGAGCCCGGCGGGCCCGCCCCAGGGGCGGGACGGGGCGGCTCCCGGCGCGAGCCCCCGCCCAGCTGATCCGCCGCTCTCCGCCTCGCTTGCTCCTGCCGGGCGTGCAGGGCCCCGCCGCCGCCATGTCGGGCTCGTTCGAGCTCTCGGTGCAGGATCTCAACGACCTGCTCTCGGACGGCAGCGGCTGCTACAGCCTCCCGAGCCAGCCCTGCAACGAGGTCACCCCGCGGATCTACGTGGGCAACGCGTGAGTCCCTTTCGCGAGCCCGGCCCCGCCGTCCCTCTCGGGACGCCCCGCCCACCCGAGGCTGGGGTCGGGGTGTCGCGAGTCTTGGGTTGGGGGAGCCCGGGCGCGATGGCCCCTCCGGGAGCCACAGCGGGGGCTTGGGAGGGGCCTGGAGTCGACGCCTACCCCCGCGCGTGGGGCCAAGGAACTGGAACCCTGCCTGGCCGGGCGCGGCCCTTCCCCGTGGCGGGGTGCACGGAGCCCGGGTGGCGCCTGCCCGGGTCCCAGCCGCCACCCGCTTGGGGCTTGGCCTTGGGCGGGGTCGGGGCTACCATGTTCACTTAACAGGTGACCCTCGGTCGCCCGGCCGGTCTCCTGCCCGCGCGTCATGTGACAGCTGCCTGGTTCTGCAGTGAGGTCACCGCGGAATGTCTGCCTTCGCCGCCATGGCAACGGGCCGACGTCACAATTCGGGCATGGAATTTTCCCGGCCCGGCAGTCCCGGATCAGGGAACCTAAACACCCCAAATGAGCGAGTCCGGGGAGCTGGGCCGGGATTTCCAGGCCCCCACCTTCCAGATGTGATTTGATTTACAGGAGATTCTAGAACGGTCCAGTGATAACCCCCCTAAGGACCTGAGCCACCACCTAGAAAAGGCTCTTGACCTTTCACCCCCAGGCTCTGTCACCCAGGCTGGAGTGCAATGGCGAGATCTCGGCTCACTGCAACCTCTGCCTCCTGGGTTCAAGCAATTCTCCTGCCTCAGCCTCCCGAGTAGCTGGGATTACAGGCGCCCGCCACCACGCCTGGCTACTTTTTGTATTTTTAGTAGAGACGGGGTTTCACCATATTGGCCAGGCTGGTCTCTTGGCCAGGCTGGTCTCAAACTCCTGACCTCATGATCCGCCCACCTCGGCCTCCAAAAGTGCTGGGATTACAGGCGTGAGCCACCGCACCCGGACAGTAAGAGATTTTTTTTAATTTAAATTTTAAATTTTTTTTCTAGTAAGAATGTCTAATCAGCAGGAAAGAACCAGTGTTAACATTCTGAGATGTGAAATAGGAGCCTCAAGAAAGAATATATTAGCATGCCTGTACAGCCTTGGAAAGCCTCAAGTTGGATTTTCACGATACTCTGAGGACCCAGTTACCAAAATCCTAAGCTTCATGGCTCAGCCCAAGGATGGCATGTTGAAAACTCAAAACTAACCCTCCTCCCATTTTACAGAGGAGGAAATGGTGGCTCAGAGTGTGTGAGGGACTACAAGGACAGGGTCAATGTCTTGTTCATGTATGTATTTCCTGACCTCCGCTATGACCTGCTGTTTAGCCTGCCAAGGACTGCCACGGAAATGGGGGTCATCATGGAACTAGAAGGGGTCCATCAGGCCCCAGCCTCATGGGGACAGTTCTCATCCATTCCATCATTCATTCACCAGTCTGAGCACCTGCTTTATGTCAGGCACTGTACAATGTTCATTCATAGTAGAGATAGTAATAATGATAATTGTAAATTTTTTGAATGTTGAATTATTAATAGTATTAGAGGCCTGGCACGATGGCTCACGCCTGTAATCCCAGCACTTTGGGAGGCCGAGGCGGGTGGGTCACCTGAGGTCAGCAGTTCGAGACCAGCCTGACCAACATGGTGAAACCCTGTCTCTACTAAAAATACAAAAATTAGCTGGGCATGGTGCCTGGCGCCTGTGATCCCAGCTACTCCGGAGGCTGAGGCAGGAGAATCGTTTGAACACGGGAGGTGGAGGTTACAGTGAGCCAAGATCGTACCGTTGCACTCCAACTGGGCAACAAGAGCGAAACTCCATCTCAAAAAAAAAAAGTATTAGAGAAGGGAGATGAATGGGAGTGACTCTTCAAAGTGTTTTTTTCTATCAGCCACTGCTTCACAGTCTTGCGCGGTGTCCTAAGCAGGAATAAACAGAGTCCCACAGTGTCAGCCAAAGGCTTCAGGAATTGGAAAGCTCTAGAGACACCCTTCCTCTTGCACCAAGCAGCAAGCAGGCCTTGTTAGCCTCAGGAATCCCGCTTGCTTGGGCAGGTTGGCCATTCAGCTGTCATCACTTCCCAAGTGGAAACCAAGGTTGTACACGTCTGGTGTAGCCAGAGTGGCAATTGCTGATGGCCACTGTAGAAAATACATCCCTTGCCCTCTAAGCACCTCTGACCTTGACTTGGCCAGGGGTGTGGGGGTTCCTCAACAGGGAGGATCAGTGAGCACCAAGCACCAAGAGGATTTGGGCTCCATTCCCTTAACAAAATCAGGGCCGCAGCCACGTCCTCACAAGGCAGAGCCAGAGCCTGTGTGAGCCACATGTGCCAGGCCTTGGGGGTTTTGCAGCAGATGTGGGCATGAGGGGCAGAGTGAGGTGGAAGATAGAGCAGGGCTGGATGTCGGGAGAAAGGAGGTCTTCTCCCAGATCTGCCACCAGCAGCACACGGGGCCTGTGCCCATCCCTCTGCTCATCCTGTTGGGCCTGAGTTCAAGCTCTGTTAAGCAGGGATATTGCCATCCTTGTTCCTCACAGGGCTGCTCGCAGTGGGCAAGCAAGATCACACAGGAGGTGGCATTTTATAAAGTATAAACTGCTATTTGGACTGGGATGTTTTGTGAGATGAAATAAAGGGGCCTTTTCACCATTCAGACCAATTATTATTTTTATTTTATTTTATTTTATTTTTCGAGACGGAGTCTCACTCTGTCACCCAGGCTAGAGTGCAATAGCACAATCTCAGCACACTGCAACCTCCACCTCCCGGGTTCAAGTGATTCTCCTGTCTCAGCCTCTGTAATCCCAGAGTAGCTGGGATTACAGGCATGTACCACCACACCCGGCTCACTTTTGTATTTTTAGTAGAGACGGGGTTTCACCATGTTGGCCAGGCTGGTCCCGAACTCCTGACAGGTGATCCACCTGCCTCGGCTTCCCAGAGTGCTGGGATTACAGGTGTGAGCCACTGCACCCGACCTTAGATAAATTATTTTGTAACCTCCCATAGTTCTGTTGGGGCCACTTACTCCCCAAGTACTAAATCACCCAAAAGAGCTTTGGAAACGTAGCCAGTGGAATGTGGCAGGTAGGATCCCTCTGGGGGCAGGGAGGGGGCTGCCTGGTACGTGACAAATTTATTCTTTTGCACTCATTCACCGCTTATTTATTCAGCACCTACTATGTAGCAGGTACTATAGCAGATGGTGGGGAAACAGACTTAAAGCAGACATGGTTCCTCTCTCAAGGAGCTCACAGTCTGGATGTCTAAACACAGAAGCACAATCAAGCATTAGAATCATAGTGCTCACTACCGTGTCCAGCTCTGTCAATGGAATAGCCCATTTAATACTCATAACAACCTCAAGGAGAAGGCACTGTTATCCCCATTTTACAGAGAGGGAAACTGAGGCACAGAAAGGTTAAATGGCTTGCTTAAGGTTGCCTGGCTAGTACCTGGGCAGGATGCAGACCCAGTTAGTCTGGTTCCAGAGCCCATCTGTAACCAGTTGGCTATGTACACCCCCACCACAGCTTAGGGAGCATGGGGCCAAATGGAATGGAGGGGAGACAAACACTGCGGAGGGTGTGAAAGATGAGAGGGCGCATTTCTCCAGAGAAGGTGGGAAAGAGCATTCCAGACAGAGGGGACAGCATGGCTATGAAACCACCAGTCTATTTGGGGAAGCTGCTGGCAATTCGATATGGCCAGAGTGAGGGAAGAGGTCATAAGATGAGGCAGGAGAAGCTGGCAGGGGCCAGAGCATGGAGGGTTTCCTTGCTTTGCTAAGAGGCTTAAATCCTTCTCCATCTTCCTCCCCCTGGGGCTGCCATTTGGTTGGTTAATCATCCCCACCACTGTCTCCTGTCCAGGTCTGTGGCTCAGGACATCCCCAAGCTGCAGAAACTAGGCATCACCCATGTGCTGAACGCGGCTGAGGGCAGGTCCTTCATGCACGTCAACACCAATGCCAACTTCTACAAGGACTCCGGCATCACATACCTGGGCATCAAGGCCAACGACACACAGGAGTTCAACCTCAGCGCTTACTTTGAAAGGGCTGCCGACTTCATTGACCAGGCTTTGGCTCAAAAGAATGGTAAGGGACCTCCCACCAGGAAAAGATGGGAGGCAGCTCTGACTGGACTGTCCCTCTGGAAAACAGGCCCACAACAGGTCTCTTCTTAGAAACTCCCTTGTTTCCCATCTTCTGGGGTGAACGACAGAGCTGTAGGTCTCTCTCTGCTCACCTGGCTGGCTGTCAAGTGGCCCCGTGTGTCACAGGATGTGCAACTCATTCACACCATGGCAGCCCCAGGGTCCTCGCGTTTGACTGCACTTTGGCTGGAGGTTGGTTTCCAGTTGCTTACACGTCCCCCATTCAAACAGCTGTAACGATGAGGAAGATGTGTTAATGTGTTAATGTGCATGGCAAGAAGTCCTGAGGTGAAGGAGCATGGGGGCTGGTTGATTAAGGGGCTGCTTGATTCAGCAGCTCCATGGTGGCCTCTGGACCAGGCCCTTTCCCTTTCTCTCTTCTGCCACCTCAGTGTTGGGTGCTCCCGTCATGGTCCCAAGATGGGATCCAGTCACCACATCCAAGCAGGACAAAGTACAGCAGATGAGGCCCTGCAGCCATCTCTTCCCACTCTTTTTTTTCCTCTTCTCTCTCTCCTTTTTTTTTTTTTTTTTTTTTTTTAGATGGAGTTTCACTCTTGTTGCCCAGGCTGAAGAGCAATGGCGCGATCTTGGCTCACCGCAACCTCCACCTCCCAGGTTCAAGCGATTCTCCTGCCTCAGCCTCCCGCCTCAGCCTCCCAAGTAGCTGGGATTACAGGCATGCGCCCCCACGCCTGGCTAATTTTGTATTTTTAGTAGAGATGGGGTTTCACCATGTTGGTCAGGCTGGTCTCCAACTCCTGACCTCAGGTGATCCGCCTCCCTCTGCCTCCCAAAGTGCTGGGATTACAGGCATGAGCCACCGCGCCTGGCCACTCTCTCTCTCTTTTTTAAAGAGACAGGGTCTTGCTATGTTGTCTAGACTGGTCTCCAACTCCTGGGCTCAAGCAGTCCTCTCACCTCAGCCTCCTGAGTAGCTGGGACTACAAGCACGTGCCACCATGCCCAGTCTCTCTCTTTAAGAACAAGTAAAACATTTCCCAGAAATACCCCTCACATCTCATTGGCTAGAGATTCACGTGATTGCCTGGCAAGGAGAAAAGGGGTAGCTGCGGTCAGCTTAGGTTGGCAGTCAGCAAACCACAGCCCCCCTGGCCAAATCTTCCAGCCACTTACGAAACACTTCCTGCAGCCCCCAAATATAAGATAAGACTGAAGGAGAACTACCAAGGCGCTGGCAGTCACCAAGGCATTCCAGCAAGAAACCCTAGAAGGCCACAAAGCAGACATCAGCTGAGCAGGCTGGGCCACTTGCCCTTTCTCCCTTTCTGCTTTTAGCTGTTTCTCTCAGCTCCTCCCTTTACCTCTTCGTCTCTCCCCACCCCAAACCCTCCCAGCGGAGGGGACCCCCATGAGGTGTGAACAGCCTTGGCTGTACTACACTGATGACTCTTGGGCCCAGCAGGCTCACTGTCTGAATGATTTCCAGTAAACAGAATTTTCTAGACCACTGGACAGTGAACGCTCAGGGCTCAGAGAGAAGCTTTACTGTGGAGTATCTGCAGACTTTGCTGACAGGCCCCTCATGGTCCTTCCTGGTCACTGTCACCCCCCAACCCTGCTCACCTCCTCCACTCCAGCTGTACTGAGTTCCTCACCCTGTGTAAACATAGGCTGGGCGAAGGGGAAGGATTTTGTTGTTCTCGTATAATAGCAATTGGTTATTCATTCAGGGAATTTCAAGCTCTCTGACTTTGTTTCCTCTTTCCAAACAACTAGGAACACGCCCTTTTTTTGACCTGTCTCAGTCCAGGTGTGCTGGGTCTTTAGTCTGAAAAGTTCTCTCTGCCTCTCCCTACCCCTTCCTCTGGCAAACTCCACCTTGTCCTTGGCATGGTGTCCTCTCTTCCATGAAGCCTGCCCTCAGGCTGGGTCTACTTTGTTCCTTGTCTGTCTCCTTAGCACCTGATGTAGCATCAGGCACATAGTAGGTACACTGCAAATGATGAATGAGCAAGTGATGAAGAATTCCATGGGCTCTAATGCCAAGTATAAATGCTTCTAAGAATGAGTGGCGAAGTGAGTCAACAGAAACATGCTGGCCTCCAACAGTGTGTGGGGCCCAGGGACCCATCACTGAGAGCTGGGTGGGATGGCTGAGGGTACTCAAGAGGGAGCAGTCACTTCTAGCTGGGAAAACAGCTTCATGGAGGAGGTGGCATCTGGGCTGAGCCTAGAGGAATGGGAGGTTGAACTGGCCCCTTTCCCAGTAGGCTCTGTGTGCACTGGGCATGCAGAGTATGTTCTAGATGGTAAGGTGGCTGCTCTGCAGAGGGTCTCATTCCTAGGGTGGGGCAGGGGAAGCCCCACTCTGAATATTTCGGGCATACAGGCCGGAGGGTGAATGGGCAAGAAAGTGGAGGACTCCTGCTTCCTGATTTGGAAGGCATTGGGAAAATAGAGTGGTGTTTTGGGGGTAGGGTGATAGGAGCAGAAGAGACTCTGTTGGACTCTGGGCTAGCAGATTCCTTGCCAAACAATGGCCTTATAGAGGTGTTAGTAGGTAATAATTCACTCAGCTAGTCAGCAAATATTTATTGAGCACATAGTGTATGCTAGAGATTGTAACGCATCCAAAAATCAATGCCCCACATTTCTTGCCTTTTTTTTTTTTTTTTTTTGAGACGGAGTCTCGCTCTTGTCACCCAGGCTGGAGTACAGTGGCTCAATCTCAGCTCACTGCACCCTCCACCTCCCAGGTTCAAGTGATTCTCCTGCCTCAGCTTTCTGAGTAGCTGGGATTACAGGCATGTGCCACCATGCCCAGCTAATTTTTTGTATTTTTAGTAGAAACGGGGTTTCGCCATGTTGGCCAGGATGGTCTCGAACTCCTGACTTCAGGGGATCCGCCCACCTCGACCTCCCAAAGTGTTGGGATTATAGGTGTGAGCCACCGTGTCCGGCCATTTCTTGCTCTTAAAGAATTCGTCCTCTGGGAGAGAAAAGTCAATCTGCGCATGTCTGGCAATGACACAGGACCAGGGCTGCTGTAGTTGAGGGTGTACTAGGTGCTACCAGAGGATGCCCAGTATTGGGTAACATTTATTGAGTGCACATGGATGCCAGGTGCTAACCTAGAGGATTCATGTGTCCTCTCCTTTAATCTAACCACCTTGTGCAATGGGTACTATTGGCCAGATAAGAAAACTGAGGCACCTTGAGGTTAGGTGGATCATGAGTTAATAACCAGTGTATTGGTCAGGATTCTCTAGAAAAAACAGAACCAATAGAATATACAGTCGGTCCTCCATATCCGTGGGTTCCACATCTGTGGATTCAACTAACCTCAGTCTGAAAAATATTAAAAACAACATAAAAAGATGTTATGTCTGTACTGAACATGTACAGATTTTTTTTCTTGTCATTATTCTCTAGATGATATAATCTAATAAATGTTTACATTGTCTTGGGTATCATAAGTCATCTGGAGATGATTTAAAGTATAGGGGAGGATGTGCTGTGCAGAGGTTATTTGCATATATGATGTCATTTTATAATCAGGGACTTGAGCATCTGTGGATTTGGGTATCGGCAGGAGGTCCTGGAGCCAATCTGCCCTGTGGATATTGAGAGATGGTGTCTATTTATATATATATATATACACACACATACACACACACACACACACACACACACACACATATATATACACGCACACACACACTATATTAAAATAACCCCACCTCTACTAAAAGATACAAAAAAATTAGCTGGGCATGGTGGCATGCGCCTGTAGTCCCAGCTACTCAGGAGGCTGAGGCAGGAGAATTGCTTGAACCCGGGAGGCGGAGGCTGAAGTGAGCCGAGATCGCGCCACTGCACTCCAGCCTGGGCAACAAGAAGGAAACTCCATCTCAAAAAAAAAGAAACAAAACACTACCAGCACCCTGGAAAGCACCCCCAGTCTCTATGCTCCACCACCCCCATCCCCAGCTCCCAGGGCCTCTGCCACGCGGGCTTCTTTTTTTTTTTGAGACAGAGTCTCGCTCTGTCACCCAGGCTGGAGCACAATCTCAGCACAATCTCACCTCACCGCAACCTCTGCCTCCTGGGTTCAAGCAATTCTCTGGCCTCAGCCTCCTGAGTAGCTGGGATTATAGGCTCGCGCCACCACACCCAGCTATTTTTTTGTATCTTTAGTAAAGACGGGATTTCACTATGTTGGCCAGTCTGGTCTCGAACTCCTGACCTTGTGATCCAGTTGCCTTGGCCTCCCAAAGTGCTGGGATTACAGGCGTGAGCCACTGTGCCCAGCCCCTTGCAGGCTTCTGACAGCACAGATGGTTTTGCCCGCTTTCCTACTCTGTGGGCTCATCCACCTCATATGTGTGTGCTGCCTCCGTGTTGCTTCTGCTAAGTGGCAGTCTGGTCATTCTTTGTATTTGTCCTTTCTACTGTGGATGGGCCTTTGGGGGTTTCTAACTGTGGGCCATGATGTGCAGTGTTGCCTGTGAACATTCTGGCCCATGTTCGTGAATGTGAATGCGTATCTCTATTGGACCTGGGCCTGGGAGTGGGATTGCTGGGCCAGAGGGGATGCACGTGTTCAGCTTGAGGAGATACCGCCGTGCCGCACAGCTTTCCAAAGTGGTTGTGCCAATTCACGCCTCACCTCCCCCAGCCACGCAGAAGAGTTCCAGTTGCCCCATATCTTCACCAGCACTTTGGGTTTTCCATCCTTTTCATTTTAGCCATTCTGACAGGCACACAGTGGCGTGACATTGTGCTTTTAAGTGGCACTTCACGGAAGAGTCTTGACCAACGCCATGGTGTGATGGGACGCCCCCAGCTCACCACGTCTCCCCTGTTTCTTACAGGCCGGGTGCTCGTCCACTGCCGGGAAGGTTATAGCCGCTCCCCAACGCTAGTTATCGCCTACCTCATGATGCGGCAGAAGATGGACGTCAAGTCTGCCCTGAGCATCGTGAGGCAGAACCGTGAGATCGGCCCCAACGATGGCTTCCTGGCCCAGCTCTGCCAGCTCAATGACAGACTAGCCAAGGAGGGGAAGTTGAAACCCTAGGGCACCCCCACCACCTCTGCTCGAGAGGTCCGTGGGGGAGGCCGTGGGCAAAGGTGTCCCGAGCTGCCATGTTTAGGAAACACACTGTACCCTGCTCCCAGCATCACAAGGCACTTGTCTACAAGTGTGTCCCAACACAGTCCTGGGCCACTTTCCCCACCCTGGGGAGCACATAAAGAAGCTTGCCAAGGGGGGCGTCCTTGCTCCCCAGTTGTCCTGTTTCTGTAACTTATGATGTCTTTTCCCTGAGATGGGGGCTCAGAGGGGGAAGGCCTGTGGCCTGCATGCTTCCCGATGGCCCACGGCAGGAGGTGTGTGGAAGTGTAAGGCCTAAGATGCTCACAGAGGTCCCTCATGACCTCCCTTCCCCAACTCCCGAATCCTCTCTTGAGTGTGGACCTCAACACCTTGAGCCCTAGTAAAGGAACTATGCAAATGCAGGCCACTCTCCCCACCACGTCTGTGCCCTGCACTGTCCCCACAGCCTTCCACACCCTGTGCATAGGCAGCCCTCTCACGTCTTGAGGTCCGAAGCTGGGGTGGGGGTGTCCGTCAGTTATTAGTGGATGGAGATTCCCACAGCAAGGCTGCATTTGAATGATTTCCTTAGGATGAATGGTCCCTACACAAAGAGGCCTTGTGGGCAAACCTGGAGAACCCTCCTAAATCCATAGAGTTTTCAAAATGTGAATCTTTGGAAGCCTTGAGTTCAGAATCTGCTGCTCTGGAATATTTCCCTTCGATCTTATCTCAGTCACTTCGTTTTTGAGAAGAGTGATGCCTTGGGCATGCTTTTTTTTTTTTCTTTTTTAGAAAACAGGGAGTTGAAGTCCAACCTATTTAAAAACCCCACCATTTGGAGAATTACAAGGGTTTTGTCCTGAATTGTAGTGTTGGCAAGCCCAAGCCACTCGTGCTAACTGCTTTTTGTCTCGGTTGCTATTCCAAGAACAGAAGGAGGAAGTTGGCCAATTACAGCGTGTGTGCATGGATGTGTGTGGGGGGCGTGCCTCTCAGAAACGCGGCCAGAAGACAAGCAGGGAAGTGAAAGGTCCCAGGCACACACCCTGCCCATTGCAGGTGGCTCTTACAGCTCTCTGGTGCCAGCACGGGATCCCTGAAGTGACTCAGCCAGGCAGACATGAGACATGGCGGAGTGTCCAAATGGATCCTTTATTGGTGGTAGAGCAAAAAAACCCAAACACGATAAACCTTTCAAAAGACTTTCTAAGGATGATATTGGAATGCACCAGCCCTCACATGTGTATGCACATTTGCCAGAATATAAGAGTTTTGTTTTAAATACAGTCTTGTTAGGATTTTACGTTATTGTTATTATGGAAAGTGATTGTGATGCTATTTATCTTCAGGGTCACTCTGGGCAAAGAGAAGGTCCTCAGCCATGCCCCCAGCACCTTGCACATAGGTGTCTGATAAAAGTTTAAGAAAGTAAACACTTTTTGAGCACCAAATATATATAGGGCATTGTTCTGGTGGGTGTGTCACGCTCCCAGAAGACTGAATTCATGGTAGGATCACTCGCAAGGCCTTGTGAAGGAGTCTTACCTAAAACGAAAGAAATATCAGGGACTTTTGTTGACTATTTACAACTCAGTTTTACATTTAAATTCAGGCAGTGTTAATATGCCAAGGTAGGGAATGTGCCTTTTTCAGAGTTGGCCAGGAGCTCCTGGCTGGGACACGGAGAGGCAGGTGTGGCGTAAGGCCTCACTCCCGGCTGGGAAGGTCTCTGATCACACAGAAGCAGCCCTGCCCAGCCTGGTCATTTGCTGTCCGCTTTTCTCTGTGACCACAGCAGCCCTGAACAACCAGTATGTGTCTTCTTCTCCAGATAGTGAAAAAGGTGTCCAGATAAACCCACCTAAGTGAAATGGCCATCCTCTAAACTGGGTACCTCACTGCACAGCTTCTAGGTAGCCTTCCAACTTAATCTAACTTGAGCCTCACAGTAACCCTGTAAAGTTAGTAGAGCTTGTTCTTGTATTGTGACCTTTTTTAAAAAAAAGGAACTGAGGTTCAGAATGATTAAGGGCCTGGCCCCCAGGGTTGTCCAGCTCCATAAGGTGGAGCTGGGCAAGATTTTGGGTTTGCTGCTCCCTGAAGCTGGATTCTTTCATACGATACTCTTTCTCAAGAAGGGGGCTCCCTGGGATCTCCAGGTGTACTGCACTTACCCTCAATCCAGCCCCGGAGAAGCAAGTGAAAAGGGTGGGTCCCTCATAGGCTAGAATGTGCAGCTCTTTCTCCAGGTGGGATGTAGCACCCCGAAGTAGAGCTTTCTGCTCTGCTCCTGGAAAAGGCTAGGGAGCTGGGGCTGGGGCTCCCCTCCCATGACCAGGCAGTGGTCACCCCATGGGACAGGCACAGCTACTTACGCGAACACAGCAGGTTGGTGTGGCTGGCTAACTAGGACCTCTCGAAAGTCTCTGTGGGGGCATGAGGGAGAAAAGGCCATTGGGAGAATTACTGCCTTTACTTTGGGACTACTTTTATGCTGATAACTTGGGATTTCTTGATAGTCCTTCACCCCTGAAACCCCGTATTTACTTAACAAGATTTAGCTCTTAGTTCTTCAAGTAAAATTAAAGTCTCTTGTGTAAGAGCCAACACATGCCCAGCTGCGGATGGGAGCTGTTCCTGGACAGCCTTCTACTGCCTGGGAAGTGATGGAACAGGAACTCAGGGTGCCCTTACCCCCTCCCCAGACCTGTTCCCTTTCTTTGACTGACAGAGCACCATCCAGGCAAAATTAGAGCGCCAAATGGTTTTCTTCTCAATCTTAAAGCAGTATACCTTTCCACAGGCTCGTCTGTGTCCCTGCCACTCTGAGTTATCCAGAAACCACCACCTACAAATGAGGGGACTCATCTAGAAGACCTCTAAGGTCCCCTTTTGGCTCTGAGGGGTCTCTAATAATCCCCACTTGGAATTCAGCACCGCAAGGAAATTATGGGTATGTGAGCCATAATATGATGGGCAGCAGGTGGCGCTGCCTTCCACCCATGGTGATGGATGGTTTGGAAAGGGAATGTTGGTGCCTTTTGTGCCACAAGTTAAGATGCTACTGTTTTAAAGGAAAAAAAAAAAAAAAAGTACTGATCTTCAATATGAAGACATGAGCTTTTCTCGCAGGAAATTTTCTTTTTCACAGAACTGGTGTCAGGAATCACTGAAGGGCTAACCGTGATAGTCCTTGCAAGTAAGTCAAGGTTTTATCCTGATTGGAAATAGAAGACATTTCCGGTTGAGAGAACAGATTCGTTGGAAGCTTAACTTTTGTTGCCTCTTAACGCCACCAAATTTTAGGGTAATTTGATTATGAAAGAGTGAATTTTTCTGGACAGAAAAGGGAGAGCTACCAAATTGTTTTTTTCTTTTTAAAAGGAAGTTTAATGTCCGTTGTATCACAAATCAGTGTTAAAACACCAGAACTTTAGCCAAAATAAATGTCTTACATTACAAAGGTATTGTTTTTTTGTCCTTCTTATCACAGTTGGTATTCTTTTACGTTTTTATGCTTAGCTTTTTTTGTTTGGGCTTAGCTTTTATATTTGCGATTTCTAACTTTTTAAAAATAATCATCTAAAACATAGCCGTTCTGAGCTAGTTATAGGTTCCATGATGGCACTGTTTATGCAGTAGATATTGATGAACACCTTTCCAGTACCAGAAATGTTCTGGTAGGAATATTCTTAGGTAGAATGGCCATAATGGTCCTGAATGAAGGAGGTAAGGTTTGTGCTTCTAAGAAAGCAGGGGACTAGGGTGTTCATCTCAAGGTAGCCTCACGTGATGACTGGGTGACATTTTGAGATTTGAGTGATCCTGCAAATGAACAGTCCCTAAACATATCCCCTTCCCCCAGATGCCTTAAATTCCACTATTGGTGCTATGTTCCTTTGAATAAAAAACCTTAGAGAAAGTAGTTGCCTTTTCCTCCCAGACAGAAGTCTGGGCAGAGAAAGCCTCTCGAGGTTCCCATTCCCTCTATCACATGAAGCAATTGGACTCGCTTCCTGTTTGTCAAGACTCTGACAATGTAATCTTTATGGTTCTACACAAAATCTTAAGGCAGAGCACTAAAATATAAAACAGGTAAAAGTTTTTAAGTATAATTTTTAAAAAATTTTTCATTAAAAATAATACTATATGTACATAGTAATACACTTAAACAATGCAAAAGGCTTATACGGAAAAGTGAGTCACTTGCTCCTTCAATCTGTCTCCCCATAAGCATCATATCCTTAAAGGAAAATGTCAAGCATATATAAGCACACATATGTGCATACGTGTGTATATACAGAGATATCTCTGCTTTGTTGTTTGTTTTGCTTAGCTTATATTATGGTTATTGTTTTTATTGTTCTACCCCCTTCATCTTAACAGCTACATAGCATTCCATTGTGTATGGATGTGTAAATAAAGACAAGGTGATTTGGACATCCCTCAATGCAGGGTACTGCCTAAAAGCAGAAGTTTGCCCTCCTAATCCAGATATTTCCTTTTTACCACCTACAAGTGGGAGCAAAATCTGTTTTAAAATGCAGCCAATAAGGAGAATCCTCAGTTTCCATTAATTAGAGATAGGGGCCTCCTCCAGAACCAAGTAGAGAATGAAACCGGATGACCTTTGAGAGTCCTTCCAGATCAAAGATTCTATGATCCCAAGGAGTCAAAGGAGCATAATATACTTTCCAAATTTGGCCTGTCATTCAAAGTCTGGTCCAAATGCCACATCTTACCATAAGGATCCCAGATCCTCCCCAGGGGAAAGAGATTGTTCTCTCCTTTGAAGGCCCATAAGAAAATTGTCCTTTTGAAAAAATGCATCTGGTGAGGATGTGGAACAACAGGAACTCTTTGTTTCAGTGGGGAATGCAAAATGGTACAGCCACTTTGGAGGACAGTTTGCAGTTTAGTTTCTTGCAAAACTACACATACTTTTATTGCACAATCCAGCAGTCATGCTCCTTGGTATTTATTCAAATGATTTGAAAACTTAACGTTCGTATAAAAACCTGCACACAGCTGGGCATGGTGGCTCATGCCTGTAATCCCAGCACTTTGGGAGGCTGAGGTGGGCAGATCACTTGAGGTTAGGAGTTTGAGACCATACTGGCCAACATGGGGAAACCCCTTCTCTACTAAAAATACAAAAATTAGCCAGGTGTGGTGGTGCTCACCTGTAATCCCACCTACTCGGGAGGCTGAGCCAGGAGAATCACTTGAACCCAGGAGGCGGAGGTTGCAGTGAGCTGAGATCACGGCACTGCACCCCAGCCTGGGAGACAGAGTAAGACTCCGTCTTAAGACAAAACAAAACAAAAAACCTGTACAAAATGTTTATACCACCTCTATTAATAATTGCCAGAGCTTGAAAGCAACCAAGATGTCCTTCAGTAGATGACAGTAGGTGACTAGATAAACCGTGATACATCAAGACGATGGAGTATTACTCAGTGCTAAAAAAAAAAAATAAGCTGTTCATGCCATGAAAAGACATGGAGGAACCCCAAATGAATATTACTAACTGAAAGAAGCCAATCTGAAAAGACTATGTATGGGTATATTCCAACTCTATATGACATCCTGGAAAAGGCAAAAATAAAGGTACAGTAAAAAGATCAGTGGTTGCCAGGGGTTGGGGAAAGTCGGGGAGGGATGAATAGGCAGAGCAGATAGTTTTTTTGGACAATGAAAATACTGCCCATCTGTATGATACTATAATGGTAGATGTATGTCATTATACATTTGTCCAAAGCCATAGGATGTACAACACTAGTGCTGTGATGTAAACCATGGACTTCAGGTGATAATGATGTGTCATGTAGGCTCATCAATCATAGCAAATGCACCACTCTGGTGGCGGGATGTTGATAACGGGGGCAGCTGTACATGTGTGGGCACAGGACATAAATGAGAAATCTCTGTACCATCCACTCAGTTTTGCTGTGAACCTAAAAGTGCTCCAGAAAAAAAATAAAGTTTTTTTTAGAAAAAAGCATCTGAACCTTTTTTTCAGTGGCATTGATCACCTTCCATCTGGTAGTGGAGTTGTTTGGATGCGGAAATTATTTCTTCCATGGTATGCGAGCTCCTGGAGAGGGAGTGCGTGTCCCCCTTGCTTTATTAAACGTTTGGCGAGTGAACATCGGAAGAAGCAACTCGACAGAAACAAAAGCTGGTAAATAATCACATGGAAAAGCAGCTTTTCTGGAAATTAAGTTTCAACTGTTAAATTCAATGTTTAAAAAAATCGGCTGGGTGCGGTGGCTCCCGCCTGCAATCCCAGCACTTTATGGGATTGTGGGAACACCTGATGTCAGGAGTTCAAGACCAGCCTGGCCGACATGGCGAAACCCCATCTCTACAAAACAAATAAAAAAAATGCAAAAATTAGCTGGGTGTGGTGGCGGGAGTCTGTAGTCCTAGCTACTCGGGAGGCTGAGGCAGGAGAACTGCTTGAACCCAGGAGGTGGAGGTTATATGAGCCAAGATCACACCACTGCACTCCCGCCTGGGTGACAGAGCGAGACTCTGTCTCAAAAAAAAAAAAAAAAAAAAAAAAAAAAATCAACATCCCAAACCCAGTGTTGACAGTCTTATTTATGGGTTGAACTGCATTCCTCCCAAATGCATATATTGAAGTCCTAAGTCACAGTACCTGAGAATGTGACCTTATTTGGAAATAGGGCTATTACAGATGTAACTCGTTAAGATGAGGTCATTAGGCTGGGCCTAATCTAATATGCCTGACCTCCTTAGAAAAAAGGGAAAATTCGAACACAGAGAGAACACCATGTGAAGATGAAGGCAGGGATTGGGGGTGACACTTCTGCAAGCCAGTGAATGCCACAGCTTGTCAGCAGCCAGCAGAAGGCAGGTAAAAGGCCTTCCTCGCTGTCCTCGAAGGAACCAACTCTGCCAATGTCTTGAACTTGCACTCCTAACCTCCAGCTCTGTGAGACGACTTCTGTTGTTTATGCCACCCAATTTGTGGTACTTAGTTACGGCAGCCTCATCAAAGTACCACCTATGGGAGCCTCTATTTTGCAGGTGAGGGCGGGGACTGGGCTTTTTCTGGAAAACAGCCCTGCAATACCCTCATCAGACCACCAAACTCTTCACACTCCCTCAGACACAGCATTCACTTCCAGAAATAACTCTAAAGTTTTGTTTTGTTTTTTTAAACTTTGTGGAATACTACTCAGCCAAAAAAAAAAAAAAGAAAAGAAAAAGGAACATGTTACTGATATGTACAACTTGGATAATGGAAATAATGCTGAGTGAAAAAAAAATCCCCAAAGGCTACATACTAATTGATTCCATTTATATAACCTTTTTTTTTTTTTTTGAGACAGTCTCACTCTGTCACCCAGGCTGGAGCACAGTGGCGCGATCTCAGCTCACTGCAACTTCCGCCTCCTGAGTTCAAGCGATTCTCTTGCCTTAGCTTCCCAAGTAGCTGGGATTACAGGTGCGTGCCACCATGCCCAGCTAATTTTTGTATTTTTAGTAGAGACAGGGTTTCGCCATGTTGGCCAGGCTGGTCTCGAACTCCTGACCTCAAGTGATCTGCCTGCCTTGGCTTCCCAAAGTGCTGGGATTACATGAGTGAGCCACCGCACCTGGCCGCATTTATGTAACAATTTTGAAGTGAAAAAAAAAAATGACAGAAATGGAGATTAGATGAGTAGTTGCCAGGGGTTAGTTGTGGGAGGGAGGGAAAAGGAGGGAAGGAGGTGGGCAACAGGAGAAAGACTTGTGGTCACAGAGCTGTGCTTTATCTTGACTGTGGTGGATCCCCAAATTTACCCGTGACAAGATTGCATAGAACTAAGTATACACACACGTGAATGCGTGTGCACGCACACAGTAGAGGTTAAACCACGGGAGATGTGGGTAAGATTGGTAAATTGTGTCAATATCAATATCCTAGTTGTGATATTGTCCTATAGTTTCGCAAGGTGTTATTGTTGTGGGAAACTGGATAAAGGATACACGGAGTCTGCATTTTCTTTTTTTTATTTTTATTTTTTGAGACGGGGTCTCACTCTGTCATCCAGGCTGGAGTGCAGTGGCCCAAGTATGGCTCACTGCAGCCTCGACCTCAACCTCAAGTGAACCTCCCACCTCAGCCTCCCAAGTAGCTAAGACCACAGGCGTGCGACCCCATGCCCAGCTAATTTTTAAATTTTTTGTAGAGACTAGGCCTCACCATGTTGCCCAGGCTTTTATTTCTTATAAGTATATTTAAATTTATAATTATATCCACATTTTAAAATTTTAATTTAAAAAATTACTCTGAGGCCGGGCATTGTGGCTCATGCCTCTAATCCCCAGCACCTTGGGAGGCCGAGTTGGGCAGATCACCCGAGGTCAGAAGTTCGAGACCAGCCTGAGTAACATGGAGAAACCCCCGTCTCTACTAAAAATACAAAATTGGCCGGGCGTGGTGGTGCATTCCTGTAATCCCAGCTACTCGGGAGGCTGAGGCAGGAGAATTGCTTGAACCCAGGAGGTGGAGGTTGCAGTGAGCCAAGATTGTGCCACTGCACTGCAGCCTGGGCCACAGAGAGAATCTGCCAAAAAAAGAAAAAAAAAAAAATTTCAGCCGTACAAGGATGTTCATAGCAACCCTGCTGGAAATAGGAAAAAAAATTGGAAATAACCTAAACTACTCACAATAGGAATCAGCTAAAACCCTGGGGGTTTAATTCCAGGGAGTACTGTGAACAATGACAAGTTTGTGGACTGAGTAAAAATAAACAGCTGTCAATGACTTAACATTAAATGAAACAGCAGAAGATGTCACAGCAGGTTCTCGCTGAGCCATTCAGAGGGGTGTGGATCATTTAGAGGTTCAAGTCCACTGGATTCTTCTTTTTCCTTTTAATATTACTTCACTTCCAAATAAGGAAAGGAAAGGAAAGGAAATCACGTCCAGTCCTGAGACTTGCCATCCTGCAGTCACCCCTCCTTTTGTCTCCAGCAGGTGGCAGACGCGTTCCAGGGATGAATCCCACTGCCTCTGTTTAATGCAGACGGTCCAGCCGCTCCCAACAGCAGGTGGGGCTATAAGCATCCATCCTACCTGCTCAAGGAACCCAGGCATCAGAACTGCTCTCTCCCAAGTCCATTGCAAGAAGGCAGTCGTCTGGTCATGAGAGGGTTAACAGTCCACATTCCAGAGCAAGGGAAAAGGAGGCTGGAGGGTCATAGACAAGGGGAGGTGGCGCGGAGGGCCAGCTTCTCACAACACTACCGGCTCTGCTGGGAGAGATAGATCACCCCCAACAATGGCCACAGCTGTTTTCATCTGCCCTGAAGGAAACTGACTTAGGAAGCAGGTATCAGAGAGGGCCCTTCCTGAGGGGGCTTCTGTCTGGCTTGTAAAACTGTCAGAGCAGCTGCATTCATGTGTCGGATGATGGATGATGGAAAGGAGGACAGTCGGCTGCAGATGGACACAGCGACTTGCAAGTTGAGGCAGGTGGCAAAGGACTTGCAGAGGCTCTGCAGGTGGGGCATGCTGATTCATTGCCCAGTTAAAATACCAGAGGATCTGGGCAGCCTCTTCACAGGAGCTGCTTGTCCTCAAACAATCTGTCTTCAATGAAAGATTCCTCTGGCCTTCCTTTCTCTTCTTGCACCTCAGGTGTGAATCCTTCTCCCCCACGCCTCTACCTGCCCCCCCGCCCCCCGCCCCGGCCCTGTGTGGCTCATTATATGCAGGGCCAAGGCAGCATTTTCTCTTAGCTTCTTTGTGACCACTTGGTCCTGGGATGGCTTCATGGAACACATCCTGTGGTGTGCACCAATGAAGCTTTCCATACAGGACTCAAAACTGTTTTTGAAAAATGTAACCAGCTGGAAGACAAGAAAATAAAATGTCAGCACTAAAAACGCTGGCTGTGGCTTTTGCTAAGGAAAGGAATTTGGTGTTGTCTTCTCACACACACAGACTGGTTGGGGAAATGACTGTCTTCAGCACATCACCCTGCGAGCCACAGTGAGTGCCCTGGCTCAGAAGTGCCTGTCACAGTGCACAGGATCCCTGAGGAGCATGAGCTGGGATTTCCTCTGTGCTGTCCACCACAGGAGCCTGAGTGACCAGCGCATCCTCGATTTGTAACCAGAATCCTGCCCTCTCTCCCAAGCGGGCACCCTTGCTCTGACCCTCTAGTTCTCTCTCTTGCCTTCCAGAGAATACCAAGAGAGGCTTTCTTGGTTAGGACAATGAATGCTGAGACTTGTGGAGTTGGGACCAATGGGATTTCTTTAAAAGCATCTTTTTGCCTCTGGCTGGGTCTATGGGGGTCAAACAGAAACGCCTTGGGCCATTTGTTGGTGGGGTGACAAATGAACTTGGCCTGAGAAATGGAATAGGCCGGGCTCAGCCCCGCGAAGCACTCAGAACTGCACATTTTCTTTGTTGAGCGGGTCCACAGTTTGTTTTGAGAATGCCCGAGGGCCCAGGGAGACAGACAATTAAAAGCCGGAGCTCATTTTGATATCTGAAAACCACAGCCGCCAGCACGTGGGAGGTGCCGGAGAGCAGGCTTGGGCCTTGCCTCACACGCCCCCTCTCTCTGGGTCACCTGGGAGTGCCAGCAGCAATTTGGAAGTTTGCTGAGCTAGAGGAGAAGTCTTTGGGGAGGGTTTGCTCTGAGCACACCCCTTTCCCTCCCTCCGGGGCTGAGGGAAACATGGGACCAGCCCTGCCCCAGCCTGTCCTCATTGGCTGGCATGAAGCAGAGAGGGGCTTTAAAAAGGCGACCGTGTCTCGGCTGGAGACCAGAGCCTGTGCTACTGGAAGGTGGCGTGCCCTCCTCTGGCTGGTACCATGCAGCTCCCACTGGCCCTGTGTCTCGTCTGCCTGCTGGTACACACAGCCTTCCGTGTAGTGGAGGGCCAGGGGTGGCAGGCGTTCAAGAATGATGCCACGGAAATCATCCCCGAGCTCGGAGAGTACCCCGAGCCTCCACCGGAGCTGGAGAACAACAAGACCATGAACCGGGCGGAGAACGGAGGGCGGCCTCCCCACCACCCCTTTGAGACCAAAGGTATGGGGTGGAGGAGAGAATTCTTAGTAAAAGATCCTGGGGAGGTTTTAGAAACTTCTCTTTGGGAGGCTTGGAAGACTGGGGTAGACCCAGTGAAGATTGCTGGCCTCTGCCAGCACTGGTCGAGGAACAGTCTTGCCTGGAGGTGGGGGAAGAATGGCTCGCTGGTGCAGCCTTCAAATTCAGGTGCAGAGGCATGAGGCAACAGACGCTGGTGAGAGCCCAGGGCAGGGAGGACGCTGGGGTGGTGAGGGTATGGCATCAGGGCATCAGAACAGGCTCAGGGGCTCAGAAAAGAAAAGGTTTCAAAGAATCTCCTCCTGGGAATATAGGAGCCACGTCCAGCTGCTGGTACCACTGGGAAGGGAACAAGGTAAGGGAGCCTCCCATCCACAGAACAGCACCTGTGGGGCACCGGACACTCTATGCTGGTGGTGGCTGTCCCCACCACACAGACCCACATCATGGAATCCCCAGGAGGTGAACCCCCAGCTCGAAGGGGAAGAAACAGGTTCCAGGCACTCAGTAACTTGGTAGTGAGAAGAGCTGAGGTGTGAACCTGGTTTGATCCAACTGCAAGATAGCCCTGGTGTGTGGGGGGGTGTGGGGGACAGATCTCCACAAAGCAGTGGGGAGGAAGGCCAGAGAGGCACCCCTGCAGTGTGCATTGCCCACGGCCTGCCCAGGGAGCTGGCACTTGAAGGAATGGGAGTTTTCGGCACAGTTTTAGCCCCTGACATGGGTGCAGCTGAGTCCAGGCCCTGGAGGGGAGAGCAGCATCCTCTGTGCAGGAGTAGGGACATCTGTCCTCAGCAGCCACCCCAGTCCCAACCTTGCCTCATTCCAGGGGAGGGAGAAGGAAGAGGAACCCTGGGTTCCTGGTCAGGCCTGCACAGAGAAGCCCAGGTGACAGTGTGCATCTGGCTCTATAATTGGCAGGAATCCTGAGGCCATGGGGGCGTCTGAAATGACACTTCAGACTAAGAGCTTCCCTGTCCTCTGGCCATTATCCAGGTGGCAGAGAAGTCCACTGCCCAGGCTCCTGGACCCCAGCCCTCCCCGCCTCACAACCTGTTGGGACTATGGGGTGCTAAAAAGGGCAACTGCATGGGAGGCCAGCCAGGACCCTCCGTCTTCAAAATGGAGGACAAGGGCGCCTCCCCCCACAGCTCCCCTTCTAGGCAAGGTCAGCTGGGCTCCAGCGACTGCCTGAAGGGCTGTAAGGAACCCAAACACAAAATGTCCACCTTGCTGGACTCCCACGAGAGGCCACAGCCCCTGAGGAAGCCACATGCTCAAAACAAAGTCATGATCTGCAGAGGAAGTGCCTGGCCTAGGGGCGCTATTCTCGAAAAGCCGCAAAATGCCCCCTTCCCTGGGCAAATGCCCCCCTGACCACACACACATTCCAGCCCTGCAGAGGTGAGGATGCAAACCAGCCCACAGACCAGAAAGCAGCCCCAGACGATGGCAGTGGCCACATCTCCCCTGCTGTGCTTGCTCTTCAGAGTGGGGGTGGGGGGTGGCCTTCTCTGTCCCCTCTCTGGTTTGGTCTTAAGACTATTTTTCATTCTTTCTTGTCACATTGGAACTATCCCCATGAAACCTTTGGGGGTGGACTGGTACTCACACGACGACCAGCTATTTAAAAAGCTCCCACCCATCTAAGTCCACCATAGGAGACATGGTCAAGGTGTGTGCAGGGGATCAGGCCAGGCCTCGGAGCCCAATCTCTGCCTGCCCAGGGAGTATCACCATGAGGCGCCCATTCAGATAACACAGAACAAGAAATGTGCCCAGCAGAGAGCCAGGTCAATGTTTGTGGCAGCTGAACCTGTAGGTTTTGGGTCAGAGCTCAGGGCCCCTATGGTAGGAAAGTAACGACAGTAAAAAGCAGCCCTCAGCTCCATCCCCCAGCCCAGCCTCCCATGGATGCTCGAACGCAGAGCCTCCACTCTTGCCGGAGCCAAAAGGTGCTGGGACCCCAGGGAAGTGGAGTCCGGAGATGCAGCCCAGCCTTTTGGGCAAGTTCTTTTCTCTGGCTGGGCCTCAGTATTCTCATTGATAATGAGGGGGTTGGACACACTGCCTTTGATTCCTTTCAAGTCTAATGAATTCCTGTCCTGATCACCTCCCCTTCAGTCCCTCGCCTCCACAGCAGCTGCCCTGATTTATTACCTTCAATTAACCTCTACTCCTTTCTCCATCCCCTGTCCACCCCTCCCAAGTGGCTGGAAAAGGAATTTGGGAGAAGCCAGAGCCAGGCAGAAGGTGTGCTGAGTACTTACCCTGCCCAGGCCAGGGACCCTGCGGCACAAGTGTGGCTTAAATCATAAGAAGACCCCAGAAGAGAAATGATAATAATAATACATAACAGCCGACGCTTTCAGCTATATGTGCCAAATGGTATTTTCTGCATTGCGTGTGTAATGGATTAACTCGCAATGCTTGGGGCGGCCCATTTTGCAGACAGGAAGAAGAGAGAGGTTAAGGAACTTGCCCAAGATGACACCTGCAGTGAGCGATGGAGCCCTGGTGTTTGAACCCCAGCAGTCATTTGGCTCCGAGGGGACAGGGTGCGCAGGAGAGCTTTCCACCAGCTCTAGAGCATCTGGGACCTTCCTGCAATAGATGTTCAGGGGCAAAAGCCTCTGGAGACAGGCTTGGCAAAAGCAGGGCTGGGGTGGAGAGAGACGGGCCGGTCCAGGGCAGGGGTGGCCAGGCGGGCGGCCACCCTCACGCGCGCCTCTCTCCACAGACGTGTCCGAGTACAGCTGCCGCGAGCTGCACTTCACCCGCTACGTGACCGATGGGCCGTGCCGCAGCGCCAAGCCGGTCACCGAGCTGGTGTGCTCCGGCCAGTGCGGCCCGGCGCGCCTGCTGCCCAACGCCATCGGCCGCGGCAAGTGGTGGCGACCTAGTGGGCCCGACTTCCGCTGCATCCCCGACCGCTACCGCGCGCAGCGCGTGCAGCTGCTGTGTCCCGGTGGTGAGGCGCCGCGCGCGCGCAAGGTGCGCCTGGTGGCCTCGTGCAAGTGCAAGCGCCTCACCCGCTTCCACAACCAGTCGGAGCTCAAGGACTTCGGGACCGAGGCCGCTCGGCCGCAGAAGGGCCGGAAGCCGCGGCCCCGCGCCCGGAGCGCCAAAGCCAACCAGGCCGAGCTGGAGAACGCCTACTAGAGCCCGCCCGCGCCCCTCCCCACCGGCGGGCGCCCCGGCCCTGAACCCGCGCCCCACATTTCTGTCCTCTGCGCGTGGTTTGATTGTTTATATTTCATTGTAAATGCCTGCAACCCAGGGCAGGGGGCTGAGACCTTCCAGGCCCTGAGGAATCCCGGGCGCCGGCAAGGCCCCCCTCAGCCCGCCAGCTGAGGGGTCCCACGGGGCAGGGGAGGGAATTGAGAGTCACAGACACTGAGCCACGCAGCCCCGCCTCTGGGGCCGCCTACCTTTGCTGGTCCCACTTCAGAGGAGGCAGAAATGGAAGCATTTTCACCGCCCTGGGGTTTTAAGGGAGCGGTGTGGGAGTGGGAAAGTCCAGGGACTGGTTAAGAAAGTTGGATAAGATTCCCCCTTGCACCTCGCTGCCCATCAGAAAGCCTGAGGCGTGCCCAGAGCACAAGACTGGGGGCAACTGTAGATGTGGTTTCTAGTCCTGGCTCTGCCACTAACTTGCTGTGTAACCTTGAACTACACAATTCTCCTTCGGGACCTCAATTTCCACTTTGTAAAATGAGGGTGGAGGTGGGAATAGGATCTCGAGGAGACTATTGGCATATGATTCCAAGGACTCCAGTGCCTTTTGAATGGGCAGAGGTGAGAGAGAGAGAGAGAAAGAGAGAGAATGAATGCAGTTGCATTGATTCAGTGCCAAGGTCACTTCCAGAATTCAGAGTTGTGATGCTCTCTTCTGACAGCCAAAGATGAAAAACAAACAGAAAAAAAAAAGTAAAGAGTCTATTTATGGCTGACATATTTACGGCTGACAAACTCCTGGAAGAAGCTATGCTGCTTCCCAGCCTGGCTTCCCCGGATGTTTGGCTACCTCCACCCCTCCATCTCAAAGAAATAACATCATCCATTGGGGTAGAAAAGGAGAGGGTCCGAGGGTGGTGGGAGGGATAGAAATCACATCCGCCCCAACTTCCCAAAGAGCAGCATCCCTCCCCCGACCCATAGCCATGTTTTAAAGTCACCTTCCGAAGAGAAGTGAAAGGTTCAAGGACACTGGCCTTGCAGGCCCGAGGGAGCAGCCATCACAAACTCACAGACCAGCACATCCCTTTTGAGACACCGCCTTCTGCCCACCACTCACGGACACATTTCTGCCTAGAAAACAGCTTCTTACTGCTCTTACATGTGATGGCATATCTTACACTAAAAGAATATTATTGGGGGAAAAACTACAAGTGCTGTACATATGCTGAGAAACTGCAGAGCATAATACTGCCACCCAAAAATCTTTTTGAAAATCATTTCCAGACAACCTCTTACTTTCTGTGTAGTTTTTAATTGTTAAAAAAAAAAAGTTTTAAACAGAAGCACATGACATATGAAAGCCTGCAGGACTGGTCGTTTTTTTGGCAATTCTTCCACGTGGGACTTGTCCACAAGAATGAAAGTAGTGGTTTTTAAAGAGTTAAGTTACATATTTATTTTCTCACTTAAGTTATTTATGCAAAAGTTTTTCTTGTAGAGAATGACAATGTTAATATTGCTTTATGAATTAACAGTCTGTTCTTCCAGAGTCCAGAGACATTGTTAATAAAGACAATGAATCATGACCGAAAGGATGTGGTCTCATTTTGTCAACCACACATGACGTCATTTCTGTCAAAGTTGACACCCTTCTCTTGGTCACTAGAGCTCCAACCTTGGACACACCTTTGACTGCTCTCTGGTGGCCCTTGTGGCAATTATGTCTTCCTTTGAAAAGTCATGTTTATCCCTTCCTTTCCAAACCCAGACCGCATTTCTTCACCCAGGGCATGGTAATAACCTCAGCCTTGTATCCTTTTAGCAGCCTCCCCTCCATGCTGGCTTCCAAAATGCTGTTCTCATTGTATCACTCCCCTGCTCAAAAGCCTTCCATAGCTCCCCCTTGCCCAGGATCAAGTGCAGTTTCCCTATCTGACATGGGAGGCCTTCTCTGCTTGACTCCCACCTCCCACTCCACCAAGCTTCCTACTGACTCCAAATGGTCATGCAGATCCCTGCTTCCTTAGTTTGCCATCCACACTTAGCACCCCCAATAACTAATCCTCTTTCTTTAGGATTCACATTACTTGTCATCTCTTCCCCTAACCTTCCAGAGATGTTCCAATCTCCCATGATCCCTCTCTCCTCTGAGGTTCCAGCCCCTTTTGTCTACACCACTACTTTGGTTCCTAATTCTGTTTTCCATTTGACAGTCATTCATGGAGGACCAGCCTGGCCAAGTCCTGCTTAGTACTGGCATAGACAACACAAAGCCAAGTACAATTCAGGACCAGCTCACAGGAAACTTCATCTTCTTCGAAGTGTGGATTTGATGCCTCCTGGGTAGAAATGTAGGATCTTCAAAAGTGGGCCAGCCTCCTGCACTTCTCTCAAAGTCTCGCCTCCCCAAGGTGTCTTAATAGTGCTGGATGCTAGCTGAGTTAGCATCTTCAGATGAAGAGTAACCCTAAAGTTACTCTTCAGTTGCCCTAAGGTGGGATGGTCAACTGGAAAGCTTTAAATTAAGTCCAGCCTACCTTGGGGGAACCCACCCCCACAAAGAAAGCTGAGGTCCCTCCTGATGACTTGTCAGTTTAACTACCAATAACCCACTTGAATTAATCATCATCATCAAGTCTTTGATAGGTGTGAGTGGGTATCAGTGGCCGGTCCCTTCCTGGGGCTCCAGCCCCCGAGGAGGCCTCAGTGAGCCCCTGCAGAAAATCCATGCATCATGAGTGTCTCAGGGCCCAGAATATGAGAGCAGGTAGGAAACAGAGACATCTTCCATCCCTGAGAGGCAGTGCGGTCCAGTGGGTGGGGACACGGGCTCTGGGTCAGGTTTGTGTTGTTTGTTTGTTTGTTTTGAGACAGAGTCTCGCTCTATTGCCCAGGCTGGAGTGCAGTGTCACGATCTCGGCTTACTGCAACTTCTGCCTTCCCGGATTCAAGTGATTCTCCTGCCTCAGCCTCCAGAGTAGCTGGGATTACAGGTGCGTGCCACCACGCCTGGCTAATTTTTGTATTTTTGATAGAGACGGGGTTTCACCATGTTGGCCAGGCTAGTCTCGAACTCTTGACCTCAAGTGATCTGCCTGCCTCGGCCTCCCAAAGTGCTGGGATTACAGGCGTGAGCCACCACACCCAGCCCCAGGTTGGTGTTTGAATCTGAGGAGACTGAAGCACCAAGGGGTTAAATGTTTTGCCCACAGCCATACTTGGGCTCAGTTCCTTGCCCTACCCCTCACTTGAGCTGCTTAGAACCTGGTGGGCACATGGGCAATAACCAGGTCACACTGTTTTGTACCAAGTGTTATGGGAATCCAAGATAGGAGTAATTTGCTCTGTGGAGGGGATGAGGGATAGTGGTTAGGGAAAGCTTCACAAAGTGGGTGCTGCTTAGAGATTTTCCAGGTGGAGAAGGGGGCTTCTAGGCAGAAGGCATAGCCCAAGCAAAGACTGCAAGTGCATGGCTGCTCATGGGTAGAAGAGAATCCACCATTCCTCAACATGTACCGAGTCCTTGCCATGTGCAAGGCAACATGGGGGTACCAGGAATTCCAAGCAATGTCCAAACCTAGGGTCTGCTTTCTGGGACCTGAAGATACAGGATGGATCAGCCCAGGCTGCAATCCCATTACCACGAGGGGGAAAAAAACCTGAAGGCTAAATTGTAGGTCGGGTTAGAGGTTATTTATGGAAAGTTATATTCTACCTACATGGGGTCTATAAGCCTGGCGCCAATCAGAAAAGGAACAAACAACAGACCTAGCTGGGAGGGGCAGCATTTTGTTGTAGGGGGCGGGGCACATGTTCTGGGGGTACAGCCAGACTCAGGGCTTGTATTAATAGTCTGAGAGTAAGACAGACAGAGGGATAGAAGGAAATAGGTCCCTTTCTCTCTCTCTGTCTCTCTCTCTCTCACTCTCTCTCTCTCTCTCTCACACACACACACAGACACACACACACGCTCTGTAGGGGTCTACTTATGCTCCAAGTACAAATCAGGCCACATTTACACAAGGAGGTAAAGGAAAAGAACGTTGGAGGAGCCACAGGACCCCAAAATTCCCTGTTTTCCTTGAATCAGGCAGGACTTACGCAGCTGGGAGGGTGGAGAGCCTGCAGAAGCCACCTGCGAGTAAGCCAAGTTCAGAGTCACAGACACCAAAAGCTGGTGCCATGTCCCACACCCACCCACCTCCCACCTGCTCCTTGACACAGCCCTGTGCTCCACAACCCGGCTCCCAGATCATTGATTATAGCTCTGGGGCCTGCACCGTCCTTCCTGCCACATCCCCACCCCATTCTTGGAACCTGCCCTCTGTCTTCTCCCTTGTCCAAGGGCAGGCAAGGGCTCAGCTATTGGGCAGCTTTGACCAACAGCTGAGGCTCCTTTTGTGGCTGGAGATGCAGGAGGCAGGGGAATATTCCTCTTAGTCAATGCGACCATGTGCCTGGTTTGCCCAGGGTGGTCTCGTTTACACCTGTAGGCCAAGCGTAATTATTAACAGCTCCCACTTCTACTCTAAAAAATGACCCAATCTGGGCAGTAAATTATATGGTGCCCATGCTATTAAGAGCTGCAACTTGCTGGGCGTGGTGGCTCACACCTGTAATCCCAGTACTTTGGGACGTCAAGGCGGGTGGATCACCTGAGGTCACGAGTTAGAGACTGGCCTGGCCAGCATGGCAAAACCCCATCTTTACTAAAAATACAAAAATTAGCAAGGCATGGTGGCATGCACCTGTAATCCCAGGTACTCGGGAGGCTGAGACAGGAGAATGGCTTGAACCCAGGAGGCAGAGGTTGCAGTGAGCCAAGATTGTGCCACTGCCCTCCAGCCCTGGCAACAGAGCAAGACTTCATCTCAAAAGAAAAAGGATACTGTCAATCACTGCAGGAAGAACCCAGGTAATGAATGAGGAGAAGAGAGGGGCTGAGTCACCATAGTGGCAGCACCGACTCCTGCAGGAAAGGCGAGACACTGGGTCATGGGTACTGAAGGGTGCCCTGAATGACGTTCTGCTTTAGAGACCGAACCTGAGCCCTGAAAGTGCATGCCTGTTCATGGGTGAGAGACTAAATTCATCATTCCTTGGCAGGTACTGAATCCTTTCTTACGGCTGCCCTCCAATGCCCAATTTCCCTACAATTGTCTGGGGTGCCTAAGCTTCTGCCCACCAAGAGGGCCAGAGCTGGCAGCGAGCAGCTGCAGGTAGGAGAGATAGGTACCCATAAGGGAGGTGGGAAAGAGAGATGGAAGGAGAGGGGTGCAGAGCACACACCTCCCCTGCCTGACAACTTCCTGAGGGCTGGTCATGCCAGCAGATTTAAGGCGGAGGCAGGGGAGATGGGGCGGGAGAGGAAGTGAAAAAGGAGAGGGTGGGGATGGAGAGGAAGAGAGGGTGATCATTCATTCATTCCATTGCTACTGACTGGATGCCAGCTGTGAGCCAGGCACCACCCTAGCTCTGGGCATGTGGTTGTAATCTTGGAGCCTCATGGAGCTCACAGGGAGTGCTGGCAAGGAGATGGATAATGGACGGATAACAAATAAACATTTAGTACAATGTCCGGGAATGGAAAGTTCTCGAAAGAAAATTAAAGCTGGTGAGCATATAGACAGCCCTGAAGGCGGCCAGGCCAGGCATTTCTGAGGAGGTGGCATTTGAGCTAAGACCAAAATGTGGTGGGAGAGGGAGCCACACAAGGATCTGGGGGTGTGTGCACTGGGAGGGGGAGCAGCAAGTGCAAAGGGCCTGAAGGTATGTAGGGGGTGGAGAAGGGACACCACTAATTGCCTTGGGTGCCTTTCAGGCGTCTCCATGCCAAGGCTCTAACCCCTGATCTGGAAGCCAACATAGTAATTATAATTATAGTGAAGAGGGGTGTGTGTGTGTGTGTGTGTGTGTGTGTGTGTGTGTGTGTGTGATTGAAAGAGAGAGAGAATGAGTCTCTGTACCTTCTCTTGGGTCTGTATGTTGAAAACCTAAGTGACCCTAAAGAAGAATATTTGCATATTATTAATTATGTAGCTATACATGTTTTTTTTGAGACAAAGTCTTGCTTTGTCACCCAGACTGGAGTGCAGTGGCAGCAATCATGGCTCACTGCAGCCTCTGCCTCCCAGGCTCAAGCCATCCTCCTGTCTCACTCTCCTGAGTAGCTGGGCTACAGGCAGTTGCCACCATGCCCGGCTAATTTTTGTATTTTTTTAGAGATGGGGCTTCACTTTGTTGCCCAAGCTGGTGCACATCTTTATTCTTTTTTTTTTTTTTTTTTTGAGACAGAGTCTCACTCTGTCGCCCAGGCTGGAGTGCAGTGGTGCGATCTCACGGCTCACTGCAACCTCTGCCTCCTGGCT
Organism: Homo sapiens; assembly: GCF_000001405.40. NCBI lineage: Eukaryota > Metazoa > Chordata > Mammalia > Primates > Hominidae > Homo > Homo sapiens. The sequence goes on along the minus strand of NC_000017.11, from coordinate 43,748,955 downwards.
TCAAGTGATTCTCCTGCCTCAGCCTCCTGAGTAGCCGGGACTACAGGCACGTGCCACCACGCCCGGCTAATTTGTTTTTGTATTTTTAGTAGAGACGGGGTTTCACTGTGTTAGCCAGGATGGTCTCAATCTCCTGACCTCGTGATTCCCCCGCCTCGGCCTCCCAAAGTGTTGGGATTACAGGTGTGAGCCACCGCACCCCGCCACATCTTTATTCTTTAGGCTTTTGATAGGTTTGCTTAAGTAATGCTGCTAGCACTGGGCAGATGTATTACAATAGGAATATTGATGCCCTTGAACTCCTTCTAGCACATACAGATGTGACACAATTCATATGCAGTTGCGGAAATGCCTGTAGTTTTCTTTAATGGATGCCTATAAGATCCAGGCTGTAATCTATAAGATCCTATAGGCTGTGTGCCTATAAGATCCTGCTGTGAATTCTTCCCTGCTGTGGCTCTAAGCCAGATGTATAAATATATGTAGATGGATACAGGTTTATGCTATTCAGCCGAGACTCTAGGTCAGGCGATGGAGATCTGAAAGGTAAGAAGGAGTCTAGAAATGAATTCCTTCTGGAAAGATTCATGATTCATTCTTACTTCTCTGAACTATAGAAGAGCATCCTCATCAGTGAATGTATTCGTCACTGCATCCACTGCAAACCCCCTTGGGGAACACTCACCTTCACTGTGCTTCTGGATTTGCACATGTGCTTGCATATGCACACACACACTCACACACACACATTCACACCATCTTTACTCTGAATATACAATGCCAAGCTTTCCCAGGTATTCTAAAATCCTCCTGTTTCTGACCCTTGGTTGGCAGATGTCCAAAAATGATACTGACATCCCAGGTCAGAATGGTCGCCAGTTCCGATCAAGACAGAGCCCCGTATCTTCCAGGGACACTAGACAAGATGCCAGGACCACGCCTCCGCTCTGCCCAGAGGCCAAAAGCAGCCCAACAAGGTGAAGTGTTCTCTGCATGCATTACTCCCTGGGTCCCCCAAGATCGGCCTCCAGCTCTCCTCCACCCAGGAGCTGCTGTGTGGAGACAGAGACTGGCTCGGGGTCCCATTCCCCAATCCCCTCCCTTCCATCTGCTATGCCGCTGCCAGATGGATTTTACTTTCTCTGTTTTTTTAAAAAGCAAAGTTCAAAAAATATTTTAAACACAGGAAATTTAATACGTTAGCATTTTAGCTCCATCTACAGTATTTCTTTATTTTTTACACAGGGTTTCACTCTGTTGCCCAGACTGCAGTACAGTGGCACAATCATAGCTCACTGCAGCCTCTATCTCCTGGGCTCAAGTGGTCTTCCTACCTCAGCCTCCCAAGAAGCTGAGACTACAGGTGTGCACCACTACACCTAGCTAATGTTTTTTATTTTTATTAGAGACAAGGTCTCACTATGTTTCCCAGGCTGGTCTTAAACTCCTGAGCTCAAGTGATCCTCCTGCCTTGGCCTCCCAAAGTGCTGGGATTATAGGTGTAAGCCACCATGCCCCGCCCATATTTCTTTTAGATATAAAACCAATAGAAAAATTCTATGTATTTCTCTTTCCATGCCTTTCCCTCCATGGATTGTTTCCAAAGGCAACAATCCATGTTTTCATACCGTCCTACATATATTATTTATAATCAATATACAAACGTGCGTTTTTAAATTTCACACGCATTTTATCATACCATACATATGCTGAAACTCACCTTTTTTTTTTACTCAAAATTATGCTTTTAAGATCTAGCCATGTTGGATTATTTTAAAATCTTGAATGGTATTATATTTTATGACTATACCACTATTTGCTTATCTATTTTTCTTTTTTTTTTTTTTTTGAGACAGAGTCTCGCTCTGTCACCCAGGCTGGAGTGCAATGGCGCAATGTTGGCTCACTGCAACTTCTGCCTCCTGAGTTCAAGCAATTCTCCTGCCTCAGCTTCCTGAGTAGCTGGAACTACAGGTATGTGCCACCACACCCAGCTAATTTTTTGTATTTGTAGTAGAGACGAGGTTTCACCATGTTGGCCAGGCTGGTCTCGAACTCCTGGCCTCAGGTGATCCACCTGCCTCGGCCTCCCAAAGTGCTGAGATTACAGGCGTGAGCCACTGCGCCTGGCCTGCTTATCTATTTTTCTACTGATTTAGTTTGTTTCCAGTGTTTTCACCATCAAACCCAATGCACTAAGGAAGATGCCCGAATTTGTCTCCTGACGCGACATATGCTAGAGTTTCTTCAGGACAGAGAGGAGTGAGTGTTCTAATACAAAAATCTAATCATGCTATTTCCCCGCTCAAATTCCTCCATGGAATTTATTACCTAAAAGGTCAACTCTAAACTCCTTAGCTTACAAGTACATGATCTGGTATCCATCTACCTGTCCAGCCACGCATTTGACCGCTGACTTCCTTAGCACTTTGTTCTCTGCAATATCGTATTTCTCTTAATTTCTAAATCGCCCAGGGGGTTTCAAGCCTCTGCTTTTGCACATTCTCCTTAGTCTGTCTAGGATCCCCTCCTCCAACTCCTCTGGCCTGGAAATTCCCCTTCAAGTCTCCTTTTGAGGAGACTGCCTCCTCCACAGAGCTGACCACCACGCCACATCCAGGCTGTGTTACAAGATTGACACACAGGCTGAACGTGGCCGTCTCCCCTCTGGACTATGAGGCTATTGAGGACAGGACCCCAGCCTTTGCACATTTGTAGCCTCAGTGCTTTTGCACAGGGCTTGGCCAGAATCCGGGCTCCATAAATATTTGTTGAATTAATGGATGTTTGGCTGCTGGGGCATGATTTGAGCAGCAGAAATGAAAAGCCCAGCTTCCTCCCAGCTCAGCAGCAGGCAAGAACTTTGGGACAACTTTTCCAAAGCACTTATTTCATTCAAGACCCTCTGTAGCTTTGCAACCGTGGCGGGGAACGGGGCCCTTCCCAAGAAACCAAGTCCATGATTGTTTACCCTGGACATTATTAAACACCCACATTACAGGTATCTCTGTCATTTGGCCAACAATTTGGTGTGTGATGTTAGGTTATTTCTATGTCTGAAGAAAACAGCTCAGCTCTGACTAAAGAAATAAATGATAACATTTTTCTTTCAGGCAACCAGATTCCTTGGTACAAAAGGCTCCCTGGGGAGAAATGCCGGGACAGTGTGGCTCCTCTGAGGCTATTTACATCTGTCAGCTTCTCTAATCTCTTGCCTTCCTTCCTCTGTCTGTTTCCTTCCCTTTGCACAGAGCCCGGCATTGAGCCTGGTACTTACAGGGAGGGTGGTGGAGCCATCGTCCTCACGTATGCGCTGGGGATCGGGGTTGGTGGGGGGTGGCCAGTGGCATTTGGTGGGTTTTTTTTTGTTGTTAGAAACCAGCCTTAATTTAAGATAATAACTCTCCTTGTTTGCCAGTGATCGCTATTTGTAGGCACCTATTTTCCCTGGTCAATTTGGCTAAGATAAATCGAATCTAAAAGGGAACATTTTCTAAAAATGCTGCGGGGCAGTTTGCAGAAACTGGACCAAGGAACATCTTCCAGGTCACCTGTTCCATGATGGCCTGGATGCCCCCCTTCTTAAATGAGATTGGGGGCATAGAAACAGACTCCCCAGCCTTTTACGACAACACCTTTAAAGTGTCATTGAAACCTGGGGGAACAAGGACCCTGAAGAATCATTTGGTCTGGACTTTACTGAAAGATTCCAATTCCTGCATGGTCAGCCCCCGCCCCCTCTCCAACTGGTCTCTTGTCAGTGTCCTCACAACCCCCAGCCCAGCCCTGGCTCCCACCCTCCACCCACCCTGCCTGTCTGTTAGTTCCTCGAAAGCACCAGCTCCCAATTATGACGATGCTGTTCCCTCTGCCAGGGACACTCTTCTTGCATTCTCTGCCATCCATCTGATGTCGGCTCAAATATCACCTCCTCAGAGGCCTTCCCTGACCATCCCATCTAAAACAGGATTCCACTATTCTTTTTCCTAACCCTTGTCACAAGTTGTCATTTTATATTTGTCTCATGGCAGGTCTGCCTCCGCTGCCCAGTTGTAAGCTCTATTAGACAGGGACTGAGCTGGCTTGTTCTTGAGATCTGAGATCACAGAGCCTGGCCTGCAGCAGGTGCTCAGTATATCAGTATATGTTGGCAACTGAGTGAACCAGCAAGGGGTCGGTGGGCCCTGGCACAATTGCTCTGCTACCGCTAACACCACCACTAAGAATGTCATTTAAATACCAGATCATAAGCACCAACTTTAGTTCCAGGCAGCCCTCCTCCTGGAGTGGGAGCAAGAGACTCTCTCCACCTCATCCCCCAGGCCTGGAAAAATGTTTTGAGCTTTCAGTTGCTTATTCTTTTCTTCTTTATGCACAAGTTGTTTTCCTTTCCTCAATCGCTTTATTTCCCTTTTTTCTAGTAGTCACATCTTCATTAGAGATTTTATATTACAATATCATCATAGACTCCCTTTTAAATTTCCCTGGTCCTTCTGTTGCTGTCTGGGGAGACAGAGGTGCACACTCTGAAGTCGGTACCGGACCCATTCACACTGGCCCAGCTTCTGTGTGGCTGACCAGCCGTGTGTCATTTAATACCAGACTGTGTGGCTGACCAGCTGGGTGTCTCCAACCCCTCAGGGGCTCCACCAGACCCTTGGAATCAACCCCCTATGGTTCTCCCTTGGGCCCCTATCTCCTGCATGCATTCAACTCACCAACCACCACGTGCGCGGTTTCTGTTTTCTGTCCATTTGCCTAACGTCTCTTGAATCCATCCATTTCTCTCCAGTGCCACTTCCCTGGTTTGGCCGCCGTCTCCCTTGTCCTGGCCTCTGATATTCTCCTGGCCTCTGGACTCACCTCCTCTAAGCCAGTCTTCCTCTGGGCGCAGAATCTGATCCTGTCCCTCCTCTGCTTCCTGTGGCCTTAGGATGGAGAGCACTCACCTCAGCCAGGCCCCCAGGCTAAACCCGATCTGATGCTCCCAGCTCTCCAAGCCCTTCTCTTCTCAGATGCCTCTCTGGGCTCCTCTTAGTTCCTGCAAGTCCCGCACTCTCTCCCACCTCCGGCCTTTGGGCAGCGAGTCTTTCAGCTAAGTGGTTTTCCTACATCACCTTCTACTCCCTCCTCGGCTCTCATACATCCTCCTGGATGCCCCGCTGAACCTCCTGGGCCAGTTAGGGCCTTCCCCTGTGTTTTCCTGACAGATTGTAGTTTCCCTCATATTGCCTTGGCGAAGTGCCCTCTAACTGCCAATTTATTATTATTATTTTATTATTATTATTATTTTGAGATAATAATCTCAGAGTCTTGCTCTGTCACCCAGGCTGGAGGGCAGTGGCATGATCTTGGCTCACTGCAACCTCTGCCTCCCAGGTTCCAGCGATTCTCCTGCCTCAGCCTCCTGAGTAGCTGGGACTACAGGCACATGCCACCACGCCTGGCTAATTTTTGTATTGTTAGTAGAGATGGGGTTTCACCATGTTGTCCAGGCTGGTCTCGAACTCCCGACCTCAAGTGATCTGCCCACCTTGGCCTCCCAAAGTGCTGGGATTATAGGCATGAGCCACTATGCCCGGCCACCAATTTATTATTTCTTCCCTTAGACTGGGAGCTTCATGAGGGCAGAGGCTGGCTGTCATGCTCAGGGGTGCAGAGAAGATCCTGACTTAAAATTCCTGTGACTTGGACATGCAGGAGAAGCCAGACGTGAAGGATATAAATTGAACCAACTTGGACTGAAGATCCCAGCCAGGAGGATCTGCTCCCCCAGGAAGGGAACTGATTTGTCCTCGAGGCCCCTGGGATAGGAGAAGCCACAGCATCCTGTTGTTTGATCTTCTTATCTTCAAGCAGGCATGACTCGGTTCCAGAAATACAAGCCATAAGATAGACCTCCAGACTCCTAGAGACGATCTGAAGCTGCAGAAGCCCTCCACTGAAAGACCGGACCCACTGCCTACTCCTCCTGGCAGGTGCCCTGGACAAGGGCACAGACTTCACAGCGTTCAAGTGTGAAGGGATTGTCCTTCTCCAGCCCTGGATATTAAAAGGTCTACCCCGATGAGCCATGGAGGGACTCTGAGTGTGTGTGTGTGTGTGTGTGTGTGTGTGTGTGTGTGTGTGTGTTGGAGGAGTTGCTTATGGAAAATATTTTTCCTGCTCTTAAAAAGGGACTCCTGCCAGGCATGGTGGCTCATGCCTGTAATCCAAGCAGTTTGGGAGGCCGAGGCAGGTGGATCACCTGAGGTCAGGAATTCGAGACCAGCCTGACCAACATGGAGAAACCCTGTCTCTAATAAAAATACAAAATTAGCCGGGCATGGTGGCACATGCCTGTAATCCCAGCTACTCGGGAGGCTGAGGCAGGAGAATTGCTTGAACCCAGGAGGCAGAGGTTGCGGTGAGCCGAGATCGCTCCACTACCCTCCAGCCGGGGCAACAAGAGTGAAACTCTGTCTAAAATAAAATTTAAAAAAAGAACAAAAAGGGACTCCTGGCTGGGCATGGTGGCTCATGCTTGTAATTCCAATACTTTAGGAGGCTGAGTCAGGTGGATCACTTTAGCCCAGGAGTTCAAGACCAGCCTGGTCAACATGGCAAAAAATACAAAAAAAAAAAAATTAGCCAGGAATGGTGGTGTGCACCTGTAGTCCCAGCTACTAGGCAGACTGAGGTGGGAGGATCACCTGAGCCTGGGAGTTTGAGGCTGCAGTGAGCTGTGGTTGCACCACTGCACCCCAGCCTGGGTGACAGAGTAAGACCCTGTCTAAGAAAAAAAAAGGCGTGTAGCACTTCCCTCCTCTCCCCCATTATCTCCCTTGCTCCCCCTCTCCATGTGAGGTGCTGGCTTCCCCCTTCACCTTTTGACATGATTGGAAGCTTCCTGAGGCCTCCCCAGAAACCCAGCAGATGCCCAGCACCATGCTTCCTGTACCGCCTGCAGGACCACAAGCCAATTAAACCTCTTTTCTTTATAAATTACCCAGACTCAGGTCAGTCAGCCTTCCTTCCTTCCTTCTTTTAAATTTTTTAATTTTGAGACAGAGTTTTCCTCTGTTGCCCAGGCTGGAGTGTAGTGGTGCAATCTTGGCTCACTGCAACTTCCTCTTCCTAGGCTTAAGTGATCCTCCTGCCTTGGGCTCCCAAACTGCTGGGATCAGAGGCATGAGCCACCGCACCTGGTCTCAGATATTTCTTTATAGCAATGCAAGAATGGCCTAATACGGGTGACAAGTCAGAGTTTGCAGGGAAGCCCAAGAAGCAAGCACATCAGCTGCCTGAGTGAGGCCGTGAAGGGAGCCGGTGGACAGGTCTGCAGGCAGCTGTAGCTCAGCAAGCCCAGCTGGCCAGAACACGGGCCAGACAGGGAGCCAGCAGCCCGAGAGGTGGATTGGCCAGGCATATCTCTGCCTCAGTGTCATCACGGCACATGACCGTGACAACCCCCTGAGAGTCAGGATGCTGCTTCACTTTTATTTTCCAAATCTCATGCAAGCTCCTCTTTTGACCAACTCTACCCTAGACCCCTCTGGAGAAGGGGTTTCTGGGAAGTATTATTCCCAGATTAGCCAAATGGACAAAACACAAACCAGCAGGAAGACCAGCCCCACTCATCTCTCTGGCCTCCTCCCCTCTACTCCCTACCTGTGCCCAGGCCCTAAACTGTTTACAGCTCCCCATTGTGCCTCTGCCCATGCTATGTCCTCAATTTGGGATACCTCTGCTCTCTTCTTTAGCTAGTCAATGCTACTGAGCCCTCAGGATCTGGCCCCAGAGACTCATTCCCTGAGACATCTTCCCTCTCTGAGAACTCCCCTCTCCTCTGTGCTCCCCAAGAACTGGGTACAAACCCACATTGCAACTCCTGTTACCCACCGAGTCTTCCTCCTCGCCAGGGCTAGGAATCTCTTGGGAAGGAGGACTGTGTCTGTGCTGGCCAGCCTCCCAGCAGCTAGTGCTGGGAAGGCAGGGTTCTCAAGGAGGGCGCAATGCCCTCCTGGCATGGAAACCACTAAACCACCGGTGCAGTGTGCTTCAGAATCACGTAGGGAACGTGTTACACATTCAGATTCCCAGTCCTCACCTCCCCGAGATTTTGATTTGGTAGTTCTGGAGCTAGACTCAGGAACCTGCATTTTTCTTTTTTTTAAATTGGGCAGCCTCTAGAGCCAGAGTAGGCTCAGAGACTCCCAGGAACCAGCATTTTTTAGCAAACACTGTGAGTAATTCATGAGCAATTTGTCTACCACATCAGGCTGACTCTGACAGAGCTGAATCTTTTTTTATTTTTTTAAGAGTTTAAGTCTAACTCTTTTCATTTTTTTTAACCTTAGTTTCTAGTTAGATTAGAAGGTCTGTCTCTTTTATAGATAAAAGCTCTATTAAGTCCTTATAGGTCTTATTCTGCTTTTATTGGAGGCCCTGAAGCCCAGACTATGGGATTTAAAAGTCTCTGAAGGGTGACAGAGAGGACCAGAGAGAAGGCAGTAGAGTCGAGGCATGGAGCTTGCCGAGGGCCTGGCCGGGACAGAGAGGCCCAGCAACGCCTTGGCCCCAAGAAAATCTTCTTGTCTTTCTGGAATGCCGAGAAGCCCTGAGGAGGTCCTGGGTGGGAAGAGCTAAGCCATAGTAGGTGTGCTGAGGCCCATGGGAGGGGACTCAGCATGTGCCTCAGTAGCCCGTGACGCAGGACCTCCCACGCGGGTCTCCTGAGGAGCTGGAGAGAAGCAGATTATTCCTCCAACATATCAGTGAGGGCACCTTGGGCCCAACTGGCTGGGGAGGTGGGGATGTGTGGGGTGGGGACAGGATGACAGCAGAGGAGCTGGCACTAGGACAGGAGCCACAGCAGGCTGGGTACCACAGAGTGGGGCCTTGCCAGTTTCGACATCTGCCCCCAGTCCCTGCCTGGTCACCCAAGGAATGTGGCTTTAGATTTGTGGCTCGGGACCCCAGGAGAGGGAGAGGGAGCCTCTCAGCCTGTCTAGATCTTCTTGGCCAGGTGGTGGGAGGTGGCTTCTCCCAGGGGCCCCGGGGGCTGCTGGATGAGACGCTGACTCAGTTATCTTCTGAGTTGAGCCATTGTTTTATTTAAAAATACAGAGCAAATAAACCCACAATATCACTCCACCCCATGGACACAAGCACTACTTATATTTAGGTGTATCCCCTTCCAGTCTTGTTTCCTCTGTGTATGTGTGTGTGTGTGTGTGTGTGTGTGTGTGCAGGCACATGCATGTGTTTGTTTGTACCATAGGTCCATAAAGTTCTGTATTCTGTATGACACCATTAGCATTTTCTATGTTGCCACAGAGTCTTTGTGACCATCATTCCCAAAGGCTGCCTGGTCTACTGAGATGATGGGCCATAGTTTCCTTAAGGATCCTTTGTTGTCTTCTGACCCACACAATGACACTAAGTTTTACCTGGGGCCAGACTCCCGCTCCCTGAAGTCAGCCCTGTTCAAACCCCAAATCTTGGCCCTCTCAATCCAGTCCTTCACTCCCTGACCTCTTCCTGCATTCTTCTGCCTGCTCCAGACTTTTTGATTTACCTCCCAATTTATGTATCACACTCACCACCCCCCTAGATCTGACAGCTTAGATAATGCCTTCTTGAATACTGGAAAAACCTGAATTGCCATCAGTTTTTGAGGTTCCTAATATACTATAAAATGTAAATATGCCTAAAGAGGGTTATAAAGATTGTCAGCTATTTTAGGCTGGGTGTGGTGGCTCACACCTGTAATCCCAGCACTTTGGGAGGCCAAGGGGGGTGGATTTCTTGAGCCCAAGAGTTCAGGACCAACCTTGGCAACATGGTAAAATCCCACCTCTACCCAAAATACAAATATTAGCCAATCTCTTAACCCAGTCTCAAAACAAATAAATAGATTAAAATTAAAAATAAAAGATTGTCAGCTATTTCAGTGTTTACACTGAACAAATTAATATTCCTTTCACCAGTAATGTGGTATAACATTGTTATGAACCCCCAAGAAATGTACAAATAAGGTACCACACGTGATACCAACTCTCCAGATGTGGAGACAAGGTCAAGGCCAAATGACAAATGTTCTCTTTGGGTCTTGTCAGAGTCACTCTCTGAGACTAAATATGCAATTGCACTTGAAGAAAAAAATAGCAGAAGTCTAAATTTGAGACCCATTGAGACCTGAGCCAATGGCTTTCCATACTCCCCTTGTGTCTGCACCCAATTAAAAACAAAATAAAACAGGTTATCCTGGCTGCTTCTCTAGAACTGTCCCTTGGCCTACCTTGTCAGGCTGAGCCTGGCACCTGTCCTCAGATCTGATGCCTTGTTGCCTGGAGTGCCTCCCCCACCCACTCAACCCTAGCTCCTGGGATCCTGCCTTGGGTCAGCCCCCTTGGCTGGTACCAGAGGTGTTTGGAACATTGGATGGCTTCTAATGTTTTCACTATCGTAAATGTGGTGGATGGGATTCTCTGGTTCTGTCAGCTCCTTTTCCCTCTCTATGCTCATCCTTACTGAGGAGGGAACATTTTAAGCTCACCCCTACTGAGGAGGGAGCCTTTTAACCTCATAAATCATTAGAGTGATACATCAAGAATCCACTCTAAGCAGAGAAGTGGATTATCTCAAGGCCCCTCCACTCAGAAGATGGGAGGATGTGGAGCAGGTGGTTCTATTTGCCTTGAGCACAAGGGCCACAGGGAGCAATCCAGATTTGCTGGCTACTGACCAAAGGGGATGAAGCTCCTTTTCTAAGAGAAGAAGGTTAGACAAGGAAGGAGATGAGAGAGATCAAGGGAAACAGAGATTACTGGGCATCATGGAAGCTGTTTTCTGGAAGGCAACCCAGTGGGAAGGGTGGGGACGCTCTGCATCATGAATGAGTGGAGGTGATACTTGCTGGCAGTAGATTCAGCTTTTATCCATTTCTGGCCACGGAAGGGCAGAATGTGGCCATGAATGACTTTGCTCAAATACATTTTTCTCTACTTAGGATTATTTCTTTTCCCCAAGGGGGCACATTTCTATGGCTCTTCTCATATATTGCTGGATTGGTTTCTAGAAGATGGGTATCACTTTACAATAGGGCAAGAGAGGATCCCATTTTTGGCACATATAAGTATGCAATAAGTAAGTGATTAATAGCAAGCAGAACAGAAAATCCCCAGGCTGTGGGGCAGTGGTGCTGTTGCTGGAGGGAGAACATCCAGATCTTTAACCTCTGGGGCCACTTCAAATACACTTGCCCAGGATTTAAGCATCATTAGTAGATGTTGCTGAGCCAAATCGATAAATGGATATGGCAAAGGCTGTGTAGATTTTAGAGCAGGGCAGATGGGATGCAATTCTCAGGAATCCTACAAGGCCTAGATGTAACAGTGTGATCCTCAGGGCAGGACTTAATTCAGGACCCTGCCATCAGAAGTGAAATGAAGCACTAATATATCCCACGACATGGATGAACCTTGAAAGCATGCTAAGTAAAGAAGCCAGACCAAAAGACCACATATTATATGACTCCACTTATATGAAGATTCCTGCAGCCTCTACGCTCCACCACTGATAACTCCCTCCAGATTCAAATTCCTGTGGGCCTGCCTGCTCTAGCTGGGGCCGGGATGGGAGGTACCAGAACCCCACAACTGACACCCCCAACAGGGCTGTCAGGAGAGAGGTAATTTGCTCAAAGAAAAATTTAGATGGAGGCAAAAGCCACAGCTCTCCACTAACCACGCTGCTAAAACTTTGGGGGCTGCTATGCACCAGAACTAGTTGAAACCATAGAGCCACAGGCCAAATCTGGCCCACGGCTTATTACTTTACAGCCCATGAAGGAAGAATGGTTTTTGTTGGTGTTGTAGTTTTGAGACAGAGTTTTGCTCTTGTTGCCCAGGCTGGAGTGCAATGGCGCAATCTCAGCTCACTGCAACCTCCACCTCCCGCGTTCAAATGATTCTCCTGCCTCAGCTCCCAAGTAGCTGGGATTACAGGCATGCACCACCACGCCCAGCTAATTTTGTATTTTTAGTAGAAACGGGGTTTCTCCATGTTGGTCAGGCTGGTCTCAGACTCCCTGCATCAGGTGATCCGCCCGCCTCGGCCTCCCAAAGTGCTGGGATTACAGGCATGAGCCACTGCGCTGGCCGGAAGAATGGTTTTTACAGATGAATATCTGCAATTGATTTGATGACAGGGAACACCAACTTTGAATCCCAATTAAGTAAAATGTTGCCCTCCCAACCCTGCAAAAAACAAAACAAAGCAAAAAACAAACAAACAAACAAAAAAACCAAACACATTCTTCTCATTAGTAAAACTGCATTACAAAAAACTGTTCCTGGCAGGACTCAAGTGACTCATGCCTATAATCCCAGCACTTTGGGAAGCTGAAGTGGGAGGATCGCATGAGCCCAGGAGTTTGAGACCAGCCTGGGCGACACAGGGAGACCTCATCTTTACAAAAAATGTAAAAAGTAGCCAGTGTGCTGGTGCATGCCTGTAGCTCCAAGTTACTTGGGAGGATCACTTGAGCCCAGGAGGTCAAGGCTGCAGTGAGCTATGCATTCAAGCCTGGGAGACAGAGTGAGACCATGTCTCAAAAAACCAAAAACCAACAAACAGAAACAACCCTGTTACCAATTATTATTATTATATTTTTCAATTTGTCAATAAAAATGTTTGGAAATTTGTTTACAGTCTTATCAAGTAAGTGCTTACCTAACATCCTCAGTTTTGACTCTTGGCCTGCAAACCCCAATATTTACTATCTAGCTGTTTACTGCCCCTTACTCTAGGGCAGTGCCTCTCAAATTGTGGTGATCATAGAATCACCTGGAGAGCTGTTAAAACAGATTGCTGGGCCGTAGTCCCAGATACTCTAATTCAGTAGGTTAAACATAGAGTTTACTATATGACACGTCAATTCCACTCCTAGGTATATACCCAAGAGATTTGGAAATATGTCAGTACAAAAACTTGCACATGAATGTTCATAGCAGCATTATTCATAATAGCCAAAAATTGGAAACAATCCAATATCCATCAATTGATGAATGGATATACACATTATTGTATATCCATATGAGGTAGGAAGTGAGACTCGACTCCAGAGATGAAGTCAGACACCAAACTGCGGACTAGCTAAAACAAGGAAGGGGCAGAACCAGCTTTCCATAAGATATGCCCACCAGTGAGCCATGTCAGTTTACCATTGCCATGACAACACCTGGGAGTTACCACTCCTTTCCATGGCAATGACCCGCTGACCCAAAAGTGACTACCCCTTCCCTAGAAATTTCTGCATAAACCACCCCTTAATCCATATGTAATTAAAAGTGGTATAAATATGACTGCAAAATACCCTGAGCTGCTACTCTTTGCCTATGGGGTAGCCCTGTTCTGCAGGAGCAGTCACAGAGCTGTAACCACTGCTGCTTCAATAAAGCTGTCTTCTACCTCTGGCTTGCCCTTGAATTCCTTCCTGGGCAAAGCCAAAAATCCTCATGGACTAAGTCCCAATTTGGGGTTCATCTGCCCTGCATCACATACAATAGAGTATTATGCAATTCTGAAGTGAAATGAAGTACTGATATATCGCACGACATGGATGAACCTTGAAAACATGCTAAGTGAAAGAAGCCAGACCAAAAGGCCACATATTATATGACTCCACTTATATGAAATGTCCAGAATAGGCAAGTACATAGAGATGGAAGAGAGATTAGTTGTTGTCAGGGAATGTAAGACAGTGGAAGTGGAGAGTAACTGCTAATGAGGACGAAGTTTCTTTTTTCTGTCATGAAAATGTTCTGGAAGTAGTGGTGATGGTTGTACAGTCTTTTGAATATACTAAAACCACTGAATTGTACACTTTAAAATGGTAAATTTTACGGTATGTGAATTATATCTCAATGAGAAAATAAATAAATAAGACACACAACCCATGACATTGGACGCAATCTGGAACTAGTTCTCAGAAAATGATTTTGCTTGATGCATAATATATATTAAAGAAAAAAGATTGCTACTTCTTTGAGGGCAATTAAATTTTTTCGCTAGCATCTCTCTACATTTTCTTTCTCATCAAAGTCAATGAGAAAACAGAATTCCTGAAAAGAAACTTTGCTACTAACAATTAAGACCTAAAACTATCAGTAAGTTAAGGACACGACAATGGGGCTCTTGGAATCAATGACAGACTCGGACCGGCTGTTTTAACTGACTTATCATGAAATGAATGATGACAGAAACAATACAATGGAAATTATTTTTCATGGAAAGAATTCATGGCACCCTTTGTGTTTGTGACTGGAATGACCACGGATGTGGTTCAGTCTGAATGTGTATCTGCAGCCACAAAACAGATTTGAGCTTTTGTCTTGCAAAATCCATCTGAACATATTGGCTGCATTCGCTCAGCCCAGAGATTAAGTCATCATCTTGGGCAGGGTTTCAGTGAAGGCTAAATCAGATCCAGGGAGAGAGAGAGCAGGCAGTGCCGGTGCCTATCTTGCAGGGGATGCCCCAGAAAGGCTGAAATACAATGCCCCAGTGGCTAGCTGTTGCTGGAAAGAAGCAAGCTGGAGGGCACAGAAGGTTTAAAAAAGGGGGCTCCTGAATGTCACTGGGTTCCCCAAACCTCCAAGAGGAAGCTGTACCCAGATTCTACTGCCATCCTCTTACGGTGGAAAGCAAAGGCTTGGGCTGTGTATCCCTCCAGGACTCCTCCATGAGCCCTAGTGTCTGCAGAGGGTGTGGTCCAGGAAGAAGCAACTGACCTTCTGCTTCCAGAAGTGAGGATTTCCTGTAGCTCCTAGGCCTGGCCTGCCCTGGGATGGCTCCAACCCTACCAATATATGTGAGTTCCTTTATAGCTGCTGTTTATTTTTGAAAGGAAGCATCTTTGGTGACCAGCATCACATGTCAAAGTTGAGAGTGCATGACCAAAAGATCCTGTGACTCAGGGAGAGCTCTAGATAGCCTTTATCTCTGCCCAATTATTCTTCCAGAATCTCAGTTAGTGATCCTGTCATTCATCTTCTCATAAACCTTCTATGGCTCCCCACCACCAACCAAATTAAATCCAAGTCTGGAAACAGGCATTCATGAATCCAGCTCTGCAATACAGCAGTATATACTTTTGCAGTGTCAACTACCTGGAGCTGGAGTTAGTACAGACTCCACAGGTTAAGGACATAGTCTTCAACAAGACTGCCCTCACTTCAGAGACCCCACATAATATGGGGTCCCCAGGCTACCTGCATTTCTGATCAACTGGCTACAAATTTGGGGGTTCCCACAACCCCTCATATTTGACAATTTGCTACAATGACTCACATAACTCAGCAAAGTGCTATACTTACCATTACACTTTTATTATAAAGGGTACAAATCAGGACCAGCCAAATGAAGAGATCCATAGGGTGAGGTCTGGGAGGATCCCAAACACAGAGCTTCCATATCTTCTCCCCATGGAGTCAGGATGTATCACCCTCCTAGCACACTGGTGTTCACCCACCAGGAGGCTCAATTGAGCCTTGAGGTCCAGAGTTTTTATTGGTGTTTCATCACGAGGCATGATTGATCAAATAATTGGCCATGTGATTGAACTCAATCTCTAACCTCCCTGGAAGTCAGGCTGATATAATCTGGCTCAAAACCCCAACCCTCTAATCATTTGGTTGGTTCCTAATGGCTAGTCCCCATCTTGAAACTATCTAGGGGCCCACCATGAGTCACCTTGTTAGTATAAACTCAGGCATGGTCCCAGTGGCTCACTATGAATAACAAAGACATTCCTATCACTTGGGAAATTCCAAGGGTTTAGAAGCTACCTCTCAGAAACCCAAGACAACTGGAGAAATTATTATGCAACAAATGCCAGCCTATCTTCACCACAGTGTGCCCCATGACCCCTTTTCTATGCTCTTGGCTTAGGTCAGGCAGAGCAGCTTGCGGCTCTCCATGTGGACCTGGAGATTTTTCACCTCGCTTCCTTTGCTTGCACTGATCCCTTTGTCTGGAATTGCCTCCATGAGGGTACCCATCCTTCGTGTAGATATAACTGTCCTCATTTTAGATGAGAAAGTTGAGGACTAGAAGATGAAGTCACTTTTCAAAGACAATTGGATCTATATGATAAAACCAGGCCATAAATCCAGGCCTATCTGAAGCCCCAACCTGTGTGATCCCACTTCCCCGTGGGCAGTAGGATTGGCTGATATTATTGAAATCCCTTAAAGATCATTCTGTAATTATTCTCCCATGAAAAAATGGCTTAAAGGGGGCAAAACTTGCCATCACTAACAATGCCACCTTGGGGAAGCTAAACTCCCAAATTAACAGATACCCTCAACTGCAAGTAATAGAAAGGCCCACAAAAAGACCCTTAGACCAGGAGCTGGCAAACTTTTTCTGCAAAGGGCCAAGGGCCAGAGAGTAAATATTTGAGGCTTTGCAGGCCATAAGGTCTCTGTCGTGACTATGCATCCCTGCCATTGTAGCACTAAACAATATGTAGACAATACATAAACAAATGGGCATGGCTGTATTCCAATAAAACTTTATTTACAAAATCAAGCAGTGGGCCAGACTTGGCTCCTGGGTCATAGTTTGCCAACCCTTGTCTTAAACCAGGAGGACATTTATTCACCATATAACAAGAAGTCTAGAAATAGGGTGGATCCAGGTGAGCTACTCAGGCAGCTCAGCAGCATCTTCAGATCCTAGGTTCCTTCCTGTTATTTGCAGATGACAACATCCAGAAACAGAAAAGTTCATGCCTCCTTGGTCAGAATAGTTCACAGGCTAATCCCTGGCTAATGGGAAAGGAGTTATCCAGATTGCCTTAGACAAATGGTCTCATCCCTGGCTGCAACATTAGAATCACCTGAGAGCTTTTAAGAAACACCTGGGCCCAGCTGGGCACAGTGGCTCACACCTGTAATCCCAGCACTTTGGGAGGCGGAGGTGGGAGGATAATGAGGTCAGGAGATTGAGACCATCCTGGCTAACAAGGTGAAACTCCATCTCTACTAAAAATACAGAAAATTAGCCAGGCGTGGTGGTACGCACCTGTAGTCCCAGCTACTTGGGAGGCTGAAGCAGGAGAATCTCTTGAACCTGGGAGGTGGAGGTTGCAGTGAGCTGAGATTGTGCCACTGCACTCCACCCTGGCGACAGAGAGAGACTCCGTCTCAAAAAAAAAAAAAAAAGAAAAGAAAAGAAAAGAAAAGAAACACCTGGGCCCCTACCAGAGTTTTGCATTTAATGGTTATGAGGTGGGGCCTTGTCATTGATATTTTTTAAAACCATTCATAGCTGGAAAGGAAAGGCATTGGCAGACCAGTCAAAACTCACTGCACGCAAAGGCCAATTCATGATCACCATCAAAAAAGTATTTTAGCAAGGAGGAAGAAGGGTCTATTAGTCCATTTTCACACTGCTAATAAAGACATACCTGACATTGGGCAATTTACAAAAGAAAGAGGTTTAATTGGACTTACAGTTCCATGTGATTAGGGAAGCCTCATAATCATGGCAGAAAGCAAGGAGGAGCAAGTCCCGTCTTACATGGATGGCAGCAGGCAAAGTGAGAATGAGGAAGACGCTAAAGTGGAAACCCCTGATAAAACCATAAGATCTCGTGAGACTTATTCACTATCACGAGAACAGTATGGGGGAAACTGCCCCCACGATTCAATTATCTCCCACCAGGTCCCTCCCACAACACATGGGAATTATGGCAGCACAATTCAAAATGAGATTTGGGTGCAGACACAGAGCCAAACCATATCAAAGGGCTAAGGCTGAAGGGCCACATCTCAATGTGATGCTTTTCACTTGCAAAATGGAAATCAAGGTAGGACCTACTTCAAAAGTCCCTGCAAAATTTAAATGAAGCAGCATGCCTGGTACAGTGCCTGGAAAAAATAAGCACTCACTGCATTAGCAGTTGATTGCTCTTAATCATTATGAAGTCCTCCTAGATGTCTTATGTACATTTTAGAGAATGTACCAATTGAATGATGTTGGTTTTTTATGGGATTTGAACCCCAGCCTTTCCTCAGCTATCTGGAAAACTGGGAGTGGCAGGTATTTAAAAAAAAATACAAGTGACTCACCACAACACTTCCCTCCCAAATATTTCATGTAAGAACACAGCACAGAGATCAATTGATCTCTACTCTCTCCTGAAAAGCATCATGGCACAAACACTTTCCTGAGGGCCGTTTAGAAGCCTCACTCTTCCTTAGTCATAGAAGAAGACTTTCTCCCCCGTTCCGCTCTGGGCCATCTTCTCCCCGTTTCCCCATCTATTTCTAGCCACTTTTCAAAGCAAAGTGGGAAATCTCTCTTAATGCTCCTTTTCTTCCTTCTACTAGTTTTCTATGGCTGCTGCAACAAATTACCACAAACTTAGAGCCTTAAAGCAACACAAATTTATGACCTTACAGCTCTAAAGGTCACAAGTGTAAGATGGGTCTCATGGGGCTAAAATCCAGGTTCCAGCAGGGCTGTGCTCCTATCTGGAGAGACCACATATCCTCGCCTTTTGCGGATCCGAGAAGTGGCCTGCATTCCTCGGCTTGTGACCCCTTCCATCTTCTCTCATGGCACTCCCTTGACTCACCCTTCTACCCCTATCTTCCACATCTAAGGACCCTTAAATGTGATGACACTGGGTTCCCCCAATCCACCTGGATTAATCTGGATAATCCAGAATGATCTTCACATGTCAGGATTCTTAACGTAATCATACCTGCAAAGTCCCTTTTGCCACATAAGGTAAGATAAGGTAACGTTCAAAAGTTCCAGGGATGTGGATGCGAACATCTGGGGACCATTATTCTGTCTACCACATTTTGTGATCTCTAATGCTCCCCATTCCTCTCCAGCCTCTCGTTCCTCCTTTTCACCTATGGGGCTCTGTTTGTCCTCTCCCATTTGCCGTCCTGCAAGATCCAGATGGCCTTTCCTGAAATAGAGGCACGAGTGTCCTGGCATGTGGGGCTCTTGGGAGGTTTAGATTAATGTTTATGAGTGCTTAGAACAGTGTCTGGGGCACAGTAGGGCTACAAAAGTGGTTGTTAGCTGCCACTGTTGCCATTAACGTGCTCACAGGCCTGCCCTCCTTGGGAATGGGACTTCTACTGGCCTTCCTAAAGGGTGCCTACTTTTTTTTAAGCTTGAACAATTCAAAAACAGCCAGTAACTTGGAACAGCTTTCTAGAAACTATCAACCATGGCTGGGCGTGGTGGCTCACACCTGTAATCCCAGCACTTTGGGAGGCCGAGACAGGCGGATCACCTGAGGTCAGGAGTTCGAGACCAGCCTGGCCATCATGGCGAAATCCCATCTCTACTAAAAATACAAAAATTAGCTGGTCATGGTGGCGCACGCCTGTAATCCCAGCTACTCAGGAGGCTGAGGCAGGAGAATTGCTTGAACCCGGGAGGTGGAGGTTGTGGTGAGGTGAGATGGCCCCACTGTACTCCAGCCTGGGCCGCAGAGCGAGACTCCATCTCAAAAAAAAAAGAAAGAGAGAAACTTTATCAACCAGTGTTTCTTCAAGTGTCCACCCACATCAGCATCTCCTGGGGTGCTTTTAAAAGCACATTTGACTTTAGTTCTGCCCTCTAAAGTTTGTGAACCTCAGTCTGGAACTCCAGCATTTGGGGGTTTATAATTTGCAACCAGAACAAAAAAGAAAAGCCCCATCCCACTGCCTCACTCAGCCCCTCTGCTGCTAACAACACACTCACTGCAGGGCCAGGGGCTGAAGTCTCCCTTGAAGGATGTTCGGCAAGGCTGGGGCCTTCCTCAGGGACCCGCCATTGAATGCCAGCGAAGGCCTTGTCCCAAGAACAGGGGTTGAAGGCAGGAAATGGATGGGAGGGAGGTAGACAGTGACTATCTGACCAATGGCATTTATCCTTTTGGAGGTCCCTGACCCTCTCAAGAACCTGGTGAAAGCCAAAGGTCTCTTCTCATACCTGGGCACCAGGTATGGGCAGCTGGCCCGATGACTACTGAGAGGAAAAGAGGAAGCTGGAGCTCCCGGCCAGACCATGGTCCAACCTGTAGCTCTGCTGGCCTTAGTATGAGCAGAGGATGCAAAAGCCAGAAAGAGGCCCAACTGTCAAAGCTTCAGGACACGCGAAGTAGAGCTTCGTGTGAGCTCAGCTCCCACCCTGGGACTCCTCAGTTGGTGTTAAGGAAACTTCTAAGCCCTAGAACCTGCAAAGACCCCAGGCCCTGCTGTTTAATGAATGGAAAGAATCTTCTTCCCTCCTTTTGAGGCATTCCAGGCCTTTCCAGAGCCCACCCGATACTTAAATAAGCACCCCACGGGGATGGTGTGTATCCAGAACTAAAATAAACTTAAATAATATCCCAGAAAATTATAAATTATGTATTTAGGAATCGGAATGTGCGAGGCAGGGTTTTCTCTTCCTCTATTATAGCTTTCATGAAAGGGAGACAAATAATAAAGCTCCCCCGGGCTAAAGTTAGAGTCGACATATAGTTTACACCAGAAAATATACACTTAGGTATCCATTTTGAATGCATGTACTTCCAGTGCAAAATCCTCTCAGTGACCACAAGCTCCTTAAAGCCAAAGCCAAGAGCAGGGAGGTCTCTGTGTGGTCCAAATGCTCAGGAAGGAAGGAAAGTAGCATCTATTGAACGTTTACCACCCACCTGGCACATAACTCACGCCCTCTTACAACGTCCTCAAAACTACACTGTGAAATTTTTTTTTTTTTTTTTTTAGGCAGAGTCTCACTCACTCTGCACTCACCCAGGCTGAGTGCAGTGATGCGATCTCGGCTCACTGCAACCTCCGCCTCCCAAGTTCAAGCAATTCTCTGCCTCAGCCTCCCGAGTAACTGGGACTACAGACATGCCACACCATGCCCGGCTAATTTTTTGTATTTTTTTTAGTAGAAATGAGGTTTCACCACATGGGCCAGGCTGGTCTCGAACTCCTGACCTCAGGTGATCCATCCCCACTTTGGCCTCCCAAATGCTAGGATTACAGGCATGACCCACCACGCCCGGCGAAATCAATTTTATTAGCTCCATTGTTCAGGTAGGGGAAAATGAAACTTGGAATGGACAAGTAACTTGCCCAGCATTGTGGGGAACAATACCATGAGCCTGAAACCAATTTCCCTAATGATTTATTTGCCTAGTCACCTATTTCATCTTTTAGCATCCTAGTTTTCCCTAATCTTTTGGGTATTTGAAGAACTCTATTAAAAGCTAATCTAAAGATATATATTTTTGGCAGAGTACGGTGGCTCATGCCTGTAATCCTAGCACTTTGGGAGGCCGAGGCAGGCGGATCGCTTGAGTTCTGGAGTTCCAGACCAGCCTGGCCAACATGGTGAAACCCCGTCTCTACTCAAAATACAAAAATTAGCCAGGTGTGTTAGCAGGTGCCTGTAATCCCAGCTACTCAGGAGGCTGAGGCAGGAGAATCGCTTGAACCCAGGAGGCAGAAGTTGCAGTGAGCTCAGATCATGCCAATGCACTCCAGCCTGGGCAACAAAGCAAGACTGTCTCAAAAAAAAAAAAAAAAAAAAAACCCACAGATGCCCGGGCTTCGCCCCAGACCAAATGAACCCAAATCCCTCAGGGTGGGGCCAAGCATCAGCGTTTTCACCTATTCTCCAGGTGCTTCCACACCCCAAGGTCTGAAGCCCACTTCTCTATGACATCTCTTGGAGGCGGGTTGTCTGCATGTCTTGTCTCACCTCCCAATGCCCCTCCACTGGCCCCTGGGGACTCAGAATCAAGGAGGGGTTTAGGAGTCCCAGTCACTGCCTCTGGATGGTTACCATACCTCTTGCCTTCTATTTCTGCCCTCATTATAGAGATGGTGAGTGTGGCTGCCCAGGGACTGCTAGATGATTAGAGCTCAATCATTCCTTCCCAACAGAGGGCCATTTTTTCTTGAGAAGTGCAGGTTTGCTGGATTAACAAGCTACCCTGGCTTCCCAGGGGTTAATGCTGCTCCCTCAGAGGTTGCCTGTCTGAGGGTGCTGACCCCACCGTGCTCCTGTTGGCCCAAGGAGTCTCATGCTCAGCTGGACATTTATGCCTCTGCTTTCCTGGCCTCACTAGGTGGGTGGGGGCTGCTTCTTTGCAATCTGGTGTCTCCCCTGCTGGGTGACCTTGGGAAGGTCTCTTAACCCCTCTGAGCCTTAGTATTCCCCTGCAAAATAGAAAGGATGGTGCCTACCTCAGAAGGATATTATGAGGATTAAATAGGTCTCCACGCACTCTCAGAACACCCTAAGTTTTTCATTCAAAGTATGTATATTAATCATCGTTTAATGTTTGTCTCTAGCTGGACTAGGAGAACCACTAGGGCCAGGCCTGTGTCCATGTCCCAGAATCTTAACACAGGGCCTGGCACCTCGTAGTTGCTCATAGACCCCTTGTTGAATAAATGAATAAGGATGGGCAGGGCAAGGAATGGAGTCTGTTGTCGATGAGTCTTAATTCCTTTCCTTTACTTCCCTAAGATACTTCCAGAACAACCTCCGCAGATGTATATTCTTTTGTTAGCAGTCATGCATGTCAGCAACTTCCTTCACCCAACTTCCTTCAAACAAGGGTCCCCACCACACACTCACTGGCCTTCTCAGTGGTCTTCTGGTGGGAACAGATGTGGCTTCATTAGTGGCCGGGCAGAAGCATGGATATCAGAGACTTAAGGGGTACCAATCCAGCAGGTTAAGATGGCACAGCTATCTGTGGCTGTGTAACAAGCCACCCCAAAGTTGGTGACATAAAACAACAACCATTTTATTAGGCTCACAGATTCAGAGGTTTAAGAATTTGGCCAGGGCCCAACAGGGTGGCCTGTCTCTGCTCTCCAATGTCTAGGGCCAGGGTTGTGAAGACTCAAATGGCTAGAGGTGGCTGGAAAGGCTGAGGGCTGAAATCACCTGGGGGCTTCTTCCCTCACATGCCTGGTGCCTGGACTGAGACATCTCAGTGGGGACTGTCAACCAGAGTGCCTTCACATGGCCCCTCTGTGTAGTTTGGGCTTCCTCACAGCATGGTAGCCTTGGGATAGTTGAACTTTTTACCTGGAGGCTCAGGACTCCAAAGGCAAGTGTTCCATTAACAAAGGCAGAAGCTGATGGCCTGAGATGACTTAGGCTTGGAAGTCATACAGCATCACCTCTCTGTACTCAATTAATTGAAGCAGTCATAACCCTGCGAATATTCAAAGAAAAGAGAGAAATAGACCCCACAGCTCAATGGGAAGATCATCAAAGAATTTGTGGCCATATTTTAAGACTATGACACATACCCTGCTGGTTGCAGTTGCATGTGCTAGAACCTGAGACAGGGCCTGGCTCAGGAGGAGGGCTCAGGAGGGGCTTACCAAGTCCCAGGCTCTTGGCCCAATGCTGTGTGGCCTTAGGCACACTCACTCATGCTGTGTGGCCTTAGGCAAGTCTTTTCCACCTTCTTGACCTCCGTTTCCCCATGTGACATTCAGAGAATAAAATGCTGCAAGATCAACCTCTGATATGGTCAGGCTTTGTGTCCCCACCCAAGTCTCATCTTGAATTGTAATTTCCAGGTGTTGAGGGAGAGAGCTGCTGGGAGGTGACTGGATCATGAGGGTGGTTCCCCCATGCTGTTCTGGTGATAGTGAGTGAGTTCTCAGGAGATCTGACGGTTTTATAAGATGCTCTTCCCCCTTCACTTCCTACACACTCTCTCTCACCTGCCACCATGTAAGACATGCCTTTTCCCTTCCGCCATGATTGTAAGTTTCCTGAGGCTTCCCCAGCCATGTGGAACTATGAGTCAATTAAACCTCTTTTCTTTATAAATTACCCAGTCTCAGGTATTTCTTTATAGCAGTGTGAATATGGACAAATGTAACTCCTTTCCTTGTTGCTGGAGACCCTCACCATCATGCACATACACAGCTCACCAGGGAGACAGAGATCCCAATAGGGTGGGGAGCAGGCACCAACAGAATCCTCCCAACCAGTTGGGAAAATAGGAGTGCAAAGGAGACTGTGTCCACTGTTTATCTGGAATGCTGAGTGGGTGGAGTCCTGTTCTATCATGGCACCCAGGGTCAATCAGAACTTCCCTGGGTCCCTATAGTATGAGGGGCCAGCTAGTTTTCCAACACTTCCAAGGAAGGCATGGAAGGTGCTGGGCAGGGCCTGGTGGGCTGGGAGGGCCTCAGCTGCAGAGTCAGGAGGACACAGAGTGTGTGGGCTAATTACTACAGAAAAAAAAGATGTGGATTTAGCAGACACCAACAAAATGGGGTGACCATGCCCAAGAGGTTAGTGAAGACAGATACTGATGACCATGGCTCGGCTCTCCCCCTCCTCCAGCTCCCCCTCCTATGGCACAGAAGCCACTAGAACTAAGTAGATGACCTGACAAGGGAAGTTGAGGCAACTGGGAATAGATTGAATTTAAGTCTGATATGACCAACTTCAGCTGACATTGATTATTAAATAAACTTAAATGTTTTTGGCAGTTGGACAGAATGGGGAGTCTATAGGAGAAACAGAAAAATGAAGCTGTGTTTTTAGAGGCCCCAAGATTTGTAGCTAATTCATTTCTTCTTTCTGCTTAGCAAGGGACTGGCTGAGATCTCAGGCCTTTCCAGCTGTGATATCCAGTGTGGCTCTGATCCCCAGGCTTTATGACTCTGCTGCTGCTACCACTGCATCCCAGGGGACTGCCAAAGTGTGTGCAGGTCACGTCCCAGTGGGGCTCTGCCTGACCCAGCACTGAAAAATGGTTTACCCCTGAGTCATTCAGACAATTGATATCGTTGAGAAACCACGGTGTGTAGGCCCTAGGCTGGGCACTGTGCCTGCTTCTGGGGACAGTCAATTGAATAAGACACTGGCCTCATCTTCAACATGTTTACAATCCTGTGGCAGCAAACAATTAGAAGCCACTGGTTCTAGGACCTTAATTAGGAATTTCTCCTGATTACTGCTTTCGTTAAAAAGACATGAGCACATCTCCAGCTAATCAGTCAACAAATATTTACTGAGCACCTACTATGTTCCAGGCTCTGTTTTAGGTACTTGGGGTACATCAGTGGAACAAATAAACAGTAGAAATATAAATAAATGAGCCTTGAAGGCCTGCTTTTATCTCTCTGCCCATCTCGGTCCTGGGGAAATAAATGTGGGTGTTTCAGGCCGAACATCCAAATGATCAACTTTTTTTTGAGACAGGGTCTCCTTCTGTCTCAGGGTCTCCTCCTTCACCAGGCTGAAGTGCAGTGGTGCAAACACAGCTCACTGCATCCTCAACCTCCTGGACTCAAGCAATCCTAGCACCTCAGCCTCCTCGTGTAGATGGGACCACAGGCATGTGCCACCACACCAGGCTAATTTTTAAATTTTTTGTTAAGAAAAGGTCTCACCATGTTGTCCATGCTGGTCTCAAACTCCTGGGCTCAAGTGATTTTCCCGCCTCAGCCTCCCAAAGCACTGAGATTAGAGGCATAAGCCACCGCAACAGGCCATCATCAACTTAATTCTAAGGCATTTCCCACCCCCACCCTCATTCCCTGAACTCCCATCCTCCTTTGATCCTCAGTCAAGGCCAACTTCGAAAACTCCTTGGTAATCAGCTGGGAGCTTGCAGGGCCCAGACCTTCAGCAGCTTGTGGGAATGTCCCATGAGGAACTTTTTTTTTGTCAAAAGAATGCCAGGAGTTTAATTACTGTGTGGCCCATGGAGGTGATTTCCATTTATCAGCCAGAACCCAGACAGATCCTAGGAAGGCCCATCATGTGAGGCTGTGGCCGCCGTGGCCTGCTCTCTCCAGCAAAGGATAACCCTGGGGCCTGTGCCCTGGGCAGGGGCAGCAGGAATGCTTTGAATGCTTCCCCTGCATGTGGCCTTGGGTTTTACCAATGGCTACAGCGGGTGGTTTAATTAATAAATGTCCACTGCTTGTCATTTATCATTAGCAAAACAGGAGGGGTTGGAGGTGGGGGCAGCCAAGAGGGCAGGGAAGCTTTCTCCAAACAAGGTGCACCGATAAATTAAAGCTTTATCCATCAGTCTCACAGGCTGGCTGCTGTTGTACAGCCCCACGTTACTTTCCTCTGGTTCAGAGGCCAATCTCATGTTTCTGAAGGGCTTTGCAGCAGCTGTAGGGGGTTTCATCTATGACTGTGTTTCCCTTGTCAAATCTCAGCAAAGGACTGTGTTGCATGGTATGGAGGAGAGAGAGCAGCATGTGCCCAGGGGACTGGTTCCCATCGGGGTCTCAAACTGAAACTCTATGGTGGATCCAGCCTGAGGCTAGATTTTTGTTTGGCTACAATGGCATTTGACAAATTGGAAATTTTTACATAAAAATTCAAGTTTCTGGCTTCTATTGAAAAAGCAAGGCGAGGCAAAACCAAACCCTCTTTTTCAGTATGGCAACAAGCAGCTGATGGCCAGCTTAGGCAGGCAGGGCAGCCATGTGAGGTTGTGTGAGTTGTGCACTGCACAAAAGCACCTAGCAGAAGGTGCAAATGGAGGCTGAATCCAGGCCAGGCTGTCTTTCCAGCAGAAGCCCTGTAGGCAGGATGCAGGCCTTCCACTTCCCCACCACCGCTGACAATCCCTGCTACTTTACTCACCTACTCCATTCATTTACGTTACCTATCTGAGCTTGGTAAGCACTTGGTGTTTTCATTCCTAGTATACAATCAGGGCACTATTTCGTCTTCTCTATGTGAGAAATGCCTCTTCAACCTTCAAGGCTCAGCTCAACTCATAGAAGCTCCCTGGTGGTACCCTCCTCTGTATTTTCTCAACAGCAACCCACACTGCTATTATAGCACTCGGCACACCCTTGTGCTCTAATTTGTTAGCGGATCCTGTTTCCTGCAGACTTTGAGCCCCTTGAAGATAGATCCTACCATTTCTACTTTTCCTCTGCCTGGCACATAATGGGCACTAAATCAGTAGGGCTGAATGAATGGGTTTATGGCCAAGTGTGCCCCAGGCAAGGGAGGCCTCCAAGAGGCTGCCTAAAATCCTAAGCCAGGAAGGTCAGGAAAGGGTGATAAAAGGTTTTAACTTTGGGGTTTTGAAAGACCCTAGACTCCTAGGTTTCTTCTCTTGGACACTCTATGGGGCACTTAAAATCCTGAGTCATGCTGATTTTGGGATTTCCTCTGACCAGAAAGCTGAGTGTTTAAGACTTTTCACATTCGCTTGTTTTGTTGCAAGGAGCTAGTAAGAGCTCAGCCTGGCCTCTCCCAAAACCACTCATAAAGGAGCAGCAGACATGGTGCAGCCAACAGAGACTTCAGGGAACAAGGATGGCTGTGACTTGTGCAGAGCAATTCTGGGATCCTGGAACCTGAAATACATCTCCTCCCCAGAAATTTAGCCTGAAATTTCTTTAACCAAGATCAAAAGGTGAACCTTGCTTCTAATAATCACAGAGGACTGAATGTGTTCTGCGAAGGAGAGCCACACTGGTCTAAATTATTTCCAACTAACGTGTAAATGACTGATAGAGGTTTTTGGTTTTTTTGTTTTGTTTTTGTTGATTTTTTTTTTTTCCTAAATGCTAGTTTGGTGAGAAGGTAAAAAGAGTTATAAAAGTGCAACACCAAGGCGGGTGGATCGCGAGGTCAGGAGTTCGATACCAGCCTGGCCAACATGGTGAAACCCCATCTCTACTAAAAGTACAAAGAATTAGCTGGGCGTGGAGGCGCGCCCCCGTAATCCCAGCTCCTCGGAGGCTGAAGCAGGAGAATCGCTTGAACCCGGGAGGCGGAGGTTGCAGCGAGCCGAGATCGCGCCATTGCACTCCAGCCTGGGTGACAGAGCGAGACTCCGTCTCAAAAAAAAAAAAAAAAAAAAAAAAAAAAAAAAAAGCAACAAGCCCTCTCGCCTAGTCTCTCCTTTGTCGTCCAGACCCTCGCGGCCGCGGGCGTTCGTGGTTCGTCCCCTCCGCCCCCTCCGTCCCCTCCGCCCTTTCCGCCGCGCTGACTCGCCGCTTCCTCCTGGGCTCCATCGCCCCAAACCCGGGACTGCACTTCCCGGCAGACGCCGCGGCCAATGAGGGAGGGGCTGAGGATTTGGCGGCGGCGGCGCCCCGAGAGTCGGGGTGACGGGGCTTTGTGCGCTGAGGCGGAGGCTGCCAGCACGGAGGCGGAGGCCCAGGGGCTGTGCACAGGTCACCGCGGAGAGACGTGCGATTTCCCAGCCGAGCGCCGAGGACCCTGCTGCCCAGGCCAGGCTGCCAGCCGTAGGCTCCTCTCTGGCGGCAGCGGGGGCGCGGCGACACCCGTCTCTCGGCCTCCCCTTCCCACCCCACCTCCGGAGCCTTCCTCCTGCCGCAGCACGCCTGGCCTGGTCCGGCTGTGGCCCTCCTCGATCTCCGTGTCCCTCCTGTGATCGCATTGAGACGGCCGGGCGGTTAGAACGGGACAAACTGAAGGCCCGATGAGAGAAAGGGAAAGTTAAGAATGCTGGAGCAGAACAATGGATTTCTCTTTCTCTTTCATGCAAGGGATCACGGGAAACACAGTTCAACAACCACCTCAACTCACTGACTCCGCCAGCATCCGTCAGGAGGATGCCTTTGATAACAAAATTGACATTGCTGAAGATGGTGGCCAGACACCATACGAAGCTACCTTGCAGCAAAGCTTTCAATACTCACCTACAACAGATCTTCCTCCACTCACAAATGGCTACCTGCCATCAATCAGCATGTATGAAATTCAAACCAAATACCAGTCGCATAATCAATATCCTAATGGGTCAGCCAATGACTTTGGCGCAGCTAGAAACTTTAGCCCCACTGACTATTACCATTCAGAAATTCTAAACAGAAGACCACATTAAATTCTAGAAAACCCTTCCCCTCCACAGCCACCACTTCGGTACCACAAACTGTGATTCCAAAGAAGAGTGGCTCACCTGAAGTTAAACTAAAAATAACCAAAACTATCCAGAATGGCAGGGAATTGTTCAAGTCTTCCCTTTGTGGAGACCTTTTAAATGAAGTACAGGCAAGTGAGCACACGAAGTCAAAGCATGAAAGCAGAAAAGAAAAGAGGAAAAAACCCAAAAAGCATGACTCATCAAGATCTGAAGAGCGCAAGTCACACAAAATCCCCAAATTAGAACCAGAGGAACAAAATAGACCAAATGAGAGGGTTCACACCATATCAGAAAAACCAAGGGAAGATCCAGTACTAAAAGAGGAAGCCCCAGTTCAGCCAATACTATCTTCTGTTCCAACAACAGAAGTGTCCACTGGTGTTAAGTTTCAAGTTGGTGATCTTGTGTGGTCCAAGGTGGGAACCTATCCGTGCTGGCCTTGTATGGATTGAAGTGATCCCCAGCTGGAGGTTCATACCAAAATTAACACAGGAGGTGCCCGAAAATATCATGTCCAGTGTTTTAGCAAACAGCCAGAGAGGGTGTGGGTTCATGAAAAATGGGTACAGGAGTATAAAGGTCATAAGCGGTATGAAGAATTACTGGCTGAGGCAACCAAACAAGCCAGCAATCACTCTGAGAAACAAAAGATTTGGAAACCCTGACCTCAGAGAGAACATGCTCAATGGGATTTTGGCATTGCCCATGCAGAGAAAGCATTGAAAATGACTTGAGAAGAAAGAATAGAACAGTATACTTTTATCTATATTGATTAACAGCCTGAAGAGGGTTTATCCCAAGCAAAAAAGAATGTTGGGGCCGGGCGCGGTGGCTCACGTCTGTAATCCCAGCACTTTGGGAGGCCCAGGCGGGCGGATCACAAGGTCAGGAGATTGAGACCATCCTGGCTAACACGGTGAAACCCCGTCTCTACTAAAAAAATACAAAAAAATTAGCCGGGCATGGTGGTGGGCGCCTGTAATCCCAGGTACTTGGGAGGCTGAGGCAGGAGAATGGCATGAACCGGAGATCGCACCACTGCATTCCAGCCTGGGCGACAGAGCGAGACTCCATCTAAAAAAAAAAAAAAAAAGAATGTTGTCTCCAAAGCCGAAGTTAAAAAAACCTGATGACCAAGATCTGTGCTTTAAACTCAGCCAGAACAGATCAATGCAGGGGAGGTGGCCTCCTCACTCTCAAGTACTGACATTTGGAGACACAGCCCGAGGCAGCACACAAGCGCGGACGAGGAAGAGCCACCTCCTGTTAAAATAGCCTGGAAAACTGTGGCAGCAAGGAAATCCTACCAGCTTCCATTACAATGCACAAAGGGAGCCTGGATTTGCAGAAGTGTAACATGTCTCCAGCTGTGAAAATTGAAGAAGTGTTTGCTCTTCAGAATGCTACAGAGGATGGGAAATTAATTTGTTTATTCAACAAAGGGAATTGGTAACAAAACAGAAATAAGTGTCAGGGGGCAAGACAGGCTTATAATTTCTAAACCAAACCAGAGAAATGAAAAGCCAATGCAGAATATATCATCTCTTGAAGCAACATCTGGTTCTACAGGCTCAGTAGAAAAGAAGCAACAGAGAAGATCAATTAGAACTTGTTCTGAATCAGAGAAGTCCACTGAGGTTGTGCCAAAGAAGAAGATAAAAAAGGAGCAGGTTGAAATAGTTCCTCAGGCTACAGTGAAGACTGGATTACAGAAAGGGTCGGCGGACTGGGGAGTGCAGGGCTCTGTCAGATTCAGTGACAGCTCCATCTCCACAGCGATTGAGGAAACTGTAGACTGAGATTCCTGTACAATTTCATCCCAGAAAATCCAGACTTGTAGTCTCCATGCAAGATTTCTTTTTCTGTCGGCAGCTTGATAAACAGTTTATTTGTTTTAGATTTTGATTTTGCCAGTCATCATTATTGGCATTTTCCTGCCTGGTTTCTTCTTGAAGACTCTGAACGATTGCTTTAACATTCAAATGATTTTTTTTTTTTTCAGTTTGAGCTGGATGGGTACAGCTTAAATCATGGGTCCAGCCTAAAAACCACCATTTAACTTACACTGATCAGTTTCAACACGACATGGAATGGACTGTTTTTGGTTTTTTGTTTTTATTTTTTATTTATTTGTGGTGTTTTTTTGTTTGAGATGGAGTCTCGCTCTGTCACCCAGGCTGGAGTGCAGTGGCCCAATCTCGGCTCACTGCAACCTCTGCCTCCCGGGTTCAAGTGATTCTCCTGCCTCAGCCTCCTGAGTAGCTGGAATTACAGGCATGTGCCACGCCCGGCTGATTTTTTTTTTTTTTTTTTTTTGTATTTTTAGTACAGACTGGGTTTCACCATGTTGGTCTGGATGGTCTTGATCTCCTGACCTTGTGATCCGCCCACCTCAGCCTCCCAAAGTGCTGGGATTACAGGCATAAGCCACCGCGCCTGGCCAAGTTTTTTGTTTTTAAATAAAGCATCATTAATGCACCTCTGACAAAAATAAATAAATAAATAAAGCAGCAAATTCTGAAAGGGAGCCCCGCAATGGGGAAAGAGGTGCCCAAAGGGAAGTGTGGAGTTTAGGAAAGACCAAAGTTAGCTCAGGATTTCCCCTGGAGCCTGGGAGCGGGGGAATTGTATTGAGATAAAGGAGCACCAGGCCCATCTGTCTGGAGCTGACACGGAGACCTCTGAGTAATGATTTCAAGGAGGAAGAGCAGGCAAGACCCACTGAGGGTACCAGAAACAGCAAAATTGGGTGGGTAGATACACCGTCTACCTGGACTGGAGTAGAAAAAGGGAGGATAAAGAAGACAGTATTCACCCCACACACATTTGCTGTGGACTTACTATGTGCAGGGGGCCATGCCCAGTACTGAGTTCAGTCTCCTGTTGGAAAAGTTTCATCAGAGCCTGACGGAGAGCAGATTTCCACAAGCCCATCAATAACACTTAATGTGCAGTGCATTTTGGGCTCAAACCCTGAAGGTGCCTCGAAAAGGCTTGTAAGCTGGGGGTACAGTCCCCTGCCTGAGGAAGGATACCACAGGCTGGGCATAGCTCCATTGGCCCTTCTCAGGGTGGCTTTCCAGACCCCATTATTTTAAATTGCAACGCCTAGCACTTCTGATCCCTTGTCCTATTTTTCTGAGCATCACTTACCCCTTTCTGACATATGTTTTATTTATCTATGTGTTTATTGTCTGTTTTCCCCAGTAGAATGCTTCTCCATAAGAGCAAGGGTTCTTTTTTTTTTTTTTTTTTCAAGGCAGAGTCTTGCTCTGTTGCCCAGGCTGGAGTGAAGTGGTGCGATCTCAGCTCACTGCCAGCTCCGCCTCCCAGGTTCAGTGTCCCGAGTAGCTGGGACTACAGGCGCCCACCACCACACCCGGCTAATTTTTTGTTTTCGTGTTTTTAGTAGAGATGGGTTTTCACCATGTTAGCTAGGATGGTCTCTATCTCCTGACCTCATGATCCGCCCACCTCGGCCTCCCAAAGTGCTGAGAATACTAGGTGTGAGCCACCACGCCCGGCCAGGTTCCTCTAAATCAACTTAATTGAGGGATCATTTACATATAATAAACTGTATCCATTTACCATTTAAAGTGTATAATTCTGAACTGTGGGATGTATGCGGATATATATACCTGTACAGCCACCACCACTACCACGATACTGAACATTTTCCACTACCCCCAAAGTTGCAGTCATCCCCATTTCTCCCATTTCCTACCCCACACTCACCCCAGGCAGCCACGGATCTGCTTCTTGTCACCATAGGCTAGAATTAACAGCAGGGATTTTTATCTGTTTTATTTCTCTGTCCCCAACACATCAGATGATGCCTGGCATATAATTGGCACTCAATACATCCTTGGTGAAAGACTGAATTAATGGATGGGAAATCAGATGATTAAGATCTGTCTTCGGGGCCGGGCGTGGTGGCTCACGCCTATAATCCCAGCACTTTGGGAGGCCGAGACAGACAGATCACCTAAGGTCGGGAGTTCAAGACCAGCCTGACCAACACAGAGAAACCCCGTCTCTACTAAAAATACAAAAGTAGCCAGGCATGGTGGCGCATGCCTGTAATCCCAGTTACTCGGGAGGCTGAGGCAGGAGAATCGCTTGAACCCAAGAGGCAGAGGCTGTGGTGAGCCAAGATCGTGCCATTGCACTCCAGCCTGGGCAACAAGAGCAAAATTCTGTCTCAAAAAAAAAAAAAAGATCTGTCTTCGGGCAGCTCAGAGCCCAGTGGAAGAGACAGGTGAAAACAATAGTTACAACCTCCACAGATCCTCTGCAGGAAGTGAGAGAGTGAGGATGCACATGATGGAACTGCAGAGTTTGAGTTCTTTGGCATCAGAGGGATTTGAGCTGAAGGACCAGCTCCACTTCTCACTACTTTACAATCTCACGTGAGCCCCTACATTCCTCTGAGTCTCTTTTCTCTTTTGTAAATCTTGTATAAGAGCAGTACCCACCAGAGAGTGCTGTTAAAGGATGTAATGGGATAACGCTTGCCAAAGGCATAGCACAGCACCTGGCACACAATCCATGCTCAACAAACCTTACCTACTGATATTCTTGGCCATTCGAAGAACATGGGGCTGGGCATGGTGGCTCATGCCTGTAATGCCAGCACTTTGGGAGGCCGAAGCGGGCAGATCTCCTGAGGTCAGGAGTTTGAGATAGCCTGGCCAACATGGTGAAATCCTATCTCTTCTAAAAATACAAAAATTAGCTAGGCGTGGTGGCAAGCACCTGTAATCCCAGCCATTTGGGAGGCTGAGGCAGGAGAATCGCTTGAACCAGGGAGGCAGAGATTGCAGTGAGCCCAGATCGCACCATTGCACTCCATCCTGGACTACATGAGCGAAACTCCATCTCAAAAAAAAAAAAAGGAAAAAAAAAAAAAGAACATGGTTGAAGACCAGCTCTATAATATGAGTAAGATCAGACTCTTGATTTTGTGAAGGCAAAGCCAGGGAAGAGAGGCAGAAGCTGAAGTCAAGACCAGCTAGTTTATGCTGCAGTAACAAATGAGTCCATGGTCCCAGGGGCCTCGAGCACTGAGGTGAAGTTCATTTCTCTCACACTTATGTGTGCCCTGCTCCACTCCTATGCCAGGCTGGCAGTGTGGTTTCTGGCTGGGGCACTGCCATCCTTGTAACAGAGGGAAGAGAGAACAAGGTGAGCCATGCTTGGCTTTGAAAGTTTCTGCTCCCCAGTAACTCACATGTCCCACTTCACTGGCCAGCACCAGTCATGTGGCGAAGCCTGAGTGAGGCCAATGGATCAAGGAAGTGTAATCCTTCTCCAGAGAGGAAGAGGAAATATTTGTGAGCAATGGTACGGTGTACCACAGGCATGCAAGCAATTAATTACAGGATGTGAGAAGTACCATCTACCTCTGCACGGTGCTAGGAAGGAAAAGGGGCTGACTCTGCTTGGAAGGCAGATGTCAAGCAGGGAAAGGGGAAGTCTGGGAAGGCTTCATGGAAGAGGTGATGTGTATCTGGGTCTTAAAGAAGGAATAAGAGCTCACTAGGCAGAAAGAAACAAGGGAACATTTAGGCAGGATGAAAAGGCAATTGTCAAGGATAAAATTGTGAAAGTCTGATGTGCTCTCCGTGGTTGGAGCATCTGGGTACAGGGGCTGGCCCTGGACAGGTGGACTGGACCAAGAGCGGTCTTTGACCATCACACTAAGGATTCCGACTTTTCCGGAAGAGTGGTGGACAGGCACTGAGGTTTCTGAACGAGGAGATATGACTTTGAGCCCTGGAGTGGCTGGATGGAGGGATGTTTTCATCCCAAGTGCTGAAAAGAAACCAAATAAAAGGGGACCCTAAATCAGGGGAAAATCCCTGGGAAGAGATGAAGTTTTTCTGCACGAAAACCCAGATAGGAACGAGAACTCAGATAGGAACGGTCGCCCGGGGGAGCTGGGCCCCTTCCTGTTGCAGAGAGCAGGCACAGCTCGGTGGCAAACGCCGATCAGGGCACGGCGAGGCCGAGCCGAGCCCCGCGGACCTGCCTGACCCCGCGCCCGCCCCCCGCGCCGGGAGAGAGGCCCCTCCTGGCCCCTGGAGACCTGGCGTGGCGGATATTTGTCTGTGATACGATTGTAATTTGGGTCCCTTTTGGCCGCAGTAAATTGTCCTGTTTGCACAGCGCCAGGCTGAAATAGCCCGGCGCGCGCGCCCCAGGAAATGAGCTCAGGGCCGACGGCCGCGGAGAGCGCGCTGCAGCCGCCCTGGCGCTCCAGGCGCCCCGGCCAGCCCGCGTGGGGGCGGAGCTGGTATTTTTTCATTTGACCGACTTAAACAGGTAATTCGAATTATGAGCATGAAAAAGTGCCCAAGGCGCTGTCTGCCACCGAAAGCTCAGAGAAAAGTGGGAGCGCTGGCATGGGGACTGGGGAGGCTGCAGCATCTTTCTTCAAGCGCAGCGGTGGGAGGTAGGGGGAGGAACCGAGGCTCGGTCTGAGATGTGCTGCCTCTGCCACCTCCCACGAGGCAATAAGGAAAGTCAAAACCCCTGGTGACAAATTGCGATTTTACAAAAATGATTTCATACTAGAAGGACTCCACAGCTATGGAAAAGAACATTTGAAGCACAGTTACATCCGCCTTATCGTGCCTTACAGGTAACACTACAACTATCTACACATACATGGATTTGTCAGCATTGCCATTGATCACAGCATATAGACAATCCTGTGCTCCTTTTTTCACTTGCTTTTATTTTCTGAACACTCTTTCTTGTTGCTACACAATTTTCAATTTACCATTTTTACTGGCAGGGTAACATTTCATTGGATGGATGTATCATAATTTATAGGACCATCCCTCTATGTTGGCTGGGGAGGGTGTCTCCAGTTTTTCCCTATCATAAATAACACCCCAATAAATGTCTTTGTAGATACAAAATGGTTCTTTCTTCCTTGTGAATTATTTTCTTAGGATTAATTCCCAGGAGGAAGATTATTGGGCCAAAGGCTATGAACATCTTTATGTCACTTGATATTATTGCCAAATTGCTTTCCAAAAGGGTTGTCTCTGATAATTTATGGTGTAAAAGAAGGAACTAACCAAATGTGTACACCGTCCTTTCCTATACACACACAAAGGGCGTCACCTTGGGGCCCAGAGGAACAGGTGCTTGGGGTAGCTCCGAGTGGGGGCGGGATAGGGGTGCAGGGGAAAGGCCATTCAGAGGTGCGGGTGCTGGGATCCACCTCACCCTGGTGTCGGTACTTTCTGGAAGGACAGGCTTCCCGGATTTTTTGACTCCCTCCCTTGTCCTCCCTTTTGCTTCCATCAGATGTTTAGACCTATCACTCCCAAGCCCCTACCTTACTGTCCGCCTCTCAGAGTCCTTCCTGCCAGGGCTGCCTGGGAACTGGCCCACCCTAGGCCCTGAAATAGCATGATTTGCTGAGCCAGCTTTTATACTAAATGGGAACTATTGGCACCTTTGGCTTCTTGTCATCTTTATGTTTTCCCGAGAGGTAGCACTAACCCCTCGATGAGGCTCAGGAGGGGAAGCTGGGGTGTGCCCCCAGGTGATACCCTGGGAGAGGCTGTCTTCCTTGCAGCTGCTCCTCAAGTCATTGCCAGGTTCGGCTCTGGTGGAAACTTCTGTATTTACAAAGATCAAGTCTGGGAGATGAGGCCAAAGACAAAACATCTTCTGTCCACACTCCTCACACTATTCAATTTGCGGATGTTGTTCCTCCCACAATTGTTTTGGTATCACCCCAGCTGACATCGTGGACTTTTTTTTTTTTTTTTTTTTTTTTTTTACTTTCCTGGCAACACTGTAGGAAGAAAGCACGTTCAGGGGACAATTCACCAGAGGGAAAACAGACTTGATTTCTCCTCCGCTGTAGCAACCCATGTGTTCTTGGGACAAATCTCTTAGGGAATATGGGTCCCAACTTTACTGACAAAATGAGGTTCTGGCTGGACCAGCCACATCATTGCTGTCCCTAGGACCCAAAAGCCCTTGGTGGAGTTTCTTTTTTTTTCTTTCTTTCTTTTTTTTTTTTTTGAGACCAAGTCTTTCACTGCCACCCAGGCTGGAGTGCAATGGCGCGATCTTGGCTCACTGCATCCTCTGCCTCCCGGTTCAAGTGATTCTCCTGCCTCAGCCTCGTGAGTAGCTGGGATTACAGGCACCTGCCACCATGCCCGGCTAATTTTTTGCATTTTTAATAGAGACGGGATTTCATTATGTTGGTCAGGCTGGTCTCAAACTCCTGACCTTGTGATTCACCAGCCTCGGCCTCCCAAAGTGCTGGGATTACAGGCGTGAGCCACCATGCCTGGCCCCAACTTGGTGGAGTTTCTTATGCTCCCAAGTTCTCCTCCCATGACTGCACCATGGAGATGTGGGACAGAAGGTGCCCTTGGTGGGAGGGACTCTGAGGGGTAGACAGTAAGGTGGGGGCTGAGCTGGGAGTGACAGGTCTGAGCATCAGACAGGAGAAGGACAGGGCAGGATGGGGAGTCTGAAAACTACTGGGACAAACCATTACCTGCCAAGGAGAGACCTGACCCAGACACACAGGGCTTTCCACTGCCCCTCAGGCCTCCACATATCTCCTGTCTCCAGAGATGCAGCCTGTTTCCCCAGGGGCTGCTGGGAAGCCCCCCACTTTATCACTGGAGGGTGTCACACTCAGAATCACCTCTCCACCCAAACCGCCAACCTCAGTCCCAGGATCAGGCCTGTGCCTCTGGCTGTCTCCCCTCAGGTGACGGTCACACCCTGTTGGGTGCCCCGCCTGCGAGGACGGAGGAGCCATCACTGTTCCAGCTGCCTGGAGATCTTGGTGCTGGTGCCAGCCCTCAGCCTCAAGAGGTCTTTCATGGTTTCTTCCTTGAAGTTCCTCACCTCCACGGGCAAACAGAAGCCCACATTCAAGGGAACTGCCCAGATGGGTAATGGGTACATGCCCTTGGGCCCCATTGGATGAAAATGAATGTAGAATGAGGAGCCAAGTCACTCACTCTTAGGTTGGTCTTTTCTTGCTTTGGCTCGTGTTTCCCACAAACGCTGCTGCCATGGTTTGAATGTTTGTCCTCTCCAAAAATCATGTTGAGGTTTAGTTGCCATTGTGATGGTATTGGGAGGTGGACCCTGCCCTCACGATGGATGAATGACTCATGATATGAGTGAGCTTATTATCATGGGAGTGGGTTTGCCCTTTCCTGCTCCCTCTCTTTCCCTTTCTCCCTCTCTTTGCCCTTCCACCATGTGACACCCTCTGGCATGTTATGATGCAACAAGAAGGCCCTCACCAGATGCCGGCTCCTTGATTTTGGATTTCCCATCCTTCAGAACCATGAGCCAAATAAATTTCTGTTTGTTATAAATTACCCAGTCTGTGGTAATCCATTACAGCAGCACAAAACAGACTAAGACAATTGCCTACTAGCAGGCATCCCTTTCCACCACCCTACTCAGCCATTTCCAACCCCTTCAGCTCAATCCCTAATCTGGAATATTGTCCCAGTGCCTCCAGTTCCTACAACCCAATTCGTTTTGTACTTTGCGATGGCACCATCCAATGAGGGCTCAAAGTCGTCTTCTCTGGGTGTCTGCAAGGTCCAACTAAACCCCACTTTATAATGTGGTCTTGTTTATGATGTCATGCATGGTCTGTCTCCCCATAGACCCCCCGGGGCACTGCCCACATCTTACACATCATTTGAACACCGTGGTACTCCGCCCAGGGCCTGCCTGTCAGCACATGCTCAGAAACATGTGTTGATCCATTTCCATTGTTCATTCAACCCTTCCTGCACCTGAATAGGCTCTTGGTTGCAAGTGACAGAAACAACACTAGCTAAGAAGCAGCAAAGCAATTAATTGGAAGGATATTTATGAGCAAAAGGAGTCCATAGGGAGGGAGCACCAGGATGGGAATGGGCAAGGGAGGCCAGGGGACAGGAAACCAGCCAGCTTCAAGTCTCATGAACGTGGGTTAGGGAGGCTGCCCAGCCCTGCTCCTACTGGCCACCACTACCACCCCTCGTGAAGACCACTGCTGAGTGTGAATTCTGGGCAAGATGGAGGAACATCCGATTGGCCAAGCCTGGGTCACATGTCTAACCCCAGATGGAGGTGGGAGGATGTGGCCTCTCCAACTTTTGTGGTGGGGTCCCTGACTTCCCCCACCAGGCCTACTCGGTAAAAGACCCCACACCCCTAGGCCGGGCGTGGTGGCTCACGCCTATAATCTCAGCACTTTGGGAGGCCAAGGCGGGTGGATCACCTGAGGTCAGGAGTTCAAGACCAGCCTGACCAACATGGTGAAATCCTGTCTCTACTAAAAATACAAAACATTAGCCAGGCATGGTGGCACGTGCCTGTAATCCCAGCTACTACTCGGGAGGCTGAGGTAGGAGAATCACTTGAACCCAGGCAGCGGAGGCTGCAGTGAGCCAAGATCGCACCATTGCACTCCAGCCTGGGCAACAAGAATGAAACTCCGTCTCAAAAAACAAAACAAAACAAAACAAAAAACCCACACCCCAATGTGGGAGGCTGAGCAGCTCCCCAAAAGACAAATGTCTAACAGTTACTGAGATTGTGTTCACTGTGTGCCAGGTGTTACTCTAGGCACTGACGTGTGAAGATGAGGAAGCCAGGCCCCTGCCAGGCAGCTGGCTGAGAAAGCAACCCCAGCTCCATTCATCATTTATGGGGCACCACTCCATGCCAGGTTCTTGCCCATGGGCTTTCTCAGACATCATCCCATTTAATCCTCACTGTGGCTGGGGCTGAATTAAAGGGGCTAGTGAATGGTCAAGGGAGCAGCATGGCTGCCAAGGAGTTAGGGCAGCATCACAGAGAAGTGACCATCTGGCAGGGACTAAAATGGACTCAAGGAGGTTGAAAAAAGAGAAAGGCCTTCTAGGCAGAAGGAACAGCATGTATAAAGGCACGGAGGCCTGACAAAGTCAGAGAGGATTCAGGCCATCATGGTTTCTTGGTGTGGCTGGAATATAGGAAGCAAAAGAGGCCTAGAGGTGGCTGTTGCAGGTAGCTCATGCTAGCAATGAGCAGGCCTTGAATAAAAACAGCCAATATTTCTCAAACACTTGGTAAATGCCAAGCCCTCTATGAGGCCCTTTACATCCATCATCTCCCCCATCAGGCAAGCACTATTTTTATTCTGAAGATGAGGAAACTAAGGATAAGAGGGGTTAAGTAACTTTTTCAAGGTCACACAGCTAGCAAATTGGAAGAGGCAGGATTTGAACCAAAGTTTGTGTGTTCAACCACTGATGGTGCCAGAAGGAATAGGAGGAGTCCATGTACCTACCCTGATCCTTTAAAAAAAAAAATTTTTTTTTTTTGAGACAAGATCTCACTCTGTCACCCAGGCTGGAGTGCAGTGGGGTGATCACAGCTTACTATAGCCTCGAACACCTGGATCAAGTGATCCCTTCACCTCAGCCTCCTGAGTAGCTGGGACTACAGCTGTGCACCACCACACCCATCTAATTTGTTAATTGTTTTTTTTTTTTTTGAGACGGAGTCTCACTCTGTCTCCCAGGCTGGAGTGCAGTGGCATGATCTGGGCTCACTGCAACCTCTGCCTCCTGGATTCAAGTGATTCTCCTGCCTCAGCCTCCCGAGTAGCTGGTATTACAGCCACCACACCTGGCTAATTTTTGTATTTTTAGTAGAGACGGAGTTTCACCACGTTGGCCAGGCTGGTCTCAAACTCCCGACCTCAGGTGATCCGCCCACCTCGGCCTCTCAAAGTACTGGGGTTACAGGTGTGAGCCATCACGCCTGGCCTTTTTGTTAATTTTTTGTAAAGACAGGGTCTTGATATGTTGCTCAGGCTGGTCTCAAACTGCTGGTCTCAAACTCCTGGGCTCAAGCGATCCTCCCACCTCAGCCTCCCGAAATGCTGAGATTACAGGCATGAGCTACTGCACCTGGCCCCTTCCCTGATCCTTCCCATCCCCAGAGACTGTATTTTGCAGGATTCCCTATTCCCCTACCTCCATGGAGAGTGGCCTCCATAGCCTAGGGAGTGTGGCTTGTCTTACCCTCACTCTACCAGGTCACTTCAAGGAGGTCATGGCAGAGCTAGCTCCTTTGCACCATGACATTAAAAAGTCAGTTCCCTGTTACCATTCTCAGTTTTGTATTCAGGAAAAAGGAACTGGCCAAGCTGCATAGAACTTTTTATGGACAGAGAGAATTGTTGAAATGATAAAATACAGTCTGCTGCTTTTGGCTGGGTCATTTCTAGGCACTTCCACTTAGAGGGACAGGTACAGAAGGCACCCAGCAGGGCAGCTTCATGCTTAGGGTTTGGCCCTAGGTCACCTGGGTTTGGATCCCAGCTGCCCCATTTCATAGTCATGGGACTTTCGGCATGTTATTTAACCTCTCTGGGACTCAGTTTTCCCATCCATAAAACAGAGAATAACCACAGTGCCTGCCCTATAGGGCTTAGGAGGTTTAGAGATGTTTGTAAAGTATCTGGCATGTAGTGAGTACTAAAAAAAGAGAAAAAAATGCAATTTGGGCCAGGCACCATTATTATTCTCCATCCATCTTCACAATAACCCGTGTGTGAGGCAGGAGGTGTACCCATTTGACAGGTGGGGAAACAGAGGCTCAAAGATATTAAGTGGCCCTCTCAAGTTCACTCCCTAAGTGGAAGAGTGGGAATTCAATCCCAGATGTGTCCAATTACAATGTCCGTGAGTTTTACATGGTCCCTCGCTGTCTCAGGGCTTCTATGCTGGTGCACCTCGCCAAAATGTCACTTGCGGCTGAAACCACATTGTCTTCCAGATGATCAGCTATTGCACCAGCAACGCAGGGCAGGAGCCAAGAGCACTGTGCTGGGGGAGCATCCAAGCCCCCCCACGTGAGCACGCCCAGCCCAGGCACTTGTCCCTGCTGTCTCAGGTAAAACTTTGGAAACCTCAACCCCTAATTACCGCCTGGCACAGGGCACCCGGTGGTTTCCGGATGGCTTGTATTGACTCGCGCAGTCTTCATAGGACATAGGTCTGAGCTAAATTTAAGCCCCGTCACAGACAATTTAACAGTTTTCTGTGGGGGGGTAATTGAATGGTAAACCATAATTACCGATACAACTGATACCTTAATTCCCAAAACAATCTGTGGAGGTGTGTGGAATTCAAATCAGTCCAATTAGAATTCTATCTTCTCATAATAAAATACAGCATAATTGCTAATTGCCCCCTGGCTCACAATATTTTAAGGCAGAAAGTTGGTTTTGTTTTTTAATATGGCTTTTGTTTTTAATTTTGGGCTGTTGCACATGAGTGGGAAAGGATCCAGGTCTCTGTACTTGGGACAAGACGCCCAGGAGAGGCCAGCTATGCACAGGGCTCCACCGATGTCGGAGGTCTGGCTCTTGGAAAGGCCAGGATGAGCTCTTTTGATAGAAGCCACCTGAGCTGGAAATGACCTTTGGGTTGACAATGCATTCTGATGAGCACTGCAGTCAGAAGTTCTAAGTGAGACTGTAGGATTTAGGGCAAGTTTCTTAACCTGACTCAGTTTCCTGATCTGTACAATGGGTGTAATAATTGATCTTCGTCTGTGGGTTGTTGGGAAGATTGACACAGTGCCCAATATATGGTAAACACTCTAGAAATGGTAGCTGCTGTTATTAGTATAAATTCACTCACTCATTGACCCAGCAAATACATACTGAGTACTATATGTGCCAGGCACAATTTTAGGTGCTAAGGACATAACGGCAAACAAAACAGATGAAGCCCCTGCCGTTTGTGCAACTTCTACTGGGGAAACATGATAATAGACAAATGAATACATTAAAGAATCTGGCCTCTGCGAGAGGTCATGTGATGTGGTCAAGGAGGATGTCTCTGAGGAGGTAGCACCTAGGAGCCTGAATTTACCAAGAAGGAAACTGAGTCTCAAAAGTTCAACTTTGGAGGACCGGGCATGGTGATTCATGCCTGTAATCCCAGCGAGCTGGGAGACCAAGGCAGACAGATTGCTTGAGCCCAGGAGTTCAAGACCAGGGTGGGCAACATAGCTAGACCCTGTCTCTGCAAAAAATTTAAAAATTAGCCAGGCGTGGTGGTGCATGCCTGTAGTCCCAGCTACTCAGGAAGCTGAGGTGAGAGGGTCACTTGAGCCCAGGAGTTGGAGGCTGCAGTGAGCTATGATCACGCCACTGCACTCCAGCCTGGATGACACAGTGAGGCCCTGTCTCTAACAAAAAAAAGTTCAACTTTGGGCAGCAGGTGCACACCGCAGATGTTTGGGAGAGAGGGGCAGGAGGATAATCTTCAGGAGAGGGAAGGAACAATCTTAGTGGAAAGGCACTAGGTGGTCAGGCAGCAGCTGCCATGGAGAAGTCATGGGTTGCTGAACTGTTGGAATCCCAGCTCTCTAGCTTTAGTCCGAAAGGCTCCTCATGATGACCTGAAGGTCGCTGTGGAGGAGAAAGTGCCCAGGCAGTGGAGCTGGAGAGACCCAGCTTCAGATCCTGGCCCTGGGTGACTTGCTGTGTGGCCTCAGACACCTGCTGCATCTCTCCCAGGCTGCATCTTCTCTCCTGTAAACTGGGAACAAGAAGACATAGGTCACAGGGTCATTGGCAAGGTTGTGTGGGACCATACTTGTCAAGAACATGGCACACATTGGCACTCAGCAAGTGCCAAGTCTCCTGAAACTGAGGCTGAAAGAAAGGAAGTGACTTGTCCAAGATCACACAGTGAGTTGTGGCAGAGAATAGGCAAGCTTGGGTCCAGTGTTCTCACTCCTGATAGCCAAGAACACAGCTTCTCCCGCGGCCAGCTAGAGGGTCTTTGCAGGGCAATTGCTGATAGGCAGCAGGTCAGAAAGGATTTCAGAGGAGGAAGGATTAGGATCAAGCAAAGAGACACCCCTATTTGGCATGCACCTGAGTTAGTGCAAAACAAGCCATTCAGATTTCAACTTCCGGCATTCATTTACTTTCAACAGCTAAGCATGTTGGAGATACCTCCTAGGAGCTACAGAGCTGACTTGCGGGGTAGAGGGAGGCTGGAGGTATGGGAAGGGGGCTGTATGGAAAGGAGACATATTTCCCCAGCACAACCCCGTCTGGCATTCCCAGACAGCCCCGCCTCTCCCCATTTGACAAATCCCACTTCCCGCCTGGGATCCAAGGGGTCTCCAAGATTAAAAATCTGGTCACCCACTGGTTACAGCGCAAATGGCTCCTATTACGAGAGGGCTCTAGGGGCCTGGGAACCCAGCAAGGGGTGGGCAGGCGCCTGCTGACACAGCCTTACCCAGGGGCAGGCCCATTCACTGCCCACACAGAGGTGGGAGGTGGGGGCCCTACCTGGGGTCCCTGCACCTCGACAGTAATTACTGCTTTCTGGCTGGCCACTGCCCAGACCACCTTGTTGATGGGAACTTGGTCCCAGGCTGAACAGGGCTTGGCCCTACTGCTCAAGGGCCCCCCCTTCCCACGACTGAGGCATGGGGGAGGGGTGTTGGCGGGGGAGGGTTCAGACTCCCAGCAGCCTAAGGAAGAAGCAGCGAGATTCAGGGACAGTGGACGTAGAAACTGGGACTGATAGTCTGGGCAGGCTCTTAGGGTTTAAATCACACTTTTAGCCAAGGGACCCCCCGGTGCACCCTCAGAAGTCTTCTGGATATAACTTCAGACACCTGGGTCCCCTAATGCAT
This sequence comes from Homo sapiens, assembly GCF_000001405.40. Taxonomy (NCBI): domain Eukaryota; kingdom Metazoa; phylum Chordata; class Mammalia; order Primates; family Hominidae; genus Homo; species Homo sapiens. The sequence continues at coordinate 43,704,311 of NC_000017.11, read as the reverse complement.
AACTACCGTGACAGCAGGTATAACTGGTATGTCAAACAAGCATAACTCCTAGGATCATCAATACACAACTTTATTTTTGTCTCCTACCTTCCTTTAGACTTTCTTTAGTGCAAGTAATCTCCCCTGTTTCTGAATTGGAACTCCCGCAGGCCCATAACTTTTCTGCCCAATCCTAGGTAGAATAGAGTCCTGAAGTTACTTTAAGTCACAAGAAACATCTCAGTTCTGATGCTAGAATATCCAGTCCAAGACAGTGACCAAAACTGAACCTGATTTAGTGACAAGCTTTCCCCCTCCCGGGTGGGCAGCCTGCAGTGAGAGAGGAGGCCAGTGGCATTTTCCTCAGTTTCTCAGCAGTGCCGTACCCAGCCTGGTCTTCAGCTCTCTGGGGTGGAGCCTGGGGAGAAAGAGGGGGAGGCCAGGGCAGTCCTACCCTGGGAAACAGGCTTTGGGCCTCTGGCTGGCCTTGGCCTATGTCTAACACCAGCTCTTTAGGCCTTGGTTAGGAGAAAGTCAATACATTTCTGGGTTTTGTGCAATATTCCTGTAGTAAGAATGGTCCCCTAGAGTAACAATGACTAAAACAAGATAATATCTACATTCATACTCTGACACAATTCTCACTTATTCTGCAAACTCTGATTAAAGGTCCATATGTGATTAACGCTGGGATAGCCCTGGAGATGCAGAAAACAGCCTTGTTGGGATGTTTGATGCCCTTGGCTTCATCACCCATCTCACAATGACCAGAAACTCAATGACACCCAGGTGAGGAGAAACTCATTTTTATCCCTGTTTAGTCAATAACCAGGAAGCACGGGGCTTACAATCTAGAGAACACTTCTAAAGACTACATCTTCAGCAGTACCCACTTTACTGATGGGGAAATAAGCCTCAGAGAGATTAACTAATGTGCCTAATGATATTTGGTAACTGACAAGGTTTAGACTCTAACCAAGGTCTTCTGGTCCTAACTTCAGAGTCCTGTGCACTTAAGACCACAATCTGACTCTCTTTTGTTGTCTGTGTGAGAGAAGAGTGAGGCAGGGATCTGAGTACATGAGAACGAACCAGGGAGGAAGGGCAGGCAGGCTAAACTCTCCCCGGGATCAGCAGAAAGCGGCCAGGACTCAGACACTCACTGTGGCCATGGAAGCTGCAAGGCAGATTTAAACTCCAGACATTTGAGACACCACGTAAGCCCTCCAGTACTGTAATATTTTTGGCGAGAGGAAGATGCAAGGAACACTTAAGATTTGGAATTGTTAACAGCAGTGAAAACACTACTTGAAAGCTGAAGGGAATAGCATGATGCCTGCTTGCAGCTCCCAGCTCACATTCATCCCCTCAGCCACCCAACATAAGGAGTTTATTTTCCCAAGAGTTCAAACAGGAGTCCCAGAACAGATCCTCATTGGCTCAGGCGGGTCACATGTCCCTCCCTAAACCAATCACTATAGCTAGAGGATTTGGAGCCCTGATTGGTCAGGCCTGGGTCATGTGGTTGATTTGGAGTACGCAAGGTGGAGTTAGCTCCCCGGCCCTACTTACAATGTGGGTAGGGAAGAGCTCTTAGCAGAAGGGGGAAGGGGGAACGGGAAATGGGAAATTAGATAAGAAAGAGGGCTTTGTACCACAGAAGGATTTCTACTTTATAGATTGGCAGTAGGAGCCCACAAATGCTTTCACATGGGAAAAGACATTTTCAATGTTGGGGGTCATGAAGGTGAATAAGGCAGCCAAGAAATTGTTGCTACCTAATCATTAGGTGTCAGTTAAACATGCATAGTATCGGCTGGGCGTGGTGCTGTAATCCCAGCACTTTTGGAGGCCGAGGCAAGTGGATTGTCTGAGCTCAGGAGTTCGAGACCAGCCTGGGCAACATGGCAAAAGCCGGTCTCTACAAAAAATGCAAAAATTAGTTGGGTGTGGTGGCACTGCCTGTGGTCCCAGCTACTCGGGAGGCTGAGGTGGCAGGATTGCTTGAGCCCCGAGTTGAGGCTGCAGTGAGCTGAGATTGCACGACGGCACTCCAGTCTGAGTGAAAGAATGAGGACCGGGCGCGGTGGCTCACGCCTGTAATCCCAGCACTTTGGGAGGCCGAGGTGGGCGGATCACGAGTTCGGGAGATCGAGACCATACTGGCTAACGCGGTGAAACCCCGACTCTACTAAATATACAAAAAATTAGCCGGGCGTGGTGGCAGGTGCCTGTAGTCCCAGCTACTCGGGAGGCTGAGGCAGGAGAATGGAGTGAACCAGGGAGGCGGAGCTTGCAGTGAGCCAAGATCACGCCCCACTGGACTCCAGCCTGGGCGACAGAGCGAGACTCCGTCTCAAAAAAAAAAAAAAAAAAGAATGAGACCCCATCTCTAAAAAAAAATAAAAAATAAAATAAACATGCATAGTATCTATTAATGTAAGTTACTCGGCAATATGGACAATGAGTAAGAGGGTAAAATCTGGTTCTGTCACTTACCAGACTTTGAAGGAGTTACTTAATTTCTCTTTGCCTCAGTTTCCTCATCTGCAAAATGAGGACAGTAACAATAACTGCTCCTAGGTTTGTTGTGCAGATTAAACAAATGTATACACCGTAAGGCACTTCAAGAAGGGGTAGTCAGAGTGTTTGCTTCAGTTCCCAGGAGCTGGGAGACCTCACATCCTGGCGGAGCCTCTAGTTCTGGCTGCACAGACCTGACTAGCCTGGCCTGGCCGCAGTAGCTGGCCCTGAGTAGTGACCCGCTCGCCCGCTGCCCTCGGAAGCCTCACTTGGCTGACAAACAGGAAGGTGGCAGGGCTGCCTGCGTGCCCTTGCCGCCCCCACAGCCCTGTGTCTGGCCCCAACCCTCATCTCTACTCGCGGCTGCGGTGAACTTGGATGGTGCTACTCTCACCACAAACCACAGTCCGTCACAAATTGCCGTGTGGTGAGTAGCGAGCACATTTATAATTGATGAAATCAGGGGGTGAGAGCTCATCGCTGAGATGCTCAGTAAACAAAGACCTGGTCCTTGGGTGGGGGAGGGGGTGCTTGAGAGTAAACAAGGGGACAGGAATGTTGGGGGGCTTAACTCTCCTGGAGAGTACATGAAAGGTCTCACCCACCAGCTTTTGTTTTTATTATTAAGCTTATTTTAAAGAGTTTCAATCCTATAGAAAAGTTGCACGAATATATAGACTCACATAGATTCCTTTTTTTTTAGAGACCGGGCCTCAGTCTGTCTCCCTGGCTGGAGTGCAGTGCTGCAATCATAGCTCACTGCAGCCTCAAACTCCTGAGGTCCTCTGATCATCCCACTTCAGCCTCCCAAGAAGCTGGAAGTACAGGCGTATACCACCGTGCCCACGTAATTTTTACTTTTTTTTTTTTTTGTAGAGATGGGGTCTCACTATGTTGCCCAGGCTGGTCTCAAACTCCTGGCCTCAAGTGATCCTCCTATCTCAGCTTCCCAAAATGTTGGGATTTACAGGTGTGAGTCACTGCACCTGGCCTAATAATTATATTCTTCAGTCTTTTCTTACTAGTCTGTTCTTAGTCTCATTCTGTTTAACCATTTGTGAGTAAGCTGCAGAGATCATGAACTTCCCTGCTAAATACCTCAAGGACATTTTCTTACATACCTATAAGAATGACTAACGGCCGGGAGCGGTGACTCATGCCTGTAATCCCAGCACTTTGGGAGGCTGAGGCGGGCAGATCACGAGGTCAAGAGATCGAGACCATCCTGGCCAACATGTTGAAACCCTGTCTCTACTAAAAGTACAAAAACAAGCTGGGTGTGGTGGCACCCGCCTGTAGTCCCAGCTACTCAGGAGGCCGAAGCAGGGGAATCGCTTGAACCCGGGTGGCAGAGGTTGCAGTGAGCCGAGATCACACTATTGCACTCCAGCCTGGTGACAGAGCAAACTCCGTCAAAAAAAAAAAAAAAAAAGAATGACTAATATCAGAAAATGTAATAACACAATACTAATATAAAATCCATGTTCAAATCTCACCAATTATCCAATACAATCCTTTTTAGCAACTCTTTTTTCCCAATCAAACCTGATTAGCCTTTCAATAGTCAAGGTCCCAGGTAATTGTCACCCTTGGTCCCCCACCCCACTGGGGGCTAGAATCCCACAGTCAGGTAGGAGTGATGAAGCTGTGGTCAGATCAGAAAACAAGGCCAAGCTTAGGATAACAGCTGGAGCCAGATGTAGAATCTGGCTAAGTAAGCTCTGGGAGCCCTGGAAGCTGTTTCCAGAAGGTCCCCAGGGATGGGAGCCCAGGTGAGCAGGGAGAGAGGCATGGAAGCTCTTACTGGGATCCCAAGGGAGACAGGAGGCTCTCACACTTCTGTCACAGCAGCCAAACCCTGGGCATGGACAGGTGGGGACAGGAGAGATGTTAGGAAGATAGGGAGGAGATCATCAACATTTCAGGCACAGAAGCTGGCAGAAGAGAGACACCTTTGTCATCTGTATTATGCTAATTGGTTAGTCTGTATATTTATTTAACAAATGTCTATTGCACCCTTACTGTATGCCAAAAACTATTTTAAGTGCTGGGGATACAGACCCAGTTCCAACCTTAAGGTGTTTATGTTCTATTGGGAGATGGGATAGTTTGCACTGTTGTTGTGAAAACGGTCACCCCCCCATCCCCTCCCACTCCCCTTCACAACAGGTGTAAGAGAGTAAACTTGCCCAATCCACTGCTATTACACTTGGCCATGAGACTTCTTTGGCCACTAGAATGTTAGCGGTGTGTCATGATCACCCTTAACCGTGCTGTGAGGTTTGGCTTGGCTTTTAAGTTCCTGCCATTCTCCAAGACAAGCATGTGCCCCAGGGAGCTGCTGGTCCAAGGAGAATGGAGAGAGACATGGAGTCCACCCAAACCCAAGCCATAGCCTGGAGCTGCCCTGCTCGGGCTGACACACAGACTCACAAATGAGAAAGATCAGCACTTGTTTGGAGCCTCTGAGTATCGGGGTGGTTTGTTACACAGCATCATTTCAGCAGTAGCTGACTAAGATGGGTGGAGACAGAATATAAACAAGCCAACTAAGACATGTGTGATGTCTTAGTGATAAGAACAGGAAGACAAAGAAAGCAGGAGAAGAGGAAAAGAGTGGTCAGGGCTGTTATAGATAGGGCAGCCAGGGGAAGCCCCCTGATAAGGGAGCAGAGATCTGAAGGAAGTGGGGGAAGGAGTTATCCAGGGCAGGAATTTCTCAAGGAGGAAACAGCAAGCGCGAGGCTCCCCAGGCAGGCACAAGCTGAGCCCAGGAGCAAGCCTGTATGGCTGGAGCAGAAGGAGCCAGCAGGGATAGGGTGGAGTGATAGGAGATGGTTCAGAGAGGAGGCTGGGGCCAGATCCAGTGGAAAGGACTTAGACATTTATTGGACTTGGACATCATCTCGTATAACTTGTTCCTAGCTGTCTGATGAAAGAGCGGACATGCAGAAAGGGCGCTGGCTGAGCTCCCTGGTTTGGGATGAGTACTGGCAGTGCCAATGTCAGCCACATTCAAGCCAGTGTTCCAGGGGCCTTCTCTCAGTCTCATGCTCCTGCTTTTCCTTGAGATTCTCCCCTCTCTTGTCCCCTCCCTATCTTGGCTCTCTACCCACCACCCCAACACCTCCAGCTCCCCCTCTGCTCCCCCTTTTGCTCCCCTGGACCTTCCTGGCTCTCGGCCTTCAACCCTCAGCCCTCAGCCCCTTTGGCTCTCAAGGTGGGGACCACTCCCACCTCTCCAGCCCTGTCTTGGAGCCCTGGGCATTCTGTCACTAGCTCTCTGCTTGGTCCTGTCCCTCAGGTGGCCTGTGGTCCTTTCACACTGGACATGCCTCAAACGGAGCCCATCGCGAGGGGAAGGGCTCTCAGGGACTATCTGAAACCTCGGGAGCTTCGTAGACCCCTCTACAAAGGGGAGCCAGTGGCCCAGCCAGTGGCTTTATTTTCCTAAGATACTGATTTCAACATGTCACTCCCCAGCCTTCTGTCTTGGATGGCAGCTCTTCTCTATGGGATGAAGGAACCCTCCTCGGCCCAGCACTGAAGGTCTTCTACCGTCTGGTCTCAGCTCACCTTTGCATCGGCTCCCACCGCCAGCCAAGCTGGATGCCCTCCCACCCCATGCCTCAAGCACACCCTGCTTCTAGGTCCTTACTCACAGGGCCCTTTGCTCAGTGGGAGTTTGCTGAGGGCCCACTGTGTGCGGGCGCTTTCCAGGGTGCTAGGCACAGAGGAGCAGCTGGCAGACTTACATTCGTAGAGCACACTCGGGTGCCTCTGCTGCGCCTCCCTGCACCTCCCCTTCCTTCCCTTCCCTCAAGGCTGGTCACCTATGGCCTCCACGACCAATGTCTCCCTGCTCCTTGGTCATTGGGAAGGTAAGCATACCTTGCCTTGTGTCTGATTGTTCTTTTAAATGAAGATTTCCATTTTTAACTATAGAAGTGACACATCCTCATTGTGAAAAATATGTAGAATGTGGAAAAGAAAGAAGCAAAAGAAGTTATATAACCTGGCTAAGAACATGGAGAAGCTTCTCTTAAAAAGAGGTGTCCTCAGCTGCTCGCCTTCCACACGCCTTCCTCACAGAGGAGGCAGCCTTGATTCCTGGGTGGGAAATGCCAAAAATGACGGAATCAAAGCCTTTTCTGGAAGCGGGCAGAGATTTCTAGGGGTGGGGAAGAGAGAATATAGAACTTAAGAGAACTGAGCTCTTGATGGAAAGTGGGGGTGGGGAACACAGAGGGGAGGCCCAGAGACTGAGAGGTCTAGGAGAACGGGTTAAAACCGAGGCCAGAGCCCCGGAAAAGGAGCCCAGAGGCCCCAGCTCTTTCCCTACTTACTTACTGTATCTGTGTGACCTTAAGCGAGTCCCTTGGTCTCTCTGAGATGCAGTATTTTCCCAAGTGAACGGGCATTGCCACACTTCACCTCCTCAGGGCGTTGTGGGGACCTTCAAAGCCGTAAAGCCCTTTGTAAATGGTAACGCCTAACACAAATAGGAGAGCACGCTGCCCTCTCTGGGTAGGCCCCTCATCTGGGTCCTGGTTCCAGTCTGGTACTGAGCCTCTGGAGGACAAGGGTCACATTTATTCCAATTTCTCTTCTGCATGCCCCAGTGCCCACTGAGCACAGTGGGAATACAAACACATTTATTATGCACTCTGCATATGACTAGAAGGAACTTTGGAGCTCAGATCCACCCTTTACACAGATGGGGAAAATCAAGGCTCACACCACAAGGTGAGCTTGGTGGTATCTTTACAACTCCAGGTAGTGACAAAACCAGGATGCAGATTCTGAGGAATGAACGAGTGAGAGAATGAAGGGAAATGGGGCAACAGTCAGCATGAGCAAGGGCTGACCTATGGTGGGTCTTAGCCTTTACTGTGCTCAGTGGCCCCACAGCACCATCGTCTCTCCAAGGAGCACGGAAGCAGCCCCCCGTGTGGGGTATGGGCACAGACCCCAGGGCCCAGGCAGGCAGGGGATGTGCCAGTGGTCCTTGCCACGGGCCACCAGCTTTGCCACCCTGCTCCAGGGCCCTGGCCTCTCCCCAGGGTGCAGGACGCCACTCCCAGGCACTCTGGCTCCGTTTCTTACCAGGCTGCTCTGGGATGGCAGCATCCCAGCATCGCTATAAATAGCATCTCTCCTGGGCCCCAGACGGCCAGTTGGCAAACACTATAATTTGCTGAAAAGTTTGGAATGTGTCTAAAAATGAAGAAGGCAAATGAGACCAGCCATGAGGGGGAGCAACCGGCGTATCCATTTCAGAGAGGGGCTGAGCCTCACTCCTGCTTCTTGCCAACTTCTTTACAAGGGCACTGCAGGCAAAGCTTCAGGGAGAGGGGACAAATATGAGTCTAGGAAAGAACTATTGTCATTTCCAGCATCAGCTGTGGCGGCTACCTCTTGTATTGGCCTCACCCCTGACCTTCCTGTCCTAACCAAAGAACGAGAGGAACTGCCACTGCTTAACCCTTTGTTGGGCTGTGCTAATGAAATTGAAGGGAACATGGTGAGCATGCGAGGACTGTGAGAGCCAGAAAGAAACCCCCAAAATAATTTCATTCAATAGTTTCATCCAAACTCTCCCAGTTTGCAAATGAGGAAGTGACTTGACAAAGGCCGGGCACCAAGTTGAAGCAGAACCAGATTTTGGCCAAGGTCCCTGGGCTCCCAGCTGGGTGCTGGGCATTGGATCCCAGGCCTGCTGTGAGGGCTGGCTCTCTTAGGGAAAGGGGAAGGGTCCCATGGCTCTCCCATCATGCTGAAGGTTGACACCTGACAAGTCACTGCAGCTTTCCCTTGTTCTGCTCTGATTCTCATTCTACTCTAAGGAGGCACAGCCACCATTATCCTGATTTTATGGCTGAACAGGCCGAGCTTCAGGGTAGAAACTCATCCTCATCCACAAAGCCATGGGAAGGCTTGATTAGAATTTACCACTCTGTCCCCAGACACTCTGGGCTGTTCCCACCTTCAGGTAGAACTCACTGCCTCAAAAGCCACCTTTTACTGTTCTTTGTCTTATCTTCTGGGATTGTGATTTTCCCTGTAGGAAAAATCATGGACAATGGCAGTAGACTGGCGTGGTGGCTCACACCTGTAATCTCAGCACTCTGGGAGGCCAGGCAGGTTGAGACCAGCCTGGCCAACATGGTGAAACCCTGTCTCTACTCAAAATATAAAAATTAGCTGGGCGTGGTGGTGGGAGCCTGTAGTCCCAGCTATCAGGGATGCTGAGGCAGGAGAATCGCTTGAACCCGGGAGGTGGAGGTTGCAGTGAGCCGAGATTGTGCCACTGCACTCCAGCCTGGGCAACAGAGTGAAACTCCATCTCAAAAAAAAATTCTGAAGTAGAGCCCCAGATCCAGCAGTCTCACTGTATGATCTTGGGCAAGTCACTTCCCTTCACTAAGGCTGAATTTATCCTTATGTAAAACTATAATAAAAATAAAAGCTTCCTTTGGGAGGCCAAAGCGGGCAGATCACGAGGTCAGGAGTTTGAGACCACCCTGGCCAACATGGTGAAACCCAGTCTCTACTAAAAATACAAAAACTAGCTGGCCATGGTGACAGGCACCTGTAATCCCAGCTACTCAGAAGGCTGAGGCAGGAGAATTGTTTGAATCCGGGAGATGGAGGTTGCAGTGAGCCGAGGTCGCACCATTGCACTCCAGCCTGGGCAACAGAGCGAGACTATGTCTCAAAAATAAATAAATAAATAAAAATAAATAATAAAATAAATGAATGAATAAATTAAAGCTTCCATTCACAAAGCACATGGTCACGGGCTTTATGTGCATTTGTTCTCTTTGTCTTCATAACAATCAGACGGGCAAGATATATTCCTATCCTATTTTACAGATGAAGAAATTGAGGCAGGGGGTTAAGTGACTTGTCCGAGATCACATCAGATTTTCACAAGTTGGAAACTCACTGCACCAGATGCTCTGAGGTCCTTTACAGCCTTAATAATTCTGCCTTTTGTGGTTCCAAACACAATAGAAATTAGCAATGGCTCGCTTGGTAGTTCTCAGCTCTTGCCAGCTGAGAGGCTTCATTTGGGGGCAGAAGACAGGGAGTAGGGAGAGTTCACATCTGTGAAAAGTCTGTACAGAGGAGGAGCCAGGATGCCCGGTCTTGGCCTGTCAGCCAAGGCCCTCTCTCTCTCTCTGCAGAAGGCACCTGCCGCCCTGTGGGGCCGCTTAGTGAGAACTGTGGCTGAAAAGCGACATCGTGTGTCCAGTTGTAGAACTGCACTGTTAGAGAACTCCAGGACAATGAGGAGTGGAGGGAAATATTCTGTTGTTGTGGACTTGAAGGCGCTTTTAAATTATTTGTAAAGTTTTAAAAACACACAGGTGCCAGAACCTCAGACCTAGAGAACCAGCATCTCAAGCAGTAGGACAGAGACCTGTTTTTTTAAGACTTGGGCGATTCTGTGGCAGCCTAGCTGAGAACCGCAAGTATAGACAGCTTTTAAGGGGGTGCTGGTATGCTGGTCAGAACTTCTCAGCTGCAACACCTCCACCTGGTGTTGCACTTCTGTCTGGGATACCAGAATGTTCTAGGCAGCTGACAGAAACAAATCCATTAGACATTATTTATAAAGGAAAATCTAGCTGCATTGTACATTTGATTTGTGCTTTGTTAAGAAATAAAATGGCCGGGTGCAGTGGCTCACGCCTGCAATCCTAACACTCTGGGAAATGAAGGCAGAAGAATTGCTTAAACCCAGGAGTTTGAGACCAGCCTGAACAACATTGGGAGACCCTGTCTCCACAAAAAAAATAAAATAAAATAAAATAAATAGCCGGGCACAGTGGCGTGCCAGCTACTGGGGACGCTAAGGTGGGAGGATTGCTTGAGCCCAGGAGGTCGAGGCTGCAGTGAGCCATAATTGCGCCACTGCACTCCAGCCTGGGTGACAGAGTGAGACCCTGTTTCTTAAAAAAAGAAAGAAAAGAAAAATAAATAAAATGGCAGCTGGTAAAAAAAAATGAGTATAGAAATAGATTCAGTTATTTTAGAGAAATGTCAGTGAAATTCAGTCCATGTATAGAGGATACAGAAATCTTTTTTATTTTTTTTTCTTTAATGAAGTGGCTCTCAACTGGGAGCAATGTCTGGAGACATTTTACGGCTTTCACAACTGGAGGGTGCTACTGGCTTCTAGAGGGCAGGGGCAAGGGATGCGGCGGAGCATCCTGCAATCTACAGGACAGCCCCCCACAACAAAGAATTACCCGGCCCCAAATGTCCATAGTGCTGAGGCCCCAAGGCCCTGCTTCCATGAGCACAAAGGACTCCCATTTTTCAGGTCCCCTGAGGGTGGGGGCTCTGCCCTCTTCATCCTCTCTCCCGGGACCTAGCAAGAGGCAGGTGCTCAGTACATACTGCATGACAGAAGTTCAGTGAGGGGCATTTTGAGAAAAATTATCTAATGTGGACACATTTGCAAACCTCCCTAATATGCACAGTCCTGGGTGCATTTCTACATGGCATAGACTGTCTGAAGCTAAAACATCTCATTTGTCAGCTGGACACTACCCAAGTACACCAAACACAACCTGGGAGTCAGGGGAGATAGGGGTGGTAAGGAGGATTCAGACCCCGTAGAAACGGGTTAAACCTCAGCTCCTTCAAGCTGTGTGTCCTTGGGCAAGTTGCATAACTTCTCTGGGCCTTAGTTTCTTCCTCTGTAAAATGAGGCTAACACACCTTCTCACAGGCTGTTGTGAAGGTTAAATGGCATTGTGCGCAAAAAATGATGAGCATGGCCCTGTATGTGCTGATTAAATGTTAGCTATGTGGGCCAGGTGCGGTGGCTCACACCTGTAATCCCAGCACTTTGGGAAGCTGAGGCAGGTGGCTCACAAGGTCAGGAGTTCAAGGCCAGCCTGGCCAACATAGTGAAACCCCCATCTCTACTAAAAATACAATTAGCCGGGCATGGTGGCAGGTGCCTGTAATCCCAGCTACTTAGGAGGCTGAGGCAGGAGAATCGCTTGAACCCAGGAGGCAGAGGCTGCAGTGAACCAAGATCGTGCCACTGCACTCCAGCCTGGGCGACAGAGCAAGACTCCGTCTCAAAAAAAAAAATGTTAGCTGTGATTGGCACCCTCATGACTGAGGTCTGGATTGGTTGGGTGTGGCTGCTGTGCTGCCAGAGACAAGCTATCACTCACATTGTATCTGAACAAGAGTAATGATGGTGCATAATGAATACATTGGGAAGAGGCAGAAGGCCTTGGACTCACTAACTCAAAACCTCCGTAGGAGGGGCCTGGGAATATGCATCTGTAATAAACTCCCGGGCTTTTATTTTTTTGAGATGGCGTTTCTCTCTTGTTGCCCAGGCTGGAGTGCGATGGCGCAATCTCAGCTCACTGCAACCTCCACCTTTGGGGTTCAAGCAATTCTCCTGCCTCAGCCTCCCAAGTAGCTGGGATTACAGGATTACAGGCACCTGCCACCACGCCCGGCTAATTGTTTGTATTTTTAGTAGAGACAGGGTTTCACCATGTTGGCCAGGCTGGTCTCAAACTCCTGACCTCAGGTGATCCACCCACCTCAGCCTCCCAAAATGCTAGGATTACAGGCCCAGGTGATTCTTACAGTTGGGCAAATTTGGAAAATCTGGCTTTAGTACAAAGACTTTGGAGTTAAGCTGCCAGGCTCTGCTACTTACTAACTGGGTGATCTTAGGCAAGCTACTTAACCTCTCTGTGCCTCGATTTCCCCACCTGTTAAGCCCTTGCCCAGCACTACTGCTGGCATCCAGTAGACTCAAGAAATGGCAGCTCCTCCCGCCTCTTTCTCAAGTTTAATGGTGTATGATCTTCACCTTCATCCTCCATACAAGGCCTGCCTTCTGCTCCTGTCATTTCTCTCTGACTCATCCTTTCTCTAAGTCCCCACTGGTCCTTGGTGGGTCTATTTGGTGCCCCTTGGCCTCCTCATGGGCTTCTCTAATTCTTGTCCCCACCATCTCACTGAGTCCATCAAGCAGAAGCAAAAACAGAACATGTGCTGTGGTTTGTAGTTTTCAAGGCATATTTCACATATTTTACCTCATTGACTCTTCCCAGATCATCCTGAAGCATCGCCGTCAGGATCTCTGCAAAATGAGTGAGCTGAGTCTGAAGCTCAGGGTGACTGACTGTCCTGAGCCCCAGAGCAAGAAAACAGGAGCATCTCTGCCTCCCGGCCCTGTGCATTTTCTCCGGTGACCTGAGGCCTCTCAGTTCCTCCCACTGCCCCTAGTCTGATTCGCATCCTGCCCTTCTGCTGCTCAGGAAGCAGCTCTGGCTCCCCAGCGATCAGATCCAAGTGCCTACACCTGGTTTCAAGGCCCATCACAGGCCACAGCTTGGAATCATTCTCCCCCTCCTGGATTTCCTGCATTTCCCAGACTTTCCATCAACCCAGCTGGGCTCCTCTCTGCCTCTCATCCTCCCTGCCTCCCTGCTTGGATGCAAGCTGTCTCCCTGCACAGCACCCCTTATATAGAGTGGATAGCACAGGGAGGAATGGAGGCATGCCATGCCTGGGGTCCCTCCAAACCCCCATGCCTGGCATCACTCCCTCAGCCCCTGCCAGGTCTCCTTCTCCAGGAAGCCTCCCTGCCCTTCAGTGAGTATCCAGTGCTCAGCCAGGCGGTCACAGCCTTTTGCTGCTCCTCTCCTGCCCTGCCCCCACCCCTCACACACACACTGGCCTTTGGTCCCTTTCTGCCCAGCAACTCAATCTTTTGGTGTTATTTGTATTTGTATTACCCTATCTGTCGAAAGGGGTCGGGTGGGGTGGGGGAGAGGGCTGCCACCCCCCATGTGGAGCCCACCGTGAGACCATGAACAGAATGGGGGTGACTGACAGGGCTCCTCTGCCACCTTGGCTGCTGGGGGCAGTGGTAGAAATCACCACTGGCTATTGTGACCTCCAAAGGCACTTGTCACTACACAGTGACACAAAGGTTGGTTTCCGGCTCCTCCCCGTGGCCAGCATATCCCTGGGATCCAAGACAGGTCCGCATCATACTGCCAGGGGATCCTCGGGGTTAGGCACCCAGGAATGGATGGGATGCAGGCAGGGCTGGGACTGGTGGCTGGCTCTATTGTGCTCTGATGCTGCAGGAACAGACCAGATGTCATCCAGGGGCCCGGAATTTGGGGGGCGCCGCTGGGTGTGGCAGCATCAGAAGCCTCAGATCCGCATCTCCATCTGCCACAGGTGAGCTCTATACCTCTGAGCCAGTGGCCTGTGGGAGTGAAATAATCAGAGCCACTTTGAGGTCAGAAGGTACAACAGGGGTGAAGGATTGGGGTGGGGGAGGGGTTGGGGGTCCTGGAGGGCTGGTGCTGTGTTTCTGCCTTCACTCCTGACATCCTCTTGCAGTACAGGGTGAATATTTTTACCCACATCTTGCAGGTGAGAAAATAGAGGCCTGAGAGGCTGTGCTGGGAGTTCACACAAGATTCTTAGTCCTGGCACCACAAGAGTCACATGCCAAGTCCCAGGCTGCATCCAAACCAATTGAATCAAAGCCTCAGGGGAGCGGGACCCAGGCAACAGTATTTTTATGGTCCCCATGTGATTGTGGTAGGGCAGTCAGTGGGGAGAAGGGAGACTAATGGCTCAGACGGCACTTTGCAAACTTTCAAGTTGTGCAAAGTTCCCTTTGTGTCTTTGTGTAGCTCCTAATCCACGCTGAGCCTCCGTCCTCATCTGTAAAATGGGGATAATACGGTTCCTTGAGTTGATGAGTTGAAGTGCTTTCTTAATTAACATTGCAACTTGACCACCCGGCACTCTTGGTTCCCTTTTCCCTGTGTGGAGGGTTTGTTTCTGTTTTGCCATAGCCCTTACCACGTGTGAACATATGATATATTTTACCTATTCAGGATTTTCATTCATCAGTGCTTGACACTCCCCTACCTCTGCTAGAACACCATATGCATGAAGGCCAAGATCTTCATCACTGCTTCACTTTTATTCTTTCCTGTATCCCAAGCACCAAGCAGCACAGTGTTTGGCACACAGTAAAGTGCTTAACAAATAGCTGTTGAATGAATGAATGTGCCTGCCACCATCTCATACATGTTACAGGCATCACTGCTGCTGCTGGGCTTGTGGTCTGGTCTGCAGCCTTCTCGCCTGAACCGCTCACCTCCCAAGCTGCTTGCAAACTGAATAAAGCTCTCCCAAAGTCAAGCTGATCGCTCCTTTCCCTGAGAAACATGCCTCTGTCCCTGCTTCTTGGGGTCTCCCCAGCCCACCATCTCCCCTTGGACACAGAGTGCCAGAGCACTAGCAGGGAGAAGTGGCAAAGTTTCAAGATTTCATTTGTAATTCTTTTCAGATGAAATGTCAGAAATATTAGAAAGGCAGAGTCATAAATCTGATCCTAATATAGCATAGAGCTTATTAATGAAGAATAAATCACCAAGGGAAACCTCCCCGGGGTGCTTCTCCAGGGCCTGTGGGGAAGATGGCATATTTATGTGCAAGCGTAGCGGGTCTTTTACCTTCTCAGATATATGGCCAAGGCAGATTTGTCAGGGCAGTAGCCTTAACATCAGCCAATTATATTTTTTTCTAGTAAAAATTAATCTATTCTATAGAAGTCTCCTAAGCATTTATTGGATTAGGATCACATCCAAATGTAGAAAATTAAACACACACACAGTGCACACCACGGCAGGACTCTGAGAGGCCCTGAAATGGAATGACAACCACCCCCGCCGACCTCTGCTCCCTGCCAAGATATTCTCCCAACTGAAAAACTCAGAGTGAAGGAGCCAGAGGGAACAGCCTCATTGCACAGGTGGAGAAACAAAGGCCCAGAGAGGGGATAGGCCTTGCCCAGGGTCACCCAGATTGCTAAGGCTGACATGAGACAGGAACCCCAGGTCCGGGCTGGGTCTGGTGGCACACACCTGTAATCCCAGCACTTTGGGAGGCTAAGACGGGAGGATTGCTTGAGCCCAGGAGTTTGAGTCCAGCCTGGGCAGCATTAAAAGACCTCCATGTGTACAAAATATTAAAATAATACAAAAATCATCTGGGCATGGTGGTGCACACCTGTAGTCCCAGCTACTCAGGAAGCTGAGGTGGGAGGATCACTTGAGCCCAGGAGGTTGAGGCTGCTGCAGTGAGTCTCAATCACACCACTGCACTCCAGCCTAGGTGACAGAGACCCTGTCTCAAAAAAATGTTAAAAAGAACCCCAGCTCCTTCTTCCCACCTCAAAAGATGTCCACATCCCAATCCCCTAACTGTCCCAATGTGAATATGTTACCTTATGTGGCAAAGGGAACCTTCCAGGTGTGATTAAATTAAGGATATGAGGATGGAGGGATTTATCCTGGACTATCCAGATGGGTCCAATATACTCAAAAGCGTTCTTATAAAGGACAGAGGGAGGCAGGAGAGGCAGAGGAGGAGATGTGATGGCAGAAGCAGAGGCTACAATGACACGGGGCCATGAGCCAAGGAGTGCGGCAGGCTCTAGAGGCTGGAAGAGGCAAGGACCAGATTCTCCCTGGAGCCTGCAGAAGCACTGCAGCCTGCGGGCACCCCGCTTTTCAAACTTCTTCCCTCCACAACTGTCATAGTCCGTCTGTGTTCTCTGAAGCCACTTGGTTTATGGCAGTTTGTTACAGCAGCACTAGGAAACTCACATAGTGTTAGAAGGAGAAGCATTGCCAGGGAAACTGCACCTGGCAGTGTAGGCTTCCCTCTGTACTCAGTGCTAGGGAGGTACCCTTACCCTGAGGGTCACCCCAGATCACCCCAGAGTCATGTGGCTCCTCCTCTCCAGAGGCCACAAGGCCACCACCCCCTGCCTGCTCTTCCCTCATTCATGACGTTCTCACCCTCACGTGCTGGGCTGCAGCGGGGTCTCCCACTGTTTTCTTAGTCCCCCAGACTCCTGCAGCTTTTCTGCAGCCTGACCTCCTTCCAGATGGTTTTCCCTAGTACCTCACCTTTCCCCATCCCTCCTCTCAAAGACGCTAAGGAAAGAGCGACTTGCACCCAGGGCTTTTTCCCGCAGCCCCTCCCTGGTTCTCAGCCACTGTCTTCGGTCACCTCTCACTGCCTCCGGTCACCTCTCACTGCCTCGGGAGCCTCAGAACACCAGCCTCCCCTTCCCATCTCCGCTCTGGGGGCCTGCTCCAGTCTGGTGATTCCTCTCTCCATCTCCCAGCACTTGGGGACAGTTATGTCACTCAGAGAGCTCCCAGGGAAGAACCTGAAGAACAGACCCAGATAGAGGGGAGAGAGGGCAGTGGAACCTTATGGAAAAAGGGGCAGGTAGCCAGTGGCTGTGGTGCAAATGTTCTCGAGTGTGGCCCCCGGCCTGCCTAGCCTGGCTGATGCTTATTAAAAGTGCATATTCGGCCAGGCACAATGGCTCATGCCTGTAATCCTAACACTTTGGGAGGCCGAGGTAAGCGGATCACTTGCAGTCGGGAGTTTGTGATCAGCCTGACCAACATGGTGAAACCCCATCTTTACTAAAAATGCAAAAATTAGCCGGGTGTTGTGGCAGACACCTGTAATCCTAGCTGCTTGGGAGGCTGAGGCAGGAGAATCGCTTGAACTCAGAAGGCAGAGGTTGCAGTGAGCTGAGATCACACCACTGCACTCCAGCCTGGGCAACAGAGTGAGACCCCGTCTGAAAAAAAGAAAATGCATATTCTGGCTGGTGACGATGGCACATACCTGTAATCCCAGCACTTTGGGAAGCTGAGGCAGGAGGATCACTTGAGCCCAGGAATTTTAGTCCGGCCTGGGCAACATGTCGAAACCCTGTCTCTACAAAAAGCACAAAAATTATCTGGGTGTGGTAGCACACACCTGTGGTCCCAGCTACTCAAGAGGCTGAGGTGAGAGGATTGCTTGAGTCCAGGAGATTGAGGCTGCAGTGAGCTGTAATCAGGCCACTGCACTCCAGCCTGGGCAACCAAGCAAGATCCTGTCTCAAAAAAAAAAAAAAAAAAAAAAAAGGCCGGGCACGGTGGCTCACGCCTATAATCCCAGCACTTTGGGAGGCCAAGGCAGGTGGATCACGAGGTCAGGAAATCAAGACCATCCTGGCTAACACGGTGAAACCCCATCTCTACTAAAAATACAAAAAATTAGCCGGGCGTGGTGGCAAGTGCCTGTAGTCCCAGCTACTTGGGAGCCTGAGGCAGGAGAATGGCATGAACCTGGGAGGCAGAGCTTGCAGTGAGCCGAGATCGTGCCACTGCACTCCAGCCTGGGTGACAAAGCAAGACTCTGTCTCAAAAAAAAAAAAAAAGGTCAGGCTTGGTGGCTCATGCCTGTAATCCTAGCACTTTGGGAGGCCAAAGCAGGCGGGGCTGATCACCTGAGGTCAGGAGTTCAAGACCAGCCTGACCAACACGAAGAAACCCCATCTCTACTAAAAATACAAAATTAGCCTGGTATGGTGGCACATGCCTGTAATCCCAGCTCCTCAGGAGGCTGAGGCAGAAGAATCGCTTGGACCTGGGAGGGGGAGGTTGCGGTGAGCCGAGATCGCACCATTATACTCCAGCCTGGGCAACAAGAGCAAAACTCGGTCTCAAAAAAAAAAAAGTGCATATTCTAGTTGGGCATAGTGGCTCATGGCTGTAATCCCAAAAATTTGGGAGGCCAAGGTGGGAGGATCTCTTGAGACCTGAAGTTAAAGATCAGCCTGGGCAACATCACAAGACCCCAACTCCAGAAAAAATTTAAAAATTAGCCAGACATGGTGGCGTGCACCTGTAGTCCCAGCTACTTAGGAGGCTGAGATAGGAGGATCGCTCGAACCCAGAAGTTTGAGATTGCAGTAAGCTATGATTGCACCACTGCACTCCAGCCTGGACAACGAGACCCTGTCTCTAGAAAAAAAAAAAAAGGCACGTATTCCTGGACACCCCTCT
This sequence comes from Homo sapiens, assembly GCF_000001405.40. Lineage (NCBI taxonomy): Eukaryota > Metazoa > Chordata > Mammalia > Primates > Hominidae > Homo > Homo sapiens. Next base: position 43,685,862 of record NC_000017.11, on the reverse strand, counting down.
CACCAATAAACACATCCTTGCCAGAGCAGAATCTCTGAGAGTGGGCCCAGGAGTCTTCAGTCTACCATGCTGCTGGGATGTGTCTTATACAAAAATCAGGAAGTAGGCCGAGCACAGTGGCTCGTGCTTGTAATCCCAGCACTTTGGGAGGCCAAGGCAAGCGGATCACCTGAGGTCAGGAGTTCGAGACCAGCCTGGCCAACACGGTGAAACCCTGTCTCTATTAAAAACACAAAAAATTAGCCAGGCATGGTAGCGGGCGCCTGTAGTCCCAGCTACTCGAGAGGCTGAGGCAGGAGAATTGCTTGAACCCAGGAGGCAGAGACTGCAGTGAGCCAAGTTTGTGCCACTGCACCCCAGCCTAGACAACAGAGTGAAACTCCGTCTCAAAAAAAAAAAAAAAAAAAAAAAATCAGGAAGTAGAAAGAGAATGGACTTTGAAGTCAGGGAGCTCTGGGCTGAACTCCTAGCTTTCCCCACCTCCTAGTTGTGGGAATGCTCTTTATCTTCTCCAAACCTGTGTTCTCTTCCATAAAGCTGGGGGCTCTGATCTGCATGTGGCGGGAATTATGAGGATTCAGATAAACAGGGAAAGCACAGAGGCAGATGCTGCGGACGCCCTCCCGCATCTTCTGGGGGTCCCCTCATCCTGGAGCCCAACGGACCTAACTTCTGACAGCCTGAGGGCCCCTGGGAGTGCTGAAGAATGAGTGTCCCACCCACTCCATCCAGCAGCCTTAACAAAGGACGGGGATGGAGTTGGTGTATAAGTACCCGCTCCCTCATCCTTCCAGTGGGATAACTCTGAGGTGCAGGTTCCATGCTGGCTCCTGAGTTTCCCAGCAAAATTAAGCTTCCGTCACCCGCCGGGGTGCCCTTCCTGACAACACGCCCCTGTAAGCTGCCTTCCTTCCCTGGGTCACCTCCCTACCCTCCTACTGGAGCTTCCTGTGAGCATCCCTCAAACAAACAACTTGCCCTCAAGTACTTGTCTCAGGTCAGCTCCTGCGGGACCCCAGGCTAACATAAGCCTGGCAGCCTGGAAATGAGCCTTTTTTTTGAGACAGTGTCTTGCTCTGTCGCCCATGCTGGAGTGCGGTGGCACAATCACAGCTCACTGTAGCCTCAACCTCCCGAGCTCAAGCCATCTTCCCACCTCAACCTCCAGAGTACCACCATTCCTGGGTAATTGTTCTCTATTTTTTGTAGAGACGGGGATTTCGCCATGTTGCCCAGGCTGGTCTCAAACTCCTGGGCTCAAGGGATCCACCCGCCTCGGCCTCTCAAAGTGCTGGAATTACAGGCAGGAGCCACCACGCCTAGCCGTGAGTTCTTTTTCCTCTCCTCGTCTTTGACTGTCAGTGTGGAGACCAGGTTGGCCCAGACCAAGCAAAGCCACCAGAGGGCCTGGATAGTGCTGTGGCTTGCAGGGATACATAGACACTGATGTCCGGGACCCAGCAAGGACAGTGTCCCCTGACTGTAAGGATGCCATCGAAGTCCCAGGAAAGGCAGCTCACCCTTCCCTTCCCCAGATCCCCAGTATCTGCTAGTCAGGAAGCAGAGCTATAGGCCCATCCACAAGAATCCCCTAATCCCACATCCCTCAGTCTGAAATTGGCCCTAACCACAACTTTCCCTATCTTCATCTTTCTTTCCTAGTTCCTCAGACACAAAGCAAACAGCCACTTCCCCGCTCCTCAGAGACACCTTGCCTCTAAATCTTGAAACTGCCAAGCCCCAGCTGGCTAGGCCACTGGCCACATGAATTCTAGTCCCCAGGGGCACTGAAGTCACCTCCCAGAGAAATCCCTATGATTTCATCTTCTATTTAATCTTTATTTCTCCTCATACTTTTCAGAACTTCAAATAATTTCTCGTTTGTAGTAACTAGGAAGCCATAAATCGCCCCTTTATGTCTAAGGAAAATCAATTGTTATTTGACATTTTACCTTAATATTCCCGACTTCCTTCAACTGTAATAAAGCTTCCATCTGCCTTTTATTTTACAGGCAATTAGTAAGTCACCTTTTTAAAATTTCTCCACATTTTCTATCAAATGAATGCTAGGATTGAAAGGGGAGAGCTGTTTTATGGGATTGAACTCACTGAGTAGAAGGGATTTATCTGTAGCCTTCGAGGTACCAACACTCATTAATGGGTTTTATTGATTTGGGGGCTTTTTAACCCTTAGCAATAATACAGGTGTCACCTGCCCAAGGCAGTTGGGAGGGGGCAGGGATGCTGGGAGGGGCTGTGAGGGAGTCCACACATTTCTGAGCCCTGGGCCCAAGCTAGAAAGGCAGAGAAATGAGATCTAACCCTTTGAAGTGTGATCACGCTCAGTGCAACCACACCCTCAGAGGTAAATCATAGCCCAGACACCCTCTTTTTCCTGGAGACAAAGTTGGAGTTTTTTGGGTTTTTTCTTCAAATTACCCAGGGGAATGCAATGCTTTTGCACCCCTATCATGGGATCAAAAGAAAGAGGCCCATTGTTGGGGTTCAAGGCCCTGGGCTTGGTCTGCCTCTTTTAGCCCTGGGGTTGTGGGCAGGCCAGGGAAGGAACCTCTGAGACTCAGTTTCCTACGATGTGAAGTGGAGAGAAGAATCTCCTCTTTAGCCACCTCTCAGGGCTGCTGGTGTTCGCCCCCAGACCACGTCTGTGAGAAATGCTTAGAAGACTATGCAGGGCGTAAGAAACTACATAAGGAACCAATGAGAATCCTAGTCACAAATGGAAACCTCAGTCCACAAACTCCAGAACGAAACCTTCCTTGCTTTTCTAGAACTCATCTTATGGGTTCTGTACCCCCCATTGCCTGGGCTGGTGGAACTCTGGTGCCAGTCTTTCCCTAGCAATTTCTCCAAAACCCCCCACGGCCTTTTCCACCATTCCCCTTCCTTGAAGGCCGCCATTTGACACTCAGAGCCCAGGAAGCCTTTCTTGGTCCAGACAGCAGGACTGGAAGCCTTAGAGCTGTCGGCAAGAGATGTGAGTCCTGTAGCTGAGGACAGTCCAGGCAGAGTATGAATAAGACGGCAAAAGTAAGTCCAGAAGACATTAATGGTAGACTTTGGGTGGCAGGTGTATGGGTGCTCACTATAAAATCTTTTCAACATTGCTATACACTTGAAATTTTTCATTAAAATGTTAGAAGGGAAAAAAAAGGCTTATTCTGGGGCAAATCCCCCAAGGTAGGGTACCCGCCTGTGATGGGAGAAAGGAACGAATGTGAGCAGAGGAGGAAGGCAAGGGGCCCTCTGAATCTAGACGAATTTGTTTGTGGGACCTGCTACGTTATTTGTGGGCCCAGTGCAAAATGAAAATTTGGGGCCCTTCCTTCATAAATTAAGAATATCAGCTAGGCACGGTGGTTCATGCCTGTAATCCCAGCACTTTGTGGGGCCGAGGTGGGTGGATCACCTGCGATCAGGAGTTCGAGACCAGCCAGCCTGGCCAACATGGTGAAACCCCGTCTCTACTAAAAATACAAAAATTAGCTGAGTGTGGTGGTACATGCCTGTAATCCCAGCTACTCAAGGAGCTGAAGCAGGAGAATTGCTTGAACCCAGGAGGCAGAGATTGCAGTGAGCTGAGATCACGCCATTGTACTTTATCTTGGGTGACAATAGTGAAACTCCATTTCCAAAAAAAAAAGAAAAAAAAAACAGTATCAAGATGGGACAGCAAAGCATTAAACTACGTGCCTTTCTTATCTTAGAGCCCTGGGTCCTGCATGGTTGCCCGGCCATGAAGCCAGCCCTGTCTGCTTGGGTTGAGAGGTCTATTTTGACCAACCCCTTCTGACCCATCTCTCCATTTCTAATCTTACAAGAACAATACACTGAACCTAGCATTTGATGCAAGTGAACAATAAGTGAGTAGGTTGGGACCTTTTCTTTTTTTCTTTCTTTCTTTCTTTTTTTTTTTTTTTTTGAGATGGAGTCTCACTCTGTTGCCCAGGCTGGAGTGCAGTGGCGTGATCTCAGCTCACTGAAACCTCTGCCTCCCGGGTTCAAGCGATCCTTCTGCCTTAGCCTCCTGAGTAGCTGGGACTACAAGCACGCACCACTATACCGGCTAATGTCTTTTGTATTTTTAGTAGAGATGGGGTTTCACCATGTTGGCCAGGCTGGTCTCTAACTCTTGACCTCGTAATCTGCCCACCTCAGCCTCCCAAAGTGCTGGGATTACAGGTGTGAGCCACCACGCCCAGCCAACCTTTCTAATAATAATAATATTTACTGCTCACATGGCCTTCACCGTATGCCAGGCACTGATTCAGCACCCCATGGACATTAACTCATTCAAGCCTCCCAGCAACCCTGTGAGACAGGACTATTGTTACTCCCATTTCACAGATGAAAACTCAGAGGCACAGAGAGAATAGGTCACTTGCCTAAGCTCTCAGAGCTGGTAAGCGGTAGAGACGAGCTTTGCTCCCAGGTAGCTGGGCTCCAGAATCATGCTTTTAACCACTCCACTCTGCCGCCTCTCCAAAAAGATAGTCAGGACAAGCCTGACAGAGATGGCCCCCTGGATGGAATTTTTGCTGGTCCCAGGAGGGCAACCTTCTTGGCATGGCTATAGCGCTCAGTGCTTCTCAACTGCAAGGTCACCACACACCATCTTGAACTGAGTCACAGGTGTCACATTACTAGTCAGAAAGAAGCAAAGTCTGTGAATAATTAAACTTTTTAAAAAATGAAATCAGATTCAAGCAGTGTCCTCTCACATATTTGTATCTTAACTGGCTTTTCAGACTGCAGGAACAGCCAGCACCAGAGATATCTCCTGCAAGGCCTCCTAGGTGGGTTCTTGGAAGAAAGGAATGCCAATGAATATGATTGCAAGGTGAGGCAGGGCAGGAGACGCAAGAACTGCACCGCTAACCTTATTAATAGGGATTGAAGAGTGCTGAATTTATAAAAACAATGCTTTTGGTTTCACAGGCTCCCGCTCTCATTACACCCGCCCCAGGACACCACGGACACCTGGTAGCCACCAGTGGAATTGCAGGCTTAGTGTCCAGAAGGGTCTTTCTCACATTAGCTAGAGACGAGAGAAGCGGCGTCCTCAACTCCAAGAATCCCGTATTCCCCAACCCACATCCTTCAGTCTGAAAGTGCCCCTAACCACTACTTTCCCTACCACGTCTCCCTTTCCAAGTTCCTCAAACGCAAAGCAAACAGCCATTTCCTGCACCTGTGTGCAGTCGTAGCAGTACGTAGGAGATCCAATATGCCTGGGTGAGTCAGGAGAACTCCCTGAGATCATGGCCCTTGAGAATGGGTAGGAAATGGCCAGGGAGACAATAGGGGAAGGGCATCCTCAGAAAGAGGGGACAGATTTGGGGGCACGCCTTGTAAGAAAGAGCTCCAGGATGCACCCGTGATTATTGTTTCATTTTACCCTCACAAACAACCTTGCCAGGGAGATAGTATTGCTCACATTTTAAGGTGTGGAAGTAAAGATTCAGGAAAATGAGCTTACCTGCCCAAAGTGATCTGACAGGTAAGTGGCAGGGCCGTCTTGTCTGATGTGAGTTGAGGAGGATTTCAGCTGGTAGAGTTCGGGAGTAATTCTGGATCACCTGGGGAAAACAATAAACATACAGGGCGGCTTTCAAGTGCTCGCACTACCCTTGGCACCGAAGCCTGCCCAGTCCTTGGGGCACAGCCAGGAGGATGAGGGCCCTTCCTACCAAGGTGGCTGCCACCGACTGGCTGGGCTGCACTGCATGCAGGCCAGAGGGCCGGAAAGATGAGATTTACGATGGCCATGGCCTTCACGACTTAATGGTCAGGAGTTGAGCTATTTTATCTTATCAGACAGTTTTGCCTAGAAATAGCCACAGACCTTCATTCCAGGATGGCTTTTAGTCATGAGGGGGTGACCTGCAGGTCTCCTAAATCATGTTAATTCCCAGGGCAGCAGGCTGTGCTTTCTTTTCTCTGCAGTGTCTTTCACCATTCCCCAGCCATTTGCTTCTCTGAAGGAAAGTCTCTCCGGGGCCAGCAATGTTGAGGAATGCAGGGTGTAGGGGAGCAGAAAGGCCACTCTGGTGTGGCCTGACTTGGGACCATCTGTCCACTCAGACAGAGCTCAGCAAACGGTCAAGGAGCTGAGAATCGGCTCAGTCCCTCCCTCTCCCTCTCACTCTCTTCTTCCCTCTTTCCCCTCCCCACTCTCTCAGCCCCTCACCTAGCTAGCTGCCCCTCCCTTACCTCGCAGGACCCCCTGGGATGGAACTGCTTGCTGAGCAGTTCTGATGAAGGCAGGACCCTTTCCTCTCTGTGGACTCAGTCCACAGTGTCTGTAGACACTGGCCCTCCAGAGGACCAGTGTGTGAGGGGGTGTTGCCAGCCTCTGTTTCTCCTGAGCCCTCCTCCCAAGTGCAAGTATGAGAACTCCTCTCCACACCTTCCTGCGTGTCCAGGGGCTTCCTTTAGGGTTCTAGGAGTCCCAAGACATCATGGGTAGGCAGCAGATGGAGAAAGAGCAGAATGTTCCATCCAGGCCAGGCACAGTGACTCACGTCTGTAATCCCAGCACTTTGGGAGGCCGAGGCAGCAGATCACTTGAGGCCAGAAGTTGGAGACCAGCCTGATGGAGTAGAAACTCCATCTCTACTAAAAATACAAAAATTAGCCAGATGTGGTGGCCCACGCCTGTAATCCCAGCTACTTGGGAGGCTGAGGCAGGAGAATTGCTTGAACCCGGGAGGTGGAGGCTGCAGCGACTTTGATATTGCGCCACTGCACTCCAGCTCTGGATGACAGAGCGAGACTCCGTCTCAAAAAAAAAAAAAAAAAAAAGAATGTCCCATCATCCAATGGCAGGACCCTGGGCACACGCCATGGGACAGTCTCAGTCATAGCCACTGGCTGGGACAACTCCAGCAAACAGTGTCTTCACTGGTCCTTCTCACCATCCACCCACCGGCTTTTCTTGACTCATGGAGGGGTCTTGCAGACCCCTTCCCCAGATCTGATTCCTAGGTCTGGGATCCCCCCAGCACCCTCGCTCACTCTTCATTCCCCTGGAGGTCCCACCCCACACCCTCTTGACTCTCCAAGGAGTGAAAAGCTCCTTTCACTTTCACCTTGATATTCTGTTAAAAGCCAAATCCAAATCGTTAGCAACAGAAGCCAGCTGCCCTTCTCTAAAAGCCGGAGGGCCGGTCCTCAAACCCCTCCTGGGGGGTGAGATACTTTTGTATCCTACCTGGCTGGAGTCATGCCTTCCCCTCACCCTCAACCCCCAGAATAGGCAATAAATAAAATGAAAGTTTTCTAATGCAGTAAATAAAAGGAAGAAAACTGGAGCAGACCAGATTCTGTTTTATTTCCTAATAAAACAGAGGCTGTCTCCTGACAGTCCCCAGAGGGCCCACCACCTCATGATGTATTAGTAACACACCAGCTGCCTTGCAACAAGACTTGGTTATCATTTACCTTTATAAGGAGGCTTCTCAGATCTCATCTCACCATGTGAGTTGGGCATTATTAATAATCGCTACCATTAAACATACCTACAATGTGCTGGGTGCTTTCTATACGGTATTCTATGCAATCCTTACACCGACCCTGAAGTGTAGGCGCTATTATTTCCACTTCACAGGTAGTGCTCTGAGGTTCATTAGCTTTCTTAAGGTCATGCAGCTAAAAAAAAATGACAAAGTGAATCCAGGTGGGTCCTCACTCCTGTGGGGCCCCAGGGAACTTCCGGCTGATTTCTGGGGCGTTTGCGCGCAGAGCGAGACTTGGCCAGCAGAGGGCGCCAGCGCCCCGCCAAGGCAGTGGGAGACCGGCGGGAAGGCGGCTGTGAGGCCTGGGCTAGTTTCGGCTTAGAGACTGCAGCCTCTAGACTCAGCACGCAGAGCTCGGACCAGTGGGACCCAAGGCTTCTCTCTCGGAGACTGCCCTGGAGCCAAAGTCTGTGGGCAGAGGAGGGCCAAACACTGCCTGGGCCTTTATTTTGCATCCAGAAACAGGGTGCTCTGGATAGCGGCAGCCCCCACCCGCTGAGCGAGCTCAGGCTGGTTGCAAGGAGAGAAAAAGGAGGTGGCTGTCCCCGTCCTGCGACCTGGGTTCTGGTCCCAGTGGGCCGTGGGAAAGCTGAGACTTTCTCCGTGCCTCTGTTTCCCCATCTGTAAAATCGCAGGATTTGTGCGCCGCAGACTCCAGAGTCCATGGTGGGGGGCGGGGCGTGGTCCTCTCCCATTTCAGAAAACCTATCTTAAGAGGCACATCTAGGAGGCTGCCTAGAGTGACCAAGGTACCAGGGGCTGAGCACCCTGCAGACATTGGTGATCTCTGGTTGATCCAAAACGAAGAAGCCTCCCTGCGTGTCGATATGGGAAAGAGAATTGATATGCAAATACATGCAGCTTCTTTGGTAAATAAGAATATCAAATCAGAGTCTATGAGAGTTGGGGGCTGGGGTCGGTGGTCAGAGATGGGATCCCCAGGCCTGTAGGGCCTTTCTTCCTTTCCAGCTCTCCAAGCCCTGCCAGTCTTTCCTCCTCAACCTTCTCTCTTGCCTAAAGAGAAATTGTCATGAGCCTGCTAATCGTGAAAGGTTCTGTGCCTTCCCTGCTGCCAAACCCATCAAACCTATTTACCAGAAATGGCTTTGTTCTAAGAGGAACAAAATGAGGCTCAAGGGTGAGGGTCCACAGGTCTGGCCCCCAGATGCACCCTGGAGCAATGAGGGCCCCCGGGGCAGGGACTTTTACCAGCCTTCCCTGGTGGAGGCAAGATTCACAGTGCAAACTCTTCTCCAATGCAGGGACAGATGACCAAACCTTGCAGACAGCAGCGGGAGCTGGAGGGACTTTGTTGAGGACTGGGACCCAGGTGTGGTTGCTGCAATGCCCTCTGCTTTGGCAGAGAAAAGATGCAGATTCCCAGGTCACACCAAGTGACCTCTCCAGAACCTGGAACAGCCTCTGTGTGGACTGCCATGGGAGAGCTGGAGCCACCACAGAATCTTGCTCACCCCAGGGAGGTGGCAGCAATAGGATCATCATGACTTTTCACCTTGACCTTTCACCACAGCCTGACCCCTCCAAGGTGGGAGTGAGCACAATGGCACAGGGGTTGGGGGTCTGTGTCCGAGTAGGAGGGGTGTTTAAACGGGAAGTAAGAGAGCATTGCAGAGAATGTTAACTGCCCCTCTCTTCTGTTTGCCAAGCCCATTTGGCTTCATGCTGTCTCCAGCCTCAGGAGTCAGGAGGCTCTGAAATGTCTAAATGTCACATGGCTTGACCACAGCCAGGGAGGGGCAAAGCCAGGCATTGAGGTTTCTTTTCTGATTCCCAAGAAGAAGGAAGGAGGGCGGGAGACAATAATTTAAAAAAAAAAAAAAAAGAGAGAGAGAGCAAGACTTGTTAGAGGCCACGAGGAGTCTCAGGCCAGAGGTGTCTCTCCCCAAACCCGGGATGGGAGGGAGCTGGGGGCCACCCTGCCCTCCTGCTCTTTCTTCTGCCCTGGGATTTAATTGCTCTGCAAGTTCAGTGAGCTGTTCACTGACAACACTGGGGGCTCTGGGCTGCTCAGACTCAGACACAGGTGTGCCCTCCCCGCTGAATTTATGAGACCCCAGACTTAGGGGGCCTCAGGGCAGTAATTCAAGGCAAATCCTAGAGACCTGTTGAACCCATGGCTACTCAGCAGCAGAATTCCCTAGGAAGCATTAGAAAGCTACAGACTGCTCCGGGCTTCTGCAGGCTCAACCCTCTGCCTCCTGCTACCTGCCCCTCCCTGCCTACAGCAGCCCCCCTCAGAGCATTTCTCTCCCCCCATCACTAACTGCCTGTCTCCCACCACCCCCTTTAGGACCGTCCCTCCTCCAGCCCATCCTTGGAGCTGCCCAGTTCCCTGTGAAATGCTCCTCCCCACCTCGCCACCAACATCAGCCCCTCTGTTGCCCTCTGTACCCCATACTGGGCATTCTGGCTCTCAGCCCTTCTAACATTCTCTTTCCTTGCTTTCCATCAGAACTTTCCCCTTGAGCCAAACTGCTTTGTTCCTGTTCTGCATTGCCCTGGCTTCTGGATGCCTTGTGCACCCTTTTGCTTTGTTCTTTCCCAGCCCTACACAGGCCTGCATGCGCGCGCGTGCACACACACACACACACACACACACACACACACACACCCTGCCTACTGCTCACACACTTTCCTCCTCCTCTGAGTCTCCTGAGCCCTCTCCCTTTTTCAAGTCCCTGCTCCAGCCCCACCCTCCCTGGGCCTGCCCAGGCCAGCCCTGTCCGGGAGACCTCTCCTCTTTGAATGGCAGTGCCTGCGTCCTCATCTGTTCCACGCCCTCCCCAAGTTCATTCTCTTCCTCCAGAGCTAGCCAGACCTCCCAAAGAGCCCTGGCAGGAGCTCCCAAAGTAAGAGTTTCTTTGATCTCCTAGGTAGCTGCTCAATGCCAGTTTGTGGATCGACATGTGATTCTTACATTTGCAACAACATCTTCTGTGAGTAGCCTGCTCCCCCAGCACGAGGAAAATGAGACTGATCCTGAGAGGATTTGATTCGTGCATTCTGGAGGGACAAGCCTGCCTGGAAAAGTCTCCTGCAGGAGAGGCAGACCAGGCTGCCCCAACCTGAGTGTGGACTCCAGCCCTGGGCTGCCGGGCTATATGTCCTCCCATGTACCCACTACCCTCACCCAGTCTCAGCAGCGACTCAGAATCTCTGTCTGGGTCTGGTCCACCACCTTCCCCTATCTGGACTTGAACTCCTTCAGGGCTGGCACAGTGACCCATCATCCTATCATGCCCACAGTGACCTGCTGGGTGCTGTGAGATGTCAGTTTGGGCCCTGCTGTGTGCACCAACTTCACTGGTGATACTGTTACCACCTTAAGGGTCAGAGAGGTTTAAGAACTCACCCAAAGTCACCCAGCCAGTAAATGGCTCAGTTGGGGTTCAAACCCAAGTCTATAAGATGCCAGATCCCCTGGTCCATCCAGACACCTGACTGCATCTCGTACATTGCACACAGTAGATGTAAACAATACAAACGTCTACAGAAGTCAGGGACTGGGCGCGGTGCTTCACACCTGGAATCCCAGCATTTCAGAGGCCAAGGTTGGTGGATCGCTTGAGCCTAGGAGTTTGAGACCAGCTGGGCAACATGGTGAGACCCCGTCTCTACAAAAAGTACAAAAATTAGCCAGGTGTGATGGTGCACACCTGTGGTCCCTCATACTGGGAGGCTGAGGTTGGAGGATCACTTGAAGTTGAGGTCAAGGCTACAGTGAGCCGAGATTGCATCACTGTACTCCAGCCTGCGGGACAGAGCCAGACCCTGTCTCAAAAATAAATAAATAAATCTACAGAAGTGAATCTGCCTGGAAACGGAGAACCTAAAAGAATCATCAGGAGGTTTGGTTGGTGATGTAGCATTAAGGTGCCTGAGAGCCTCTTACACACACAGGCCAAGTGGGGATCTAAGCCAAAGCACCCCCTCCATGGTTTTAGGCCTATGCTGGTGAACAAGGCAGATGCAGCCCCGACAGCACCTGCCTTCCAGCTCTGCCACTGGACGGAGACATCACAGACTTGTAGCAGGGACAGCCATCCAGCCCACTGGGTGTTCACATATCTTCCACTTAAAACCTAGAAAATGGAAGCGCAGAGTAGACATAAGCCTGGTGCTGTTTTAAAAGGGAATGGTTTAGTAACCTGTAGGTAGCTCTCTTCCTATCCCCTGTGCCTGCATGCAGCTGTGGGACCACAGTGGCTTGACACCTCCATCAGTTCCCCCATTCTAGGGTCAGAAGTGGGTCCTATCAGAAGGTAGAGCTTTCTGGCCTGGGCACATTGCAGAAAGTGCTGCGGTTCTAATTCTCACCACCAGAAGGCGCTCCCAGACCCTCCGCTGGGTTCATACTACAATGTTTCCATCTAAATCCATGAATCAGTTTTTTCTCACTCCTCTGTATGTGAAAGCTACACCTAAAATGTTTCTACTTAAATCCATGAACTAGTTTCCCTTACACCTTCCTCTGTAGGTGAAAGTTCCTCCAGAGACTAGAGCAGGACTTTGAAGGCCCATGAACTGGGAAATTAACTGTTTAGGTGCCAAAAGTGGGAGTTGTGATGGGGGTTAAACTGACAGAGGAGGCGAATGCTATTGCTGTTTGAAAACGTAGGCCGGGCACTGTGGCTCACGCCTGTAATCCCAGCACTTCGGGAGGCCAAGGCGGGCGGATGACGATTTGAGGAGATGGAGACCATCCTGGCCAACATGGTGAAACCCTGGCTCTACTAAAAATACAAAAATTAGCTGGACGTGGTGGTGCATGCCTGTAATCCTAGCTACTCAGGAGGCTGAGACAGGAGAATCACTTGAACCGGGGAGTCAGAGGTTGCAGTGAGCCAGGATCGCGCCACTGCACTCCAGCCTGGTGACAGAGAGAGACTCCGTCTCAAAAAAAAAAGAAGAAAAAGAAAAGAAAATGTAACCACACATTCAGCTTTCAAAATACCCGAAGGCTCGGCCGGGTGCGGTGGCTCAAGCTTGTAATCCCAGCACTTTGGGAGGCCAAGGCGGAAGGATCATCTGAGGTCAGGAGTTCAAGGCCAGCCTGGCCAACATGGTGAAACCCTGTTTCCACTAAAAATACAAAAATTAGTAGGGTGTGGTGGCGGGCGCCTGTAGTCCCAACCACTTGGGAGGCTGAGGCAGGAGAATCACTTGAACCCGGGAGGTGGAGGTTGCAGTGAGCTGAGATCACGCCACTGCACTCTAGCCTAGGCAACAAGAGTGAAACTCCAGCTCAGAAGAAACCAAAAATAACCAAAGGCTGAGGACATCATTTCAATGTGTGTGTGTGTGTGTGTAACAAAGACCACAGTGTGTAGACATTGGGTTTCAGAGATCACCTCTGTGTCCAGCTGTCTGCGAGTCTGGACTGATGAGACTCTACCCTACCCCACTGGTGAATGTGGACCTGCATATGTGTATGGCAGCGGGAGTGGAAACATTGTCCTGATGTGTCTCCTAGCGTGTCTAGCTGTGTGTGTGTTGTTAGGAATGCTGGATGTGGATTGAGCTTTTGTGGCTGTGCTAGTGTGTGTGTGTGTGTGTGTGTGTGTGTGTGCGCGCGCACACGCGCCTGCCCCTGCTTTGGCATTTCTGCCCAGATCCAGGGGCTCTGCCATATGGGTGAGCAGGTACACACACGTGCTTAGTAGTATCTCTAAGGGTGTCAAGGACATACGTGTGTGCTGGTGCTCTGAGCCTGCCTGTATTCAATTTTGTGTGATGTGTGGCCCACATGCACCTGCTGTATATAGGGACTCTCAGGCTCCAGGGAGGAGACATACATGTGTATGTGTGTGTTTATGGGTGTGCACCCCTGGTGTCCTGCCTCTCCTGGGGCTCAGTCAAGGCCTTCTGCTCTCTGTTTCTGGGATGTTTTACTTCCCCATGACACAGAGCCCTTCTAGGCTGCTGCTCTCCTCTGTGAGCCTTGCACCTGCCTTTCTCCTTCGCCAAGCATGCCTTAGGGGAGATGGTTTATTTCTTCAATTAAAAGAAGAAAGACCCTGGGAGGCTGCACACTTAAAATTACCACATTTTAAAAAGCTCTGACAGTCATGAAACTATAAACCTCACAGCAGTGTCTCTGCTGCCCCCAGGCTACTCCCAGCCCTGAACTAAGGGGTTCACCTCCTCCAGGACTTGGATGGCCCCTCTCCTGAGGCTGGAAGATCACACCTTCTCTGATCAGAGAGACCCCAGTATTGTTTGCATGTGTAATCATGTGTTCATCTTTCCGTTCCTCCAGATCTTTTTCTTCCATAGTGTTATATTCAGGAAAGAGGTTAGGAAGCAGAAAACCCAGGTTCTAGCACCCTCTCCCTGGCTGGGTGACCTTGGACGAGGCTCCTAACCTCTCTGGGCCTCAGATTTTTCCATGGCAGAATGAAGCTGGTGCATATCATGATCTAAAGTTTCTTCCTGCTCTGACACTGACATCTGAGCCCCACAAAACCTTGACAGTGAGTATAGGAGTCTGCATTACCCCATTTTAATAAAGAAACAGAAGCTCATTAAGGTTAAGTGACCTCCCCCTTCCAGGGACACTGCATTTTCCACAACAGCACCCTGAAATTGACAAAGGCGGAGAGAGCAGCAAGAAACAGACAGGCACACGTTCACACTCCCTGCATGATCCTCTCTGAAAACACCCCGACAGCCAGGAGGGGATTGATGAGAATTTGCGTCACAGCCCTACACAGTAATTATTGGTGTTCATAATGATGCCCTAAGGCATTACATTCCCCTGAAATGCCTTCAGAATCATCAAAGAAAGATTAAGCCATGCCTACTATAATTGCTCTTTGAAATACCTTCTATTTTATTCTCCTGCTTGGAAAATTGATAACCTATGGATTTTCAATTAACTTTAAGTTACAAAGAATATTCAGTTTACCCAAGTATCTCATCCATTTATGGTTCCCTTTTAGGAGGAGTTGATTATCCATCTCAAGCTGTATTCCCCAAGGAGCCTGACGTTTTTACGAGATGACTGAGTTTGGGGGTGGAAAAACCCTTGATCTGTAATTGGAGGCCCTGGCTGCAGCCCTTTCTAGGACTGTGACTTTGGCAGGTCACCAGCCTCTCCAAACCTCAGTGTTCTCACCATTAAAAAAAATGGATTAATGCCAGTTCTGCTCCCTCGGTGTCATTGCCAGAATCAAGTAGATGATGGATGTGTTTGTAAATGTCATGTCTATGCAAATGAGAGATGCTCAGGAAGCACTTGAGAACTGCATGGTGAGACCTCTGGCATAGCCAAGCCAGCCAAACTGCTAGGCTGGGCAAAGAACACATAACAGGCATCCTGGCCTCATGGCATTCCCAATAACAACTGCTGCAGCCATGGCTAAGTCCCTAGGCCTCTCTGGGCCTCAGCTTCCTGATCTGTAAAATGGGGAGCAGAGAGAGTTGGACAAGATCAGAGATTGCAGATTGGTATTCCAAGAACCAGTCGTGCCATGTTCTGGGCTGCTTTTAATTGAATGGCAGTGTTTTGAATTCATTGCCAACATTTAAAAGTTGACAGGTTGCCTATAAAAAATCTGGAAATATGGCTTTTTTTTGACAAATGGAAAGATATGGTTGGTTACACTGGGCCCATGTTCATGCAAGGGAAAATTGGCCAGTGCCAAGTAGCTGTTGGCCCCCTCTTTCTCCCATCAAAGGCACCCAGGTGTCTCCCTCCCAGCTGGCTTGGGGAACCTGTGTTTACTTGCCTGGCTCCATGGGTTCTGACCCCTAAACTGACTGATCTCTAAAGCTTTAGACCTTGAACCATCATCACACCTCCCCCAGGTGTGCTGGCCTTCGTCGGGAGGGGAAGGGTGAGGTGGGCAGTGATCTGGGAACTTCCGCAGGGCCACCTTCTCCACCTGGCCTGGGATGGGGAGAGGCACATTCCTTCAGTAGCTCCCAGGCCAGTGGACAGAGGGCTCTGAAGAGACTCCCCCCACCCCAGCCCTCACAGCCAGAGCTAGTAACTCACAGCTGCGGTTACCCACACGCTGATTTCTGTTTTAAAAAATACTGCTGGGTAAACAGGGAGGGAAACCTGAGCTGTTCCCACACCACATAAATCCCCGGTTTGCTGTCCTATCTGGTTAGCTGGTTTCCCCAAATAATGGCACTGCTGCCTCGAAAGCAAGGGGCTGGAAAAGGGAGGCCCCGAGAAGTGGGCGGCTGGGAGTCTCCCAGGCTGGCTCCAGGCCCAGGCCTGGTGGCCTCCCTCCTTCTCTCTTTCAGCACTTCCTGCCCAGGGGCACTCACCTTTGTCCTCACTCCTTCCACCTGAGCCGCCCTTCCTCCACCCCTCTGCTTTGTCTCTCTCAAAAGACCTCCACAGAAGGCTTTCCTGGGGGACCCTGGGCCCTCCGGCAGCCAGAAAGCCCATAGCCAAAGGCAGACCTACCCCAACACCGCATTTCCCTCTGGAAGGCTCCCTTTAAAGTTTCCTTCCAGAGCCTTCTGTCAAAGTGCAACGTCCTGACTCAAAAGGTAAGGCCAGAGCCTTTTGCGTCCTGAAAATGAGTTTAGCCTTGGATTAGGATTGCCAGATTTAGGGGGAAAAGAAGACACTCAGTTAAATTTGAGTTTCAGATAAACAAACAACAATTTTTTAGTCTATGTCCCAATATTTTCTGGAACAGACTTACCTCAGCATTTTATCTGGCAGCCTACCTTAGCTCTTTTCCTTGAGAACAGGTTCTGATGGGGAAGAAGAAGAAGATAAAAGAGTTATTAGGGCCACCAAGGTGCCTATAGGCTGAATCTCCCAGCCTCCCCAGCAGTTCCTCACTGCCAAGTATATAGTTGCGGGCAATTGGTCTGTAGAGTAATTGTTGAACAGGACCCTCCTTAAAACAGGGCAGGGAGGGTTGGGCACAATGGCTCATGCCTGTAATCCCAGGACTTTGGGAGGCCAAGGCGGGTGGATGATTTGAGGTCAGGAGTTTGAGATCAGCCTGGCCAACATGACAAAACCCTGTCTCTACTAAAAATACAAAAATTAGCCAGGCGTGTAGTCCCAGCTACTTGGGAGGCTGAGGCAGGAGAATCAATTGAACCTGGGAGGTGGAGATTGCAGTGAGCTGAGATCACACCACTGCACTCCAGCCTGAGGGACTGAGTGAGAGTCTGTCTTAAAAAAAAAAAAAAAAAATGTAGAGAGGCTGGGCACTGTGTCTCACTCCTGTAAATCCCAGCACTTTGGGAAGCCAAGGTGGGAGAATCACTCAAGGAAGGAGTTTAAGACCAGCCTGGGCAACATAGCAAGACCCTATGTCTATTTTTTTTTTTTTTTTGAGACGGAGTCTCGCTCTGTCGCCCAGGCTGGAGTGTGGTGGCACGATCTCGGCTCGCTGCAAGCTCCGCCTCCCGGGTTCAAGTGATTCTCCTGCCTCAGCCTCCTGAGTGGTTGGGACTACAGCCATGCGCCACCACGCCCAGCTGATTTTTATATTTTTAGTAGAGATGGATTTTCACCACGCTGACCAGGCTGGTCTCGAACCCCTGACCTCGTGATCCGCCCACCTCGGACTCCCAAAGTGCTAGGATTACGGGCGTGAGCCACCGCGCCAGGCCCCCATGTCTATTTTTTTTTTTTTTTTTTTTTTGAGATGGAGTCTCGCTCTGTCGCCTAGGCTTGGAGTGCAGTGGCGCAATCTCGCCTTGCTGCAAGCTACGCCTCCCGGGCTCACGCTATTCTCCTGCCTCAGCCTCCAGAGTAGCTGAGACTACAGGCGCCTGCCACCACCATGCCTGGAGAATTTTTTGTATTTTTAGTGGAGACGGGGTTTCACCGTGTTAGCCAGGATGGTCTCGATCTCCTGACCTCGTGATCCACCCGCCTCGGCCTCCCAAAGTGCTGGGGTTACAGGCACGAGCCACCGCACCCGGCCCCCCATATCTATTTTTTAAACGGGTTGTGGGGAGGGGGGCAGTGGGCAGAGAGATGGGGAGAGTCCATTTGTCCTTCCTCCTTCGTGCTGTGTGGAATGCTGACATGCCAGCTGAACAAGGTGCCGCAGGGGGGCAAAGTAGAGAGACAGTGCCTGGGGGAGAGGCCATCTCAGCTTGGACTGTCACCTCCGGCCTTTTTTATGGGGGAGAATAATAAACTCTGTGTGTTTCCCCTTTTGTCATTTGTTTTCATTCTATACAGCTGACTCCAATACAGAACCCCTGGAAGGTGTTCATTTGCTGGGTGCTTACTGAGTGTCTGTACAGTGAGCCACCACTTTACAGTTGAGGAAACTGACTCATATGACTTCCAAGAGCCAGGTTTCTATGCAGGCCATTCTGTGTGTTACATTTTTCAGTCATCTGCCTACAATTTTGGTAGCAGACAAGTAGAGCACCAAAGGTTTAAATGTATATATATGTGTGTATATATATATATGTGTGTGTGTATATATATATGTATACACACACACACACACACACACAGAGAAAACCCATCTGCAGAACTTACCTCCCTTAGCTTAGTGTTTTCTGAGATTTAGAGAAAGACCTCGTTATTGGGCCCCTGGGGTGGAATGCAAGGACTATGTTCTATAGTTTACTCAACTCTGACCCTTGGATCATATTATTTGAGCATTACAAAGCCCTGTCAGGGCCAGGCGCGGTGGCTCATGCCTGTAATTCCAGCACTTTTGGAGGCTGAGGCGGGCAGATCACCTGAGGTCAGGAGTTCAAGACCACCCTAGCCAATATAGTGAAACCTCGTCTCTATTAAAAGTACAAAAAATTGGCTGGGTGTGGTGGCGCGTGCCTATAGTCCCAGCTACTTGGGAGGCTGAGGCAAGAGAATCACTTAAACTTGGGAGGCAGAGGTTGCAGTGAGCCGAGATTGCACCACTGCACTCCAGCCTGGTGACAGAGCGAGACTCCATCTCAAAAATAAATAAATAAATAAAAATAAAAATAAAAAATATTAGCCGGGCATGGTAGCATGCACCTGTAATCCCAGCTACTCAGGTGGCTGAGGCAGGAGAATCGCTTGAACCCAGTAGGTGGAGGTTGCAGTGAGCCAAGATCACACCATTGCACTCCAGCCTGGGCAACAAGAGTGAAACTCATCTCAAAAAAAAAGAAAACAAAACAAAACAAAAAACCCTGTGAGGCAGGCTGGCAGGCAGTAGTAACTCTGCTGCCTCAAAGTGTTCTGAGAAGCAAAGGACACATGTGTACATTCCAAATACATCCCAGGCCCAGTAGTAAACACGCTAGCCCACAGCCACGTATACCATATCCAAAATCTGCCTGTCTTCTGTCCATCCCTTAAGGTCTTACTAGAGACCAAGCATCTCATCTGATTCACACATTCTACTATGTAAGCGCAGGCTAATGGCTTCATCTTGTGCCCTGTTCAGTGGCATATAAATATTTCACAGGGCTCTCTGGAGTTGTCTGTAAGGCAAAAATCTCAGGTATCATCATCTTCATCATCCAGATGTTACCCCTGCATGCCAGGCTATGACAAGAGCTTTCATAGACCACCTCACTCACGTCTCTCAGCATCCTCATGCGGACGGAAGAAGTTTATCCCCATTTTACAGATGAGGAAACTGAGGCTCAAGTGATAAGGCAAGTCGCTCAAAGCCATTTAGCTTATTAATAACAGAGCTGAGGTCAGGCACAGTGGCTCATGCCCGTAATCCCAGCACTTTGGGAGGCCAGGGCGGGCAGATCACCTGAGGTGGGGAGTTGGAAACCAGTCTGGCCAACATGGCAAGACCCCATCTCTACTAAAAATACAAAAATTAGCTAGGTATGGTGCCAGACACCTGTAATCCCAGCTACTCGGGAGGCTGAGGCAGGAGAATCGCTTGAACCTGGGAGGCAGAGGTTGCGGTGAGCCGAGATCCCACCACTGCACTCCAGCCTGGGCAACAGAGCAAGACTCCGTCTCAAAACAAAAAACAAAAAAACAGAGCTGAGGTTTGAACCCACAGGCCCCCAATTCCCAAGGCCATGATTTGGACCCTTGTGTTATGTTGCCATAGAAGGTATCTGGGGGCTGGGATGAGCCGTCTTCACCTACATTGTGCTGTGTCCTGCCCAGTGGTTCAGCATAGTTAAGGACAAGCTATTCCTCACATGCATCACCCTTTATAGTCAGCCAGCTCTGTTCTCAGATGCAGTTCATTTATCCTCCTAACCGCCAGGTGAGGCCGGAACTGTCAACTCCATTTTGCCAGTGAGAAAAATGAAGCTCAGAGAAGGGTGTGATTTGCCTGAGACCACACAGCCGGTAACAGGCAAGGTCACACCTTGAACCCGTGTCTTCTGCCTCCAGGTCCAGGGCCTTGCCCTGACACCCTGCCTCTCCAAGCACAAGGGGGTGGGGTGGCCACAAACAGAAGCAGCCCTGTCCTGCCAAGTACACGCCTGCCTGCCACGCACAATGGGAGACATTCCGCAAGTTCCACGTGATGGCTCAGGTGTGGCCAGGCTGAAAGCCCTCCTGGGCCCCCCCACGCCCCTGGGGGACCTCCTCGTGACTCACACTTTTCCTCTTCCTCCCCTTATTCTCCCCAACAATCAGAAACCGGGGTCCCCTCCCTTCCTGAAAACAGAGCTCTCCTCATGAGGCCACAGGGCTTTTTCGACACACAGCTCCTTCCATCCATCTCTGTCTCTGGCCCTGTGGGGCCTTGACAGGGAAACGCTGACTTTGAGGAGGTTAAAGGTGCTGGTGCCCGGCCTTCATCTAACAAATGGGTTGCCGTGAGGGGAGGAACTGTTGTTGTTTTTTCCTGGCCTCAGAAGAGGGGCCTGTCAGGAAGATGTAGGGGCCAGCAGCCCCCGGCCGCGCCCCGCAAGGTGGCTGACAGACGCCAGCAGCTGCCGGGGGCTCCGGGGTGCCAGAGGCCTGTGTTCTCAGGGCAAAGCACCCCACCGCGCCCCCTCCCCATGGCCCTCCTGACCTCCCCACCCACCCCACCATGACCCAGGGCCCACCCCGTCCAGGGGCAAAGGGCCAGGCGCTGGGCCTCCCTGCCATGAGGTCCCTGGGCCAGATGCAGAGGTGGAGCAGGAATCCGGTTACAGCCTGCGGCCAGCCCAGGGGAAGGTTTTCCTAGGGAAGCTGACAAGCCAGATCTTCCTCCCAGCCTCCCACGGATTCCTTCCAGAACCCCCACAGCACAGCGTGCCCCCCACAAAGGACCTCACAAGGCTGTTTCTGTAGAATTTCCTCAGAACTCCCCATTCCCAGGTTCACCCTTTGGGATCATCGAGGTTAACCAGAAATAGATGTGCTAGGAAGGGAGCCACATTTGTCCATTACTTACTCTGCCTTTTGCATAAAGGATTTCTTTCTTTATTTCTTTTTCTTTTTCTTTTTTTTTTTTTTTGAGACAGTGTCTCACTCTGTCGCCCAGGCCGGAGTGCAGTTGTACAATCTTGGCTTACCGCAACCTCTCTGCTTCCCAGGCTCAAGCGATTCTCCTGCCCTCAGCCTCCCGAGTAGCTGGGATTACAGGCATGTGCCACCACACCCAGCTAATTTTTGTATTTCTTTTTTTTTTTTTTTTTGAGATGGAGTCTCGCTCTGTCACCCAGGCTGGAGTGCAGTGACGTGATCTCGGTGCACTGCAAGCTCTGCTTCCCGGGTTCACACCATTCTCCTGCTTCAGCCTCCCAAGTAGCTGGGACTACAGGCGCCCGCCACCACGCCCGCCTTTTTTTTTTTTTTTTTGTATTTCTAGTAGAGACGGGGTTTCACTGTGTTAGCCAGGATGGTCTCGATCTCCTGACCGCATGATCCACCCGCCTCGGCCTCCCAAAGTGGTGGGATTACAGGCGTGAGCCACCGCGCCCGGCCTAATTTTTGTATTTCTATTAGAGACGGGGTTTTACCATGTTGGCCGGGCTGGTCTTGAACTCCTGGCCTCAAATGATCTGCCTGCCTCAGCCTTCCAAAGTGCTGGGATTATAGGTCTGAGCCACCGTGCCTGGCCTACATAAAGGATTTCATTGAAGATTTGCAAATGTCTGTGGGCTGGGCTGCCTCAATTTGAATCCTGGGTCCGCCGCTTCCCTGCTGTGTGGCCTTGTGCAGGTTACACAGTCTATCTGTGCATCAGAGTCTTCTGCTGAAAAACGGAGCTGATAAAAAAAAAAGAGAGAGAGAGAAACGGAGCTGATGAGAATGACTGTTGCCTCAGAAGGCTTTTGTGGGAATCCGTGGGGGTAAAAATGTGTAAGGTGCAAAGTGCCTTACACAGATCCCACTCTGACTGTCATCTCAGATGAGGAAACAGAAGTTCAGAGAGATGGCCAGGCATGGTGGCTCATGCCTGTAATCCCAGCACTTTGGGAGGCCGAGGCGGGCGGATCACGAGGTCAGGAGATTGAGACCATCCTGGCTAACACGGTGAAACCCCGTCTCTACTAAAAAATACAAAAAATTAGCCGGGCGTGGTGGCGGGTGCTTG
This sequence comes from Homo sapiens, assembly GCF_000001405.40. Classification (NCBI taxonomy): domain Eukaryota; kingdom Metazoa; phylum Chordata; class Mammalia; order Primates; family Hominidae; genus Homo; species Homo sapiens. The sequence continues at coordinate 43,663,853 of NC_000017.11, read as the reverse complement.
TAGTCCCAGCTACTCGGGAGGCTGAGGCAAGAGAATGGCGTGAGCCCGGGAGGCGGAGCTTGCAGTGAGCTGAGATCATGCCACTGCACTCCAGCCTGGGCGACAGAACGAGACTCCATCTCAAAAAGAAAAAAAAAAAAAAGAAGTTCAGAGAGATAAGGTGACTTGTTCCAGGGCACACAGCCAGGAAGTGGCAGACCTGGGGCTTGAACTCAGACCCGTCTAACCTCAAACCCCATGCCTCCTCCTCTGCATCTGGCCTGCTCCAAACTGAACAGCAGGACACCTGAGGCCAAGTGCTGATTCCACCATTTCTTAGCTGTGTGAGTCTGGGCAGCCCAGTCATCCATCTGAGCCTCGGTTTTGTCATCTGCAAAATGGAGACATAATTCTTACTTACCCATCCTAGGAAAGTTGTGAGGCTCAGAGAATTGTGTGTGCCACAGCTAAGCCCTGGGCAAAGCAGAAAGATGAGTCTGGTTGACAGCTATGACCCCATCCACTCTACTGGTCTACAACACTCTGACCGCTTGTTCCAGAAGAGGGCACATCTTTTCATATGTACACCCCTCCCCATCTTTTACAGCTGCTCCTGCTCCCAGGATGTGTATCTGACTGGAGTTTCTGGATTAAAGGCCAGTCGTGGCTTCATTCCACATCCCTGGGTGCCCTTCGGCTCCTCCTAGGAGCATCTCCTGCACCCACCCCCCAGGGCCCCACCTCCAGGCTGCAGAGCTAAGACCTAGGGGCCCCTCCTCAGGGAACCCTCGCCGTCTTTGGAAGCAGCCAGCAGAGACGCTGCTGTTAAGGTCCATGCCTGTTTCTGCCCCCATCCTGCTGCTCTGGGCCATGGGAATAACCAGTGGGGAAGGAGTTCTGGCCCCTGGGTGTTAGGAATGTCGTCCTCCAAGAAATTGCATTAACCCTCTGAGAGACCAGCAGGGCGCAGCCATGAGGAAGACTGGGCATCAAGATGGCACTTGGGCTGGCTGCCCTGTGATGTGCACCAGCCCGGAGACCCACGTGCCTGCTTGCCAAAGAGGCTCCTTTGGGGAATGAGGAGCCCCTGATTCCTATTTCCCTACCCCAAATTCCTCGGAAGCCTCCGCCTCTGGGGGATGAGAAAGGGAAGCAGGTGGGTGGAGGTGAAGGGGGCAGGGAGCAGGTGGGAGGAGACCCGAAGAAACTTCAAGGACCTTATTTAAGAGCCTTGCCATTGCTGTGAAGAAAAATGACTTGAAACCTCTCTAGAGAAGAGTGTGGCTAATTGGCATGTATGTTGGAGGTTAAAGAGCGGAAGGAAGAATCTGATTGTTTTTTTAAGTTACTGAGAAAGTGAGAATGTCACTCTGGGCAGAGAGAAATTCTTTTTTTCTAGAGTGTGCCTTTCTTTGTACTGCAGACCACAGTGGGCCGCTGAGACTTGCAAAAAAGATTTCTTTTAATCCACCTTCCTTTTTCGCAGGCAGCAGTAGAAGGGCCTTTAAATCAAATGCAATCACCAAGCTTGTCTCTTGCTCTTATTCCTCACTTCACTCCCTGGAATTTGGCATTTGATGGATTCTGGATCTGACTTAAGGCTTTTTCTAAATCCAAGACTTGGGGAATTTTGTTAACAGTGCAATAAAAATAACTTCATAGTGTTACAGGAGGCACATTAAAGACGGTGTGTGTGTATGTGTGTGTGTGCTGCTCTCTTTCCTTAAAAAAAAAATACAGACAATGTTTCTTTAAAAGTCTCCATCTGCAAATCCCATTAGATGTGCATATAAGGTTTCTGATGATTAATAGTTGCCTGCTAGGGTTTTGGTTGGAGGGGATCTTGTGTGTGTGGGTTAACCCCTCCCTCTCCTCTCTCACATTTCACTTCAGAAATTTGTCACTCTCTCCCCACCGCAGGATTTAAAAGTGTGTCCCAGCAGCCCTGGTCCAGCCCTCTGCAGGCATTTGCTCTGGGCTCCAGGACGAACTCCTCGTCAGCTGGTGCGTCTGGGTTGGGACAGTGAAAATGTTTAGTGTCATTGGCGACAAATACACATACAGGGGATCCCAGTAGGTAGGCTGGTGCATTGGAGGGGCAGGAGCAAGCCCGACATAGGTGTGTGCACACACATAGGAGTAGCTGGCCACATGTGTGTGTACTTTAAGGAGAGACTTTAGTTTTGGGTTTTTTTTTTTTTTTGGTTCCTGGGGTAAATTTTCTGTTGAACATTTTTCCCTCCTATTTAGTTTTTTTTCTTTTGCATTTTTAAAAATTTGAACATAAAAAGTATAAAGAATCAAATCTTTGAAAGGACCGAGGCGTGCAGCGGACAGCAGATGGATCCCGCGGCCAGCAGCTGCATGAGGAGCCTCCAGCCCCCAGCCCCTGTCTGGGGCTGCCTTCGAAACCCCCACTCGGAAGGCAATGGGGCCTCAGGGCTACCCCACTACCCGCCCACCCCGTTCTCCTTCCACCAGAAACCAGACTTCCTGGCGACAGCGACGGCAGCGTACCCTGACTTCTCAGCCTCCTGCCTGGCAGCCACCCCACACAGCCTGCCCCAGGAGGAGCACATCTTCACTGAGCAGCACCCCGCTTTCCCACAGTCCCCCAACTGGCACTTCCCTGTCTCAGACGCCCGGCGCAGGCCCAACTCAGGCCCGGCAGGGGGTTCCAAGGAAATGGGGACCAGCAGCCTGGGCCTGGTGGACACCACAGGAGGCCCAGGCGATGACTACGGGGTGCTTGGGAGCACTGCCAATGAGACAGAGAAGAAATCATCCAGGCGGAGAAAGGAGAGTTCAGGTAGGTGGCTCAGGAGCAGCTGATCATTCCTTTACTGTGTGACCCTGGGGAAGTTACTCACCCTCTCTGTGCCTAGGTGCTCTGAGCATGAATTTCTGTCTAGTCCATCCAAATGCAGGAGACTGGACCAGTTACCTTTGGGGTTTCTTCCACTGAGAGTTCTAGGATTCTCTGGTGATGGGGACCATGTCTGTGTCCCAGCACTCCTGGGCCCCAGAAAGGGTGTCCAGCAAGAGAATGAAACAGGATCAGCCAGGATTTGGAGGACACGTGAAATGGATCCTCTGGGTGCAGACTGGCGAGGGCTGGTGAGGGGCTTTCCTGAATCAGGCTGCCATTGAGTCATCCTCCTCCCCACCATGCTTTGGCCAGCCCCAAGTGGTCCTAGAGCCACAGGGCTCGCTTACCAGGGAAGTTCAGCTGAGGTTAAGGCTCTGAGAGCTAAGACTGAAGCTGGGACCCTGGGTGGCCACCCAAAGCCAAGACCCTATGTGTCCAGGAGCCTAGAGGCAGAGAAGCAGGCCTGCGGCTGGGATGGGAGAATCAAGGGGTGAGGGGGAGATGGAGGGCTGAGGTTTGGGGCAGACTGCCCACCAGATATCACCCTGCGGAGCTGGGCCATGTCCAGGCCAAGGGGACAGACAACTCAGCATGCTGAGATCTGGCTGACCCCCCAGGAAGGCAGCCCCGCAAGGAGCTGCAAGGGATGGGCAGCCTCTGAGAGAGTCAGGGAGGCAGGCAGCCAAGGGAGTCCGTGCTGGAGTCCCAGAGGCTGGAGGATGAGATTGGCCTATTTGTTAAGATTCCAGCTAAAGCCCTTCTCTTCCCCAGGGTGGGGACCTGCTGCTTCCTCACCTCCCCACCAGGCCCTCCCTGGTTGCTCACTATACCTGTCCACCTTTTGTCTGGTTCCTTGTCCCGGCCTCGTTCAGAACAAAGCAGTGACCAAGCCTCCTGCCCGTGCTGCCCTGTTTTCCTCCTGACAGCCGCCCTCAGGGGCACGCCTGTCTGTCGGAGCCTGTAGAGGACCTTCCCATGGGGCTAACCAGGGCAGGACAGAAAAGAAGGACACCAACCAACAGGTGGGAATGCTTTGTGCTTTGCTTTATAAGCACAGCTTTCCCGAGTTTCTGCTCTTAGCCAAGCCCAGGAATGCTCTGAGATGAATAAAGGGGTCTCACCCAAGAAAGCTCAAACTGAGAGGAAGAAGAGGCCTGCAGAGGTGTGTCAGCAGTGGGATGTGCCCTGATGGGGAGGCTTAAGGTGCCATGGGATACTGACGTCAGCTCTTTTGAGTCCCACGGGTTTGGGAGATGGGGACAGCAGGTTTTATTAGTACCTTGATTCTCTCAATCTGCAAAATGAAAGACTGAAAGTTGGTGAGAACACAGAAAGAATGGGGTCAAACTAGAGTGAGCAGCTCATCTCCATTTGCCCAGGACTTTTCCAGTTTTAGCACTGAAAATCCTGTCGTAGGAAACCCCACAGTCCCAGGCAAACAGAAGAATTGGTCACCCTAGAAGTGAGCTCAAACCCCAGGCTTCAGGCCCCCGGTATCACCCCCTTCAGTAGATTTCAAATGCAGTCCTCATTTTGAAATGATGTTTGGTCTGTCTGCTTGAAGAAGCCCCTTCTTCAATGGGAGATAGGAACTCTAGCAGCCCTCATGGCTGCTAAATAGAAGGGCCCTTTAAACCGCCAGCCAGTTAGATCCCCATCCCGAAAATTAACTCATCCTGCCCCTGGTAGGAAATGTGCTAAGGATGAGAAGCAACTCTCAGCGACTTGGCTCTGAACCTGGTTGAAGAGCTTTCCCCTTGGTGGCGGCACGCAGCACTGTGGCTCCTTCCTCTCTGCCACTTTCCAGAGAACTGACAGCCAAGGGCATTGGGAAGGGATAGCAAAGCCAAGAGCCTGCTGGGCTCAGGCAGAATCTTCCAGCATTCCGAGTCTCAGCAAAACCCAAATGCACCAGCTCTCTTTTTGGCGAGTGGCCGATGGCCCTGCAATGCAGAGAGACCATTCACACTAAGCAGCTGGCCACCCAGGAGTACAGGGACACCCTCGGCTGAACGGCCTGCATGCTTCAGGGTCAGACTTTGGTGGAGGGAGGTTCCCATCCGCAGGGGCCCTGGGCTTCCCTAAGGGTCCCCTCAGGAGCACCAGCAGCAGATGAGGCAGGGCCCAGTGAGCTGACTCTCACTCATCCCCCTGTGATTCCAGACAAACTCACTGTTCAGCATGGAAATCTTTATTGCCGCAATGCTTGCATCCTCCTTTGGAATTTAACTGAAGGGGAGGAAGGAGGCAAGAAAGATCAGCTTTGTAAGAGCCCAAAGAAGGGGGAAAGTGACGCAAGGCTCATGACCTACTCCAGGAATCTGGAATTCAGCTCAGAAAAGGCAAACCCACAGAGAGCCCCCCACCCAACCCTGCCAATCCTGAGTCTATAATTGGATCCCCTCTCCAAAATTGTGATATTTTGTTCATTATCAATTTTTTGCATTACTTTTGATTTTTACAAATATTGCCTTAAAATATTCTTTTTTTTTTTTTTTTGAGATGGAGTCTCACTCTAACGCCCATGCTGGAGTGCAGTGGCATAGTTTCAATTCACTGCAACCTCTGCCCCTTGGGTTCAAGCAATTCTCCTGTCTCAGCCTCCTGAGTAGCTGGGATTATAGGCGCACGCCCCCTCTCCCGGCTAATTTTTGTATTTTTAGTAGAGTCGGGGTTTTACCATGTTGGTCAGGATGGTCTCAAACTCCTGACCTCGTGATCAGCCCACCTCGGCCTCCCAAAGTGCTGGCATGCGCCACCGTGCCCGGCCTTCCTTAAAATATTATTGATCTTGACTACAGAGGGGTTGGGCATGCCCTTGCATTTGGGCCTCCCCAAGTCCAGGCTGAGTGGTCCCTGGAAGGTTAACCAGCATTGATCAGAAACGCGTTTTCCATAGTTCTTCCCAGCCAGACAGACAGGCTGCAGTGTCAGCACGGCAACTTTTGGCTGCATGACTTTGGAAAAGTTCATAACTTCTTCCAGCCTTTGTTTCCCTGGCTGTAAAATGGGCATATAGCAGTAGCCCCTTCCATAGAGAGTCTCTCTGTGAAGGTTAGATGCAGTGATCCATGAGATTAACTCTGTGCCTGGCACATAGTAAGAGTTCAATAAATAGCAGCTGTAAATGGTATTAGGCCCATATTTCCTGAACCAGCCTTCAGAATATAAGGTCTGACAAATATTTCTATATTTATGGGGATGGTGGAATTGAATATTTCAATTATGCTGTCTCAGAAATTCCTGAGTCTAGAGAACTTCTGGCAATCATTTTGTTCCAGTTGTCATCAGGAGCATGGAGCTCAGAGACCTGCCGGAGAGGTTATGGGGTGAGTTGGGCCTGGCAAATGCACCCCATATTGAGTGGCTGAGAAGCCTCCAGAAATGGAAAGTTTATTGTAAGAGGAATGTTCTCTGCGCTTCCTTCCTCCTTTGCCATCTCCTTCAACTGCTCCCCGCTCACTCCCAGTAGAATCTGGAGCTGATCTACTCAAAGAAATTATCAAGAAAGCAAGGGTTGGCCGGGCGCGGTGGCTCATGCCTATAATCCCAGCACTTTGGGAGGCTGAGCCAGGCGGATCACCTGAGGCCAGGAGTTCAAGACTGACCTGGCCAACATGGTGAAACCCTATCTCTACTAAAAATACAAAAAAAAAAAAAAAAAATTAGCCAGGTGTGGTGGCAGGCACCTGTAAATCCCAGCTACTTGGGAAGCTGAGGCAGGAGAATAGCTTGAACTTGGGAGGTGGAGATTGCAGTGAGCAGAGATCACGCCACTGCACTTCATTCAGCCTGGGTGACAGAGCGGGACTACATCAAAAAAAAAAAAAAAAAAGAAAGAAAGAAAGAAAGAGAGAGAGAAAGGAAGAAAGGAAGGAAGGAAGGAGACAGAGAGAAAAAGAGAGAAAGAAAAAGAAAGAAAGAAAAGAAAGAAAGAAGGAAGGAAGGAAAGAAAGAAAGAAAGAAAGAAAGAAAGAAAGAAAGAAAGAAAGAGAAAGAAAGAAAGAAAAAGAAAGAAAGAAAATGAACAAACGGGGAGAAAGAAAGAAAGCAGGGTTCCTGGCCTTTGGCACTTCCCCACCCTGGAGACCAGCATGGTGTTATCTTACCCAAACCACTCCCAGCCCCAGGCCAATGGGGATTAAAGACCCCTGCTGGCAGGGACAGCTGTGAGGCCACTGTTGTTTTCCCCCAAACTGTCCTTGCTACTGTGGTTGTCTTTAATTTATGGGAATGAAGGATTTTGCGGTGGTTTCCTCATGGGGTTCAAGGGAAGGTTGCGTGTGATTAGAGTGGCTACAGGTGAATCCGATCGCCCGCCTGGGAAAGCCATGGTGCTAGAACTCAGCACTGCTCCCTCCTGCTCTCACGTCCTCACTCTGCTGAGACATGCCTTTAATCAGACGTGATTTGTCTCATCCTTCTTCAGCTCCAACACGTGTGTTCCCAGAGCTGTCCTGCCCCAATTTCTCTTTGCAAGACCTGCTCTATGCCTGCCTCCGCCCAACCACAAATTTGCCTAAGGTATAAAACTCCACAAATAGGCCTCTCTCCTCTTTTCCCTCCTGATGCCCCTTTACAGGCCACCTCCCCGCCCCAGGTCCCCTCCACTACCCCTGCCACGAAGCCACACCCAGGGACTGACCTTGCAAACACATCCTGCATTTTCTTCCCCCTCTCTGACTGTGCTCTGGTGGTTTCTCCTTGCCTAGAGCACTCTCCCCTTCCCCGTACTTCTGCCTGTTGAAGTCCTACTTAAAAACCACCCAGCTCAAAAACAACCCCTTCCAAGAATATTTTTGTTCTTCTTTTTCAAAAATTTATAGCTACATTTGCATATAACATAGTATCAAAGAAAGCTACAGTTAAGAAATGTCGAAGTCTAGTATCTGCTAGAATCTGTGTTGATTTTCTCACTTTAGCTTGCAGTTGTTTCATAAAGGAACTCTTCTGAGGTTTCTTACCTGGGACATCTTATATTTGAAATCTCCTTTTTTAAAAATTGGGGTCAAATACACATAACATAAAAGTTACCGTCTTAACAGTTTTTAAGTGATACAGTACAGTAGTTGTGCAATCGATTTCTAGAACTTTTAATCTTGCAAAACCGAAACTCTATCTCCATTAAACAACGACCTTTTTTCCCTTCCCCCACCCCCTAGCAATCACCATTCTTTCTCTTGCTAAACATTTGACTATTTTAGATACCTTACATAAGTGAAATCATGCAATGTTTGTCATTTTTGTGACTGGCTTATGTCACTTGGCATAATGTCCTCAAGTTTCAACCAGGTTGTAGCAAGTGACAGGATTTTCTTCTTTTTTTTTTTTTTTTTTTTTTTTTTAGAAAGACAGGGTCTTGCTATGCTGCCGAGGCAGGTGTTGAACTCAGGGCTTCTAGCAGTCCTCCCACCTTGGCCTCCCAAAGTGCTGGAATTATAGGTGTGAGCCACCATGCCTGGCCTCCTTCTTTCTGAAGACAATAACATTCCATTGTATGGATATACCAAATTTCTTTCTTCTTTTTTTTTTTTTTGAGACGGAGTCTCACTCTGTTGCCAGGCTGGAGTGCAGTGGCGCGATCTCGGCTCACTGCAACCTCCGCCTCCCGTATTCAAGTGATTCTCCTGCCTCAGCCTCCCAAGTAGCTGGGACTACAGGCACACGCCACCACGCCCAGCTAATTTTTGTATTTTTAATAGAGACGGGGTTTCACCATGTTGGCCAGGATAGTCTCAATTTCTTGACCTTGTGATCTGCCTGCCTCAGCCTCCCAAAGTGCTGGGACTACAGGCGTGAGCCACTGTGCCCGGCCACCAAATTTCTTTATCCATTCATCTGTTGATGAACATGTAGGTTGCTTCCACCTCTTGGCAGTTGTGAATAATGCTGCAATGAACATGAGTGTGCAAATACCTCCTGGAGAGTGTATTTTCTTTTTCTTTTTCTTTTTTGAGACGGAGTCTCACTCTGTCACCCAGGCTAGAGTGCAGTGGCGCGATCTCAGCTCACTGCAAGCTCCGCCTCCCGGGTTCATGCCATTCTCCTACCTCAGCCTCCCGAGTAGCTGGGACTACAGGCGCCCACCACCACGTCTGGCTAATTTTTTGTATTTTTAGTAGAGACGGGGTTTCACTGTGTTAGCCAGGATGGTCTCAATCTCCTGACCTCGTGATCCACTGGCCTCAGCCTCCCAAAGCACTGGGATTACAGGTGTGAGTCACTGCACCCGGCTGGAGAGTGTATTTTCAATTCTTTTGAGTGTATACCTAGAAGGGAAATTGCTATATTATGTAGTAATTATATTTTTAATTTTCCAAAAAAATTATTTATTATTAGAATAAAATATAGAGACAGGGGTCTCGCTATGTTGGCCAGATTGGTCTTGAACTCTTGGCCTCAAACAATCCTCCTGCCTCGGCCTTCCAAAGTGCTAGGATTACAGGTGTGAACCACTACACCTGACCATATTTTTAATTTTTCCTTTTTCTTTTTTTTTGAGACAAGAGTCTTGCTGTTGCTCTGGCTAGAGCACAATGGCGTGATCACGGCTCACTGCAATCTCTGCCTCCCAGGTTCAAGTGATTCTCTTGCCTCAGTCTCCCAAGTAGCTGGGATTACAGGCGTGTGCCACCACACCTGGCTAATTTTTGCATTTTTAGTAGACAGGGGTTTTACCATGTTGGCCAGGCTGGTCTCGAACTCCTGACCTCAGGTGATCCGCCCGCCTTGGCCTCCCAAAGTGCTGGGATTACAGGCATGAGCCCCTAATCTCCCCTTCTTATAAGCATATCAGGCAGATTGGATTGGGACCCACCCTAACAGCCTCATTTTAACTTAATCCCTTCTTTAAAGGCCCTATGTCCAAATACAGACACACTCTAAGGTACTGGGGTTAGGGCTTCAACATAGGAATTGGGGAGGGAAGCACAATTCTGCCCTTATAGGGACTGTACAGGACTGTACGGGGACAGGAACAAGGGACAAGGTTCAAACTGTGGCACAGACCCTTCAGTTGAAAACCCCTTTAGTGAAAGCAGCACCCAGATGTGTGCCTGACCCCAGAGCTTTCCTAGCTCAGGGTCCTGTCGGCTGGTAGAGCTTTTCCACTGAGACAGGAAGTTGTTTCTAGCCACAAGCAGATCCCTGATTTCCTATCTTACACCAACAAGTACAGACATAAAAAGTGGAGGCAGTTGGCCGGGTGCGGTGGCTCACGCCTGTAATCCCAGCACTTTGGGAGGCCGAGGTGGGCGGATCATGAGCTCAAGAAATCAAAACCATCCTGGCCAAAATGGTGAAATCCCATTTCTACTAAAAATACAAAAATTAGCTGGGCGTGGTGGCATGCGCCTACAGTCCCAGCTACTCAGGAGGCTGAGGCAGGAGAATCGCTTGAACCTGGGAAGTGGAGGTTGCAGTGAGCTGGATCACACCATTGCACTCCAGCCTGGGTGACAGAGCCAGACTCTGTCTCAAAAAAAAAAAAAAAAAGTGGAGGCAGTTTTAGGAGTGAATCTCTAAAGAAGGGAGCTGTTTGACAGAGGAAAGGAGAAAAGAGGCATGGGCTGGATGCGGTGGCTCACGCCTGTAATCCCAGCTATTTGGGAGGCCAAGGTGGGTGGATCACTTGAGGTCAGGAGTTTGAGACCAGCCTGACCAACATGATGAAACCCTGTCTCTACTAAAAATACAAAAATTAGCTGGGCGTGTTGGCTCACACCTGTAGTCCCAGCTAATCAGGAGGCTGAGGCAGGAAAATCGCTTGAACCAGGGAGGTAGAGGTTGCTGTGAGCCAAGATCGTGCCACTGCACTCCAGCTGGGGAGACAGAGTGAGATTCCGTCTCAAAAAAAAAAAAAAAAGGCAATGGTAGGCTGGGCACGGTGGCTCACACCTGTAATCCCAGCACTTTGGGAGGCTGAGGCTGGTGAATCACGATGTCAGAAGATCGAGACCATCCTGGCTAACACGGTGAAATGCCATCTCTACTAAAAATATAAAAAAATTAGCCAAGCGTGGTGGCAGGCGCCAGTAGTCCCAGCTACTTGGGAGGCTGAGGCAGGAAAATGGCGTGAACCTGGGAGGCACAGCTTGCAGTGAGCCGAGATCACACCACTGCACTCCAGCCTGGGCGACAGAGTGAGACTCCGTCTCAAAAAAAAAAAAAAAAAAAAAAAAGCAATAGTAGAGATGAGAATGAAATAAATGGACAACCCCAATAAGTGTCACCTGGGTCGCCAGAGTGATGCCAAGTCCCATACAAGTGACCTCATGCCCATGCTCACCTTCTTGCTGGGCCACGGTACAGTAATAGGAGGAAGGGTGGTCAGAGACTAAGGTCAAGCGAATTAACAAGGTAGCCCTGGTTCAGGTCCCTGATCCACAACTTCCTGGCTGTGTGGACGTGGGTGAGTCCTAACCCTCCCTGAGTCTCTTCTGAGAAATGAGGGTAACAGTACCTACTTCATAAGGTGGGTAGCTGTGAGACTAAATGATATCAGAGATGTAGAGTCCACAGCCAACACTTGGTAACCCCTGGCTCCAGTTTTCCCAAACCCACATATGAGCACCCCTCTCTCTTTAAAGTCCTCCCCTGATGCTGGCTGGCTGCATCAGGTTTCCCACGTTCAAAAACAGGCCAAAGTGTCCTGAGCTCTGCTGAAGTCTTTGCCCCCTGCTGTCAGCCGGGCCTGCCTGACTCTGACGATGCTACTGGCTTAGGGTTGTGGCAGTGCTGGGTGGGGTGTGGTTTGAGGGGTGCACCGCTGCAGCAGCTCCTCTTGTCCCGAGTCCATGTCCAGAACCCCTAGTGAGGAAGAAGTTTTATGGTCCAGAGTGGCCAGCGTGGGAGGGGAGACAGCAACTCCACACTCAGCCAGTATCCCTCTGGGCATCCCCGGCCTCCTGATTAGAGCTCCTGACCTCCTCTTCTGACAAGCAAAGAAAGCTCAGAGCCCAAAGCAGGACCCAGGCCTCGGCCACCATCTGAACTCAGAGGCTCCAGCACAAATCCCACGCCTGGGCCTGCTCAGGCCCCTGATCAGGTATAGTCGGAAACTCTGGAGAAAGTCCGTTTCTGCTGAGGCAGCAGGATCCTGACCAACATCGAAGAGGGAAAGATCCAATGAGCCCGTGAGCTGTAAGAAGGTCAGCCCAGGGGTCACCTCAGCTCTGCTCCGCCACTCTCCCATGCTAGGGACTCAGGATTCCTGCCCGCTCACCTATTTCTCTGGCTTGAATAAATCACGGGCACTTGGGCCCAGGGAGGGGGGATAACTCAGAGGCAGAGAATCCTTTCTGCCTGAGAGACAGGACTCACAGCCCCTGCAGACCTCCAGAGCTGGCCCTTTTCCCCAACTCCCTCTCTGCCCATAACTTGGGCTTCTCACCCAATTTGGCTCCCTGGCCTCTGGCCAGGACCCACCCCCTTCCTTTTCTTTTCTTTTTTTTTCCCCCTTGTTTTTCTTGCATGCAGAGGTACAGGAACAGCGTGAGCAGTGGGCCTGGGTCTCAAGCCCACACTTCCTTTGGTGACAGCTGAGGGTGACATATGGAACTTATAAACAAAACCCAGAACTACCCATGCCTCTCCCCATCCCCTCTTGAAAGCTGCTGCGCTTCCCCCTCACCAACCCACCCCGCCTGGGACTCTCAGCAAAGACTATAGCACCAGACTTTTTTTTCTGAGACGGAGTCTCACTCTGTCGCCCAGGCTGGAGTGCAGTGGCACGATCTAGGCTTCCTGCAAGCTCGGCCTCCCAGTTTCATGCCATTCTCCTGCCTCAGCCTCCCGAGTAGCTGGGACTACAGGCACCCGCCACCACACCCGGCTAATTTTTTTGTATTTTTAGTGGAGATGGGGTTTCACCATATTAGCCAGGATGGTCTCGATCTCCTGATCTCGTGATCCACCCGCCTCGGCCTCCCAAAGTGCTGGGATTACAGGTGTGAGCCACCGCGCCCAGCCAGCATTACGCATTTTCATTCCAGAAGAACCTGCCTCTCTCCCATGAAATATCCCTTGAATTCCCTGGCCCCAGAGAGGCTGGGAGCCCTGCCGATGTCTCTTTAGGCACCTACAGGAGAGGAAAAGGGCCTGGACACTGGGGTGGGGCAGGGCTCAGTGAGACAGTCAGGCCAACCCCAGGAAGCCAGGGAGATCCTGGATGTGAACATCCAACCAGTCTCGGGCTGGCTCCATCCCAGTCTTGTCTATTTCGACGGGCTTTGACCCCTCCTTCTGAGGCTGAAAGTAGGAGAGCTTACGGGGACATCAAAGTGTCTATGCTGTGACAGTGCAGGAAGCCACAGACACCGTTTTCCGAGGATTTGCCAAGGTTTCACCTACTGATGTCATGCTCCAAATATTCCCTTCTTTTTCCCTCTCTGGGGAGTCCCAGGGAGAGAGATCTGAACCCAGACTCAGACAATGTCCCTAAGATAGGCACAGCCTCCATACTCATCCTCCCCCGAGGGCAGCGTGACATGAGGCTATAGCCCTAGACTGGTCCCAGGGGCCTTGGGCAAGTCATTTAGTCTCTGGATCTTAATTGCTCATATGTTCAACGGGCTAATGTGTACCTTACCTACCTAATGGAATAATTAAGAGGATAAAATAGGAGACAGCCCAATAGGGTGGAAAGAGCTTCCTAACAAGAAAATCTGGGTTCTAGGCCCAATTCTGCCCCTAACTTGCCGTGTGTCCTTACAGGAGTTCCTTACCTTCTCTAAGCTCACCTATAAAATGAAAAGGTGACATTGATCATCTCTAAGTCCCTCCCACCTCTACTTTCTATGATTCTGTAGTATCTGTGAAAGCCTAAAAGAAGTTCTCTTTGGAGGAAAGAAATCCCTTGTCAACTGCACAGTGCTATTTGAATGTGAGGCATTTGGCATCCTGTCTGATTTGGATATTAATTTATGTAAACTGGTGCCCTCAGAGTTGGACTGTAGAGTACAGAACTCCAGAAATGTTCAGACAGGGATGGGTCTGTCTGAACCTCCCTGTAGCTCTGATAAAGCTGTCTGCTCACTTTACGAAGGCCTGCCAAATGTGGCAGCTACATATGAAATAATTTGCCCTGGATGGTGTGGAAGCTCATGGTGGAAACCGCAATCACATGCACACCGTTTGCATTTCTCTGGGCATTTGACTGTTCCCTCACAGCCCTGCTCCAGCAGAGGGTGAGGGCTATGCAGGGGCTGGGGTGGGGCAACTCCTTCCTAATCACAGAGGCAGCCCACTGAGGGCCAGCATCCTCCCTCCGCAGTTCTGGAAGAGGCATCTGCGGCCCCCAAGAGAGAAGCAGCGCAGGAGTGATGTGGATTGCCATGTGACACATCTAGTTGTTGTGCCTGGAATTGTGGAACTCTGAAGGCTGCAGCAATAGTGGCCTAGGCCAGGTGCAGTGGCTCATGCCTGTAATCTCAGCACTTTGGGAGGCCGAGGCAGGTGGATCACCTGAGGTCAGGAGTTCGAGACGAGCCTGGCCAACGTGGAGAAACCCCATCTCTACTAAAAATACAAAAATTAGCCTAGTGTGGCGGCAGGCACCCATAATCCCAGCTACTCCAGAGGCTGAGGCAGGAGAATCGCTTGAACCCAGGAGGCAGAGGTTGCGGTGAGCCGAGATCCCGCCATTGCAGTGACCAATCTCCAGCCTGGGTGACCAAAGTGAGACTCAGCCTCAAAAAAAAAAAAAAAAAAAAAAAAGCTGAAAGGCCAGACATTTAAAAGATAACCCTTTCACACAGGTCTGGAGATGTGGTGCCTTAAGGAGCATAGTGCTCTAACTCTGCCCGTGAGTCATCTCAGATATAATCTCCAATAGAACTCTTTCTGATGGTTCTTGTGAACAGAGCTTCAGTGACATGCCAGGCACTGTGCTAGGTGTTAACGCCCGCTATCCAGCTCCTGTTACTTCTCAGCCTGATAAGCACAGCGGGTGTAGCTATTCCTGCTTTGCAAATGAGGAAATTGAAGCTCCAAGAACCTAAAGGACTTGCCCAAGATCCAAAAGCTCTTCCTCGGTGCCTCACTCACCTATGAGTGCTAAGGCCCAGGTTCACCAACAGGTCCTCCGACACGTCTGCATATATAACTTCCCTCCACACAGCTCAAGGCAGGGAGAGAGAAACGGCCCAGCAGAGCCCTGATCATTGAGCTGTGGGAAGGCTGGGGAGGGCTTTGGAACAGAGCACACAGCAAGACCTCAGATCTGACTGAAGGGAGGAACTAGGAGCTGAGACAAGAATACGTGAAGTTGGAAGAGCCTCAGACTTCATCAAGGCTAAGGGTTCTCAATGGAAGAGAGAGTAGGGAGTGTAGGGCATCAAGGCTTATGTTCCAGGAAGGAATTCTGACACCAGCTCCCTGGCAGAAACAGAATCCGGTCCAATCCCATACTTCTACACATGGGGAAACTGAGGCCCACAGAGGAGAGGAAGCCTCCCTAACAAAGTTGTACTATCCTGGGAACAGACCATCTTGGGAAGCATGAGTTAGTTTCTTTTTCTTTTCTTTTTTTTTTTTTTTTTGAGACAGAGTCTTTCTCTGTTGCCCAGGCTGGAGTGCAGTGGTACTCGTGGCTCACTGCAAGCTCCGCCTCCCAGGTTCATGCCATTCTCCTGCCTCAGCCTTCCCAGTAGCTGGGACTACAGGCGCCCGCCACCACGCCTGGCTAATTTTTTGTATTTTTAGTAGAGACGGGGTTTCACCATGTTAGCCAGGATGGTCTCGATCTCCTGACCTTATGATCCGCCCGCCTCGGCCTCCCAAAGTGCTGGGATTACAGGCCTGAGCCACCTGCGCCCCACCCAGCATGAGTTACTTTCATGTGGCAGGGTGCACAGGAACTGTGCCCATGAGCAGGGTGACCGAACAGCTCCCAGAAACGGCATGCAAGTGCTCATAGTGTTTCCATCTTGCTGAATATATTGCAATTTGTAATACTGTTGCAGAACAAAGAGAGCGTAACTTCCACTTCAACTTTCATAGCTTGCTTCCCATACTTCTGGTCCCTTCATCATTTCCAACAGTGGTGAACGTTGATCCCACTCTGGGAAGTTGACAAGGGACAACCGCCCTCCCAGAGCCAATATCCATCCCACCCACCATTAGTAGGTATTGCCCCCAGGTTCACACAGGGAGTTAGCTGAGACCGTCAGTTCCCAACCCAGACTTCTTCTTCCTGTTTCCTCTGCTGGAAATCGGCACTGGAACCCCAGAGGCTAAATCAGGGCAATAAGAGACAGGAGAGGAGAGGTGGCCAGGGATGGGGCATAGCTTGGCTGGCAGTAGTCAGCTGCCCTATTTGCAGAACTGGGGTGGGGGAAGTTATTTGGGGGACATCATGGGGCACCTGTGCACACCTAAGCAGGTCTTGGAGGAGGGTAGATGTGGGTAGCAAACAGGGTGGTGACCCCAGGACCTCTGGAAGGGGTGACAAGCCCAGCTGCCATGGTCCAGCTCCAGGCCCCAACCTGAGCCAGCCAGCCAGGAGATATGGAGAGCCTTGGCTCTAATCAGATGGATCTGGGTTCAAATCTCCCTTCTGTCACCTAAAAGCTGTCAGGCACACTGGGCAATTTCCTGGGCCTGTCTGAGGCTGGCTCTTCTGTATAACAGGATTATTTAGCAAATACTTAGCAAGTACTTTTTCCTCTTCTCTCTAGGAGAATTATGTGCAGAACTGGTTGGGGGCGCGGTAGGGGTCAGTTGTGCCAGGTACAGAAGCAACTATGGCTAGATGCTAGGGTGAGAAAAAGTGTTTCCCTGGGGAGACAGCTATTAATCAAATTATCACACAAACCCATGTTAAGAGTGCTAAAGGGGGTAAGAACAGTATCCACTCATAGGCCGCTGTGTGGTGAGGTTAAAGCCGCAGATGCCTCTGGGCACACACAGAAACCTTCAAGAAGTGCATCTGTTTCTATCCCAGCCCTTCAATGGCATCTCGTGGAGCTGATAAATTGGAGAATATATTTGTCCAGCACTTTTAGATTTTTCTTTTTTTTGAGACGGAGTTTTGCTCTCGTTGCCCAGGCTGGAGAGCAATGGCGCAATCTCGGCTCACCGCAACCTCCGCCTCCCAGGTTCAAACGATTCTCCTGCCTCAGCCTCCCGAGTAGCTGGGATTACAGGCATGAGCCACCACGCCCAGCTAATTTTTTGTTGTTGTTTGTATTTTTAGTAGAGACGGTGTTTCTCCATGTTGGTCAGGCTGGTCGCGAACTCCCGATCTCAGGTGATCCGCCCGCCTCAGCTTCCCAAAGTGCTGGGATTACAGGCGTGAGCCACCTTGCCTGGCCACTTTTAGATTTTAATAGCATGTTGCACACACATATTAACTCGTTCGGTCTTCCAATAACCCTAGGAGGTAGGTGAAATTTCCTCAATTTCTTGATGAGGAGACTGACGCCCAGAGAGGCTAAGTGACTTCCTCAAAGTCTCCAGCATGGAGATTCAGGATTCAAGCCTCTGCGGTCCTCTGGGCTATCCACTCCCCGCAACCGTGGAAAGGAAGGGCTGGGAAACACTAAGCCTCGGGACGGGAGAAGATTGGGAAACCAGTCCCCGACCGCGCCCGTCGTCTAAGCCCGGGTTTCCTGCCTCTCTCCGGGCCCGTGGGCCGGGCTGTGCTCCGGGAAGCCCGTCATCCGCTCGTGACCGACCCTCCCCGGCCCGCTGCCAGGAGGGGGCGCGGCGCTGGCGGCGGCCAAGGCCGGAGGGCTCCTCGGGGACCCCGGCCCGGGGCTGCGCGTCCTTCCCTGCTGCCCACGCTCCCGCTTCCGGAGGGGTCTGGACCTGCCTTCTCCGGCCTGGAGCCAGAGGCCGCCGGGCAGGCAGCCCGCGCCAGGAACTCGGCCCCCTGCCCTGCTCCCCGGGCGCGCCCCGCGGGCGGCCAACCCGGATCGGACGCGGACCCCCGGGCCAGGGTGCCACGACACCCCTGACCCGGGCACCGGGACTATCGGGCCCCTCCCCCGCCTTCTCGAGTTCCCGGAACGGTGGCACCCACTCCCCTTCCATCCCCCGGCGGAGGCCACGGACGCGCAGCGCGAGGTGGGCCAGGCGCCCAAATCACTTTACCGTGCGCCTCCTGCTAGAGAGTCGCCCAGCCCAAGGCAGTGGGGCGCGGAGGCGGAGGACGGGGAAACTGAAATACAAAGGGATTGAGTGGAAAGCAATAGAGGGGGGTGCTGGGAGGGGAACCAGCTAGGCTCAAAGCTCCAAAGTGGATCGCCGGGTTAATGTGGGGTTCCTGCCTCGCCACCCACTCCCAATGCGGCTGCTTAGCCGACTGCATAGGCGGCTTCTCTGCTTTACACTAGGGGGTCTGAATTCCCCAGCCCAGTCCCCCAGGTAGCTTAGACCCGGCCTCTGAAAACAGAAGATCCCTCCTTCCAACACTCCTCGCCGGCAAGGCAGAGATGGGTCTTTCAGGGAGCAGGACGTTGGGCCGCAGGTTTCGGTAAAGCACCTCACTCGGAGCCACAGCCTCCATGTCTATAAAATGAGGAAAATGGACCGGGCGCAGTGGCTCACGCCTGTAATCCCAGCACTTTGGGAGGCCAAGGCGGGCAGATCACGAGGTCAGGAGATCGAGATCATCCTGGCTATCACAGTGAAACGTCGTCTCTACTAAAAATACAAAAAAATTTGCCGGGCGTGGTGGCGGGCGCCTGTAGTCCCAGCTACTCGGGAGGCGGAGGCAGGAGAATGGTGTGAACCCGGGAGGCGGAGCTTGCAGTGAGCCGAGATCGCACCACTGCACTCTAGCCTTGGCGACAGAGCGAGACTCCATCTCAAAAAAAAAAAAAAAAAAAAAAAGATAATTAATGAAGCAAACGTCTTTTAAATGTTAGAGCCCCGGGCTCCTGCAGCCATTCCCTGGCCACGTGGCATGCATTGCGAGTTAATTGTGTAAGTGTGTGGTCTTCTTCCCACCTCCTCTCCACCCACCACCTCCATTCATTAAAGTGAAGGTAGAGCTGCCTCCCACCCGTCTGCTCAAGAGATAACCATTCAGCCCCTTTTATTTGTTCAGGACTTTACCGTTTGTAAGCCCTTCCTAAATTTTTTTTTCAAGACGTAGTCTTGCTCTGTCGCCCAGGCTGGAGTGCAATGGCGTGATCTCCGCTCACTGTAGCCTCCGCCTCCTGGGTTCAAGCGATTCTCCTGCCTCAGCCTCCCAAGTAGTTGGGATTACAGGGGCGTGCCACCGCGCCCAGCTAATTTTTTGTATTTTTAGTAGAGACGGGGGTTTCGCCATGTTGGCCAGGCTGGTCTCGAGCTCCTGACCTCGTGATCCGCCCGCCTTGGCCTCCCAAAGTGCTGGGATGAGCCACCGCGCCTGGCCCCTACATACTTTTCATTTGAACAGTATGTGTGTGTCAAATCGCCTGAATTTAATTCTTGTCTCCCACACCCCCTGGCTGAATAAACTTGGGCAATTTGCTTAACTTCTCTGTGTTCGTTTTCTGGTCCATAAAGTGATACTAATACTAGAACCACTTGGTTGGGCTATTGAGGAATAAGAGGCTAATATATGTCAGGTACAGCACCTGGCACAGAGTGTGTCCCCTGACCCTGTTGGCAGTTATGACTGAGCCCCGCTGAATCTAACATGCAGCCTGCTTCAGAGGGCTCCAGATGGCTTTCCAGACTTGGCCCTCTGGGGCAGATTCTGATTCCGTAGGTAGGTCTGGGGCAGGCCTGAGATCCTTCAGGTCTGAACAGCTCCCTGGTGCTACTGATGCTGCTGGCACCCAGGCACTCCTTTGAGTGGTGAGGTCTTAGAGCAGCGGACTTGACTGTGCACCAGACGCATCTGGAGGGTTTGTAAAAATAGATTGCTGAGTGCCATCCCCAGAGTTTCTGACTTAGTAGGTCTGGAATGAGGCTAGGATTTGCATTTGTAACAAGCTCTCAGGTAATGCTGATGCTGCTGATCTGGGGACCATAGTTTGAGGCTTTGTTTTAGAGCATCTCACCCCTCAAGCTTATGGCCACCAGTAATGTCATGCTGGGGGGTGGGCTGGGGAGTAGAGGTCATTAAACAGCCAAGAGTAGCTTCTTATGCTTTGGGAATAAAAGAAAGTTTGGGGTGGGGGGAGGGTGGGAGGCAGGTACCTGAGATTGGAAACCAAAAATAAAAAATCTTCCCAATTCTAATATGGGTAAGACACCAGAAGGAATAAAAAGGACAGTGTAGCTTTTTTCTCAGCATCCTGTAAAAATAAGGGAGACTGGTAAAGACTGCCTAGTTGCTCAAGGGCAAAAGAAAGGGAATGGAGTCTCCCTCAGCCCATGTCTTCCTGTTTGGGGTCCTCTCTCCCCAGACAACCAGGAGAACAGAGGGAAGCCGGAGGGCAGCAGCAAAGCCCGCAAGGAGAGGACGGCCTTCACCAAGGAGCAGCTGCGAGAGCTGGAGGCAGAGTTTGCCCATCATAACTACCTGACTCGGCTCCGCAGATATGAGATTGCGGTAAACCTGGACCTCTCTGAGCGCCAGGTGCGCCCCCGGTGGGCCCCTCCTCTTCTTTGCTCTCTCATCTCCCTCCCTTCCCTCCTTTCCCACCACCCCTCCCTGGACCTTCTCCTTTTTCTTCCTCCAGCCAGTCCAGCGGTTTTCAACTGTGGCCACACCTGAGAATAGCCTGGGGAGTTTTGGGTTTTTTTGTTTTTTGTTTTTTGAGACGGAGTCTCGTTCTGTCGCCCAGGCTGGAGTGCAGTGGCGCGATCTTACTGTAACCTCCACCTCCTGGGTTCAAGCAATTCTCCTGCCTTAGCCTCCCAAGTAGCTGGGCTACTGGCGTGCGCCACCACGCCCGGCTAATTTTTGTTTTTTTTTTTAGTAGAGGCGGGGTTTCACCATGTTGGCCAGGATGGTCTCAAACTCCTGACCTCAGGTGATCCGCCCGCCTCGGCCTCCCAAAGTGCTGGGATTACAGGCGTGAGCCACTGCGCCCGGCCCCTGGGGAGATTTTAATAGTGCTGATGTCTGGGCTCCACCCCTAGGGATGATTTTAATTGGCCTAGGATGGGATACAGGCCTCAGAATTTTTCAAAGGCCCCCTAGGTGATTCTCACATGCAGCTAGGTTGGGACCTACGGTCTGGCTATTCCCAAATTTGAGTATATGTTGGAATCCCCCAAGGCACTTGTTCAAAATGTGGATTCTGGAGGTCCGGAGAGAGATTTTACCATAATGAGTGGGCCTGAGAATCTGTATTTCTAGTACATTCTCCAGGTGATCTGGATATGCAGCTGGTTCCTGGGCACACTTTGAGAAAAACTTCCCTGGCCCTTTGTTTTGGACTTTCCCTTCAGCCACCCCACACCCCCACACCCATGCTCTGATACGGAATAATAGTAATAATAACCGTAATATTTGATAGCAGATTTCAGTTGACAGAGCACTCTGCCAGAGGGCTGGATATTGAATCAGAAGACTTAGATTCAAATCCTGCCTCTATCACTTTTCCTAGCCCTGGGACCTCTGGGTCTCCATCTGTAAAATGGGATCATAATCCTGCAGGTAATACTCAAGCTCAGATGAGAAAATGTGCTTACCAGAGCTATCTAAACCAAAAAGTGCTCTATAAATGTGCCTAAGGATAAGGCTGATGACCTCTGCTCCCAGACCCTTGGGGAATGGAGGTAGGGGGCAGGGGGACCTGGCACAGGCAGGGCAGGGCATGTGAAGGGGGTGGGGCCAATGCAGAGTGCTTTTAGAACATGTTCCCCCGTCTGGGGCTTTATCCGAAGCCACAAGACAGACCTCTGGGCAGATTGGTATGTCCTCTCTTCGGTCCTAGTTCCTGGGGCCTTTGAGGGAGTAGGGAGTGGTAAGTGATGGTTTCAAGCTGGGGTCCCTGGAGTTACACCCTGGCTAGCCTAAGCATTGACATGGGGAGGAGGTCACACCGGCCCTGGAGTGACCAGGCTCCTTTGCTTCCTCCCCCAGGTCAAAGTGTGGTTCCAGAACCGAAGGATGAAGTGGAAGCGTGTGAAGGGAGGTCAGCCCATCTCCCCCAATGGGCAGGACCCTGAGGATGGGGACTCCACAGCCTCTCCAAGTTCAGAGTGAGATTCTGCATGGAGGAAAAATGACTAAGGACTGAGCCCCCTACCCAACTACCCCCACCCCAATCCCACCTTCACCCTCTTCCTTCCCCAGCCAGGGCAGCCTCTCCACATCTTTCCCTGACTCTTGGATATGAAACTGCCCAGCATTCCTGGGAGTCTTAGGATTTTCTAGGAAGTTCTGTCCAGCCTCTTAGCAGCCTCTTCCCTAGGGCCTTTGCTCCCACACTCTCATGGAATCAGACAGAGATCCTACCGGGCCGGATGAATCTGGAAACAGCTTCAGAGATACTGCTTCTCAGCGTCTCTTGGCTGCCACCCATGCCTCCTCCTACCGCTGTTCTCCTAGGTCAGCCAGGCCTCCTCCTGGTCTGGACACCACCTGGCCTGGTGGGAGAGGAGCTTTGGAACCAGCTGGCGACTCGGAAAGTAAATGCTTCAAAAGGAAGGAAATGACAGAGACACACGCCCTTGCCCACCTTCCTCTGTAGGCTGCACATCTGAGGCTTTGGGGCCCCTTAGTTGTCCCGAAACCCCAAGAAAAATCAGAATGAGGAGAGTCAAGGACAGCAACTCAGCTGCTGCAAGCCAGAAACACATCCCTGTCTCCAAATTTGTTGGCTAAGTGGAGACACTTCTGAGAACTGACTAGAGAAGACAGAAAAATAGCCCGATGTAGGTTTCGGTGTCCCCATATAGGCCCGTCCACACAGGCTTGACTGGGTGGACAAGAATGAACCCATGACAGCACCTGCTGCTTCAAAATCAAAATCAATTTAGGGATACAGCAGGGGCTGTTGGGCTGTGCTCCAGAGAAAAGGAGCAGCTACTCCTTTTAAATCCACGATTTCTGGATTGAAAACCTGTCCAGATGCTGAGTTGTTGGGCTGAACAACTAGGAGCTGAAAACAACGTAGAGGCTGGAAAGTGTCCCCTGCATTCTGGAGGGGAGGGGAGATAATAAGGAGGGCTGCTGGGTGAGGGCCTGGAGATGTGGAACCCTGGAGTGGAAGGTTCTCCAGTGACAGTGTCCTGTGACTGCAAAAGGGGACAAGAAAATCCCTCTTCCTCCATGGGATGGATTTAAGCTCTTGCTGTGTGTTCTACAAATGCTGTTATTGTGGGAGGAAATGCTAGGTTTTTGTGTGTGGACTGCCCAGACCTCAGCCAGGTCTTCTGGAGATGACATTTGAGGACTGATGGCCAAAGAGCATGGGGGACTGAAGCCCTGGCTGCCTCAGCGCTCTGTCTCCCAACACCAGCTGGTGTTGCAGAGGGAGGTCAACGTGAGTTTGGATCTCTTGTACGCAGATGTAATCATTCACATGTAAAAATAACCCCACCTCCCCACCCCAAAAAGGGCAAGAGCTGTGGAAAATGATTGCCAAATGAGATGGCTGGTTAGAGCATGATTTTTTCTAAAGCATACTTCATATATTTTCTTAAGATTACATCAAGCTAATTGTGCGAGCTCAATTCACTTTGTAAGAAAACTCTCGGAGAAATAAAATCAATAAAAAGCAAAGTTCCCAGGCCTTTTTCTTTGCAGAGCGAACAACCACAGCTCTTGTGTGCAACCTTCTGATTGACCAGACAATGTCTAGAAGCAAGAGAAAAAGGGAAGAAATGATCTAGACAGAGCTGTCCCCCTTTAGTTTTTCAAAAGGTGGGTACAAAATATAATTGGTGCCAAAAAAAAATTTTTCTCCAATGCAAATGCATGGTCTTCATTTCTCATTGTAAAAGTTTAGCTTTCAGTTTCCCTAAACTATGACCTATCAAATAGTCAATGTTTTATAAACAAAAGATGAACTCTTTTGTTAATAAAGGAATCTTGACCACAAAGTAACCATCCCTAATGTTTAAATTCAAAGTTTGGAGATTTTATTTTTCAAGGTAGAAAAATGTATATTAATAGTAGTAAAAAATGACATAAGAAAAAATATCCCATATTTTGTCTTTTTTTTTTTTTTTTTTTTGAGACAGAGTTTCGCTCTTGTTGCCCAGGCTGGAGAGCAATGTCTTGGCTCACTGCAAC
Source organism: Homo sapiens (assembly GCF_000001405.40). Lineage (NCBI taxonomy): Eukaryota > Metazoa > Chordata > Mammalia > Primates > Hominidae > Homo > Homo sapiens. Next base: position 43,639,875 of record NC_000017.11, on the reverse strand, counting down.
CTCCACCTCTTGGGTTCTCCTGCCTCAGCCTCCTGAGTAGCTGGGATTACGGCCATGTGCCACCACGCCCAGCTAATTTTTGTATTTTTAGTAGAGATGGGGTTTCTCCATGTTGGCCAGGCTGGTCTCCAGCTCCTGACCTCAGGTGATCCACCCGCTTTGGCCTCCCAAAGAGCTGAGGTTACAGGCCTGAGCCACCACGCCTGGCCTCTATGTCTTTTTAACTAAAAAACAATTTGTCTCACCAAGATGTCAACAATGGACAAAACAGGACTGGCTACGGTGAGGGGAGAGAGGGAGGCAGGAGGGGAGACCTGGCCAGGATCTTGCAATGAGGCAGCCTGGGCCAGGTGTGGGCAGTGCCTGGAAGTGACATCACCAGGACCTGGAATCAGGCAGACCCACCAAAATGAAGGTGCCAAATGGAAGTGGGTTCAGTGGCTCAGGTTCAGGTTCACAGCCAAGCAACATGGACACGCTCAGTCACCCCCGTCCACCCTCCTGCTGGAAACTCAACTCTGTGGCTTCAGGGGACATCACCCTCTTCTGGCTTTCCTCATCTGTCCTAGATGTTCCTTCTCTGTCCCCCATGCAAGCCCCTTTCTCGATGCTTCTGCTCTCACAGCTGGTTCTCAAGGTTTTCTCTTTCTTCCGCCACCTTCCCTATTTTTCAATCTCTCCCCAGATGATCCCATCCACCTACTTTTTTTGTTTGTTTGTTTTTTGGGACAGTCTCGCTCTGTCGCCCAGGCTGGAGTGCAGTGGCGTGATCTTGGCTCACCACAAACTCTGCCTCCCGGGTTCAAGCGATTCTCCTGCCTCAGCCTCCTGAGTAGCTGGGATATGGCTAATTTTTGTATTTTTAGTAGAGATGGGGTTTCACCATGTTGGCCAGGTTGGTCTCAAACTCCTGACCTCAGGTGATCCTCCCGCCTCAGCCTCCCAAAGCGCTGGGATTACAGGCATGAGCCACCACGCCCGGCCTATGTTTTTTTAAATTGTTGTAAAATACTCTAACATAAAATAAAAGTTATCATTTTAACCGTTTTGAAGTGCACGGTCCCGTGGCATTAAACATTTTCTCATTGTTGTGCAGCCATTGCCACTATCCATCTCCAGAACGTTTTCATCTTCCCAAACTGAGACCCTTTGCCTATGGAACACTAACCCCTATCCCCTCCCCTTCATTCACCTGCATTTACATAGTGTTTGCGCCATATTGAGCACTGTTCCGCTTTACATGTACAAACTAAGTGAATTCTCTTAGCCATCCTAAGAGGTAGTACTACCGTCATTCCCATTTCACACATGAGGTAACCAAGGCGGAGAGAAGCTGAGTAAACTCCCAAGGTTTTATGGTGGTTAGTGTTTGGGGTGGATTGTATTATTGGGCCTGGTTATCTTCTTCCCTCTCCACTGGGGAACATGCCTCCCTGATCATTGCCATATGATGCACCTGCCGCGGTAAGGGCACACTTCCTCACCTAATTGACATCAGCTTGTCCTTGTGGCCTGCTTTGGCCAATAGAATGTGAGCAGAAGGATATGTGCTGTATCCAAGCAGAAGCTTTACGGGTCATCACACGGCTGTACTCCTGCTCTTTTCCCTCTGTACGAGGCTGAAATGGAGGATCCCTAGGTTCCAGAAGGAGAAAAACATGGAACAAAGCCAAAGCTGACCCCATAGCCTTCACAGATGTCAGTGAGGATATAAACATTTGTTGCTGTAAGCCACTGGGATTTGTGGGTCACGAGCTCGTGAAAACTGACCACTCCAGTGATGAAGCTGGGTTTGGAATTGACGCATTCTGGCCCCAGGCCAACACTTCCTATGCCTGATCTGGGTGCCTAAGCTTTTCTATTCTGCTGCCTACTGCCCTTTGCCACCTAGGATGACTATAAGCATCTCAAACTCCGATATCTGAAGGGGAAATCGCCATTCCCGCAGTTGGGTGAGCACCACTGCCTGCATTCTGATTCTTCTACTTTAGCTGGCAACACCACAACCTACCTGTTCATTCACACTGGAAACCTGGGGCACATCGTCATACAGACCTCTGCTTTTCCGAACCAATCCACTACCTGGGCCTGCTCATTTTACTTCCCACATAGATACTTCTCCCACCCACGGCATTGTCTTCCCACCACCACTGCCTTCCTTCTGGCTGCTGATGTCTCACTTGAATTAGAGCCTCTGAGAGCTCTCCCTCCTGATCTGAGGCTGCTCAAATCCCATCCCCTCTCAGCCTGTAGAGTGATCACAAAAAAAAATTCAACCCTGTCACCCCCAATTTAAAACCTATCGGTAGCTTTCCTCACCTACAAAATAAAGAGCCTTCACAGGTCTCCATGATCCAGCCCCTGACCACCTCCACAGCCGCAACCTACCACCTCCGCCACAAATCCTGGGCTCTAGCAAGACCAAGCCACCTTCCATTCCACAGCCATAGGCCATGTGATTTCTCCATTCCTTGGCTCATTCCCTTCTGTCTGGAGTGCTCTCCCACACCTGGAGCCCCAAGGACTTATGGATTCTAGGAGCACTCTAAAGGAACACGCAGGAAGTTTAAATATAAATATGGCCCAAGTTTTTTTTTTGTTTTGTTTTGTTTTTTAAGAGACTTCGTTTCCCAAGCTGGAGTGCAGTGGTGTGATCATGGCTCACTGCAGCCTCAAACTCCTAGCCTCAAGCAATCCTCCCACCTCAGCCTCCTGAGTAGCTAGCTGGGACTAAAGGTGTGAGCCACCATGCCCAGCTAATTTTTAAATGGCTTTGTAGAGATGGGGGTCTCACTATGTTGCCCAGGCTGGTCTTGAACTTCTGGCCTCAAGGGATCCTCCTGCCTCACCTCCCAAGGCCCTGGGGTTACAGGCATGAGTCACTGCACCCAGCCCAAACTAATTTTCAATAGTAGATCAATGCCTAACACGAGGCAGCAACATTCACCAATTTCTAAAACCATCAGAAAAAAACCTCAGTGTGAGAATTTTCCTTTCCCCAATAAACCCAGTTAATAAGCCCACTGAGGAGAGTTTGATCATGAAATTAAAAGTACATGCACACAGCAATCAAGAGGTTTCTGGTTTCTTTTGAACATTCCATGCACTCCTCTCCCTCTTCAGCGTTGGTGTTTGATTGACCTGCACTGGGTGAGCAGTAGCTGGGACCAGCTGTTCCTCAAGTTGGTAAAAATCCTCCACTTTCTCCCGAGGGCAAAGCTGCATGAAGGAAGCAAGGCCACCCACTGGCAACTCCTTGATGGGAACCAGTGAGTGTGACCAGAGATGGTGGCTTGGTAGGAATCCAAACAACTGAGAATTCCCAGACAGTAACTTTTCAGTAATGGTTTTCTCCATCCTTGAGAGAGCATCAGGGACGAGCGAGTGTGTGGCTGACCTGCTGAGAGAGGTGAGGAGATATGAAAAAAGAGAGAGATGAAGCAAGCGAGTAGGGAATCCATTTCCAAAGGAAAAGGCCTAGAGGGGCTCAGGCCTTCAGAAATCTGCTCACCTGCCTGCGCCAGGTCCTGAGATGGATGCGTGCATTTCTGATAGTTCTTCTATTCAAAGATGAGAATCAGTGTCAGGGAGAGATCTACTCTTTTCTGTCCAGACCCCCAAAGAACCACATTTCCAGTAACTGGGTAAGCCCATGGTGGGTGGCTTTCTTTCCTTCCATTGGGTGGAAATGATTGCCCTTAAGAGCTATATATTCTCTGCCCAGACAGAGGAGCCTGTGCCTGCTAATCCCTCACAACACCAGTGAGGCACTGGTCAGTCATGTCATCTCTTGGCCATCGTGGTGCTGGGCTCTCACCATGTTCCTTCTCTCACCGGCTGCCCCTTCTCAGTCCTATTTGCTGCCAACCCTGGCTACCTGAATATTTTTGAAACACTTTGAAAAATATCTCAAATCCGGCTGGGCGCGGTGGCTCACACATGTAATCCCAGTACTTTGAAAGGCCGAGGCAGGCAGATCACCTGAGGTTGGGAGTTCGAGAGCAGTCTGGCCAACACGGTGAAACCCCGTCTCTACTAAAAATACAAAAATTAGCTGGGCGTGGTGGCACATATCTGTATTCCCAGCTACTTGGGAGGCTGAGCCATGAGAATCACTTGAACCCGGGAGGCAGAGGTTGCAGTGAGCTGAGATCATGACTGCACTCCAGCCTGGGCAACAGAGCGAGACTCCGTCTTAAAAAAAAAATCTTAAATCCACGCCCTTCTCTAATGCTACCTGTGGCCATGACTGTTCCTTTATTCTCTATCTTCCCAACTTGTGTGTGTTCCTTTATGGCCACTACCACAATTTGTCATTCTTCTATTTTTTGTTTGCTTATTCATTTATGGTCTGCTTTATAAGCTGGAAGAAAGAGAAAGGGATGTGTTTCTCTGACCATTTTATTCTCAGCTACCACATGATGCCTGGCACATAATACATGTTCAATAGATAGTATTGGATGAGTGGACACATGGATGGATGGATGGATGGATGGATGGATGGATGGATGGAGGAACCGTTAAACTATTGACATCACTGACTTCTCGGTTCAAAACTGCCCATTGCTGGACATGTGGACAGTGTAGGAGAAGCTCAGTCCAGAAGCTGGTTAGGTGGCTTGATGCAGTCAGGGCTTCAGAGACCACCAGGTCTGGCCGGCCATGCCCTTGAAGAGGGGCACTGAACAGTCACCCTGTTTCTACAGCCCCAGGGAACTCTCTGGGGCCAAGGTTCTCTGCAAATCCCTCCCCCACTCTCTGAGCTCTGTCTGAAGTCTGGACAAACCTCTCCTCTTTGACCCATGGTTGGCAAAAAAAACAGCTTCCAGAGCCTGACCACTGACAACAGCGAGACTCAGAAGTGTGCCTGATAAGAGGTTTGTGAGCCACTCACGCACGTCTCTGAGGGTGACGCTTAATAGCTTCAAGGTGACATCAGGGTTGGGACTAATATCCGATTGAACAGAAAGAGACATGACCTAACTCGTCTCTCACCGTGGGCCTGGCTGCGAGAGCTTCTCTTTCTTTATTAATTTCCTAACCGGAGCTGCTGGCTCAGGACTCCAGCCTGTCCCCAGAGCCGGGGCCCACGGCTGGGCTTCAATCCAGCGTTAGTGGGAAGGGAACAGGCTCAGCCAGGGTCTGAGAACCCCCAGGATGAAAGTCCACTGAGTCTGTGCTCATCTTGGCGAGAGCCTCATGGTTGGCTTTCTCCACCATCCAGCAGATTTACCCTGCTTTGAGAAAATCCAGTAGGACAGATCCAAAGGCTCTAAAAAATTACTCCTGGTAAAAAAAACCTTGCTGCAGCCTCCCAGCAAGCTGCAGGCTTCCCCAGTGGCTGTAAAGGATGGTTTTATTTGTGTTTTAAAAAATGATTTAAAACCAGTTTTCCAGGAACACAAATCCTGTCTAAAGCACCCGGTGCACCTGGCTAGAGAGCTGCAGGCCTGTGTCTGAGCTGGCTGACTGCCTGGTGGGACCATGATATCTTCAGGTTATTTTCCTTTAAAATATTCTCTGCATTGGCTGGGCATGGTGGCTCATGCCTGTAATCCTAGCACTTTGGGAGGCCGAGGTGGGTGACCAGCCTGGGCAACACAGTGAAACCCTGCCTCTACCAAAATACAAAAAGTTAGCTGGGCGTGGTGATGTGTGCCTGTAGTCCCAGCTATTCAGGAGGCTGAGGCAGGAGAATCGCTTGAACCCAGGAGGTGGAGGTTGCAGAGAACCGAGATGGTGCCACTGAACTCCAGCCTGGGCGACAGAGCGAGACTCCATCTCCTAAAAAAAAAAAAATTCTCTGCATTGCAGGAAGAGAAATCCTGTGTTTCTTATCACCTTCCCTCCCCACTGCTCTCACCCTACCCGCACGTACACACATACACACACACACACACACACACACACGGCTCTCACCCTACCCCCACGTACACACACACACACACACACACACACACACACACCATCTTTGGACACTGATAGATTGCAGTTCCGACACAGGCTGTGCCACAGATTAGCTGTGTGGCCTGCATGGAGTCATTCATCTTCTCTGAGCCTCAGTTTCCTCATCCAGTGGCCTGCAGAAGTAGTGGTGCTTGATAAACACTTGTTGAAAAATGCTCCTACAAAGTACAGATCATATTTTACTCACAGGCTAATAGGAGGATTAGATTGATTCATTCACTCCACAAAAATATTACTTGAGTTCTAACTATGTGTTAAGTCCTAGGTAGGGTGAGTGGAGACGGTCAGACTGTCCCCAGGAAAATGGGGTAAGGTCTACAGAATGCCTCGCACGGTGCCTGCCTCAGAGTGGGCCCTCCAAGTGGGAATGAGTGCCCTCTGTCAGTCTGTCTGTCTCTCTCTCTCTCTCTCTCTCTCTCTCACACACACACACACACAGACACACACACACCCCAGATTCTAGTCAGAGTGCTCTTCCGCTTCTTCAGGGAGGCTGCAACACAGTGTCAGCACAAGCATGGAGCCCGGAGGAGGCCTAGGCTTCAGTACCTGCTTTTCTACTCATTTGCTGCGTGACTTTTAGCAAACCACCCATCTTCCCTGGACCGATTTCCCAACTGCAAAAAACTGAGCATTCTAATACCTTGTTCTGCCTTGAGTACAAAGGTTAAACAGATACTATGGGCAAAACGTTTTCAAAGCGCCAAGCTATACCAAAAAAGAAGTGCTGCTGAGAGGCAGTAGGGGATCGTGGGGAAAGTCAAGGGCTTGGAGGATGCCAGATCCAGATTTGCTTCTGATGCGTTAACCCAGAACAGAACTTTTCACACTGTGGCCACACATGACAGCCCCTAAGCACATCTTACAATACCGATTCAGCCACTATGTCAATCCCCTCACACCCACACCCCCTCCATGGGAGGCATCGCTCAGATCTTCACCCAGGGGCAGCTGGGGAGGAGCAGCCTCTTCAGGAAGGAACCAGAAAGTGAAGGCCCCAGGAAGTCCCTAGGGCGCTCAGCCCATTGTTAAGCTTGACCCGTCCACCCTCCCTTCATCCTGTCTTGCCATGGCTCTGCCCCCTAGGACCCCACTTTTCCTTCCCAACATGACCAGCCCGTGAAAGATCTAGAGTACAGAAAAACCAGGCACAACTGTCTCTTCTCCACAGCGAGGTGCCCTGCAGGCCTGCCAAGCAGGCAAGTCCCCCTCCAGAAGCCGGTACCAAGTGCTGAAGGCTGTGTTTCTTCTAAGAGAGGGTGGGGGAGGCCTGGGCCCCTTCAAATGCCCTTTCATCCTCAGCTGCTCCCGTTCACACACCTCTTCCCTGACAGGCATGAGGAGAAGCTATTACTCGAGAAGACTGCTGGTGGGGACACTGGAGTGGCCGAGGCCCATGAGCCTGGGGGGACCCCTCAGTCAGGACCAGGCTCTTTCTACTCAAGAATCTGTGGCCCTTCTGGGGGCTGTGGCACAGGATGCGGGGCCTTCATCCCACAAATCCCCTCTGTGCATCCCCTGCCGGATCTCTGTGGAGCAGATGCCAGGGGTGGGGGCAGGACACAATGCCCCTCTTTGTTGGGGGGATCCGGGCCGGCAGTCGGGAGGAAATTAGACAGCGCTCCTGACAGCAGGCTCCGTCTGGGGTGTCTGTGAAATATGGGCCAGAGGGGCTCCTTCCAGAGACCAGTTCATGGCCGCCGACCACCCCCACCCCTGCTTTGGGCAGAGAGGACACTGCCTGTTTGGAGAGAAATGATATATGACACGCAGCTTCCTTTCCTCCTCTCCTGAGGGGCTTAACGCAGCTCTGAGAGCCTGGGGAAGCTCATGGCTGCTCCTTGGAGGTGTGAATGTACGCACATATGTGTACACATGTGTATGTGCGTGTGTGTGTACCTGTGTGTGCACACATCTATGAGCCTGTAGGTGTGTGCGTTGTGTGGGTGTTTTCTGAGTTTGTGTGTGTATCTGCTCACTCCATGGCCAGAGGAGAGGGCTCAAAATCCTGGCCAAACAAAATGTTGGCCAAGATGGCACCCTCTTTAGCATCCCTTCATTTTCACAGGCCAGGATGAGGACCTTTGGGGCCTAGGGCCTAAACAAAGCTATTCAGAGAGTGGTGGTGTGAGGCGAAGGGGAGGGAGATTACTGAGCACCCTGTCCGCTGATTCCATCCTCCAAGTGGCCACCTCACAAGGCAGGAACTGTTTTCAGGATGAGCACATCTCCCGCCCCACGGAGGCTCCTAATCCAGCCACAGCATAGCCTGCAGAGCCTCCAATGGCCCCTGAACCATTTGTCTTCAAGAGAGGAAATGGTAGGCTATTCCCACCCACCTAACTCCTTTGCGGCCAGCCGGGTCTCCACATCTGGGCTGCAGCTGGCTGCTCTCTCCAAAGAACAAGAAGACAGAGAACTGTCAGCAGAGGGCTCCGAAAAGTACCTTAACCCCTCAGCAAGCTGGAAGCCACAAAGGATCAGCCTCAGTTTCCACATCTGTAAATGAGAGCAAGGGCAAACCCTGCCTTCTGAAAGGCTGTTGGGATAACTAAAGAATATAAGGGCCGGGTGCGGTGGCTCACACCTGTAATCCAGCACTCTGGGAGGCTGAGGAGGGTGGATCACCTGAGGTCAGGAGTTCAAGACCAGCCTGGCCAACATGGTGAAACCCCATCTCTACTAAAAATACAAAAATTAGCTGAGCATGGTGGTGCACACCTATAATCTCAGCTACTCAGGAGGCTGAGGCAGGAGAATTGCTTGAACCCGGGAGCGGAGGTTGCAGTGAGCTGAGATCGCGCCATTGCACTCCAGTCTGGGAGTGCAACAGAGTGAGACTCCATCTCAAAAAAAAAAAAAAAAAGAAGAAGAAGAAGAAGAAGATGAGGTGTGGAAACATTCAATAAGCTCATAAGATCTCAAGGGTGGTCCAAAGGTTAGTGGCTGGTATACATCCAATAAACATCTGCCAGGTGTCTGCTACAGGTAAGACTTGGGATGGGCACTATGAGAGAATAAGAAAAAGAACAATTTTTTATTTTTTTGAGACAGGATCTCCCTCTGTCATCCAGGCTAGAGTGCAGTGGCACGACCACAGCTCACTGTAGCCTCAACCTCCTGCGCTCAAGCGATCCTCCCATGTCAGCCTCCCAAACAGCTGTGACTACAGGTGCTCACCACCACACCGGCTAATTTTTAAATTTTTTGTAGAGACAAGGTCTCACTGTGTTGCCCAGGCTGGTCTCCAACTCCTGGGCTCAAGCAATTGTCCCTCCTTGGCCTCCCAAAGTGCTGCAATTACAGGTGTGACCCACTGCACCTGGCAAAACAGTGTTTTTGACATCAAAGCTAGTGCAGTCTTTTCACTGTTGTTGTCCACCACAACCTGCTGAGGTGGGTAGATAATCTTATGCCCATTATGCAGTTGAGGAAACCAAGGCTCTAACAGAGGGTGGTCTCAGAGCCCCCTCTTGCTCAAGATTACATACCTAATCTGTGTTGGAAATGGCGTGCCTTGCGTTGTGTCATTTGAGCTGTTGGAAGGAAGTCACCACAGAGCCCTCTCTGGCGAGCCACCGTGGTCAGCAACACCCTGACATCACTTGAGATGGGAAATGGATTAGGTGTGAAGTCACATGCAGTGGAACCCTGGGCTCAAGTTTATTATTGCCATGTCCTGACCAGTTTCTGAGCCTTGAGTACTTCCCTTTCTCTTCCCTTGTCTGCCCAAGGAGGGTTAGGTCTTTGGAACAAGATTCCATGCTTTGCCTCTCTGCTGTTCTTCCTCCCCTGTCCTCAAGATGCCTGGAGTCTCTTCCAGGAAGGAATCTTGCTCAGGAAGAGCCCCAATGACTAAGGGACTCAGGGAAGGTATTATATGATATGGTGGAAAGAATCTGGCCTTTAGGCTCAAACAGATCTTCTCTGAATCCCAGCTCCTCCTCTTCCTAGTGTGGAAGCCTGGCCAAGCCGTTGTTTCTGAGCCTCACTTTCCTCACCTGAAGTGGGACTTCATCCATGGCTCTGAGCTGTTGTGAAGTTTAAATAAGCTAACACACATGGAAGAGCCCAGCCCCGAACCTGGAGCTCAGTTAGTGAACAGGGAGAGTGGGCTGCCTTTCCCTTGCCTTTACTGGGGAAGAAGTGATATATGAGAGATAGATTAGTGAGTCCAGGGGAAGAGGTAGGCAAGACCTCACTGGCTCTGGAAACCAAGGACCAGATAAAAGGAGTGAAGTTTCGGCTGGGCTGAGGCAGGAGAATGGCGTGAACCTGGGAGGCCAAGCATGCAGTGAGCCAATATTGCTCCACTGCACTCCAGCCTGGGTGACAGAGCAAGACTCCACTTAAAAAAAAAAAAGGAGTGAAGTTTCAGTGAAATGAGGCTAGAAAAGATGGCAGGGAAGACTTTCAACAAATGGGCTGTGAGTCACTAGGAAAGGTAGAGAATAGGTGTTTCCCCCCACCAGAGAATTTTTTTTTTTTTTTGAGATGGAGTCTTCCTCTGTCACCCAGGCTGGAGTGCAGTGGCGCGATCTCGACTCACGGCAACCTCAGCCTCCCGGGTTCACACCATTCTCCTGCCTCAGCCTTCCAAGTACAGGAGCCCGCCACCACGCCCGGCTAATTTTTTGTATTTTTTATTAGAGACAGGGTTTCACCATGTTAGCCAGGATGGTGTTGATCTCCTGACCTCCTGATCCACCCACTTCGGCCTCCCAAAGTGCTGGGATTACAGGCATGAGCCACCGCGCCCAGCCTTTTTTTTTTTTTTTTTTTTTTTGAGACAGAGTCTCACTCTGTCACCCAGGCTGGAGTGCAGTGGCACAATCTCGGCTCACTGCAACCTCCGCCTCCTGGGTTCAAGCAATTCTCCTGCCTCAGCCTCCAAAGTAGCTGGGATTACCGGTGCCCACCACCACACCTAGCTAATTTTTGTATTTTTAGTAGAGATGGGGTATCACCATGTTGTCCAGGCTGGTCTCAAACTTCTGACCTCAGGCAATCTGCCTGCCTCAGCCTCCCAAAGTGCTGGGATTACATGTGTGAGCCACCGTGCCCGGCCAAAGGAATCTTAAGATCAAACACCACTATGTAGCAGAGTTGATAGGCCCTTGGAGACCCTCCCATCCAGCTCCTTGCACTCATGGGGAAACTGAGGCCCAGAGAGAAGGGACTAGTTCAGCAAGGACCTAAGCCTAGGGAGATAAGCTGCTCTTATCAGTTGGAGTTCAGAAGAGGGACAGGAGGGAGGGCTAGACCAAAGACAGCAGCCAAAGTCTGGGCTCCTGCCCTCTGTCCAGGGCTTGATGTCCTCACGACGGGTCCGACCTGCCAGCAGAAGCCAGCTGGCCAGCACTGAAGGTCTCTATCTGTCTAGACTGCTCGCTGGCCCATCCTGCCGAGAAACCCAACTCAAAGGGGGGCTGGGACAGGCGGAGTGGCCTTGGAGGTCCCCGACAGCTCCGGAAGTCTGAGCAGAGAGTCTCTGGAAGACTGAGAGGTGTTGTCTCTGCAGAAAAGCCGTTGGACATTTCCGTGTGACGGTGACACAAACCATTCCTTCCTCCATAATCACCCCTTGCTACAGTGCTGGCTCAGGGCAGACAGCCTGCCGTGCATGGACTTTATTTTCAAAACCCTCTTACTTCTTCTTCTTTTTTTTTTTTAATATCCCTGTGAATGCCTGAACTCCCAGGCAGAGGGAAGCACTCAAGCCTGTCCTTGAGTGTGCTAGTGGTGATGTGATGTCCCAGACGGGACCCTCCGAGCTCTGCGGCAGGAACAAACCCCCTGCTGATGTAATTTAAAAGAATAACCTCCCAATTTTCTCATCTCCCTTTGCTGGATACACCTTATCAAATGACAGGAGAAGCCAATGTTTGGTTAAATGGTTCAGAGGTTAATACTCAACAGATGGGAGAATTTTTTTCCTTTTTCTTTTTTTTTTCTCCTTTCCAGGAGATCTGGTCTGCTCCTCTTGCTTACAACAGGCTTAGGTAGTGGAGGGTGGAGGAGAGATGGGGGGAGGGGGCAGGGGGCATTCTTCCCATCGTGCCCGTTTCTCTCCAGTTACCACTGTCCTCAGGGTCTCAAGCTGTGTCCTCAGCCTTCACAGGACCGTGCTAATAGGCAGGGCCAGCCAGAGCTGCTTGCATTTGGGAAGGTAGAACCTGTCCACCCTGTGAGGGTACCTAAGTACATCAGGCCGTCTGCTGGCATTGGGCAACGTGCAAAAGGGCAGAATAAAGGGAAGGAAACCAATACAAGTGAAAATCTCAAAATTATCTCTCCATGCATTGGGCAAATTATTGAGTCTCCCTGAAACTCAGTTTCTCTTTTTTTTCTTTTTTTTTTCCCCCTTTTGAGACAGGGTCTCACTCTGTCACCCAGGCTGGAATGCAGTAACACGATCTTGGCTCACTGCAACCTCTGCCTCCCGGGTTCAAGTGATTCTCATGCTTCAGCCTCCTAAGTAGCTGGGATTACAGGCATGAGCCACCATGCCCAGCTAATTTTTTGTATTTTCAGTAGAGATGGGGCTTCACCATGTTGCCCAAGCTGATCCTGAACTCCTAGCCTCAGGTGATCTACCCGCCTCAGCCTCCCAAAGTGCTGAGATTACAGGCGTGAGCCACCGCGCCCAACCAGTTTCTTTATTCATAAAATGAGATATAATAATTTACATGGCAGGGGTGTTGGGGAGACTCAAAGAGGATTCTTCAGGGAAACTAGATATTCGCCTATGCTGCCAGTTTCACCCTAGATGGTTGGTCAGCAGCAAAGGGTAAAAAAGAACATTGCTGGCTGGGCATGGTGGCTCATGCCCTGTAATCCCAGCACTTTGGGAGGCTGAGGTGGGCAGATCACGAGGTCAGGAGTTTGAGACCAGCCTGGCCAACATAATGAAACCCCGTCTCCACTAAAAATACAAATATTAGTCGGGTGTGGCGACATGCATCTGTAGTCCCAGCTCCTTGGGAGGCTGAGGCAGGAGAATTGCTTGAACCTGGGAGGCGGAGGTTGCAGTGAGCCAAGACCACACCATTGCACTCCAGCCTCGGTGACAGAGTGAGACTCCGTCTCAAAAAAAAAAATAAAAAAAGAAAAAAAAAAGTACATTGCCCATGGAAAAATCTGGCTTTCCCAGTCTTAATCCAGTGATCAATTTAGCATCACAAATGGTAGTGTAGCCATGTGATCTGCCTCCTTATGTACCCTACATGGCCCAGAAGTGTGCTTGACAAAAGTGGTAAGGAACCTAACTCAGGTCTTTAGCTCTAACTTCCAGTTTACAAGGGCAGAGAATGGGGAGCGAGCTAAACAAGATGAGGAAACAATAGACAATTCCTAGAGAATGACTGGCTCAGTCTCTTGAAAAAGTTAAAGTCAAGAAAATAAAAGGCTGGGCACAGTGGCTCAAGCCTGTAATCTCAACACTCTGGGAGGCCAAGGGACGAGGATCACTTGAGCCCATGTGTTTGAGACCAACCTAGGCAACATAGTGAGACCCCCATCTCTATAAAAAATAAAAATAAATTAGCTGATCATGGTGGCATGCACCTGTGGTCTCGGCTTCTTTGGAGGTTGAGGTGGGAGGTTCACTTGAGCCCAGGAGGTGGAGGCTGCAGTGAGCTATGATTGCGTCACTGCACTCCAGCCTAGGTGACAGAGTGAGATCCTGTCTCTACTTCAAAAAAAAAAAATCCCATACTATTTCAATAATCACACCCAATACTCCCTTCCCCAACCCTCTGGCAATCACTAATCTGTTTCTTATCTTTATAGATTTGCCTATTCTAAATATTCATATAAAAGGAATCATAAAATGTGTGACCTTTTGTACTTGGCTTCTTTCGCTTAGCATGTTTCTGAGGTTCATCCATTTGAGCATGTTCTGATACTTCATTCCATTTTGTGGCAAAATAATATTCCATTGCATTTGTATACCACAGTTTGTTTATCTATTCATTCATTAATGCACATTTGAGTTGTTTCCACCTTTTGTCTAATATGAATAATGCTGCTATAAGCATTTGTGTACAAGTTTCTGTATGGGCATGTTTTCATTTCTCTTGGGTATATGCCTAGAAGAGGAATTGTTGGGTCACATGCTAAGTCTATGTTTAACTTTTTGAGGAACCATCAAAATGTTTTCCAAAGCAGCTGCTACATTTACATTCCTACCTGCAACATATGAATGTTCTTATTTCTTCCTAGCCTTGCCAACTTTTGCCATTTTCCATTGTTTTAAATTATAGCCATCCTAGTGGGTGTGAAGTGGTATTTCATTGTGGGTTGTTGTTGTTGTTGTTGTGTTTTTTTTTTTTTTGAGACAGAATTTTGCTCTTGTTGCCCAGGCTGGAGTGCAATGGCACAATCTCAGCTCACTGCAACCTCCGCCTCCCAAGTTCAAGCAATTCTCCTGCCTCAGCCTCCCGAGTAGCTGGGACTACAGGTGCGTGCCACCATGTCCGGCTAATTTTTGTATTTTTAGTACAGATGGGGTTTCACCATGTTGGCCAGGCTTGTCTCAAACTCCTGACCTCAGGTAATCCACCTGCTTTGGCCTCCCAAAGTGCTGGGATTACAGGTGAGAGCCACTGTGCTCGGCCAAGTGTAAGTCTTTTAACTTTCTCTTTTTCAATATTGTTTTGACTATTCAGGCCCATTGCAATTCCATATGAATTTGAGAATGGAATTTTGCATTTCTACAAAAAAAAATTGGAATATTGATAGAGACTACAATGAATCTTGTATTACTCAGGTTCTCCAGAGATAGATAATAAATAGAAGAGAGAGAGAGAGTGCGATATGGATGAAAGGGGATTTATTAGGAGAAGTGGCTCATATAGTTAACAGAGGCTGAGAATACGCCATCTGCAAACTGCAAAACCAAGGAGCTCAGTAGCATGACTGAGTCCAAGTCTGAAGGCCTCAGAACCAGGAAAGCCAAAAAGCCTAAGAATCTGGAGTTCTGATGTCCAAGGGCAGGAGAAAAAGGGTGTCCCAGCTCCAGAAGAGAGAAAGCTAATTCACCTTTCCTTTGCTTTTTTGTTCTATCTGGGTCATTAGCCAATTGGATAGTGCCTACCCACATTAGGTGAGGGCAGATGTTGCTTACTCAATCCACTTAATTCAAATGCCATTCTCTTGCAGAGACACCAACACAAACATGCCCAGAAATAATGCTTTATGAGCTATCTGGGTGTCCTTTAATCCAGTCAAGTTGACAACTAAAAATAATCATCATGAGTTAGTAGATCATTTTGAGAAGTATTGCCGTCTTAACAATATTAAGTTAATATTAAGTCTCCCAATCCATGAACATGAGATGTCTTTCCATTTAATTACGTCTTTAATTTCTTTCAGCAATGTACTGCAGTTTTCAATGTACATGTTTTTCATCTCCTGGGTTAAATTTATGACTACCCATTGCTGGAGTATAGAAACACAACTGATTTTTCCTGATATTGTACCCTGAAACTTTGCTAAATTATAATTCCATGGTTTTTTTTTGTTTTTTTTTTTTGACCGAATTTTGCTCTTGTTGCCCAGGCTGGAGTACAATGGTGCAATCTCAGCTCACTGCAACCTCTGCCTCCCAGGTTCAAGCAATTCTCCTGCCTCCTGCCTCAGCCTCCTAAGTAGCTCAGATTATAGGTGTGCGCCACCATGCCCAGCTAATTTTTGTATTTTTAGTAGAGATGGGGTTTCGCCGTGTTGGCCAGGCTGGTCTCGAACTCCTGACCTCAGGTGATCCACCCACCTCAGCCTCCCAAAGTGCTGGGATTACAGGCGTGAGCCACTGCACCCAGCCAAGCCACCACACCCGGCCTTTTGTTTTTAAATAGGTTTCAGAGACCCTTGTTAGCTTATGATAATAGCATTGTGATTTGAGGAGAGAAATTCTCGTGCTTGGAAATGTATGTCCAAACATTTAGGAGGGACATGTCATGGTGTCTGTAATTTTTTGAAATGGTTGAAATGATTTGGCAATTTCTTATAAACACTCACACACCATATGAACCAGCAATTGCATGCTTGGGTTTCTAACCTAGAGAACTGAAATCTTATGTTCATGTGAAAACCTGTACACAAATGTTTATAACAACTCTATTCATAGTTATCAAAAACTGGAAACAACCCAAATGTCCTTCAGGAGGTGAATGAACAAAGAAACTGTGGTACATCCATATAATGAAATATACTTGGCAACAAAAAGGAAAAGGCTATTGATCCAAACAATCACTTGGATAAAGGGCAAGGGTATCATGCTGAGTAAAAGGAGCCAATGTTAAAAGTTTACATACTGTATGGTTCCATTTATATGACACTCTCCAAAAGAGAAAACTGGCTGGGCACGGTGGCTCACGCCTGTAATCCCAAGACTGTGGGAAGCCAAGGTAGTGGATCGCTTGAGCCAAGAAGTTTGAGACCAGCCTGGGGAAAATGGTGAAACCTCATCTCTACAAAAAAATTGGTGGGGCATGGTGGTGTGCACCTGTAATCCCAGCTAATTGGGAGGCTGAGGTGAGAGGATCACCTGAGATGGGGAAGTCGAGGCTGTGGTGAGCCATGATAGTCGAGGCTGCAGCGAGCCATGATTGTGCCACTACACTCCAGTCTGGGTGACAGAATGAGACCCTGTATCAAAAAAAGGGGTGTGAGTGGGGAACTGTAGGGATGGTGAACAGATCAGTGGCTGCCAGGAGTGACCAATGAGAGCAGGGCATGTCTATAAAGAGGTAGCACCAGGGAGTTGTTTGGGCAGCGATGGAACTGTTCTGAATCCTGATTATGGTGTGGTTCTGCAAATCAATACATGAGTTAAAATTCATAGAACTGTATGCCAAAAGAAAAGAGAACCAACTTTAATATATTGTTTTATTTTATTTTATTTATTTATTTTGAGACAGAGTCTCACTCTGTCACCCAGGCTGGAGTGTAGTAGCATGATCTCAGCTCACTGCAATCTCCACCTCCTGGGTTCAAGCAATTTTCCTGCCTCAGTCTCCCAAGTAGCTGGGATTACAGGCGTGAGCCACCATGCCCGGCTAATTTTTGTATTTTTAGTAGGGTCAGGGTTTTGCCATGTTGGCCAGGCTGTTCTCAAACTCCTGAGCTCAAGTGATACGCCCACCTCAGCCTCCCAAAGTGCTGGGATTATAGGCATGAGCCACTGTGCCCAGCTTAATACATGATTTTAAAGACAGAGAGAGAGAAGTGAATGGCAAAATGTCGCCTCTTGTTGGGTCTAAGTTGTGGGTATATGGCGTACTCATCTTTCTGCTTTTCTGTACATTTGACATTTTTCATAATAAAAAGAAGGAGGAGAATTGCCCCTGAAGGGTCAGTCTGGCTCTATGTGGCCCTCAGAAACGCTAGCCCCTCTCCCCTGAGAGTATAGAGGAAGGCAGCCTTTCTGCCAGAGACTCAAGCAGGTGCAATCTCTCACCCTCACATCCATGGCCCACAGGATTGACAAAGTGCTTTCCAGGTCAGCGCCCAGCCAGGCTGCTAGCATCTGATCAGAATCTTTTTACCACCTTCACCTGCCTGGGTGCAGACTCACAGGAAACTCTGGACATCTCTGGTCCTTACCTCTGACAAATTCATTCTGGAAACCGGATGGGTCACTTCAGAAACCCCCACTTCCTGGTGATGCTCACACAGGACTCCTTCAGAACCACTTGGTACCCCTCCTCTGGGCTCCCACTCCACTGCACACATGTGGCCCCGTGGCATCTGTCACACCACAAGGTCACTGACTCTGGAACAGGAAGAAGATATCCTTGTCCCCATGACAGGAGCTGCAGTCTGAGCACCTTGGCAGAGGACAGTGCTTAATGTGCTCTGGGGACCCATCTAAACCAGACTCTCTGGCAATGAGGCCCAGGTACAGCATTAGAGCCGAGCTCCCTGGAATGGGTGGAAGAACCACTGGCTCACAGGTGAGAAATGCCTTACTAATGGGTCTATTAGGCTAGGAAAGAAAAGCTTCCTCCTCTGTCCTCCCTAACCCCACCCAGGACCTAGCCCAATCTGAGATAAGAACACCTGAGGCCAGGAGTTCGAGACCAGCCTGGCCAACATGGTTAAACCCTGTCTCTACTAAAAATACAAAAATTACTGTGGCTCATGCCTGTAATCCCAGTACTTTGGGAGGCTGACGCAGGAGGATCACAAGGTCAGGAGTTTAAGACCATCCTGGCTTAGTATGGTGAAGCCTCGTCTCTACTAAAAATACAAAAAAAAAAAAAAAAAAAAAAAAAAATTAGCCAGGTATGGTGGCATGTGCCTGTAGTCCCAGCTACTCAGGAGGCTGAGGTAGGAGAATCACTTGAACCCAGGAGGTGGAGGTTGCAGTGAGCCGAGATTGCGCCACTGCACTCCAGCCTGGGTGACAGAGCGAGACTCCATCTCAAAAAAAAAAATTAGCCAGGCATAGTGTGGGGGCGGTGCCTATAATCCCAACTACTTCTGAGGCTGAGGCAGGAGAATTGCTCGAACCTGGCAGGCAGAAGTTGCAGTGAGCCGAGATCACGCCACTGCACTCCAGTCTGGGCAAAAGAGCGAAACTCCATCTCAAATAAATAAATAAATAAATAAAAGACCAAAAAGAAGGTCGGGTGCGGTGGCTCATGCCTGTAATCCCAGCACTTTGGGAGGCCAAGGCAGGTGGATCACCTGAGGTCAGGAGTTTCAGATCAGCCTGACCAACATGGAGAAACCGTCTCTACTAAAAATACAAAATTAGCTGGGAGTGGTGGCACATGCCTGTAATCCCAGCTACTCAGGAGGCTGAGGCAGGAGAATTGCTTGAACCCGGGAGGCAGAGATTGTGCCACTGCACTCCAGCCTGGGCAACAAGAGCAAAACTCTGTCTCAAAAAAAAAAAAAAAAAGATTCTAAGCTCACCAAATGTACACAGATAGGAGACTAAGATTTGGCTCACAAACTGCAGCTTGCTGACTGCTGGCCAAGATAGGAAAAATTTAGCCTAACAGGATTTAAATACTCGGTATTCAAAAAACAAAACAAAACAAAAAAACAGTTCTCCTAGAGTCTGCGGGGAAGCCTTGGGGTGGAGTGAGAGGACAGGTGGACAGCAGATGAGAGGAAAAGTCTGGAGAGGCAATGAGAGGAAAGGCCAGGGCCAGCACTGGAGGGTTAGAGAGGCTGGGGATGGCTGAAGAGACTATGAAACTCAGCAAACTATGGTTCACCAGCCAAATCCAACCCACACCTGTTTCTGTAGGGTCTGTGAGCTAAGAATGGTTTTTACAGATGAACATTTGCAAGCAATTTGATGAGAAGGAACACCAACTTTGAACCTCAGTTAAGCCAAATGTCATTTCCCCAAAATAACTCTCTTTCTATTATTATTATTGTTTTGAATTGTTAATAAAAGGTTTGTGAAAATGTGTTTTCTCTGTTGTTATATAAGTCTTAATTTTGCTCTTGGCCCACAAAGCCTAAAATATTTACTATTTGGCCCTTTCCAGAAAGAGTTTGTTGACTCTCGATCTAACAATAGATGGTATTCAGGCCGGGCGTGGTGGCTCATGCCTGTAATTCCAACAGTTTGGGAGGCTGAGGCTGGTGGGTCGCTTGAACTCAGGAGATCGAGACCAGCCTAGATAACATGGTGAAACCCCATCTCTACGAAAAATACAAAAAAAAATAATTAGCTGGGTGTGGTAGCATGCGCCTGTAGTCCCAGCTACTTGGGAACTGAGGCGGGAGGATCGCTTGAGCCCAGGAGCTAGAAGCTGCAGTGAGCCAAGATCGTGCCACTGCACTCCAGCCTGGGTGACAAAGTGAGACCTTGTCTCAAAAAAAAAAAAAATTTAAAAATTAAAAAAATATATGTAAATATGATATTCAATTCTATGTGGCTCTTTCCTGGAAACTCTGTATTACCTCAAACAAGGGCTGCAAGTCTGTAAAACACACAGCAGCCCTGTGTCAGCAGAGCCCAGGGTGGGCGGGCAGCGGGCTGGAGGAGGCCCTAGGCAGCACGGGGCAGAAAGAGGTGGGGCCGGGGAAGGGGTAGGGTCAGGGTCATCTTTAGATGGAAGAAATGAAGGGCTCTGCAGTGGGGTCGTGCCAGGCAGCAGGATAGGCTGGGAGGTGTGGATAGGAAGCACAGGGTTAAGAGCAGAGAGTCTGCCTGCTTCCCTTAAGTGTGTGGGAGCATGGGGTAAGGCTGATCGGCCAAGAGCTTTGGTAGGACCTGGGAAAGCAAAAATGCAAAAATGCAGAAACCATGTATCCCTCAAGGAGTTTAGTGGGTAAGAGACAAGAGGATGATTGGAGGAAAACGTGGTCAGTGCACACGAGAGAGAGAGAAGCACAGAGGACTCTACAGAAGCCCCAAGGAGAAGTGGTGGTCCCGCCTGTGCATACGTGTGTGTGTGTGTGTGTGTGTGTGTGTGTGTGTGTGTGTGTGTGTGTGCATGTGTGTATGGAGGCTTCCTGGAGGAGGGAAAGCAACAGGAGCAGCCTTGTAGAGACCAGAACAGCACCTTATGGAATCTGGAGTTACGGATCATAAAATGCCAAAAGGAAGGCCAGGCACGGTGGCTCATGCCTGTAATTCCAGCACTTTGGGAGGCCAAGGTGGGTGGATCACTTGAGCCCAGGAGTTTAAGACCAGCCTGGGCAATATTGCAAAACTCCATTTCTACAAAAAATTTTAAAAATTAGCCAGGAGTGGTGGCCTGCACCTGTAATCCCAGCTATGTGGGAGGATGAGGATGGAGGATTGCTTGAACCTTCCATGTGGAGGTTGAGGCTGTAGTAAGCCATGATCGTACCACTGCACTCCAGCCTGGGTGACAAAGTGAGAACCTGTTTCAAAAAAAAAAGAAAGCAGCAAGAGGAGATTGTGATGACTGAGTTGGAGAGAAGGTGGGGAGAGGACAGGCAGGGCCTTGGGCACCATTTGGAGTGTGGGCTTCACCCTGCTGGTGCTGCAGAGCTCCTGGGGCATGACCTGGAGAATCACAGGGACAGCTGGGTGGAGGACAGGCCCAAGGCAGACAGCACTGGAGTCTGAGAGGCCCACTGAGGCAGCTGTTGCAAAATTCAGTGAGAAATGATGAGGTCTGCGCTCAGGCAGCAAGAGGATCCATGACACATGTACTCATGATACATGACTGGGGACAGAGTCAAGGAGGTGAAATCAGTGGCATGTGGGCCAGTGGGGAGGTTAAGGGAGGGTGGCCTCATGGAAGACTCCCAGTTTTCCAGCTCTCTTGGCTGCTAGGGAGGGGATGGATTATACCTTCCAGCTCCCCTATTTCTGCCCAAAGCCCTGGATGACCCCCCAGATCATGCGAAGACAGTGTTGGCTCCCCTCCCCGCCCCACCTTCCCTCCTCCACGTGATTGCCTGGAGTCCCCAGGGAAGAGAGAGAGAAGGAGATGAAATCATGGAACGAAGGGGATTAGAGCCGCATTTCTTCCCTTCTCTACAATGGAAAACTCTGTTTGTTGGGAGAGGGGAGCTTTGGGAAGCGGGGCCTGATGAGGTTATGGTTTTGAAACAGGAGCTATCAGGAATCACCAATCTGAGGAGCAACAGGCTGTCGTTTTTCTTTCTTCTAAGTAGGTGCTCTTCTCGGTTGCCCCCAATTAAGACAGGGGAAGAGCACCTACTTAGAAGGAAGAGAAACAAGAGCCTTGTTGCTCTCCCCCCATGCTGGAGTGAGTCTGTTTTATTATATCCGCCCCCAAGCCTGCATGTGCCTCTTCCACTTGACTGACCACTCAGCCTGGGCACCCACAGAGGAGAAAGGTACCACCTCCTAGAGGGGAAAGAGTCTCCAAGGCAGGGCATGGGGGTGGTCAGGGGAGTGGGAAGAACCAGATGTGGGGTTGGGGGGTTTGGTTTTGGGTCCAGTTTATGCCACTTCCCACCTATGCAAAGTCAGGCAAGTTCTTTTTTTTTTTGAGATGGAGTCTCGCTCTGTCGCCCAGGCTGGAGTGCGGTGGCGCAATCTCAGCTCACTGTAAGCTCTGCCTCCCGGGTTCACGCCATTCTCCTGCCTCAGCCTCCCGAGTAGCTGGGACTACAGGCGCCCACCACCACACCCAGCTAATTTTTTGTATTTTTAGTAGAGACAGGGTTTCACTGTGGTCTCAATCTCCTGACCTCGTGATCCACCCGCCTCAGCTTCCCAAAGTGCTGGGATTACAGGCGTGAGCCACTGAGCCCGGCCAAGTCAGGCAAGTTCTTAACCTCCCGGAGCCTCAGAGCCTTCTTCGTTTGTAAGTGCAAGTGATTATACCCAGCTATGGTGACTGAAGGAGATGTGTCTGTAGGGAGATGAAAAGGGATGTGGAAACCAGACCAACTCCTAACAATTGCAGGGCCTGGGGCAAGAGTGTAGATGAAGTTCAGCTACATATGTCTAAATACTTAAAGAGCTAAAAAAAAATCAACTTTAGTAAACTCGTAAATGAAATGTTTTATCCTCCAACTCTCACAAATATTCTGTCATAACACCCTGGAAGGCCAGGTTTGAATTTGGAGTCCCTGGACTCTTTGGAATTCAATGTAGAACACCCCAGCATGGGGAGAAGCCAGCCTTTGGCCCTTACTCATGGCCCATTCTCCCTTCCCTTCCTCCTGCCAGCTCCGTCCTGCACAGCAAGGGCTTCAGGCAGATGCATGAGGATGCCTTAGCCCTAATGTCTAACACACACACACACACACACACACACCCCTCAGCCCAGAGGTGCACACACTGGGGGTGGGGTGGCGGGGGCCTGGGGAAGATGGATTCCAGGAAGAAGCCCATGCAGATCCTGGAAGTGGGTTCAGGGCCATTGGGGCAGGACATTCCAGGGTCCAGGCACACCCAGCACGGTGTATCAGCGGGTGCTGGCTCCAGACGGGCACATCCCTTCCCTGTGGACTCCTCACCCCATGGAGAGGGGCGTGGCTGGCAAAAGCAAGAGCAGCTATAAAGTGAAGACTCAGGCCAGGGGCCTCTCTTGCCTGGTCTAGGACAGTAGGTTCTGCTCTACACTATAAAGTGATGATGAGTAAGAGGAATAATTATTCTCTTCCCAAGGGTTTGGTATTTTTTTCCCCTCTCTCTCTCTCTCTGATTCTCCACTCTTGTTTTTTATTTTCCTTGGGAAGAATTTGGGGATAATGTACACACCAGCCAGAGAGGTGGGAAAGTAGGTATCTTTGGGGACAGATGAACCAGGATGCCAGGAACTCTTGGGTTAGGTCCAAGGCCTCTTCAGGCCTTGGAGCTGCTGAGCATCTCCCTTCCCACCTCTCTGGAAGACTTAGAAACTTGTTATTTATTATCTGAGAACAGAGAATCCTTAGAGCCTTGGACATGAGCATGGCCAAAAACCTGCGGGGGAAAAATGCTGCAAGCACTCACCAAGCACAATGAAAAATGTAGTGCTGGACAAGGAGATTAGGGGAGACACAGTGACGCCCACCTGGACACAGATCCAGGCCCCAGGCTGAGCTCAAAGTTGTCCTGTCCCATGTCCCCACGCTGGGTGAGACTGCACACCCAGGCCCTGGGAAGCCTGAAGTACAGAGGAAGAAGCCACAGGGAGTGAAGCAGGGAGCACTGGAGTCTGGGCCAAGAATAAAGAACCAGGTGCCCAAGCCTAGCCAAAGAGGTAGCGAGCATTCTGGGGAAGAAAAATGGGCTAATCCCAGCTACCAGCTGCCTGAGGTCAGGAAAAGTCCTTTCCCTCTCTGGGCCTCAATATCCTTAACTGTAAAATGGGCATAATGGTGTTTTCCCTACAGAGTAGAGGTGAGAATTTGATTCTTTAAAGCACAAGATATTTTTTGCACTCTTCCTGGAATGGAGAAAGGGATCCCTGAATGTTAACCATGCGATGATTACTATGATCACGGTGCCTGGAAAATGTCAGTTGAATGCGAGTTGAACTTGTGTGAACTTCCTCAAATCGTGCCCCACTTAGGAGCCTCGGTTTCCTTATCTGAGAATTTCTTTTATTCTTTAGAAACATCTTGCTGTTAATGCCTAGAGTTCCCCTGACACAAATATTACCTAACACTTGCAGAGCACTTGCTGGGGGCTGGTACTGTCCAGGGCGCTTCACACAACTCCACCATTTCATCCTCCAAGTCTCCTTTGAGGGCCTTCTATTAGTCCCTATTTGGCAAATGAGGAGCCCAGGACACAGGAGGGTTCAAGAATTTGCCTCATGTCACACAGCAACACCCAGGCATGCTGGCTCCAATGTCCACATCTATCTTCCTTCCCTGTCCAGATGTGGGCCGTGCCCCTGCTGGAACAACCAGGCAGCCGTTTTGACCAAACCCACGGGTCAACCCAGCCAGCTCACTGGTTTGGTGGATGTTCCTAGCACCGAACTAACTAGCTATGGGGCCAAATTAGTCATGCTGGCCTTTGAGTCAATGATCCTGCCTCGACTTGTTTAGACTTTCTGACTGTGACACAGTCCCTCCAGCTCTAGATTTGAAAGAACCAGTAATAGGAAATACTGATTTTGAATTAAAATGAGAAAAATGGCCATTCCTGAAGTCATTTACATCTTAACCCAGGACATTGGCCCACCTTGTCTCAGAGAGCCCTTGCGATCATGCGGCGACACAGGTCTGGGATTGTTACCCCGTTTCACAGATGAGGCAAACCTGGCTGGAGGCAGAGGGGTGGAGTCAGGTGCCTGGGATGGCATAGCCTGCTGGCAGTGGGAACAGAAGCTGGATTTGAACCCAGGCCTCCCAATGCACCGTCCTGTGTACATCCTGCTGCCTGGAGCTGTTCGGTTGGTAACACCGTCTTCGGGGCCCCTGAGCCCCCAGCCACGCGGAGCATCACCACAAAGAACAGGAATGGCTGCGGACCATTTGGCCAGGCGTCTCCCATTTGCTGTGCCTTTTGGCACTGATCTGCAAGGCTACATTAAGCGTTCTTTTCCGAGTTGTTTGTGGGCAGGAGAAGCCATTGAAATTGCAATGAACAGAGGCACCTGGCTCCCCAGGGACAATTTCCGAGTCCATCTCCCCACCTTGTTTATTTGTAAAATGGGAACACAGACACAACTGGTGTATGTTTTCATTAAACCAAGTAGGAGCTTGTGGCATTTCTGTCTGCACTTGAGACATGTTTATACTGCTGAGTCCATTATGAATCTGTTTAATATCCTTCGAATTCTCCGAGTCCTTCCATCCCTGCAGCCAGGAAGTGGGTAATGTGCACACAGGGAAGAAATTTCCAGGCACTCAGACCTTTAGGTAAATGAGGACTCTTTTTTCTTTCTTTTCTTTAAAGAGGGGAAAGCCTGTTGCAAAAAAATTAAATTCTTCCTGTTCAAAATGGTTTTTCCAGTGATCCTTTCCTTGTAGGAAATTGGTTAGGTCCTAGAGAGATG
The DNA here is from genome assembly GCF_000001405.40 of Homo sapiens. NCBI lineage: Eukaryota > Metazoa > Chordata > Mammalia > Primates > Hominidae > Homo > Homo sapiens. Next base: position 43,614,493 of record NC_000017.11, on the reverse strand, counting down.
GTGAAGGAGCTACCAGCTAGGGGAGCCTGGGACTAGTGAGAATAGCATCCCTTTGCCCTGGAGAGCCTGGGATGGAGGCATGGAGGTGAGTGACTATCTGGGGGCTGAGAAGGACATCAGGGGATCTGTAGCCAGGAGCTCAAGGTCACCTGAGGGCTGCCTTGGCTACTGGGGGCTCCTGGGAAGCCAGTATCAGACTAATCCTATCGGATTGGGAACAGGCTTCCCACTGGAGTGCTGGCAGGAGTAGCTCCCTGCTTGCTGGCAGAACAGAGAGATATTATTTTAAGGAGAAAAATGAGATTCCTGTTATTGCTTTATTCCTCCTGCAGAAACGTTGGTGCGTCCCAGCCAGGGCCAAGATGAGAGGCAGGTGGTGCCAAGAGAAGGATGAGCTCATCGCATGTGGGGACGTGAGGTGATTCCAGCAAGGCACAGTGTGGAAAAAAAGCTCCATTCTTGGGATCCCAAATCCCTGTCAAAGCAGAACCCTGTGACCCTTCCCTCCCCCACCTCCCTTCTCCATCACTCAGTCCGTCTGCCACCTTCCTTCCCCATCATCTTCTTCCTCCCTCATCTAAGCCCACTCCCATTTAATCTCTCTCTCTTCTTGCATCTTCAACCAAACACTCCTCCTCAGCACCCTTGAGCACCTGTGCAAGTTCTTGTGTGGAGACTGCATGAAGGAAAGAGCCCAGGCTTTGGAGTTGGAGAAACCCGAGTTCAAACCTCAGCCCTACCACTTACTGGCTGTGAGACAGGGGTCTTCTCCTCTCTGCTGTCTCATGTTATCATATGATCTTGCAGCTAGATGAGAAAGAAAATAGGAAAATATCTAGCACATACTAGATGTTCCCTTAATATTTCTTCCTCCCGGCCGGGCGCGGTGGCTCACGCCTGTAATGCCAGCACTTTGGGAGGCCGAAGCGGGCAGATCAGGAGGTCAGGAGATCGACACCATCCTGGCTAACACGGTAAAACCCGGTCTCTACTAAAAATACAAAAAAATGAGCCGGGCACGGTGGCAGGTGCCTGTAGTCCCAGCTACTCAGGAGGCTGAGGCAGGAGAATGGTGGGAACCCGGGAGGTGGAGCTTGCAGTGAGCCGAGATCACGCCACTGCACTCCAGCCTGGGCGACACAGCGAGACTCCGTCTCGGAAAAAAAAATAATTTCTTCCTCCCTTCCTTCCTGTGGAAGCAAAGGCTATAGTATAATTAAGAAATTGTTGGGCTGGGCATGGGGGCTCATGCATGTAATCCCAGCACTTTGGGAGGCTGGGGCAGGAGGATCACTTGAGCACAGGAGGTTAAGACTTAAGACTGCAGTAAACCAAGTTTGCACCACTGCACTCCAGCCTGGGCGACAGAGCAAGAGCAAGACCATCTAAAAAAGACAAAAAAAAAAAAAAAAAAAGCAATTGTGAGACTTTGAGATCTACAAATGTCAAATTCCTGCAGGACTCTGGAAAATATGGGTCACAGGTTATTTCTTGGACTCATCATCAGATTCCTGGCAATGGTCTAGGGATGACACAAGTCACTGTGAATGGAACCTGGCATGATGAAGAAGGGTTCCAGAGAGTTAGGGGGAACTTTCCTGGTCTTGGCCAAGAAAGAAATGTCATGGCCAGGAGCCCAGGTCAGAGAGGGCAGGAGATAAGATGATGTGGGTTGGAGGGAAGTAGCCTGAAGTTTGCGGATCAAGAAGCTCCATAAAAGTGGCCATGAAATCGGAATAGTTGGAAATTCTGAAAGGTGAGAGTGAAAAGGTGCAGAGTCCATGGGGTGAGTCACCTTTGGTAGGACACAGAGCTCTAACTGGCACTTCGGCTGCCTCAGGCAAGGGTCTGAAACACACCCTCAAACCAACTTTGGTTTTCCATCTAGGAATCATGAAGGAGGTGTTATTAACCACAGGCCTTCTGGAAGCTTCCTATGGAAGGGCCAAATCCCTTTGTTTCTGTGTCATGCAGGGGTGCATGTGCTGTCAAAATGTTAAAAATGTCACAACAGTTTCACTTTCATCACTTTCCGCAATTATTGTTTTAAATTCCATATCCTCTAAATTTCCAGCCCCCTGGGCAAAGCCCAATCACACTGCCCTGGGTAATGGCCATGATGGGGCGAGGTATCTCTGTGATGGAAACTTGATTGCTTTCTGCTTCATTTCTTGGGTTCTATTTTGCCGTTGACTACTCTTTGTAGTTTACGATTTTTAAAAACTCCATCCTGTCTCCATTTTGCTAAGGAAAATCAAGAAAAGGGATTTGGGTCCACACGTTGGTGAATGGGAGATAAAAGGTAGGCAAGGGGTGTTTAGGTGCCAGAGCAGGGGCAGCAAAGGGATGACAAGTGAGGGACTTTATGTGAGTTGAGATACAGGCTAAGATGCTGGAAGAAACAAAAATATAACACAGAAGAGAATTTTATTTTTCTCTCACTTTAGGGACCAGGGTTGGGCAGGCAACCAGGGCAAACACCAGGAGCTTGTGTGAACACCCAGATTCCTTCTGCTGTGTTACTCCGTCATCCTGGAGTGTTGTCCTTGTCTTCATGGCTGAAGCTACCTCACCATCCATGTGAGCCCACATTCCAGCCCAAGGCAAGGAGGACAGAGGAAGGGAGGACATGCAGCTTCCTCATACCAACTGTCATCAGGAGGTGCCTGTGGCATTTGTGCATCATCCCATTGGCCACAGCTTAGTCACATGATCACATCTAGCTGCAAAGGAGGCTGGGAAATGTGGCCCCTAGTGGGCACCACATGCCTAACTAAAACCTGGAGTGTTCTATTACTAAAAGAAAGAAAGGGGCAATGGGCAATGGGGACAATTGTCTCTTTCTGCCATAAACCCAGGAGGAAAGGGCTATCAGGACCACAAGTGGCACTCAGGGACCAGCAGCCACTCTTCTAGAGTTTCTCACTGGAGGAACATAAGAGGTTCTGGGTTTTGTTTCAGGGAAGCTGTGGTAGATTGTTCTTCAGCTCTTCATGTGACTTACCTTGTGACCTTGGAGCAGGAGAGTGGGTGGAATATATTTCCCTACCCAGCAGCATTGGGCTTGGCCATGTGACCAGTTTGGGCCAATGGGATGTGAGAAGCAACAGCATGCCAGTTCCAAGGTAAAGCCTGAAGTGGCACCATGTTTCCACTCCTGCCATTCACCATGAGAAGGGCACATGCCAAACAGCAACTTGCCCAAGAAAGGGAAGAAACACACGGAGCATACCTAAGGTTAAGCCCAGAGCCAAGTATAGCTCAGCCCCAGCAGAGCCAGCCTTATGAGTGGCGACTCCCCACTCACAGACTCATGAGTGGGGAAAATATGTGAATAAACACTGGTTGATGTAAGCCAGTGTTCTGGGAGGGCTTGTCATGGAGCATTATTGCAGTAAAACTGGCTAGTACGGTGGTTCTGACACCCTGCTAAACCTCGATCCTGTCCCCAACCTTCCTTCTGTCCTCCTTTTTCAGTTCTTCACTCATGCAGGCCAGGTGCAGTGGCTCATGCCTGTAATCACAGCACTTTGGGAAGCCGAGGCAGGTGGATAATTTCAGGCCAGGAGTTCAAGACCTGTCTGGCCAACATGGCAAAACCCCGTCTCTATAAAAATGCAAAAATTTGGCTGGGCGTGGTGGCTCATGCCTGTAATCCCAGCACTTTGGGAGGCTGAGGCGGACAGATTGCTTGACGCCAGGAGTTCAAGTCCAGCCTGGCCAACATGGTGAAACCCCATCTCTACTAAACTTACAAAAATTAGCTGGGTGTGGTGGTGCACGCCTGTAATCCCAGCTATGTTGGGAAGCTGAGGCACAAGAATCACTTAAACCTGGGAGGTGGAGGTTGCAGTGAGCTCAGATCATGCCACTGCACTCCAGCCTGGGTGACAGAGTGAGACTGTCTCAAACATATACAATATTCTAGAATACAATACTCTAGAATACACTACAGTACAATACAATACATAAAACCCACTCATGAAGTCAACGGTCATTTACAAGACACCTGTTATATGCCAGGCACTGATCTAGGTCCTGGGACTAAAGAAACCTTAAGGCATTTCCAGTCTAGGGGGAGGGACAGACATGGAAATACATAATAACACTCTAACACAGCAATAATGGAGCATTATTGCAGTAAAACTCCAAGTGCTGGAACCAGGGTCTGTGCAAGCTGCTGGAGGACGGGGAAGCTTAGCACAGGGCTACACAGAACAAAGAACCAAATCAGCTTTCCTTTGTTTTCTTTTGTTCCCAGCCAGCCCTCCTACCCATCCAGAAACTTGAGCCTGGTCCGGAGTGAGTGCTGGAGTCCAGGAAGTGCTATGGAAGCAGCTGTGAATCAGTTACTGCTCTTTCACAATAACAACCAATGCTTATTGGGCATTTACTAGGTGCCTTCCAGACAGGAAAGGCACATGCCCTGCCCTCAAGGAGATCAGAGTCTCCTCGGGAAGACATTCAGGAGACAAAGTGGTGAGACCTACCCAATAAACAGACAGTTTTTTTGGATAAACATAGATATTGCCCCTTCTGGTCTTAAAGCTTGAAACTTACATTTGTTTTTATCTGAGTTCCTTCCTCAGGAAAAGAAGTTCAGGCCTCTAAAAAAAAAAAAAAAAAGTATCAAAGAACTGAAACTCACCAGATCGCCACATCCGGACATTGAGATAGATGCCCATTCCTTATTCATTATGATTGCTTCCTTGCCCCTCCCTAGTTCCTGTTATCTTGAACATTGTTACATTTCTTCCCTGCTATATAAACCCCTAGTTTTAGTCCACTGGGGAGATGGATTTGAGACTGAGCTCCCAACTTCTCAGCTGTAGGACCCGATTACAGTCTTCTTCCTTGACAATATTTGTCATCTCAGTCATCATTAGCTTTCTATGTGGCGAACAGCAGGACCTAGACCAAATGCCTAGTGTTTTGGTAACAGTGGCACTTCTCTCTGCAATGGCACCAGGACTGATGGCATGGAGTTCTGACTCTGTGGCCTTGGGCAATTCATTTAGCCTTTTTTTTTTTTTTTTTTTTGAGACACAGTCTCACTCTGTCACCCAGGCTAGAGTGCAGTGGCACGATCTCAGCTCACTGTAACCTCTGCCTCCCGGGTTCAAGTGATTCTTCTACCTCAGCCTCCTGAGTAGCTGGGACTGCAGGCGTGCGCCACCACGCCTGGCTACCTTTTTTTGTATTTTTAGTAGAGATGGGGTTTCACCATGCAGGCCAGGCTGGTCTCAAACTCCTGATCTCAGCTGATCCTTGGCCTCCTAAAGTGCTGGGATTACGGCCTGAGCCACTGCACCAGGCTTTTTCTTTTGTTTTGTTTTCTTTTTTTTTTTGAGACAGAGTCTTGCTCTGCCACCCAGGCTGGCGTGATCTCAGCTCACTGCAACCTCCACCTCCCAGGTTCAAGAAATTCTTGTTCCTCAGCCTCCTGAGTAGCTGGGACTACAGGTGCACACCACCACACCTGGCTAATTTTTGTATTTTTATAGAGATGGGGTTTCACCATGTTGGCTGGGCTGGTCTTGAACTCCTGGCTTCAAGTGATCTGCCCACTTCCACCTCCCAAAGTGCTGGGATTACAGGTGTGAGCCACTGTGCCCGGCCTATTTAGCCTTTCTGTGTCTTAGTTTCTGCCTCAACAGAAAGGTGATGTGGCCCCAAATATCCATCCTCCTCTTCTTCCATTAACGACAGACTAGAATTTCAGCTGAGCATATGGCTGCCCAAGAGAGACTATATTTCCCAGCCTTGCTTGCAGTTAGATTTGGTCATGTTGAGGTAGGAGGTGGGACTTGACTCCAGAGATGGGGCTCAGCAATGAATCAGACTGAGTAATAGCTAAAACAGGGAAGGAGGGGAAAGCACCTCTCTTTAAGACATGGCCTCCACTGTGCCATGTTACTTTGCCATTGCCATGGCAACACCCAGAAGTTACTGTCCCTTTCCATGGTAACAACCTGACAACTTAGAAGTTACCACCCATTTTTCAGAAATTTCTGCATACATACTCTGCCCCTTAATTTGCATATGACTAAGGTGGGTATAAATATGACTGCAGAACTGCCTCTGAGCTGCCACTCTGGGCACACTGCCTATGAGGTAGCCATACTCCGCAAGGAGCAGTCTCTCTGCTGCTGCTGTACACCACCACTTCAATAAAAGTTGCTATCCAAGGCTGGGTGTGGTGGCTCATGCCTGTAAATCTCAGCACTTTGGGAGGCCGAGGTGGGTGGATCACCTGAGGTCAGGAGTTCGAGACCAGCCTGGCCAACATGGTGAAACCCTATCTCTACTAAAAATACAAAAAATTGGTCTGGCACGGTGGCTCATGCCTGTAATCCCAGCACTTTGGGAGGCCGAGATGGGTGGATCCCCTGAGACTGGGGGTTCAAAACCAGCCTGACCAGCATGGAGAAACCCCGTCTCTATTAAAAATACAAAATTGGCCGGGTGCGGTGGCTGACACCTGTAATCCCAGCACTTTGGGAGGCCGAGGCGGGCGGATCACGAGGTCAGGAGATTGAGACCATCCTGACTAATATGGTGAAACCCTGTCTCTATTAAAAATACAAAAAAAAAAAAATTAGTCTGGTGTGGTGGTGGGCGCCTGTGGTCCCAGCTACTCGGGAGGCTGAGGCAGGAGAATGACGTGAACCCGGGAGGCGGAGCTTGCAGTGAGCCGAGATCACACCACTGCACTCCAGCCTCGGCCATAGAGCGAGATTTCATTTCAAAAAAAAAAAAAAAAAATTTTAGCCAGGTGTGGTGGCACACACCTGTAATCCCAGCTACTCTGGAGGCTGAGGCAGGAGAATAGTTTGAACCCAGGAGGCAGAGGTTTCAGTGAGCCGAGATCGCGCCATTGCACTCCAGCCTGGGCAACAAGAGCGAAACTCTGTCTCCAATATATATATATAGTTTGTTTGTTTGTTTTTTGTTTTTGAGAAAGAGTTTCATTCTTATTGCCCAGGCTGGAGAGCAATGGCACGATCTCAGCTCACTGCAACCTCTGCCTCCTGGGTTCAAGCGATTCTCCTGCCTCAACTTCCCAAGTAGCCAGGATTACAGGCATGCGCCATCACATCTGGTTAATTTTTTTTTTGTATTTTTAGTAGAGATGGGGTTTCACCATGTTGGTCAGGCTGGTTTTGAACTCCTGACCTCAGGTGATCCGCCCACCTCAGCCTCCCAAAGTGCTGGGATTATAGGTGTGAGCCACCGTGCCCGACCCAAAATATATACATATATATTATACAAAAAATTAGCCGGGCATAGTGGCGTGCACCTGTAGTCCCAGCTACTCGGGAGGCTGAGGCAGGAGAATTGCTTAAACCCAGGAGGCAGAGGTTGCAGTGAGCTGAGATTGCGCCATTGCATGCCAGCCTGGATGACAGAGCAAGACTCCGTCTCAAAAATAAAAAAAATTTTAAAAAGTTGCTATCCTACACCACTGGCTCACCCTTGAATTCTTTCTTGGGTGAAGCTAAGCACCCGCCTGGTCTAAGCCCCAATTTGGGGGCTCACCTGTCCTGCATTTTTATGGTGAATATAAAATTGGGGTGGGGGTGGGGCTGGCGTGAGGGATCAAGTTTGTGACTTGAACTTCCTGCTGACACCAAAGAAGGGAACTCCTGGGATTTGCTTTTTTTTTTTTTTTTTGAGACAGAGTCTCGCTCTGTCGCCAAGGCTGGAGTGCGTGGCATGATCTCAGCTCACTGCAACCTCCGCCTCCCAGATTCAAGCAATTCTCCTGCCTCAGCCTCCTGAATAGCTGGGACTACACGCACGCGCCACCATGCCCAGCTAATTTTTGTATTTTTAGTAGAGACGGGGTTTCACCATGTTGGCCAGGATGGTCTCAATCTCACGAGCTTGTGATCCGCCCACCTCGGCCTCCCAAAGTGCTGGAATTACAGGTGTGAGCCACAGTGCCTGGCCGGGATTTCTTTGTTTTGTGATTGGGTCTCCCTATGTTGCCCAGGCTGGATTCGAACTCCTTGGCTCAAGCAATCCTCAGCCTCCAGTGTACCACCATGCTAACTTTCCTGGGCTTTTTCAGCTAGCCAGACATGGGCACAAAGTGAAGAGAGAGGGTAGGGCTTAAAAGCTGTCAGCAGTCGCCGAGCGTGGTGGCTCACGCCTGTAATCCCAGCACTTTGGGAGGCCGAGGTGAGTGGATCACGAGGTCAGGAGTTCAAGACCAGCCTGGCCAAGATGGTGAAACCCTGTCTCTACTAAAAATACGAAAAAATTAGCCAGGCGCTGTGGCAGGTGCCTGTAATCCCAATTACTCAGGAGGCTGAGGCAGGAGAATCGCTTGAACTCAGGGGGTGGAGGTTGCGGTGAGCCGAGATCGTGCCACTGCACTCTAGCCTGGGTGACAGAGTGAGACTCCATCTCAGAAAAAACAAAAAAAACAAAAAACTGTCCGCAGACAAATATAAAAAATAGTCAGACCTTTTCCTACACCCTTCTTTTATCCTTGCTTGGGAATACAGAAGTGGTGGAGAGCTGTCTTGGGCCATGCAGACAAAGGCAATGCTCTAAGGCTGGCTGAGCAAAAGAAAGAAGGAGCCTGGGTCCCCATCACTCTGGAGCCACCATATTAATCCTAGGAGCTTGACTGTGAGATGGGAGAGTTGTTAGCAGGAGTAAGTGATACAGTACTTGGCCTATTACAGAGGCTCAAAAGATAGTCCCACCCACTTGCTACCACGTTGTAGAAAATCCTACTTTCAAAAAGTGAAAGAGCTTACTATTTAAGTAGATTCTGCTATGATTAGGTAGAGATTGCTTCACTAATCATTCCTAAATTCCAAATACCTGAAAGTTCAAACGGCAGAAAATCAGAGGCTTGCCTGACAGTACAGCCTGCCCCCCAAAGCAGAACCTTCTCTACCACTTCCCTGACAGGGCATCAGCTTCTGCTTGGATACAACCAGTGACAGGGAGCTCACTATCTACCTAGGCAGTCCTTTCCATTATTGGGCAGTTCTAACTGACACACCAGCTGAATAGGCCTCCCTGCCATTTCTCACTCATGAGTTCTCCCCTCTATGTCCACAATCCACATGCAATTCAACAGCCGCCCCTTCTTAATAAAGAGCATGTCTGTCCTCTGTCCTCCCCTCCCACCTCGTATTCCCTCCTCCTCCCCTGTGGTAGGCAGCCTCTAAGGTGGCTTCCAAGGAGCCCCACCTCTCGTACCCCCTCCTCTTGAGTGTCAGCTGGACATAGTGACAAACAGAACAGGGTAAGAGTGGTGGGCTGTCACTTCCAAGATTAGGTGACCAAAAGTCTGTGACTTCCATCTTGCTTGCTCTTTCTTCCTGTCCCTCAGAGCCGTCACTCTGGGGGAAGCCAACTGTCATGTCGAGCTGCCTAGCACAGGGCAGGAACTAATGTCTCTGGTCAACAGCCATGAGAATGAGCTTTGAAGCGAATCCTCCTCCCCTGAACCACAGCCCTGACCAAAGCCCTGACTGCAGCCTTGTGAGACCCTGAGCAGAGCACTCATACCAGATTCCTGACCCACAGGCACTGTGAGATAATACGTGTATGGTTTCTTAAGCCAGCAAGTTTGGGGATAACCTGTTACACAGCAATTAATAACTAATACACAGCTCAGCATCTCAGTTCCTTCAGCCTCCATTTATTTCCAGACCCTTCTGTAAGAATTAAAGAAAGAGGAAGGAAACATGAAAGGTGGCTCACCAGTCAAGACAGGTTTATTTTAGAGAAAACAAACATGAGAGGAGCTTCTGGCTGAGTTAGGTGGGAGGCACACTCTCTTACAGACTAAGAGTTTTTAAGGATTCAGGGTGGGAGAGTTTATCAGAGGCTTGGAATGCTTCTGTGTCTTGTTGTTGTGCTTATCTGGGAGGGAGAGTTGTGTGTCTGTTCCCATACATCTTTGTGCAGCTGCAGGCATACCCCTGAGTCTGCTTTTAGCTTCCCTGTCTTAGTGCACCTGAAGGGAAAGGAATGTGCTTATTAAGGCCCACTATTTTACTGGGGCCTTATTGTATGAGGGGAAAGTTTGGCAGTTACCCAAGAGACTTTCCCCCACCTCCCTTTGTGCCCAAGCTGTCTTATCTGTTTTACTGTCTGCTCTTTCTGGCTGTTTGTAGTTAGAAAAGAAGTGATTTCCCTGAAATGCATGAGGCTAGAAAGGCAGCTGGAACTTAAAGTGACGGTGTCTGTCTGAGATGACGGTGCTCCTGCTCTGTCACCTTCCCCATCCTTTCTCTGTATATACTCCAATATATCAGTGTCCTTCCTAAAATATGGGTCCTAGAATGGGTCAGAACACTCTAGATGTGGTTGTGCAGTGGGACTGTTTCCCCCTGTGTGATGGACACTGTCCCTGATTCCTGCCCAAGATGCCATTAGTATTTTAACGGATGTATCTCACAGACAATTTTCTTTTGATCTTGTGGTTGACTAAAACCCCTAGGTCTATGCCCCATGAACTGTAAGGAAAGCCTAGTCACCCACCATTGCATAATTGTGCCACTGATTTTTTTTTCTTTTTTTTTTTTTTAGACAGAGTCTCTCTCTGTTACCCAGGCTGGAGTGCAGTGGCGCCATCTCGGCTCACTGCAACCTCCGCCTCCCAGGTTCAAGCAATCCTCCTGCCTCAGCCTCCCCAGTAGCTGGGACTACAGGTGTGCACCACCATACCTAGCTAATTTTTGTATTTTTAGTAGAGACAGGGTTTCACCATGTTGGCCAGGCTGGTCTCAAACTCTTGGCCTCAAGTGATCCTCCTGCTTTGGCCTCCCAAAATGTTGGGATTACAGGTGTGAGCCACCTTGCCCAGCGGAGACACTGATTTTCAAAACCCAAATGTAGGACTTTACAGTAGCTCTAGAAAACAGTCATTCTGCCTGCCCTGGCCAAGTGAGGACCCTGCAGACTTTATTTTGCATTTGCTGTATTCATTTACTCTCCCAGCTCTGAGCCATCTGCATATGTGGTCAAGCATCCACCCAGCCCTGAACCATCTTGTTGACTAAAATGATGAGCAAATACAGAAGCTGCTCTCAAGGGTCCCAAAAGGAAGGCAGGAACCCCACACTGATGGAGACTCATTAAATGCCAATCTTTGCCTGGTCCTTTTACATAGGACACCTCACCTCATTCTCCTATAACCCTACAGAGTAGTCACTATTTGCAGATAGACTGAGGCTCAGAGAGGAGAAATAATTTTCATTTATTCCAAGGAAATAATTTTTAAAAAGAAAAAAGCCAGCCAGGTGCAGTGGCTCACACCTGTAATCCTAGCACTTTGGGAGGTCAAGGGGGCAGATCACTTGAGGTCAGGAGTTCAAGACCAGCCTGACCAACATGGCGAAACCTGGTCTCTACTAAAAATACAAAAATTAGCTGAGCATGGTGGCGCGTGCCTGTAATCCCAGCTACTTGGAAGGCTGAGGCAGGAGAATCACTTGAACCTGGGAGTCAGAGGTTGTAGTGAGCCAAGATCACAACACTGCACTCCAGCCTGGGCGACAGAGTGAGACTCCATCTCAAAAACAGAAAAGAAAGGAAAGGAAGGGAAGGGAAGGGAAGGGAAGGGAGGGGAGGGGAGGGGAGGGGAGGGGAGGGGAGGGGAGGGGAGGGGAGGGGAGGGGAGGGGAGGGGAGGGGAAGGGAGGGAAGGGAAGGGAAGGGAAGGGAAGGGAAGGGAAGGGAAGGGAAGGGAAGGGAAAAAGCTGGAGGTGGGGTGCAGTGGCTCATGCCTGTAATCCCAGCACTTTGAGGGGCTGAGGCGGGTGGATCACCTGAGGTCTGGAGTTTGAGACCAGCCTGACCAACATGGAGAAACTTCATCTCTACTAAACATACAAAATTAGCTGGGCGTGATGGCGCATGCCTGTAATCCCAGCTACTTGGGAAGCTGAGGCAGGAGAATCGCTTGAATCCGGGAGGCAGAGGTTGTGGTGAACCGAGATCATGCCATTGTACTACAGCCTGGGCAACAAGAGCAAAACTCTGTATCAAAAAAAAAAAGAAGAGGGCCCAGCGCGGTGGCTCACGCCTGTAATCCCAGCACTTTGGGAGGCTGAGGCGGGCAGATCACGAGGTCAGGAGATTGAGACCATCCTGGCTAACACGGTGAAACCCCGTCTCCACTAAAAATATAAAAAATTGGGAGGCTGAGGCAGGAGAATGGCATGAACCCGGGAGGCAGAGCTTGCAGTGAGCCAAGATCGTGCCACTGCACTCCAGTCTGGGCAACAGAGTGAGACTCCGTCTCAAAAAAAAAAGAAAAGAAAAGAAAAAAAAAGCTGGAATCAAAATGTAATTCATCATTGTGATAGTTATAATAATCAGACAAAACCTAAAACACATTTGTGATCTGGGCAAATAATTTATCCACTCTGAGCCTCAGTTTCTTCATCTTTAAAATAATATCCATCTCACAGGGTTTGGAGAAAGACTTGATGAGAGCCCGTCTGTGGCACATCTGGTACAATGCCCTGCACAGAGTAAGCCAGCAATCAGTAGAAGGCATTTGTAACTAACTTAACTTGCATAAAACAAGTGGTTAAATCAGAGGGAGAGAATACCATCATAGTGGCGTAGTTGAGAGAGCTCAGGCTTAAAGTCTAGCTCGGCTACTCACTCATTGTGTAAACTTGGACCAAGTGCCTACCCAGCTCACAGGGTAATCGTGAGGAGGCAGGCGGAGTAATGTGAAATGCAGGGCAAATGTTGGTTCTTCTCATTACTGGACTTCTAGGTTGTTGGTGATTAGTGTCACTACCATACCAGTGGACACCTTCTTGCCTGTAGTGCTTTTCTTCTTTTGAATTATTTTCTTGGGACAAATTCAAAATCCTTTCTCCAACGCTTTCTGTAGTTGTCAGATCCAAGAAAAGCAGGTAGTAGTAAATCCTGCAGCAGCTCAGGCTCAGGACCAAGTTGTTACTGCTCCCCTGCCAGGAGCGGCCTGCAGTGGGTGACCCGCAGCTGCTAGTTCTAGCTAAGGCCCATGTGCCAGGTATGACATCATCGGGAAGGACAGGTTCTCAGCAGTGGGGACGGGAGGGGTGGGGGTAGCAGGAGACTTTTGATTCTCTTGGGACTGCTGCATCATCCTGAGGGAGAGGAGAACTGGTACAAATGCAGAATGCCAGGATTGCCCAGTGGTCCTTTGAGGACAGTCCAGAAAATTCCCAGGGAGTGTATGTATCACATCTCAGAGTAGAGCTAGAGGGGCCTGAGTGTTAGGGGTGGGGGCCTCAGCCCTGGAATCTGTGGCGTGAGAGGAAGTACACCGATGAGAGTGGTTAAAAAAAAGTGAGAACCAAAAAAAGAGATAGGATCCAAAATGGGGGCTCTCCACTGCATGAGTTTTGGGAGATCCTGAAGTCCCAGAATTGTATGCAGTATTTTGTGTGTATAATCCAGACATCAGCCAAGATATCCAACTTTTTTTTTTTTTTTAAGTAAGGGTCTCATTCTGTCACCCAAGCTGGATTGCAGTGGTGCAACCATAGCTCACTGCAGCTTTGAACTCCTGGGCTCAAGCAATCATCTCGCCTCAGCCTCTTGAATATCTGGGACTAGAGGCATGTGCCACCACACCTGGCTAATTTTTTTTTTTTTAATTTTCATAGAAATGGGGTCTCCTTATGTTGCCCAGGCTGTTCTCAAACTCCTGGCCTCAAGTGATTGATCCTTTCCCCTCGATCTCCCAAAGTGCTGGGATTACAAGCATGAGCCACCACACCTGATCCTTTGAGTTCAAATAAAATCAGCATCTACTCCATCCCACATGCACCCCACTCTCAGGCCCCCCAGGGATTCTGGGAACTGGCTAATGACTTCCTGGTTATCACTGGCTCTACAATCTTCCAAGGTAATTCAGTCTGTGAATCATCTTGTCATCTTGCAGGTACTACTCGTGTTCTGTTCTCTTCTCCATGACTCCCTTGCGAAAAAAAAAAAAATCACTCATATACAAGTGTGTTGCAGATTTGGCTAGATGTTCAAGGATCAGTAAGACAGAGTAGATGTTCATGTTACATTTGTGTGTGTGTGTGTGTGTGTGTGAGTGTGTGTGTTTGTTTGTTTTTCCTGCCTAGTGTCCCTTTCACTATCTGGTAAAAACAGAGAACTGCCTTTCCCCAATTCCATGTTTCTGGAAGTTCTGCCATCTATGATATCCCAGCCCACCCAGCCACAGGTGTTACTAGGCTGGTGTGCAGTAGGTCTAGAGTTATTGGGGCCATCTTCTCAACTGTAGGGAAGAGGCCTCTTTACGGGGAAAGAGACTGAAGCCAAGGTCAAAAGAAGCTGAGCCAAGAGAGACAGGGGGACAAGAAGAGAAGTGTCCTTTGAGTCCCTAGATCCAGTTGAGCCAGATGTGAGAGCTGCCAGAATGTGAATGGTGCCCCCTTTGAGTTGTGCAACTCACAATCTTGGCTCCACTGGCAACTTCCCAGTAAGATGAGTCAACTTATTCCATCTGCCTTTCTTTGTTCTTTTTTTTTCTGAGACAGAGTCTTGCTCTGTCACCCAGGCTGGAGTGCAATGGTGCGATCTCAGTTCACTGCAACCTCTGCCTCCCAGGTTCAAGCAATTCTCCTGCCTCTGCTTCCTGAGTAGCTGGCATTACAGGTGCCCGCCATCATGCCCTGCTAATTTTTGTATTTTTAGTAGAGATGGGGTTTCACCATGTTGGTCAGGCTGGTCTCGAACTCCTGACCTCAGGTGATGCACCCTCCTCAGCCTCCCAAAGTGCTGGGATCACAGGTGTGAGCCACCGCGCCGGGCCCGGTTTTTTTGTTTTTAGATACAGGGTTTCACTCTGTCTTCCAAGCTGCAGTGCAGTAAGCACAATCATGGCTCGCTGCAGCCCCAACCTCCCGGGCTCAAGCCATCCTCCTGCCTCAGCCTCCTGAGTAGCTGGGACAACAAGTATATGCCACCATGCCTTGCTAATTTTTAAATTTGTTTTTCTGTAGAGATGGAGTTTTGCCATCTTGCCCAGGCTGGTCTCAAACTGCTGGGCTCAAGTGTTCCTCTAACCTCAGCCTCCCAAAGTGCTTGGGATACAGGTGTGAGCCATCACGCCCAGCCTCTTGCAAGAAATTCGAGTTGAGATTCAATCACTCACTACCAGAAGACTAAATACAAAGGAGGTTCAATCTACTCTGCTTTGCTGGCCCTCAAACCTTTAGCCAAGTCTACAACACAGCTTCTGGTATTGATGTCATGGAGAAGGGCTGATTTCTGTCTAGGTCAATCAGAGCAGAGCAAGGGCAGTGCCTGCAGGGTGGTGAGATAATCCGTGAAGTTAACCCTTTTCTTACGCAGAGCAGCAGGGTCCTCCCTTGGTTCTGCTCCTGCCTTTCATACCCTGCCCTGGGGCCCATAGTCCCGTCAAGTAATTTTCCCAAACAAAGACAGGTTCTTGATCAAAAGGGATCTGGATGCTCCAATAGTTATATTTTCACTGTATGCATATATATTTTCCTGTGTATATTTTTCCAGGGAGAGGATTGGTAGCTTTCATCAGATTCTTGGAGTTCCATGGCTCAGAATAGTAGAGCAAAAAAAAGATGGCAGTGGGAGGGGCGAGGCCCTCATGCACTAACGCAGGAAGCAGCTGCCAGATAGAAGCAGAGCCAGACACTAAAGGGCAGATCACAGACCCTTCCAGCCAGAAGGATCCTCGGAGGTGTTCAAGCATTTTCAGCCTCAGCACCCTTTGTTCAAACAAAATCTTACAGGAAAGCCCAATCTGTGAAACAGACAAAAGGAGGCAGGGAAGGGGGCAGGAGGAGGAGAGCCTTGACCCTCCAAGACTCCTGAGAGGTGCTAAGGAGGGTTTTGTGAAATCCTTAAAACTCCTCATTGTACACCTTGGAAAATCCCTGGTCTAGCCTAATCAACCCATCTTACAGATGGAGAAACTGAGGCCCACAAAGAAGTGAGTTGCTCATGTTGCCCGGCTAATTGTGATGTCATTGAGACTGGAATGCAAGACTCCTGGGCTTCAGTGGCCAGGTCTATGCCCCTCCTTCTGCCTAGGAAAAGGTGAAAACCACACTTTCTCCCCAAAAGGCTAGGTGCTCAGTCCCTCCCACAGCTCACATGCAGGGGCCTGCCTCCAGTCCCATGAAATACCCTTCATCCCAGCCTTGTGACCCTCCTGGCCTTTAAGGGCAGGACACTGGGGATCTCTTTCACCCAGGAGAGAGTTTGGAGGAGGAATCGGAAGACGCCTCCTCCCTTTGCTGGCAACAAGGATCCTGGATGAGGCTGTGTCTTCTCTAACAGGGCCCAAGGAGGAGCCAGCGTGAACCTGGGACCCCAGGGACCGAGATCGGCTCAGGGCAGAGTTCTGAGATGTCTCACTTTACAAGGATGGAATTTCACGACTTGTGTATTTTAATTAAATTTTTATTTTTATGGAATTTTAGCAAGAGTTCCCCCACTCCTGCAGCTCGCTCATTGTTATTAAAAACCATGACAAGATGAGGGGGAAAAAAAACCAACAAAACGCTGTCCAAGTGGCCAAAATGAGGCCATATTTTAGCAAAGATCTGACCACAGTGTACACTTGAAACCCGCTCCCTGCCTTCGGATGCTGATTCCACCCCCGTGACTTCATAGACCAGATTTTAAGTCTGTGGCTTATTGCTTTCTGAGCCTCCTGGGGCTTATAGGATTATTCTGGATTTAATCCTTTAATAATTTTTCCTCCCTCCTATCTAAGGTCTCATTTTCCAGTTGAAATTGGCCTGGGTGGAGCAGCTTGCTTCTAGCCCTGATGGACTCCCCTCTCAGACTGCTGTTCTCTGTCACTGAAAGAAAATTAAGGAAGGGGCATGTGTAAAGCTGACCATTGCAGCTGGCCGGGCACGGTGGCTCATGCCTGTAATTCCAGCACTTTGGGAGGCCGAGGCAGGCGGGTCACGAGGTCAGGAGATCGAGACCATCCTGGCTAACACGGTGAAACCCCATCTCTACTAAAAATACAAAAACATTAGCCGGGCGTGGTGGCAGGTGCCTGTAGTCCCAGCTGCTGGGGAGGCTGAGGCAGGAGAATGGCGTGAACCCGGGAGGCGGAGCTTACAGTGAGCCAAGATCACACCACTGCACTCCAGTCTGGGCGACAGAGCAAGACTCCGTCTCAAAAAAAAAAAAAAAAGCTGACCATTGCTGAGACTTACAAGAGAAAGCTGAAAGTCCTTGTTCGGAAGCTTTGATGAAGAGGGAAAGGCGGCCCATGCCAAGGCCTGTACCTGAAGCTTGGTGTATGTCATCTTTATTCCTTCCTACAGCCTTGGAAACCACATAATTATCCCCATTTTACAAAAGAAGAAACTCAGGGTCAATAACAACAAATGACTTGCTCAAATTGACACAGGTGGTCAGAAGTAGAACCGGGCTTTGAACCCTCTCTGGCTGGGGTCTAGAGGCCTCACTCCCTGAGCAACACCAACTGCCTGGCTCTTTCCTCTTTCACCCCAACCAGTTATCCCTTCCAGCTGAGCATGTGGCTAGCAGACAGGAATGAGGAGTGGGGAAGGAGACTCCTTATTCAGCCAAGCAGCTCTGGCAGTCTAAGAGTGGGAGCAATGCCCCAACCTGATCTACCTCAAACAAGAGCTGCTAAGGAAGATGAGCAGGTGTGATCCACTTCCAAATGCCCCAACTGAACACCCACCGTCAACCAGGCACAGTGCTAGAGGCTGGAGAACAGGCATAAAGAATGAACGAGACAACCCATCTAGTACAGGAACCAGACCCATGGCAGTAAAGCTGCCACCATGTGAGAGCCCAGAGAAGCAAATGAGCCTCTAAGACCTGCCCAGAAGTAGCCACATTTGGACTCAGTCTTAAATCAGTGAGTTGGATGTCCACCTGCAAAGAAGGAACACAGGAATGCTGAGCAGGGGAAACAGCATGAGCAAAGGCTTGGAGGTGTGAATGAAACGATACATTGAAGGAACTATAGAAAATAGATCCAGGCAGTGGGGCGCAGAGGCTCAGACCTGTAATTCCAGCACCTTGGGAGGCCGAGGTGGGCAGATTATTTGAGACCAGGAATTTGAGACCAACATGGCGAAACCCTGTCTCTACAAAAAATACAAAAATTAGCTGGGAATGGTGGTGCGTGCCTGTAGTCCCAGCTACCTGGGTGGCTGAGGTGGAAGAATCACGTGAGTTCAAAGAGGTCGAGGCTGCAGTGAGCCATGATCATGCCACTGCACTCCAGCCTGGGTGACAGAGTGAAACCCTGTCTCAAAAAAAAAGGAAAGAAAACACAGATCCTTATGTGGAAGGTGAAGGAGTAGTTCTCAAGATTATTAAGACTTAGGATGTGTCCTCAAGGAGTTTGTAGTTTGGGCAGGGATTGAGATCTTGCCCTACTGTGTGGCCAGAGCATAAGATGGCAGGAAAGGGGGCTGGGGTCCAGACCTAATTCAAAGGAAAGGCCGGGGTTCTGGTATCCTTTCATCACTTGGCATTTCCAGGTTTCAGAGGAAGAAAATCAAGTTAAAATCCTGATTCCCCATTTCTCCTTCTGGCATCTCTGATTGGCATCCTTTACAAGGATGGAATTTCATGACTTGTGTATTTGTGTACTTGTGAATCAGTGACCCTCTTGTTTTGGACTTTATGGGAGACTTGCGTGGGGAGAGGGAATTGTGCTCATTCACCTGGGGGGGTTGGGGTGATCCCCACTTGTCAAAGGTGTTTGAACCAGAGCAACGCCATCTTGAGTAGCAGCTGGGCAAAATGAGGCTGAGACCTGCTGGGTTGCATTCCCAGGAGGTTAGGCATTCTTAGTCACAGGATGAGACAGAAGATCAGCACAAGATACAGGTCCCAAAGACCTTGCTGATAAAAGAGAATGCAGTAAAGAAGATGGCCAAAACCCACCCAAACCAAGATGGCCACGAAAGTGATCTCTGGTCGTCCTCACTGTTCATTATATGTTAATTATAATACATTAGCATGCTAAAAGACACTCCTACCATCACCATGACAGTTTACAAATACCATGGCACCTTCCGGAAGTTACCCTATATAGTCTAAGAAGGGTAGGGACTTTCAGTTCTGGGAAATCTCTGCCCTTTTCCCAGGAAACTCATGAGTAATCCATCCCTTTTTAGCATATAATAAAGAAATAACTATAGCCGGGTGTGGTGGCTCATGCCTGTAATCCCAGCACTTTGGGAGGCTGAGGCAGGAGGATCACTTGAGGTCAGGAGTTCAAGACCAGCCTGGCCAACATGATGAAAACCTGTCTCTACTAAAAATATAAAAAATTAGCCTGATGTTGTGGCGCACAGCTGTAATCCCAACTACTTGGGAGGCTGAGGCAGGAGAATTGCTAGAAACCAGGAGGCGGAGGTTGCAGTGAGCTGAATTGCACCACTGCACTCCAGCTTGGACAACAGAGCGAGACTCCGTCTCAAAAAAAAAAAAAAAAAACCGGAACAATAAGCATACTCAGTCAAGCAACTCATGCCGCCGCTCTGCCTATGCAGTATCCATTCTTTATTCATTTAGTTTCTTTTTTTTTTTTTTGAGACGGAGTTTTGCTTTTGTTGCTCAGGTTGGAGTGCAATGGCGCGATCTTGGCTCACTGCCACCTCCACCTCCTGGGTTCCAGCGATTCTCCTGCCTCAGTCTCCTGAGTAGCTGGGATTACAGGCGTGAGTCACCACGCCCGGCTAATTTTGTATTTTTAGTAGAGATGGGGTCTCTCCATATTGATCAGGCTGGTCTCGAACTCCTGACCTAAGGTGATCCGCCTCCTCGGCCTCCCAAAGTGCTGGAATTACAGGAGTGAGCCACCACGCCCAGCCCGTTTACTTTCTTAATAAACTTGCTTTCACTTTACTCTATAAACTCGCCCCGAATTCTTTCTTCTGCAAGGTCCAAGAATCCTCTCTTGGGATCTGGATTGGGCCCCCTTTCAGGTAACATACTCATGACCCCAAAAGCCCTGAGAACCAGCCCTCTCACCAGCAGACCTCCTCCCCTCAACTGAGCTCTACAACTAGCAGGTTGGTTCCAAATCCACAATTCATTCAGTCAACAAACCTCCAGTGATCAGCTTCACTGTTTGCCAAGCAGTAGGATAGAGAAATGGAAAAGACAGTCCCAGCCCTCCCAGTGGGAGGGAACAAAAAATAAGCAGGTGGCCGGACAGGTGGCTCACGCCTGTAATCCCAGCAGTTTGGGAGGTCGAGGCGGGTGGATCACTTGAGGTCAGGAGTTTGAGACCAGCCTGGCCAACATGGTGAAACCCCGTCTCTACTAAAAATACAAAAATTAACCGGGTGTGGTGACAGGCACCTGTAATCCCAACTACTCGGGAGGCTGAGGCAGGAGAATTGTTTAAACCCAGGGGCAGAGGTTGCAGTGAGCCAAGATGGCGCCACTGCACTCCAGCCTGGGTGACAGAGTGAGACCCTGTCTCAAACAAAAAAAAAAAAAAGAAAAGAAAAGAAAAAGGCGGGTAATTGCAGCACAGCAGGGTAAGTTCCACCAATGGAGGAAGTGATCACAGGGGGCTGTAGCAGCATCAGTGTCTCCTGAGATCTTGTTAGAAATGCAAATGTGCAAGCCCTACTTCAGACCTATTGATTCTGAAACTGGGAGGGGCCCAGCAATCGGTGTTTTAGCAAACCCTCCATGCGATTCTGATGAGGGCTAATGTTTGAGAATCAATAAGCTGTAGGAACACAGAAGAGAAAGTGGAATTTTTTTTTTGAGACAGAGTCTCCCTCTGTTGCCCAGGCTGGAGTGCAGTTGCAGTGATCTCGGCTCACTGCAAGCTCCGCCTCCCAGGTTCACGCCATTCTCCTGCCTCAGCCTCCTGAGTAGCTAGGACTACAGGCACCCACCACCACGCCTGGCTAATTTTTTTGTATTTTTAGTAGAGATGGGGTTTCATTGTGTTAGCCAGGATGGTCTCGATCTCCTGACCTTGTGATCCACCTACCTCGGCCTCCCAAAGTGCTGGGATTATAGGCGTGAGCCACCCTGCCCGGCTGAAAGTGGTAGTTTTTTTTTTTTGAGATGGAATTTTGCTCTTGTTGCCCAGGCTGGAGTGCAATGGCATGATCTCGGCATACTGCAACCTCTGCCTCCCGGGTTCAAGCAGTTCTCCTGACTCAGCCTCCTGAGTAGCTGGGATCACAGGCGCCTGCCACCATGCCCAGCTACTTTTTTGTATTTTTAGTAGAGATGGGATTTCACCATGTTGGCCAGGCTGGTCTTGAACTCCTGACCTTAGGTGATCCACCAGCCTCGGCCTCCCCAAGCGCTGGGATTACAGGCGCGAGCCACCACGCCCAGCAAGTACTTTTTTTTTAAATTTAATTTTGTTGTTGTTGTTGAGATGGAGTCTCACTCTGTCACCCAGGCTGGAATGCATTGGCGCAATCTCGGCTCACTGCAACCTCCACCTTCTGTGTTCAAGCGATTCTCCTGCCTCGGCCTCCCGAGTAGCTGGGATTACAGGCATGCACCACTGTGCCCAGCTAATTTTTGTATTTTTAGTAAAGATGTGGTTTCACCATGTTGGCCAGACTGGTCTCGAACTCCTGAGCTCAAGTGATCCGCCTGCCTCCGTCTTCCAAAGTACCAAGACTACAGGCATGAGCCACTGCTCCCAGCCAAGAAAACAGTACTTAACCCTGAATGGAGTGATCAGGAAATGCTTCCTGAAGGAAGAAACTCCTGAGGTGAATCTTCCAGAAGGAGCCTGATGAAGAGGTAAAAAGATGCCCCAGGTGAATGAAGCTGTGTATGCAAGAGCACGGAGGGTAAGGAGTTTGCAAAGAACCACAGGGGTGGGTGGTGGGTTGGCAGCCAAGTGGCTAGAGATGGGGAGAGTGGCTGGGAAGAGACATCGGGAATCAGAGATTTCAGTTTCTGAGTGAAGGAAGGCGAGAGAGTGTGGGTGTGCCGTAGACCCCATTGCAGTAAACAGCCTCGCCTAAACCAGGCAGGGCAGATACCCCAGGCCTCCCCTGGGGCCTAGAAGCCTCCCCATCTCACTCTGCAACTCCTCGGGTTAACCAAAGCAGCATGACCTCATGTGTTATGGCTGCAAAGGCGCGGGGGAGGCCATATCCGGTGTTTGTATTGAAATTAATTGGGGGCTCCTTGGATGATGGAGGCTTTGAGGAATGCACAGGCCCCCGCATATGATCCTGTGAACAATGGTGTCACTTCAGACCACCGAGGCCCCCAGCGGCCCGCATCTGCACGTCCACAGCCCTTCTCGATGAAATAATAATCATAGACAGATATGAATATTTACAATACGAAGCAGCAACTTGCGATGGGGAGAACTCAGGCAAGCACCCCAGAGCTATTTTTAGCCTTGGAAACGGAGCCCCATTTTACCAGGGCAGCAGCGTGTCGATCAGGAAAATCAGGAAAATCCCACCGCTCCCCGCCAAGCCCTGATTTATGATGATTCAGAGGGGAGATGCTGCCAGGAATGGGCCGGGGCCAGGAAAATTTCATCTGTCTGGAATCCGACAGGAAAAAAGAGGCCTGGAAATTTCAGAGGAAGCTGGGATCTGCGCCGGTTACAGCGCCTCTGTGTTCGCTCAGCTGGCTCCTGTTAGCCAGTGAAGGGTCCGCTGAGGAAAAGCGTCAGGCCAGGTTTTTCCATCATTCCAGAACCTTGAGCCTGATCCCCAGGCAGCCGCTGCTCCTGCGACCTCCGACCCCAAACAACAGGAGCCTTCACCAGGTTTCCCCCAGCCCCCCAGCCCTAGGCTATATCTTAAATCAACATCTTTGTTTTTTTGTCTTTTCCCTTACCACAAAAAATGATAGCAAAGTGATTCTATCTTTTTAGCTATTTGTTTAACCAGACATTTAGCACACTTAAGAAGCAGGGTTCAATATGAAAACCAATTAATGCAATTTAGTTTTAATTTCCTCCCCTGAAATGGCCCAGCTCTCCCAAGGTGGCCTTCTCACCCTCCTCTCTGGTGCTGGGGCACCAGGAACCCCTAGCCTCCAAACCTGATGCTACAAGCTCTAAAATGAGGCCAGAGATTAGGATTTTGCTCAAAATCTTGCTGGCAGATCCTAAAGGGGCAAACAAGATGGTGATGGAGTTCAGGACATGCTACCCCAAAATACAGCACCTCGGCAAAAGCAGCAGAAGGAGGAAGATCTCTCTGACTTGCTGCTACTATTCTCCCCTGAAGCAGATCATGAAAGAATTTTCTGTCTTTCTTCTAAAGTAGGTCATAAGACCCTCATTCCAGAGGGGTCCTCCCTATATCCAGAGGAAAGGAATGAAGAAGCAGAGAAGAATCTGAAGAAACAGGCCTTGCTAAGCTCCCCCAAGTTGATTACTATTAGATCATACCCCCTTTCTTCCATCATATTTCTTCTTCTTTTTTTTTTTTGAGATGGAGTCTCGCTCTGTCTCCCAGGCTGGAGTGCAGTAGTGTGTTCTCCGCTCACTGCAACCTCTACCTCCTGGGTTCCAGCAATTCTCCTGTCTCAGCCTCCCGAGTAGCTGGGATTACAGGCGTGCGCTACCATGCCCAGCTAATTGTTTGTATTTTTAGTAGAGACGGGGTTTCATCCTGTTGGCCAGGCTGGTGTTGAACTCCTGACCTCAAGTGATCCACCCGCCTCGGCCTCCCAAAGTGCTGGGATTACAGGCGTGAGCCACCACGCCTGGCCTCGTCCATCATGTTTCTACACAACGCTCTACTCCTCATTAAACCTAAGCATAAAATATACACAGTATTCCCTATTTCCCTGGGTCTTCATCTCCCATGTCACGGAAACTTATTATATAAATGTGTATGCTTTTCTCTTGTTAATCTATCTTTTGTTATAGGGATCTCAAGCCATGAACTTTGTGACAGATAAGGAAAAGATATATGCCTAGAAGTGGAAATTAAAAGTTTTTTTTAAATAAAAGTAATAGATATTACTCTTTCCCCCCTACAATGGCATCCTTTCCATCCATTCATTCCTTCATTCATTTACTTAATGCCTATTTTGTGCCAGAGTCTGTACTGGGGGTAGGGGGATGGTTTTCGGGGGGATACAAAATGGACATCGCCTGCCTTCAAGGAGCTCACAGTTTGGTGGGGGACACAGACCTGTAAATAGGTTTAACTATGGTGCAGAGGAACAAATGGGGTAACAGCTAAGCAGAGAGGAGTCAGGAAGCACGGAGAAGACTCTTGGGGCTGGCTCAGAGGCAGACGAGAGGAGAAAACGTATCAAAGGAAAGGGACTGTGTGTATAAAGACAGAAGCAGGAAAGAAAGGGGACACACTTACCCCACAACATGAGGAGTCTGGTGTGACTGCAGCGTAGGATCCACGGGCAGCTGGTCCGACTCAGGGAGGCAATTTGTTCTGTTAAAGAAAAAATTATTCTTTTTTTTTGAGACAGAGTCTCACTCTGTCACCCAGGCTAGAGTCCAGTGGCACCGTGTTGGCTCACTGCAACCTCCGTCTCCTGGGTTCAAGCAATTCTCCTGCCTCAGCCTCCCGAGTAGCTGGGATTACAGGCATCCACCACCACCCCCGGCTAGTTTATATATATATGTATATATAAACTATATATATAAAAACTATATATATAAACCATATATATAAACTATAAACTATATATATAAACCATATATATAAACTATATATATATATATGGTTTTTTTTTTTTTTTGAGACAGAGTCTCACACTCTCACCCAGGCTGGAGTGCAATGGCGCGATCTCGGCTCACTGCAAGCTCCGCCTCCTGGGTTCACGCCATTCTCCTGCCTCAGCCTCCTGAGTAGCTGGGACTACAGGCGCCCGCCACCACACCAGGCTAATTTTTTGTATTTTTAGTAGAGACGGGGTTTCACCATGTTAGCCAGGATGGTCTCGATCTTCTGACCTTGTGATCCTCCTGCCTCAGCCTCCCAAAGTGCTGGGCTTACAGGCACGAACCACCACGCCCGCCTTTAGTTTTTATATTTTTAGTAGAGATGGGTTTTCACCATGTTGGGCAGGCTGGTCTCAAACTCCTGACCTCAGCTGATCCACCCGCCTCAGCCTCCCAAAGTGCTGGGATTGCAAGCATGAACCACCGTGCCCGGCTGAGAAAAAATTATTCTTAACACTTATTAAAGACAGTAAGGAAGATCTTATTTAAGGGGGGCGGGGCTGCTACACTGGGGTTTGGCAATAGGGAAAAGCGATCAAAGACAACAAGGACAAGTGGAGATTTATAGCCAAGGAACAGGGTGGGGTCAGTGGATGGAAAATCACTAAGGAGAAGCATTCAGGCCAGGGGATTCCTGCTGAAGGCAGGCCAGGGTGATGCGATATCAAGGGTGGAGGATGAGGAATTTCATCAGATAGGAAGGATAGGGGATTTTTGCTAAATGGGCCTGGCAGGATTCATGCTACAACTGGACTAAATTGCCCAAGGACACAGCCCAAGGTCAAGATGCTGTCAAAAAGAGGACCCAGAGGACCCTGACTCAGGTTTGATCAAGGAGAAAGTCTGTCAGGTCAGGGCATTGGTGAAACTGCCTTTGCATTGGGACTCCGTGCCGAGGGCACTGGAGAGTTGAGCAGGGAAACACCAAGGGGATATGTGCACTTTGTCCAGGTGACCCTGGTGGCACTGTGAAGGCTGGTGTGGAAAGGGGTGGGGCTGGAGGCAGGAGGACAGTCAGAAGAGAGCAGGGCTGACAAGCAGGGCAGTGGGGATGCAGAGGAGGGCAGGCTTTAGAAGACATTTAGAAGCCAGGCCGGTGCTTGTAATTGCAGCACTTTGGGAGGCCAAGGAAAGCAGATCACTTGAGTTCAGGAGTTTGAGGCCAGCCTGGGCAACATGGTGAAACCCCTTCTCTACAAAAAGTACAAAAATTAGCCAGGTGTGGTGGTGCACACCTGTAATCCTAACTACTTGGTGGGGCTGAGATGAGAGGATCACTTGAGCCTGGGAGATTGAGGGTGCAGTAAGCCATGTTTGCACCACTGCACCCCAGCCTGGGCAACAGTGTGAGAAACCCAATTCTGTCACGTTTGGTGGCTGGCTGATGACAGCTGTTCAACAAAGAAACACCAGTGGATGAAGGGAGACCTAATTTCCTAAAGAAGCCAAACCAAAACCTCATGCAACAATTCCTGAGGGACAGGAAGTATCTGCCCACAGCTGTTTTGTCCAGGCTGCTTGGGGCTGCAGTCAGCCAGGGAACCAAGGGAACTGAACCCCAGGGCCCAGTCTTTACTGGCAGCTGCCCATCTTAGAACCCACGGTACAATGGGGGAAGGCCCTAAGAGACAATTAAGGCATTTGCCTCCAACACAACTTAAGGGAGTGCCCCAAAACTCAGAAATCAAGATAGATAACTGATATGGTTTGGCTCTGTGTCCCCACCCAAATCTCATCTTGAATTGTAACTCCCACCATTCCCACGTGTCATGGGAGGAACCCAGTGGGAGGTGATTGAATTATGGGGGTAGATCTTCCTGCACTGTTCGTGTGATACTGAATGAGTCTCATGAGATCTGATGGTTTAAAAAAAAAAAAAGCAGAAGTTTGCCTGCACAAGCTCTCTCTTTTTGCCTGCTGTCATCTGTGTAAGATGTGACTTGCTCCTCCTTGCATTCTTCCATGATTGCGAGGCTTCCCCAGCCACGTGGAACTGTGAATTCTCTATTAAACCTCTTTCTTTTGTAATTTGCCCAGTCACAGGTATGTCTTTATCAGCAGCGTGAAAAGTGACAAATACAATAATACTTTTTTGTTGTTTTTGAGATGGAATCTCACTCTGTTCCCCAGGCTGGAGTGCAGTGGCATGATCTCGGCTCACTGCAACCTCTGCCTCCCAGGCTCAAGCGATTCTCCCACCTCAGCCTCCCTAGTAGCTGGAACTACAGGCATGCATCACCACCATGCCTGGCTAATTTTTGTATTTTTAGTAGAGACGGGATTTTACCATGTTGGCCAGGCTGGTCTCCAACTCCTGACCTCAGGTGATCCACCTGCCTCAGCCTCCCAAAGTGCTGGGATTACAGGTATGAGCCACTGTGCCCGGTCCAAGATAGATAATACTTTAACGCAATTTTTAAAAATCAAAATTGGCCAGGTGCATTGGCTCACGCCTGTAATCCCAGCACTTTGGGAGGCCAAGGCGGGTGGATCATGAGGTCAGGAGATCAAGACCATCCTGGCTAACACGGTGAAACCCTGTCTCTACTAAAAGTACAAAAAATTAGCCGGGCATGGTGGCGGGTGCCTGTAGTCCCAGCTACTAGGGAGGTTGAGGTAGGAGAATGGCGTGAACCCAGGAGGCGGAGCTTGCAATGAGCCAAGATCGCGCCACTGCACTCCAGCCTGGGCAACAGTGCGAGACTCCATCTCAAAATAAAAAAAAATCAAAATTAATGTAAAAATTGATGATGAACAAAATATTAAGATTTCAAATAAACACAAGATCCAACCCTTCCCTCAATATCGTGTCTCATTCACCTCACCCTAATCTCAGTCTTGGTTCCAATAAAACCTTGTTTTAAAAAACAGGCAGCCAGCTCACAGACTGTAGTTTACTGACAACAAAAATATTGCATTAGGCCAGGCACAGTGGCTCACATCTGTAATCCCAGCACTTTGGGAGGTTGAGTCAGGAAAAGTTTTTTTTTGAGATGGAGTCTCGCTCTGTTGCCCAGGCTGGAGTGCAATGGCGCAATCTCGGCTCACTGCAAGCTCCACCTCCTGGGTTTACGCCCTTCTCCTACCTCAGCCTCCCTAGTAGCTGGGACTACAGGTGCCTGCCACCATACCTGGCTAATTTTTTGTATTTTTAGTAGAGACGGGGTTTCACCATGTTAGCCAGGATGGTCTTAATCTCCTGACCTTGTGATCGGCCTGCCTCGGCCTCCCAAAGTGCTGGGATTACAGGCGTGAGCCACCATGCCTGGCCTAGGCAGGAAAATTTTTTGAGGCCGGGAGTTCAAGACCAGCCTGGGAAACATAGCAAGAACCTGTCTCTACAAAAAATAAATAAATTAGCTGGGCGTGGTGGCACATGCCTGTAGTTCCAGCTACTCAGGAGGCTGAGGCAGGAGGATTGCTTGAGCCCAGGAGTTCCAGGCTGCAGTGAGCCATAACTGTGCCACTGCATTCCAGCCTGAGGCACAGAACAAGACCCTGTCTCTGAAAGAAAAAAAAAATGCATTAAATTTTATTTATCTTGATTACTCGGTGCCCCTTACATTTTGGGCCTGTGGTGAGTTCCTCACTCCCCTCACTCTAAATCTGGGCCAGCCAGAGAAGGCCCCTTCCTGGAATACAAGCCCCAGTGAGAAGACCTACAGCCTGCAGAGAACAATGTGCCCACATTAATTCTGCTTGGGATCACAATCATTCCATGTGTGCTGAGGGCTCCACATTGGTCAGTAACCCCTAATGCCCCTGTCCCTTAGATTATCTGATGCCACCATACACCTAGGACGAGTTATTTAAGCTTTCTTTTTTTTTTTTTTTGAGACAGAGTCTCGCTCTGTCGCCTAGGCAGGAGCGCAGTGGTGCGATCTCGGCTCACTGCAAGCTCCGCCTCCTAGGTTCACGCCATTCTCCTGCCTCAGCCTCCCGAGCAGCTGGGACTACAGGTACCCACCACCACGCCCGACTAATGTTTTGTATTTTTTAGTAGAGATGGGGTTTCACCGTGTTAGCCAGGATGGTCTCGATCTCCTGACCTCGTGATCCACCCGCCTCGGCCTCCCAAAGTGCTGGGATTATAGGCGTGAGCCACCGCGCCCAGCCTGCTGAGTTGTTTAAGATTTCTAAGCTCATCTGTCTCATCTGTAATAGGGAGAGAGGAATGTTAATTTGCTGCTCTTCATGCCAAAGAAATCTAAATTGGCCTGAACCCAGGACCTTTTGCACATCCAATGCATCAGCACTGAGAGCATTGTGCCAGGCATTGTCCTGGGGAAATGTTGACAAACAGGGTGTGAGATGTATTCCCAAGCCCTACTCACCACAGTTTATATTCACAGCCTAGGAAGAGATAGGCCCAGGAGCCAGGTGCGGTGTCTCATGCCTGTAACCCCAGCACTTTGGGAGGCCGAGGTGGGCAGATCATGAAGTCAGGAGATCGATACCATCCTGGCTAACATGGGGAAACCCTGTCTCTACTAAAAATACAAAAAAATTAGCCGGGTGTAGTGGCGGACACCTGCAGTCCCAGCTACTTGGGAGGTTGAGGCAGGAGAATGGCGTGAACCCAGGAGGCGGAACTTGCAGTGAGCCAAGATTGCGCCACTGAACTCCAACCTGGGTGACAGGGCCAGACTCCGTCTCAAAAAAAAAAAAAAAAAAAAAGAAAGACGTAGGCCCAGAAACCAAAATCACTCATTCATTTGTTCATTCGTTAATTTCTTCAGTAATAGGCATCCACTGACTATATATGCCAGACACTGCCAGGCATTGGTTGAGTCAGACATGATCCTTGGCCTCAAAATATTTACAGCCTAGTACAGTGAGATAGATAAAGAAAAATAACTGCAATACGAAGCTATGTGTGCTCTTTGAAGATAAAGGAATGTGGAAATTTAGAGAGGACAACTATTTAGCTGATAGTGGGGAGGGATTTCGCAGAGTAGGACACAAGTAGAATTGTGCGAGACAGACGGACTAGCACTTTTCAGACAAGAACCTGTATGTGCTAAGGCAGAGTGTGAAAGAAAGCATTGTGATTACAGGCCAGGAGGCTGAGCAAAGCATACAGTAAAAGTAGGTGATGGGTCCAGGCCTGGTGGCTCATACCCGTAATCCCAGCACTTTGAGATGCTGAGGTAGGAGGATTTCTTGAGGCCAGGATTTCAAAACTAGCCTAGGCGTCATAATGAGACTTTGTCTCTACAAAACAGTTTTTTTTAATTAAAATTTTTTAATTTAAAATTTTTAAAATTAAAAAGTAGGTGATGGGCTGGGGTGGCAGGTGAAATAAACTCAGCATAGACTATGAAAGGCCTTGAATGCTGAGATTAAAAATGGGATTTTATTCTGTTGGCAATGGGGAGACTCTGGAAGCTTATAGACAGAAGATGGCATGTTTTGATCTGTTTTTTGAAAGAGAATGCTGGCAACCATGGAAAGGAGGGATTGAAACTGGAAGTGTGGGGAGGTAGAAAAGTCAGTTGGGATATTTTGCATTAATTCAGGGAGGAATGATAAAGGCCTGAACCAAGGCACTGCTGGTGGAAACAGAGAGCAGGGATGGAGTTTAGTGAGATTTCTGGTAAGAAGCTATACAACTTAGTGAGTAACTATATGTGCAGGGTGAGGATGAGAAAGGAGTCTAGCTTGATTTCCAGTTTTCTCATTTGGGCAATTTTACATAGTGGTAACCGTATACGAATAGGTAAATACGGGAGGAGGCACAAGTTGGGGAGCAGAAGATGTGCTCGTCTGTGGGATTTGTTGACTCAGACATGCATGGAAGATTGTTCTGATAAAATGATCAGATGAGATATGATATGCTTAGGGCTCAGGGAAAAGTTTAGGCTGGAGATACTGCTGTGTGAGCAGAGGGTATATGAGCCTGGGTGAGCTGACCCGGGGAGAGTTTAGAGGGAGAAGACAGCTGAAGGTGAGAAGCCAACAGTGGAAAGTGGAAGAAATAAGGGAGACCAGGGGGCAGCAAGGGAGATCTGGGAGGAAGAGCAGGAAAGAGTGACATCCAGGAGACCAGGAGAGCTTATAAACGAAAAGAGGAGAAAGGGTTCCACCCACCAGAGCGAGAAGAGCATGAGGACAAGAACCAAGCCGTAGTTTGAAGACAAGTTGGCCATTGATGACTTTAGCAAGAGCAATTTCAAAATTGACCAAAGTCTGCACCTCATTAAACCACAGATCATTTCCATGGAAGGGTGGAAAGCGAGTTGAGGAATCCATGGGAGGTGAGGAAGTGGAGGCAGTGAGTGTGGACAGCTCCTTCGATAAGTTCTGGGGAAAGAGGAAAGAGGTGGTAGTATGTGGGAGCCACAGGGTCCAGAGGTAGCGAGAAAATGAGCAGGCTTTAGAAAGTGAGAGAGACTTGGGTAGCATTTTAGATTCGAGACGCAATGGAAAGAGAAGTGAGATCCCAACTGGGCAGCACAGGAGCACCCTGTTCAGACCCCAGCCACAGAGAGCCTTGGTCAAAATTCAAGACTCGTTTTCTCTCATGGTGCTTAGGTTCCCCAGTCAGACCCCCAGAACCCATTTCCCACATAATCCACCAGAAGCATGGTACAAATTATGCATGAGAAACACACTCCCTGTTCCAACTCAAAGTTCTAGAGAATATCTCACCATCTGAAGGATGCTGGAAGGTGGGAACAAGGCTCCCAGGAGTGGGCAAGACAGATCTCTATTCTGGTCTGGCTCATTTATCTACAAGGAACAGAGGTCCCCTTAAGTCACCTCAAGGAAAAGGGGAGTTTGTGGCAAGGATATATGTGGCTAGCAGTTTAGAAACAGAATGGGAATGGGAAAGCCACTGAGAAGGGTGACGGCGGTTGGCCCCTGACTCGTGGTCACTCTGCTTCTCTCTGGACATCTGTCCTCTTGTTCTCCTCTCTCTGCCAACAGCTTCTTTCACTCTGTTTTCTCACTTCCCTTGTCACTTTGGCTTAATAAGGCTTTGGCTTTTCATCCTCAACCTCTTGGAATCTCTTTCAACTACTATCCCACCTGCTAGTGGGTCCAACTTCTGTTTCCCAGTTGAGACAGGAATGTGACTGACCCAGCTCCTGGTTCAGGGCAGGGCTTTGGGTCACTAGCCAGGCTGTAGTTGGCCGTCTTTAGATAAACTGCCCACCTCTGCTCCAATCACTGGGGGCAGTGAGCAGAGACAGGGACTTAGGACACCAACACTGTTTAGCCTGGTCCCTCCTACAGAGGCTGGAATGAGCAGGCGATACCCCAAAGCATGTCTGGCACAATAAATCTATGTTCCTGGCCGGGCGCGGTGGCTCACGCTTGTAATCCCAGCACTTTGGGAGGCTGAGGTGGGTGGATCACTTCAGGACAGGAGTTCAAGACCAGCCTGGCCAACATGGTGAAATCCTGTCTCTACTAAAAACACAAAACAATTAGCCGGGTGTGGTGGCGGGCACCTGTAATCCCAGCTACTCAGGAGGCTGAGGCAGGAGAATCGCTCAAACCCAGCAGGCGGAGGTTGCAGTGAGCCAAGATCACACCATTGCAATCCAGCCTGGGCAACAAGAGCGAAACTCTGTCTCTAAATAAATAAATAAATAAATGTTTCTTTCTAAGCCAACTGCCTGATGACATGGTCTGAATTGGGGGAACAACTAGGGATGGGAAATGACAAGGCTTTGAACCACTATTCAAGGGTTCTTATGGTAGTGATCACCTCTTATAGACATTTGAGATTATTGCATGAAGATCAGGAAGAGAATCTGTAGCAGAGAATTAGGAAGAAGATGGTGGTGAATGCCCATTGCCCCCACTACACACATCATGGCTCCCTCCACCCAGAGATCAAAGGAGTTGCCTCCTCTCCAGAGGGCTCAGGAGATGCCCATGCTCAGTGCCCTCCTGGTGTGCTGACTGCGTGCTGGCCTTTAGGAGCCCGCCTCCTCCAGTAAGTGCCAGGCCTGGGGAGACCTTGGATGTAAGCCCGAGGGAGTGTCCTGGACCTTGGACCGCAGGCCCACCCAGCAGGGTGTCCTGTCCCCAGCACAGTGGAAAGGTCTTCAGTCCCCTCTCCCTGCCCTCCAGCCTTCAGCTGGACTCTCCCAGATGTCACTGGCTATATTTTCAAAAATAGGAAGAATTCCAAAACCAGATTCCAAGTGCTATACCTCCCACACCCTCCCGTAGCCCCACCAGCCTGCCAACCTTTTGAGGCAATTATAATTAGAAACCAGGGTCAGGAGCAGTGGCTCACGCCTGTAACCTCAACACTTTTGGGAGGGCAAGGCAGGAGGATCCCTTGGTCCCAGGAGCTCAAGACTAGCCTAAGCAACAGAGAGAGAGAATTAGAAGCCAGTGTGTGTGGAAGACAACATCAGCAGACATTGTTCAGAGACGTGCAAACCACAAAGGGAGCCAGTCTGTGGAGGAGGCCAAAGAGTGGGGACCTTAGCTGACCCATCACCCCTCCTGTATTCCGGCTTCTTTCTCCTCCAGCCCTTCTGGACTCCAAGGACCTAGCTCCACAGGAAGCTTAAAGTGAGGTGGAATGTTCGCCACTGTTATTATTAACAGAACATCCGCTAACATTCTAATTGAAAATTTAACTCTAATTATTCCAGTTTACCAGGAATGCAAGCAAAAGCAGGACCAACTGTGATGCACCAAATAGATACACGTGAAAAGACAGATAAGCAAATAGGAAGAGACAAAGCTGGGACCAGTGAACCAGGGGACCCCGGGACATTTATTCCACTCACAACTCAAACACCATGTCGCCTCCCACCTGGAGAACCTTCTACCCCTCAAATCGTCCCCAAATATACATCCTTTCCCACTGCCCCTCTGCTCTTCCCAGCCCTACACTAGCCAATGATCCCTACTTCTTGCTCAAATCAGAGCTGCAATCAGAGATTTTACTGCTGTGAATACAAAAAATGCCTAGAGTCTTTTTTTTTTTTTTTTTTTTTTGGAGATGGAGTCTTGCTCTGTCACTCAGGCTGGAGTGCAGTGGCGCTCCAGATCTCAGCTCACTGCGACCTCTGTCTTCTGGGTTCAAGCAATTCTCCTGCCTCAGCCCCCCAAGTGGCTGGGATTATAGGCACCCGCCACCACGCCCGACTAATTTTTTTGCATTTTTTTCAGTAGAGACGGGGTTTCACCATGTTGGCCAAGCTGGTTTCGAACTCCTGACCTCAAGTGATCTGCCCACCTCGGCCTCCCAAAGTGGTAGGATTACAGGCGTGAGCCACCATGCCCGGCCTAAGACTGTCCTTTGAAAATGGTGCTTCACCCTCCACAGAGCATGTGGCAGTATGCAGCACAGTCTAAAAAGCCACAATAAATAAACATGGTGGCAATATTTTACTGAAATGTTTGGCAGGGAGAACCTTTATTCTTACCTAAAAACAACTCGGATAGGTTATAAGGAAGAGAGCAACACTTGCATGCATATTACATAAAACACCATCTTCAAAATCATGCAGGCTAAATACAATGCTGTATCCAGGATTAGATCCTGGAACAGAATGAAGATATTAATGGAAAAACTGGTGGAATCCAAATGAAGACTGGAGTTAATTACTAGTAATGTACCAACGTTAATTTCTCAGTTTTGACAAAAGTACCAGAGTTACATAATATGTTACCATGAGGGGAAACTGGGTAAAGGGTATATGAGAACTATGTGCTATCATTGCAGCTTTTCTATAGGTCTAACATTATTCTAAAATGTAATGTTCATTAAAAAAAAAAAAAAAAGCATGTGGCTGCTTCCAGCTTTCTGAATCCCCACCGCACCCTCACCACTCCCCAGCACAAGGTCATCGTCCTCCCCAGCACAAGGTCACCGTCCTCCCCAACAGAGTTCCTTGGGCAGCAACCACTAGAAACCCCACAAAGACCAGCTGGGGCCAGAGGCAGGATGTGTGGTCCTGGGCAGGTCTGAGACAGATCAAACACAAGGTAATCAGTCTGCAGAACCACAGACAACACAGACCTACGCCATGGAATTCCAGATCATTCCAGATCTACAAGTCATTGGTTCATTCCATAAGTATTTATCATAGCACATAGCACGCGCCAAGCACCGTGCTAGGCTGTCTTGAGAATGGAGGTGTGGGGAAAGAGGGATGAGGTACAAAGATGCATACCCAGAGAAGGAATCTCCTCCCTTAAGGAAGCAGTGAGGGGAACAGACGAGCTCCACACACAAAGGGACGGGAGGAGAGGGATAGACACAAAGCCTGCTAGAGGTGATCAGGGAAGGCTTCACAGAGGAGGCAGTATCAGTCCCAGCAACTGTAGCCCAGTTGCTCCCCGTCACCCAAAGACAGCCACACCTGATCCCCTGGCTCAGGCAGCTGGAAAGAGGAGCTGAGAAAAAGGAGAGTCATGCTCTCAGCAAACATCAAGTGCTGTAAGCATCATAAAATCATCATCATCATCATCACCATCAGACACTGATGGCCCAGTGGGAGGCCTGGGACCCTGAAGAGAGCCCAGGTAAGGGGCAAACAGGCTTGGAGGAGGCAATTGCCTAGGGCAGTGGTGTGGGGGTGGGGGGCTGCTTCCCCATACCTGTAGCTAGCAGGGCCGCGGGGTAAGGGGCATGTTGACACAGCTGGTAAGAAAGGCTTTGTCCCTGCCTCATTAATCACTTCAGCACAGGAGCTCCGAGGGAGGGGACGCCCCAGGGGCACTGGGCTAGCTCTCACGGGGGAGCCCCTCAGAGGCAGAGAGAGGTGGCCCGGCTTCAGGCCCAGGAGCCAGGGGAAGGTCTGAAGAGGGCAGGATGGCGTGGAAGGAGGCTGCCCAGGCCCTAGGGACCTACGGGCCAGGGGATTTCCCAGCCAGGATGTTTGTCGCAGAACATCAGCCTTCCTGCCCAGAGGCTAAAGCACTTCCAGCAGGCAGCCCGCAGATGGTAACCCCCTAACAAGAAGGTCCCAGGAGGGGCATATATATTTTCCTTTCTCATTTGGCCAAGCCAGTGTCAGCTGCTTGCCATGCGATTCCTGACCCTCCTGCCCGGGTGTGTGTGTGTGTGTGTGTGTGTGTGTAAAGGGTCACAAGCCTTTACTGAGAACAGAGAGGAGGTCCATCCACCTTTGCTCTGAATGCAGCAAGGGAGAGGATGGGGAAGCAGTGGAATTGTTTCCACTTCTATTATTTACTATTCTCTCCACAAACACTTATGGAACACCTACTATGCGTCTGGCACTGTTCTAGTGACTGGGAGCAGAGAGAACACAGAACAGAGAGAAGGTCTGCTTTTCTGGAGCTTGCCTTCTAGAGGGGGCAGCAGAGAATGGGAAAACATTATGTTCACCAGAGTGGTCAGGCAGGCCAACACCCTTCTGGGCCAACTGAGCTCAGACCTAGTTTCCAGAACCACCCTCCCTGGGCATCCTCTTCCTCCCTCCCAGCCCTCACTGAGGCCTCTCCCAAATCTGAACGTGGAGGCCCCAAGGTGGGCTGGCAGCCGGAAGGCATGAAGAACTCCCCAGGATCCCCTGTCTCTAATGAAAGAGAGAAGCCAGTTCCGGGCAGCTCGCGTCCAGTTTCATTGTAAATCCTCTAGACTGTCGGATGGCCAAGTGGCCCAGGGTCTCCTCTGCCCTCTCTCCTCTGCCTGGGGGGTGAGGGGCTCTTTGCCTCTCCCTCTGTCACTTCCTCACTCCTTTCTCTTTCCCTCCCGCATTCTCTTTCATTCTTTCTCCTCCTTTCTTCTTTCTGCTTCCCCTCCCCAGCCTCTGTTCTCTCTCTGAACCCCCCTCCCCTTCTTCCTGTCTTGCATTTTCCTGCCCAGGAATCAGACCCCAGACAGTACCTAGGAAGTCTGCGGCCTTGCCTAATAGAACCGTAATAGTCCTCAGGGAGGCGCGATAATGACATCCTCCTTAAATAAAAGGACTTAATGGAGATTTCCCAAATTTGAAAACCACATTTCCACTAGCAACCCATTCAGCAAGCGACGGCTCTGGAAAGGAACTCGTGGGAAGCTGCAATGGGGAGGGGGTGAAGTGGCAGGAGGCAAGGAGTTTGTGCAAAGAAGGTTCTATTCATAGGGGGCTTTCTGTGGCAGGACAAAGAAGCTGGTCTGAGGACACAGATCATAAAGGTGGGCCATCTCATCCCTCCTCACCCTATTGGGCCAACTCCTTAAGAGAAGAGGCTCAGCATCAGGAAGTCCTGGATGAGCTACTTCACCCCTCTGAGCCTCAACGTCCTCAGCTGGGAGTTGGGTGTAATCTTCTCCCAGTTACTCAACGAGGGTCAGGAGATTAGCACTCACCTAGTTCCTGACATGTAGCAGAAGCCAAATGCACTTCAGGCTGCCTCCTTAACAAACACAGCCAGACGGGGTCCTCCTAATCCTGGGACTAAGCAGACAAACCAGCCCAGCCCACCCCACCCATTCACCCTGGACTTAAGGGAATAACAAGCTATTGCTGGGGAGGGGGTGGTGGAGGGGAGATCATGGGTTTCTCATCGCCTCTGTCACTAGGATACTGATAAACCGTTAAGTGAGGTGTGGATATAGAGTCAAGATCTTGGGGACTCTGGGATCCCACAATTTATCTCAGGTAATCATGTAAACCTTTTTGGGTCCCACTAGCTCCACTGAAAACAGAGATGCAAAGACTGAACCAAGGACTCTGGAGCCCCCAAGTAATTCCCACTACCCCCCAAACCCAAGCCAAGGATGTGAATGAAGCTAAGGGAAGAGCAGTATGGCAAATGCGTGTTTCATGAATAAACTGTCAGGAGTCCCAGATAAAGGGCACAGCTCTGCCACCAACTCATTCTGTGATATTGGGCAAAGCTCTTCCCCTCTGTGGGCCTCCATTCCCAAGGTGTAGAATCATGGAATTAAGTATTCCCTTTCTAAAAAGAATTTAAACTGGAGGTAAAATTCTTCCCATCTAGGCCTCGTAGCAGTGGAGGATGTGGTTTGTTTGCCAACACTGCCACCTTGTGGCAGCAGCACACAACTCCCGACAGACCTCTGGACTTGGCACCCTGTGGTCAAAGCCCAAGGGACACACGCCCCCTGCCCACCCCACCCCGTTCTACAACGGACACGCATTCCTATCAGCAGAGCGACTCTGTTTCAAAAAATCCCTCACTCACAGCTTGTAACATAGGATGCTCGTTTTTGCAAATAAGACCCTGTCTTGGAAGAGTAAAAGAACTACCATTTCCAGCCCAGCGCT
Organism: Homo sapiens; assembly: GCF_000001405.40. Taxonomy (NCBI): domain Eukaryota; kingdom Metazoa; phylum Chordata; class Mammalia; order Primates; family Hominidae; genus Homo; species Homo sapiens. Next base: position 43,576,577 of record NC_000017.11, on the reverse strand, counting down.
GTGGCTCACTCCTGTAATCCTAGCACTTTGGGAGGCGGAGGCGAGCAGATCACAAGGTCAGGAGTTTGTAGACCAGCCTGGCCAATATGGTGAAACCCTGCAAAAATTAGCAGGGCATGGTGGCACATGCCTGTAGTCTCAGCTACTTGGGAGGCTGAGGCAAATGAATTGCTTGAACCCAGCAGGTGGAGGTTGCAGTTAGCCGAGATCATGCCACTGCACTCTAGCCTGGGTGACAGAGTGAGACTCTGTCTCAATAAATAAATAAATAAATAAATAAATAAATAAATAAATAATAAAAAACCTACCATTTCCAAGCTCCTTTTTTGTGCCAGTGACCACGATAAATATGTTATACATACCTTGTCTTGTTTGATCCTAAAAGCAACACTGTGAGGGAGATATTATCGGCCCTCATTTTACAGATGAGGAGACTGAGGCTCGGAGAGGTAAAGTGATGCCCAGTTTCACACAGCTAGAACGAGATGACCGTGAAACTCCGAGAAAGCTCCCCTAACTCTAGAGCTCAGGCGGCCTGCCCAGGAATGAGTATTCATTATCCTCAGCTACATCAGGCTCCATCTTCACAGGCCTCTGCAGTTGAGGGGGTCACTGAGTTGAAGGGGATGAGAGAGCGAGGTCTCTAAGGAACACCCCTGCCCTACTCCTGGGATGGGAGTGGAGGAAGCCTCACCCTAGCCTCTGGGCTCACCATGCTGACTTAGGGCACATCAGTGCTTTCTGAATGCTCCCTGAAATGCCAAAGAAAAACCACCAGACCCTAAAAAAGGCGTAAACTCATGACTCAGAGGAACCAGGGACTCGACTCCTGTGTCTGGGGCATATTTGTCAATTTATTCTTTTACCACTAAACACCCCCCACCAACCTCCCAGAGTCCATGGCCAATCTGAGGGGGTGAATGAAGACAGAGACCCATCTGGTTCTCATACTGTTAGGAAAAGTGATTCTCCTGGTGCGTTCCTGTGTTATAGGAACAGGACCAGCCCAGTTCCAAAAATTATATATTCATAAAATTGCTTATAAGCAACCCCCACAAACATATTAGAACATCTTTCACAACCCCCACTGCATTTAACCACTCCTATCCCCATAACAGCTGACTTCCCATAAGCAACACGGGCAGCAGCAGGAGAGAAGGAAGGGGGGAGCTGTGAGGATGCCCTTTACCTCTATCTGGGGATATGTATCTGTGATCAACTAATCTTAGCTTAGCTAATCTTAGCTAAGCTAATCTTAGCTGATTCGTGTGAGCTTTGTGGCTTCTTGAAGCACAGTCACCCACCTGTGGGCCCTGGAACTGTCCCAAATAGACCAGGAAATTGTCAATATCTCCCCTACAGTCGGCTGATCTAGATGACATAAATACCGTGGCTCTGTGACTCCCGTTTCTAAAGAGAGACTGTAAAACTCAAAGATTAAACAATAGCAATAATAATAATAAAGGGTGCATGTAGTCACTGGACAGAGAGTTCACCAGCAAAAGGTTGTGTCCAAAAGCAAATGAAAGGAGGAAAGGCACAAGTCTTGCTCCCTGCAACCCTCTGCCCAAGCCAGGCCCTGTCAAGCTCACCCCAATTCCATGTAAACATGCCCCCTTTTAAACTTACTCTAACATTTTCACATTTATTTGCAATGCATCAGCATGTCCAAATGTCCTTTACTGAAGACATTGTCACTGTCTGTTGGTGACGTTCTTTAGCAGCAGCCTTGGCTCTGTGAGACAAACTCAGCAGCTACACACACAGACACAGACACAGACAGACACAGTATGTGCAGCCTGGTGCTGCTGGTGACAACAGGCATGGCACAGGCTGTGCAGCATTCCCAGAACCAGCACACACTATCACAAGAGCTGCTCTCCTACCAATGTGCTCCCAAGTTTTTCTGTTTAACATAGCTTTACCCTGAAGCCCACCAGCCCACCACAGTGTCCCTCGTTCCCTGCCCTGCTTGATGACAGCGAGCTGGAAGAGTCGCTGAAGCAGTGTGCAGGCCAAGCGAACGCCACTGTGCCACGCGAACGCTATTGTGCCATGCGCTTTACCTTATCTTCAGCCGGTTTCTTGGGGACAGGTTTCGCTTCCTTTTAAACTCTAGAGGAGTGGCTCCTGCTAACTGGCAGGACGGTGTCAGGAGGCCTGGTCAAGGGCAAGGCATTGACCTCTAGCTCCCAACACCCAGGTCAGAGCAGGTGTTATAACTCGGAGGGAACTGAGGCAGAGACCTCCAGCTCATTTCTCTGTGGGCCAGAGAGGTGTCATCTCTAGGCAGCACCCCAAACAGAGCCTCAGGCCAACCCCACCTGCTGACCACCTAGGAGGGAACACGTGCACCCCAAAGCACCAGTTTGAACAGGCAAGTGGCACAAAGAAATTAGACAGCAGGTACTCCTCAATATGGTGTGGGGAGACCCAGGGGCCCAGCGAAGCTGCAGAAGCTGCAGGCTCTGCTGCCGACTGAGTTGGGGCAGAGGCTACTCTGGGCCTCGAGAGGGTTAAAAACTTGCTCTTGGATCCATGGCTCCATTCCAAAGGGTCTCCGTTAACACCAGAGGTCTCCTGATATCTCACTCTCTTTAATAGATTTTTCCCATTGACGTCTCAGTTTATTGACTATCATTTCCTTTTCTGCAGGGGAGCTATTTTCTGGGTCACTGATCCAACCAACTTAAAAGGGGTTGCATTGATTAAGTTTTATTGGTGGTGACTTGCACAGAGATGGGCTGATTTGCTCCTACCTGCTAACAGCTCCTTTGTTCCCCCTCCCAGCCCCCACCCACCCTGTTGACTTATGAGAGGGACAAAGCTGGAGCACTTAGGTGGTGAGCTTTATGAAGTGATGGGGAACTCCTGGCTGCCTTGCCTCAAGGTCTCTGCAGAGTTAGGTTAAAGTCCATTTAAAAAAAAAAAAAAACTCTAAAGAATTGACGTTCACAGAGCTGGAGTAAAAATAGAAGCAAGTCCAGAAAGTCACCCATTCATTTAGTGAGCCTTTCCTGATCACCTCCTATGTGGGATAATCATAAATAACACCTTAGTGACGTTTGCAGGTTTCAAAACTCTTTTGAACATATTATCTCACTTGATGCTTGTAACTGAGTGATAAACACAATGATTATTATTCCTACTTCGTGGATGACAGCCCAGAAGCAAAGAGAAGAAACCTGTCCTAAATCACATAGTTAGCTAATGGCAAACTCAAAAATTTAAACCAAGGGTTGTTTGACTCCAGAGTCTCCATCCTCCTCTACTAAGAGTTCAAGGGGCTACCAAGAGGAATTAGGCAAAATCCTTTCCTTTTTTTGAGATGGAGTCTCACTCTGCTGCCCAGGCTGGAGTGCAGTGGTGTGATCTTGTCTCGCTGCAACCTCCGCCTCCCAGGTTCAAGTGATTCTCCTGCCTCAGCCTCCAGAGTAGCTGAGATTATAGGCGTGTGGCACCATGCCTGGCTAATTTTTGTATTTTTTTAGTATAGATGGTTTTCACCATGTTGGCCAGGCTGGTCTCGAACTCCTGACCTCAAGTGATCCGCCCACCTGGGCTTCCCAAAGTGCTAGGATTATAGGCATGAACCACCACGCCCAGACGGCAAAATTCATATTTGATGTAAGTATATGATTATATCATATACTTTGATATTGATGCATGTGCAGTGCATGTACCACTAATTGACAAAGGGGAGATGGGAGACGTGGCAGTGGAAACCCTGGAGGTGTCTAGTTCAACCCCCCACAACTTACAGGTGAGAAAAAGTGAGTCCCAGAAATGTAAAATAGTTTGCTCAAGGTCAAACAGCATTCATTCATTCATTCATTCATTCATTCAATGTGCCAGATACTTGTATTTGGTCTCACTAGAGCCTAAGAGGGTTCAGCAGAGGAGTGGCTGGTTGCCTGCAGGAACACTCATCTATATAGAGATAGCATCTGTAGGCAGCCTTTGATCCTTCTCTACTCTGAGTCACTGATCTCTTTTCACCACAGGCCCTCCTGCCCCAGTCCATTACCACATTCAGAGTAGCCCATTTCCGACCAGGACCCCAAAGCTCAAAGCCCCCCAACTTGGTCTTGGTTCAACATTGGAATGCCCCTCCAGTCCCACTTTTCTCCCTCATCCTGTGCTGCTCAGGTAAACCTTGTCTAAAAGGACAGCTGTGCCAGGCACGGTGGCTTACTTGGGGAGGCTGAGGCAGGTGGATCACTTGAGATCAGGGGTTCGAGACTAGCCTGGCCAACAAGGTGTAACCCCATCTCTACTAAAAATATAAAAATTAGGCTGGGTGCAGATCCCAGCACTTTGGGAGGCCAAGGTGGGTGGATCACCTGAGCTCAGGAGTTCGAAACCAGTGTGGCCAATGTGATGAAACCCTGTCTCTACTAAAAATGCAAAAATTAGCTGGGTGTGGTGGCTGACGCCTGTAATCCCAGCTATGTGGGAGGCTGAGGCAGGAGAATCGCTTGAACCTGGAAGGCGGAGGTTGCAGTGCGCCAGTGCACTCCAGCCTGGGCGACAGAGCAAGACTCTGTCTCAAAAAAATAAAAATAGGGCCAGGTTTGGTGGTTCACGCCTGTAATCTCAGCACTTTGGGAGGCCGAGGCGGACAGATCACGAGGTCAGGAGATCGAGACCATCCTGGCTAACACGGTGAAGCCCCATCTCTACTAAAAATACAAAAAAAAAAAAAAAAAATAGCCGGGCGTGGTGGCGGGTGCCTGTAGTCCCAGCTACTTGGGAGGCTGAGGCAGGAGAATGGGGTGAACCCGGGAGGCGGAGCTTGCAGTGAGCTGAGATTGCACCACTGCACTCCAGCCTGGGTGAGAGAGTGAAACTCTGTCTCAAAAATAATAATAATAATAATAATAATAATTAAAAATAAAAATAAGGCTGGTTGTAGTGGCTCATGCCTGTATTCCCAGCACTTCGGGAGGCCAAGGCGGGCAGATCACCTGAGGTCAGGAATTCGAGACCAGCCTGGCTAACATGGCAAAACCCTGTCTCTACTAAAAATACAAAAATTAGGCCCGGCATGGTGGCTCACGCCTGTAATCCCAGCACTTTGGGAGGCTGAGGTGGGCAGATCACGAGGTCAGGAGATCGAGACCATCCTGGCTAACATGGTGAAACCCTGTCTCTGCTAAAAATACAAAAAAAAAAAAAAATAGCTGGGCGTGGTGGCGGGCGCCTGTAGTCCCAGCTACTCAGGAGGCTGAGGCAGGAGAATGGCGTGAACCCGGGAGGTGGAGGTTGCAGTGAGCCGAGATCGCGCCACTGCACTCCAGCCTGGGTGACAGAGCGAGACTCTGTCTCAAAAGAAAAAAAAAATACAAAAGTTAGTCGGGCATGGTGGTGGGCACCTGTAATCTCAGCTACTCAGGAGGCTGAGGTGGGAGAATCACTTGAACCCGGAAGGCAGAGGTTGCTGTGAGCCAAGATTGCACCATTGCATTCCAGCCTGGGTGACAAGAGCAAAACTCTGTCTCAAAAAATATATATAAAATAATAAAAATAAATAAATAAATGAATTAAAGGACTGCTACAGCTACCAGAGCTCTTCTGAAAGCAAAATGCCAATGTGTGCAGAACAAGAATCAATTGTTAGAATTCAGTTCAGCCACCATGAGTTATGGGTGAGAAGTATGCGTTTGCAGGAGTGAATATTTGTGTAATGACTCTGGCATAGGAGGTGGGATGGTGAGGAACTATGTGGGTGTCTGTGCAGTTCATCCTGTCCATTCTCCTGATTGTGTGCTCATTCATTCATTCATTCATTCAGCAAGCTTCTAGGCCAGTATCTCCTGCGAGGCAAGGACTGCACTAGGATCTGATGATTCAGAGATGAATAAGACACAACCTGTACCCAAGAGAAACTGATGGCTGAATGTGGGAGAAAAACACATGGGCAAAGAATTATAGCTCAGTGTGGTGAGCATCACAGTCAAGATATTTGCAAGGGATGGCTGGGCGTGGTGACTCATGCCTGTAATGCCAGCACTTAGGGAGGCTGAGGCAGGTGGATCACTTGAGGCCAGGAGTTTGACACCAGCCTGGCCAACATGGCAAAACCCCATCTCTACTAAAAATACAAAAATTAGCCAGGCGTGGTGGCACACAACTATAATTCCAGCTATTTGGGTGGTTGAGGCACAAGAATCACTTGAATTGGGGAGGCAGAGGCTGCAGTGAGCTGACATCATGCCACTGTACTCCAACCTGGGCGGCAGAGCAAGACTCTGTCTCAAAAAAAAAAAAAAAAAAAAAAAGATATTTGCAAGGGAGAGGAAATGGGAAAGCACATCATAAAAAGCAAAGTATGAACTGAGGACATAACAAGGACAAATAAGGGTTCAACAAGTAGGCCAAGAGTGAAGGAGGGCTGGGTGTGGTGACTCATGCCTATAATCTCAGCACTTTGGGAGGCCGAGGTGGGCGGATCACTTGAGGTCAGGGGTTCGAGACCAGCCTGGCCAGCATGGCGAAACCCTGTTTCTACTAAAAATATAAAAATTAGCCGGGTGTGGTGGTTGGTGCCTGTAAGCCCAGCTACTCAGGAGGCCGAGGCAGGATATCGCTTGAACCTGGGACGTAGAGGTTGCAGTGAGTTGAGATTGCACCATTTCATTCCAGCCTGGGTGACAGTGTGAGACTCTGTCTCAGAAAAAAAAAAAAAGAGAAAGAAAGAAAGAAAGAAAGAAAGAAAGAAAAGAGTGAAGGAGGATGTTCCAAGCAATAGAGAGAAACATGCAGAGGTGTGGTGTGTTCTTGGAAGGAAAACAGTCAAGTTCAAGGGAGGGAGAGAGAGGAGCCCACAGAGGTGGGCCAGGAGATCGCACTGGGCAGGCTCTGCTGCTGGAGACTGAGACTGGGGGAAGCCCGATCTCCAGAAGGGCCAAGCTGGGTGACAGAGGGTGGAAGGAGGGAATGTTCTTTCTCAAATCTCACCAACGAGACCAGTTGTTTTTCACAGAAAAGTCCCAAAGACAGGCCCTTATTCTTTGGGCCACCATAACTACGCCCAGTTGTGAAGTGTGTTCCCTTGGACAGAAGTCTTCTCCCAGCTCCAGCTGAAATCACCACATTTCAACCTTCTGCATCCCTCTGTCTTTCTCACTCTCTCCTTCAGGCCCCTGTAATGCAAAATGTGTGTTTTGTTCCCTCTGAATGAGAGAATTAAATCATCTGAATAAAATAAATGTCTTCTCGTAGGCAGGAAGCTTGACACATTTCAGACAGAATTGCAGCAAACCCTCCAGAAACAAATAGAGGGCCTGAGATCCACCCAAATGAGCAACAGCTAAAAGGGTCGGCCCGTTACCAGAACCCGTTTTCTCTGCATAAATCTGCAGCAATCAAGGGACATGCATTACAAAAACACATAAAAGCTGCTCACTGGAGGAGCAGCAGCAAGTGTTTGCCAGGCACTCGAGCCAGAGAAATGAGTCCCAGCACCTCTGCTGTACCACACACTACACACGTGCGCCCACACAGGCCCCCAGAAAGTCCCAAATCGCAACTCCAAAGGGAGAGGAAAGTTTCTGGGCTCTGTTTTAGGGTGGTTCTCACAGACTCACACACACACTTATACCCACTTACACACATCTCACACATCATACATATACACACATATACACAATCATACCCATGCACAGGTACACACACACCCATCATATCTACACACACATCTCGTATACAACCCATACATATACTGACACATACTCATACACCTCACTCTCACAAACACAATCATAACCACTTGTACATACACACAGCTCACACCACACATATCCTCACAAATACATCCACTCATGCATACACAAAATTAACACGTTCACTCACACACACTTCCCACCCACAAACACACCATTAATACACCCTACACTCAATCACAGTTGCTCACACATGCACACACATCTCACACATGCATACTCACACATAAACACCACACAAACATCTCACACACACACCACACATATACACTGTCACACACATACACTCACACATTTTCTGCGCTCCAAGGAAGCAAACTTTTTTTTTTTTTTTTTTTTTGAGACAGAGTCTTGCTCTGTCGCCCAGGCTGGAGTGCAGTGGTGCAATCTCGGCTCACTGCAACTTCCATCTCCGGGGTGCAAGCGATTTTCCTGCCTCAGCCTCCCAGGTAGCTGGGACTACAGGCGTGCACCACTATGCTCAGCTAATTTTTAAATATTTTTAGTAGAGACAGGGTTTCACCATGTTGGACAGGTTGGTCTTTAGCTCCTGACCTCAAGTGATCCGCCCATCTCGGCCTCCCAAAGTGCTGGGATTACAAGCATGAGCCACTGCACCCGGCCAACCAAAACTAGCACTTTCTTTTTTTTTTTTTTTTGAGACGGAGTCTCACTCTGTCGCCCAGGCTGGAGTGCAGTAGCGCAATCTTGGCTCACTGCAACCTCCGCCTCCCTGGTTCAAGCGATTCTCCTGCCTCAGCCTCCTGAGTAGCTGGGATCACAGGCGCACATCACCACGCTTGGCTAATTTTTGTATTTTTAGTAGAGACGGGGTTTCATCATGTTGGTCAGGCTGATCTTGAACTCCTGACCTTGTGATCCGCCCGCCTCGGCCTCCCAAAGTGCTGGGATTACAAGCGTGAGCCACCGCGCCCGGCAAAACTGGCACTTTCTATGTCAAGGTGCCAGATGTGTATGGATGAGAGGACCTTCTGTCCCACCTGCAAGGCTTGTGGGTGATGTCCTTTGCTGCTCAGCACAGCAATAGTGCTTGGATGACATCAGTTCTGCTTCCTGTCCCTAAAACTAAAAGTGAACACTAAAAGTTTACTGCTTCACCAAGATGGCTTTAGGGCTATTTCTTTTTCTTTTTTCTTTTTTTTTTTTTTTTTTTTGAGATGGAGTGCTGCACTGTTGCCCAGGCTGGAGTGCGGTGGCTCAATCTCGGCTCACTGCAAGCTCTGCCTCCCGAGTTCACGCCATTCTCCTGCCTCAGCCTCCCGAGTAGCTGGGACTACAGGCGCGCCACCATGCCCGGCTAATTTTTGTGAGTGTGTATGTGTGTGTATTTTTAGTAGAGACGGAGTTTCACCATGTTAGCCAGGATGGTCTCGATCTCCTGACCTTGTGATCCACCCGCCTCGGCCTCCCAAAGTGCTGGGATTACAGGCATGAGCCACTGCGCCCGGCTGGGGCTACTTCTATGTACATTTTATTGGATTAGAACATCTGCCTAGAAATGTACCCAGTGTAGGTCTGATGCCTTTTCACGAAGTCCATTCCCAGATCAAGAGACAGAACGTTTCCTCAACCCCAGAAGCCTCCATGTGTCTCCTTCCAGAGGTAACCACTCTCCTGGCTTCTTTATTTATTTATTTATTTTTGAGATGGAGTATTGCTCTGTTGCCCAGGGTGGAGTGCAATGGCGCGATCTCGGCTGGCTGCAACCTCTGCCTTCCAGGTTCAAGCGATTCTCCTGCCTCAGCCTCCCGAGTAGCTGGGATTACAGGCACCCACCATCAAGCTCAGCTAATTTTTGTACTTTTGTAGAGACAGGGTCTCACCATGTAGGCCAGGCTGGTCTTGAACTCCTGACCTCAGGTGATCTGCCTGCCTCAGTCTCCCAAAATGCTGGGATTATAGGCATGAGCCACCGTGCCCCGCCCACTCTCCTGGCTTCTAATAATAATAGCACAGATTAGCTTTGCCTGGATTTGAACTTTATATAAATGTAACTAGAGGTGCACTTGGATGACCCATAATGACATCCACATCAGGAAATTCAGCACACTGCTGCTGCAGGAAACAAGAGCATAGAGGAGCTCTAGTCTCTCTAGAAGCCAGACTTTGTGCTGCAAGATGTGGGCCCTGGAAAAAGGGATGTCATGTACAACTTAGACTCTTTCCTTCTTGAGCATTTGTTCAAAGTGGATTGAGACTCAGGAGATCCAGATGAGAGGCCCAGTTCTGCCGTGAACTCCCTGGTAAACCTGGATAAGTCACTTTGCCCCTCATCTGTACAACAGGGGTGAGAATGATAATAACTGAGGTTTCTTGAGCACTTGCTATGTGCCAAGGACTGCTCCAACTCATTTATCCTCTAGACCAGGGGTCAGCAGTTATGGCCTCCTACCTGTTTGTGTACAGCCTGCAAGTTGAGAATCATTCTTACATTTTTAAAAGGTTTGAAAAAAAAAATCAAAAGAATAATACTTCACAGCTGGGCGTGGTGGCTCAACCTGTAATCCCAGCACTTTAGGAAGCCTAGGTGGGAGAATCCCTTGAGGCTAGGAGTCGAGACCAGCCTGGGCAATGTAGCAAGACCTCTGTCTCAACAAAAAATTAAAAAATTATCCAGGTGTGATGGCATGTGCCTGTAGCCCTAGCTACTTGGGAAGCTGAGGCAGGAGGATCACTTGAGCCCAAGAGTTCCAGCCAGCAGTGAGCATGATGGTGCCACTGTGCTCTAGTCTGGGCAACAGAGTGAGGCCCTGTCTCTCTCTTTTTTTTTTCTTTGAGACGGAGTCTCGCTCTGTCACCCAGGCTGGAGTGCAGTGGTGCGATCTCAGCTCACCGCAACCTCTGCCTCCCGGGTTCAAGCTATTCTCCTCCCTCAGCCTCCCAAGTAACTGACACTATAGGCCTGTGCCACCACACCTGGCTAATTTTTGTATTTTCAGTAGAGATGGATTTTCACCATGTTGGCCAGGCTGGTCTCAAACTCCTTACCTCAAGTGATCTGCCCACCTTGGCCTCCCAAAGTGTTCGGATTACAGACGTGAGCCACCATACCCGGCTGACCCTATTTCTAAAAAAATAAATAAATAAACAAATATTGGGTACTGGGCTTAGTACCTAGGTGATGAAATAATCTGTACAACAAAACCCCGTGACACAAGTTTACCTATATAACAAACCTGCACATGTACCCCTGAACCTAAAAGTTAAAAAAAGGAATAATACTTTGTGACATATGAAAATTACATGAAATTCAAATGTCCGTGTCCATAAATAAAATTTTGTTGGAACACAGTCATGCTCATTCATTTACATCTATGGCTGCTTCCAGAGTAGGTATGACAGAGACCTTATGGCCCTCAAAGGCTAAAATATTTACCACCTGACCTTCTATAGAAAAAGGTGGCTGGGCCGGGCACAGTGGGTCGTGCCTGTAATCCCAGCACTTTAGGAGGCTAAGGCGGGTGGATCACCTGAGGTTAGGAGTTCAAGACCAGCCTGGCCAACATAGTGAAACCCTATCTCCACTAAAAGTACAAAAATTAGCTGGGCGCAGTGGCGGGCACCTGTAATCCCAGCTACTCCGAAGGCTGAGGCAGGAGAATCACTTGAACCCAGGAGGCGGAGGTTGCAGTGAGCCAAGATCGCACCATTGGACTCCAGCCTGGGTGACAGGAGCGAAACTCTGTCTCAAAAAAGAAAAGAGAAGAAAAAGGTGGCTGACCCCTTCTCTAAACTGTGTTCTAACTCCCCTCTCACTCTAGACATTCTTTTTATCATCCCCATGGCCCAGATGCAGAGAGGTTAGATCACCTGCCAGGGAAACCCATCTTGGGGTGGTAGCAGGCGGGCTGGCTCCAGTTCACTCCCTCCAGGAAACACCCTATGTGAGGCTCTCTGAGGTGGTAGACATGGCATTGCTTTGCAAACTGCAGAGAAGTTTACAAATGCTAGATCTGTACCTCCCTTTCCTCCTGGTAGGCATCAGTGACTGAATCTACACTCACTCCCCAGATCAAAATGCCCCAACACCCTACACATACCACACCCAGCCCAAAGACCTCCTGATATGATTAATTAGCACTTTTTCTACAAGCTTCTACTTCGGAAGGAGAGGGTTGAGTCTACCATACTCTCCGTTCATGGCCTGTTGTCATAACTGGTCTGTGTAGTGCCCTGCTCTTGGTTTCATTCATTCATACATTCCCTTTTTTTTTTTTTTTTTTTTTGAGACAGGGTCTTCTCTGTCACCCAGGCTGGAGTGAACTGGTGAGATCAGAGTTCACTGCAGCCTTGACCTCATGGGCTCAAGCAATCCTCTCACCTCAGCCTCCTAACTTGCTGGGACTACAAGGACATGCCACTGTAATTTTTTTCATTTTTTTGTAGAGATGGGGTCTCACTGTGTTGTCCAGGCTGGTCTTGAACTCCTGGGCTCAAGCGATCACCCCACCTCAGCATCCCAAAGTGCTGGGATTATAGGCATGAGCCACTGCACCCAATCTGTTTGCTGAGTTCTTTCAGGATGGGTAGTTATTTCGTAGGCATGGGGTTTATTTACATAAATAGCATTGTGTTATATATTTTGTTTCCTACAATTTTTTTCCTCTACAACATTTGTTTGCTCTTTCCTTTCCTGTTGAGGTATAACATATATACGGTAAAGTGAGTAATGTGCACTGATCTGAAATATGAAACTCGATTTTTAGCCTACATATACATCTGTGTAATCATCACCGAGATCAAAATATAGAACATTTCCAGTACCCCAGCCAAGTTTCCCTTGTGTCCCTTCACAGTCAATAAACTGCCCCCTTCCCTGCCTGAGGTACCCACTCTTCCAGCTCCCATCTCCACCCATTCATTGAATTTTTTCTTGAACTTCCTCTGCATGGAATCGTACCTGTCTTTCATGTCTTGCTTCTTTTGCTCAACTTGTCTGGGAGACTCCCCTATGTCGTTGCGGGTAGAGAGAATTTGTATTTTTTGCTGTTGCGGAGCACTACGTTTTTGAGATCTATCGCGGGGCTCTGTGTACAGGCGTCAGTGCTTCTTGCTGCTACCTGGCGCCCCTTGGTGCTTCCACCCACTTGACCTTTCCACTCTCCCAGTGAGGGACACCCAGGGTGCCTCCTATGAGGCTGCTCTGATCATCCTCATCCACATCTCCTTATGGAGCCGTGTGAACATTTCACTGGATGAATACCTAGGAAAAGAATCTTTTGGGCACAGGGAATTGACTGCCCCAGCAACTGACAAACTGCTGAAATTGACTAGCTCTTTTCCATGTCTACCAAGGCAGGAGCAGGGAGAAGGGAAGAAGAGCTGCTGCTTTGGTGATCCTCCTCTGACCCCACTCTCCCCTCCCCCTTGCCCTCCAGGAAAACCTTTCAGCTCCCCCACCTCTTCTTCTTGCAGGACCCAACTAAGCGCTTTGCTTCCTGAATGTCGCTGCCTCCGCAGCAGCCCGCACCATCCTGCTGCATTATAACAGGACGATAATCAATGAACTGCTAACTCTATTGCAATAAAGGAGCGAGCCCAACCTTATATAATTCTTTTTAATTGTTTTCTCACATTACAAGGTTTTTTTTTTTTTTTGGCTAAACTTATTCCGCCGTAAGTTATGTCGTTTAATTTCTCAAAGTGCTAATAATTTAATTGCTTCCTTCCTGCAGACAAAGTGCCTGAACTGTCCTCCCTCCCCGGCACGGAGATTATAAAACGGAGTTGGCAGGAATACCTAAGAGGAGAGTCTTTTTGGCGGCAGGATTTGATGGGAAGCAGCTTTCTCAGAAGTCAGTGTGTGAGGCTGGGAACCTGGCTTGGGACTTCAAAGGGGCATGGGGCCCAGCCAAGCCTGCCTAACTCGAGAGGGTTTATGATAATCACAGGGGAGGGGAAAGGGAAGAGCTGAGATTAGAGAGGCTGGACGAGGGTGGGGAACACTAAACATGGAGCTTCCCGTCCTGAAAGGCTGTCAGGGAAGCTGGGCTCCATCTGCAGCAGAGGGATTTAGATCAGACTGGTAGGCGGAGTGGGGGCATTCCTGAGAGTCAGGACTTCGAGATGCTGACTGGACCCGGGACAGGGTGGGGAGGTAACATCTGATAACAGGAACTAGCCTTTATTGATCCCTTACTGAAAGCCTGAGCTTCCCTAGAGCATCTCAATTTACCTGCACACCCAGGTCTCTGAGGCAGGTACTACTAGTATTGCCGTTTTACAGATGAGGAAACTGAGGCATAGAAAGGTTCCAGGCCCCATAGCTTGTTGGTGAATGATGAGTTGAGTGATGGCATCACATCTTATGTGGCAAAAGGGGGACAGGATCAGGGATGAGCGACTCTTGAAGATTCCAAGGCAGTGACCTCCTTCCTCTTGCCTAGGGTCTGATTCAGTCAGAATTGCTTTAACCTACCCATGCTCCGCCACCCTGCCCCCGACCCCAGTGACTCCCATGATCTATAGGATATAATACAAGCTCCTAAACAAGGTCTTCAAAATGCTCACACTCCCTAGCCTGAGGGTAGGAATTTTGAGGACTACCCCCAAATTTGTCTCTCCCCTAGGATTTCCTTTCTGGCTCCTACACCTTGGCAAATGCTGCTTCTTTAAACCTGGAACCTTCTCCCCTCTCCTAGGAAGAAATTTCATTCATCCCATGAGGACTGGCTCAAATGCTGCCTCCCCACTTCCCCAAGCAGAGCCCCTCTCTCAAATCCCTGGGACACTCAGAGCACACCTCTGCTGGAGAGAGATCTGATTTGCAGGGTTGCTGGCCTGAGCTTACTCATTGACTCCCCTTGCTATTCACTAGCTCTGTGACTTTGGGAAACTTTCTTTTCTTTCTTTTTTTTTTTTTTTTTTTTGAGAAGGAGTTTCGCTCTTGTTGCCCAGGCTGAAGTGCAATGGTGCCATCTCAGCTCACCACAACCTCCGCCTCCCAGGTTCAAGCGATTCTTCTGCCTCAGCCTCCCGAGTAGCTGGGACTATAAGCATGCGCCACCACGCCTGGCGAATTTTGTATTTTTAGTAGAGACAGGGTTTCTCCATGTTGGCCAGGATGGTCTCGAACTCCTGACCTCAGTTTATTCACCCACCTCGGCCTCCCAAAGTGCTGGGATTACAGGCGTGAGCCACTGCGCCCAGACACTTAGAAACTTTCTAACAGAGAAGTTAGAAAGAAACTTCTCTACGCTGTACACATATATGATGTGGAATAAATGAGTAGCACATGCAAAACATTTAGCCTGGCACATGATGAACGATGAAAGATTTGCTGTTGTTCTTGACTGTCGTTGACCCTGTATTCTCATCTCCTAACACAGTGCCTGGCATGTAGCAATTGCTCAATAAATGAATAAAATGGAAATAATTACTAACTACCTCCTCCCTCTACCCCAGCCCCAGGAATATTCCTGTTTGGAACCCTAGTTGAAACCCCAGGTATAACACCTATTTGCAGTTTCCATTACCCTGGTATTTCCACTGGAAGGCAGGGGCCCAAGGGTTCTGTCTAAATTAAGGCCCTATCCTCCTCCTCACCTGACCCCAAAGGTTCGGCCACAGAGGGCATCTTGAATCAACAGCCACTAGGCATAGAGAAGCCAGAGCTTCACCACCAGCAATCCCTTTCTTTCTTAACTTCCTTTCTCTGACTTTAGCTGTCATCTCTGTTATCAGGAACTAGGATTCCTCAACTGAGCCTCTGCCTCCTTGCCCTGCGCCTCTGGACATGGGTGTCTGGGTCAGACCTCAGGTCTCCTGTTTTCAGTCCATTGAATCTACTGATACACTAGACAGAAGTTCACAGGCATTCAAGCTCCAACTGCCATTCTTGGCTGTGTGAGTCAGGCAAGTCACTTAACCTTTCTGAGCCTCCAGGTTTTGGTACAATAATATAGAGGGCTGGGTGAGACTCCATGGTGCAAAGCTGCACAGAGACGATTCTGTTGGGCTCCCTTCCCTGTAGCAGCGGCCTGCCCTGGGAGAGGGAATAGAGCAGGGTCAAAGCTGAATGACTTGAGGTCTCCAGAGTTTGAGATCCTGAGGGGACCAGCGAAGAGGGGTGGGCTACAGAGCCCTGGAGAAGTGAGTGACTTGGAGGCATGAGCAGACACCCTCCTACCATGGGACAAGCAGGGCACTAGGAGTGTGACTCAAAGCTGCCGTGGTTCTCCCTCACATGCAGTTGCTGAAATTGGGTTGGGCAAAAAGAACAACTCACTCCCCCAGCCCTGTCTGAGCAGAGAAAGTAAGCTTTGTAACTCCCAGAGGGGGGCCAGCAGGACCCAAGGTCACAAATGCCCCCTTCCTCTACCCCCAGGAGACCCACATATACCAGTGATCCCTCTGCACGAGGTCATGGTTCTGAAGTCTCCATCCTCAGTAGAGAGCAGCAGAGACCAAGTGAGGGTCTAGCACCTAGAATGATGGAACTTCCAGGACAAGCCAGCACTAAGCAGGGCAGGAACTCAGAGCCTCTGTGGGCTAGAACGGGAACACCTCCAGGAGTGGCTTCCTCTGCCCTCCTGTTGATATGTACCTATCCTGGGTTGCCTTTAGTGCTTAAACCTCAGTTATGAAAAATGTTATTATTATAACAGCACAGTGCCACCTCCCACCCACCTCCCCGACTAAACAGGAAGTGTCTGGCAGGTAGAGGCCTGTTTTGCACCCCTGTGGACAAACCCCTTCCCCCAGCACCCACTCACTCATTCCTTCACTCACAAACATTTATTAAGCACTGATGTAGTTGCCAGGAGGCCTAAGGCTTATCCTTTAGGGATGTCAGCTGCTAAATCTCCAGAACTTTGGCCTCCCAGGTTCCCAAAGGTAAAATTTCCTCCACTCCATCCCAGAAGGGAGGATGGGGTCCAGCTAGGACCTCTAAGGAGAAGCCACCAGCTTCATGCTTGCAAAGGAAAACCACTTCCCCCTTTTTCTTTCCTCAGTTCCAGGGGTGTGATGGCCCCATGGAAAATTCACAGGCAGGTCTTGGAATCTCTACCAGGGAGATAGCCCAGGCTCCACTCAGGGAAAGCCTTGCCACCGAGACCAGGCCTGCATCCAGGAAAACGTGTCCAAGGCCACTGATGTACAAAAGCTTAGGCAACCAGACACTCTGACCTACCAGGGCCTCTCACGCTAGCCTGGAATTACTCTCAGCTTCGTGGCCAGCCGGCAAAGACATCAGGCCTGGGGCCACAGAGCCAAGATTCCAAAGAGAAAATTCCAAGGCAAATATCTCAAGGGTTTCCAAGGACTATCTCCCCACTTCCCAAAACTCCCTTCCACCGCACCCTAGAGTCTTCCCCCTCCCCTAATTTAACCTTGTGCTTCCCAGACTCCTGCCCTTGGTCCTGATATTCCCTAAGCCCGGAATATCCTCCCTCTAGCCCCACACCCAAATCCTACCCACCTCAATGCTAGCTCCAATGCCACCTCCTCCAAGAAGTCTTCTCTGATCCTCTCAGTGAGGAGGGTCTCTATCTCTCCTTTAAATACCAAAGTCCAGGCCTCTTCTGTGGCTGTGGACAGGTATTTGGCTTCTGAAAGCAAACAAGCCTGGGTTCACAGGCTAGCTCTACCCCTTCCCAGCAGGGCAACCTTAGGCAAGTTCCCTTCCTGCTTCCTGCTGGGCTGCCCTTGCCCCTGCCTTGCCCAGAGACACTTGACCACCTCCCTTGGGCTGCCCAACCTTCAACGTGGATTCCTAGTATTTGTGAATTAGGTTCTCTGCCTGCGAACTTTTTCTGTTCAGGGCCAGAGAGTAAATATTTTAGGCTTTTCAAGCCATACTGTGGCTCTTGCAAATATTAAACTGTCCTGTTGTAACACAAAGCAACCTAAAATAGTAAGTAAGCATGGCTGTGTCCTAATAAAACTATCTCTGCACACTAAAATTTGAATTTGTCGGCCAGGAGCAGTGGCTCATTCCTGTGATCCTAGCACTTTGGGAAGCCAAGGCAGGCGGATTGCCTGAACACGAGTTGGAGACCAGCCTGGGTAATGTGGCAAAACCCCATCTCTACTAAAAATACAAAAAATTAGCCAGGCGTGGTGGCATGCACCTGTAGTCCCAGCTTCTCAGGAGACTGAGGCATAAGAATCGCTTGAACCCGGGAGGCAGAGGTTGTAGTGAGCTGAGATCACGCCAATGCACTCCAGCCTGGGTGACAGAGTGAAACTCCAAAAAGAAAAAAAAATGAATTTCTCATATATTCACATGTCAAAAAATATTGTGTTTAAAAAATGTTTTTTCAGTCATTGAAAAAAAGCACTTTGTAGCTTACAGGCCATACATGTCCTTCCATATCTCTCCTGAGAGCACTCCTTGGCTGTGAACTCAGTTCCAGAGGCTGAACAAAGCTACTCCCTCTGATTCAGCTTCAGCAGGGAGTTTGCAAAGCCCTGACTGTTCCAGGGGCAGGCTTGGGTGCCACAGGGAGCACAGAAGTGAGGCACCCAGCCTGCTCTCTAGGAACTTCTAATCCAGTGGGGAGACTCAAGCCAGATCCACAGTGGGGAGACTCAAGCCAGATCCACAGAGGATTTCATAGTAACACAAGGTTGGGGAAGATGAGCATCATGAAAGAGACCTTATCTTTTCCAATGAACAAATACTTTCTTTTTTTTTTTTTTTTTTTTTTTTTTTTGAGACAGAGTCTCGCTCTGTCACCCAGGCTGGAGTGCAGTGGTGCGATCTCGGCTCACTGCAAGCTCCGCCTCCCGGGTTCACTTCATTCTCCTGCCTCAGCCTCCCAAGTAGCTGGGACTACAGGCATCTGCCACCACGCCTGGCTAATTTTTTGTATTTTTTTTTTAGTAGAGACAGGGTTTCACTGTGTTAGCCAGGATGGTCTCTATCTCCTGACCTAGTGATCCTCCTGCCTTGGCCTCCCAAAGTGCTGGGATTACAGGCATGAGCCACCATGCCCGACCAACAAATACTTTCTTCACAACTTACATTGACAAAGCTGAAGGAGAGCGCTGGTTCCCTGGGAGAAGAAATGCACCAGGAGAGACTTCATGGAGGAAATGGCATTAGACATGGGCTTAAAAGAACAGGAATTCCGGCCGGGCGCAGTGGCTCATGCCTGTAATCCCAACACTTTGGGAGGCCAAGGTGGGTATATCATGAGGTCAAGAGCTAGAGACCATCCTGGCCAACACGGTGAAACCCCGTCTCTACTAAAAATACAAAAATTAGCCGGGTGTGGTGGCGGGCGCCTGTAGTCCCAGCTACTCGGGAGGCTGAGGCAGGAGAATCACTTGAACCCAGGAGGCAGAGGTTGCAGTGAGCCGAGATTGCGCCACTGCACTCCTGCCCGGCAATAGAGTGAGACTTCACCTCAAAAAAAAAAAAAAGAAAAAAAGAATAGGAATTCCAGGACCGAAGCCGTCACCCTTCACTGTTTCCTCCTGAAAGGCAGCCCCTGACTTTTGCACAAAAACATTGAAGACTTATAGCCCCACACACCTATAATGCCATCACGAGATGGCGGGCTCCTTGGGCAGGGGCAAGGGCCTTCCTCATTTCTGAGCCTCTGGACATTTTTCTGAGCCTAGCACATGTTTTTTTGCAGAGTGTATTTCTGTAAATGCTTGTTGAGACTGTATTGAAGTTGGAGTTAGGGGAGATGATGACAAAGAAGATTCCTGATAGAAATTGGACCAAATGAGGTCGGGCGTGGTGGCTCACGCCTGTAATCCCAGCACTTTGGAAGGCCGAGGCAGGCGGATCACTTGAGGTCAGAAGTTCGAGACCAGCCTGGCCAACATGGTGAAATCCCTTCTCTACTAAAAATACCAAAATTAACTAGGCCTGGTGGTGTGTGCCTGTAATCCCAGCTACTTGGGAGGTTGAGGCAGGAGAATCACTTGAACCCAGGAGGCAGAGGTTGTAATGAGCTGAGATCCCGCCACTGAACTCCAGCCTGGGCAACAGAGTGAGTTTCTGTCTCAAAAAAAAAAAAAAAAATCAATTGGACCAAATGGATTAGGTCATTCCCTCCATTTTATCCAGCTCCTCAGGCCCTGAAAGACATTTCCCAAGGAACAAGCCAACTGTCTTGGGCACAACCTTAGACCACCTTAAAGGGGACTCCTCATTCTCACTTCTTACCACAACCTTCTGACTTCTTAAAAATAAGATGTGAAACAGTGATTACTATAACCTGCACGCGTGTGTGTGTGCATGCACACAGACACACACTCACCCTTCCCTCTTCTGACAGCCTCCTTCTGCCTCTTTAAGTGGAAGCTCCACTTCTCTGCCCAGGAAGGTGGGGCCTTTTCTCCCAATAGCCACTGCAGACTGGGCCCCGAGGAACTCAAAGCCACCTCCCCACAGAACCCAAATGAGTGCAGCCAGCACCACCTCGTAAATCAGAAAGGTCATTGCCTCTAACCTGGCACGCCCCAAACCATGACTAAGCAGTTGTTGATACTTCCCCAAGACAACATCATGCAGGAGAAGTTTTGTAACCAAAGGGGAAGGAATTAATTAATGTATGTATGTGAGGTATGAATTGGTTTGGATATACATGTATGGATCGTCTCACCAAGGATACACCAGAAACTGAACATAATGGCTGCCTCCAGGAAGGCAAACTGAGCTGCTAGAGGACAGAGAGAGGAGAGATTTAAAAATTTCACTGGCGAGTACTACATTAGTTTTGAATTTTGTGCCATGTGGGTTTTTTTTTTTTTTTTTTTTTTTTTTTTTGAGACGGAGTCACTCTGTTGCCCAGGCTGGAGTGCAGTGGTGTGATCTCAGCTCACTGCAAGCTCCTCCTCCTGGTTCGTGCCATTCTCTTACCTCAGCCTCCCGAGTAGCTGGGACTACAGGCGCGCGCCACCATGCCCAGCTAATTTTTTTGTATTTTTGGTAGAGACGGGGTTTCACCGTGTTAGCCAGGATGGTCTCAATCTCCTGACCTCGTGATCCGCCCGCCTCGACCTCCCAAAGTGCTGGGATTACAGGCGTGAGCCACCGCGCCTGGCCGCTATGTGGATATCTTATCTATTCAAATAAATAAATGTTTTACAACATGCACAATGTTGTCTTAAGCAAATGCACAATGTTGTTTTAAGCAAATGCAACCTAAAATGTGGATTCAATAGCTTGTTTTCAACTCTGCAGGCACAGCTGGGACAATAAAAGCAGAGATCTGGTTACTACCTTGTAGAAGGACAGAGGGGAAAACAGAGAACCAAATGCCATTTAAAATCTCACCAGGCCGGGCGTGGTGGCTCACACCTGTAATTCCAGCACTTTGGGAAGCTGAGGCGGGTGGATCACCTGAGGTCAGGAGTTCAAGACCAGTCTGACCAACATGGTGAAACCCTGACTCTACTAAAAATACAAAAATTAGCCCAGTGTAGTGGCTCATGCCTGTAATCCCAGCTACTCGGGAGGCTGAGGAAGGAGAATCACTTGAACCTGGGAGGTGGAGGTTGCAGTGAGCCGAGATTGCACCACTGCACTCCAGCCTGGGCCACAAGAGTGAAACTCCATCTCAAAAATAAATACATAAAATATAATAAAATCTCACCAAATGATCATGCCAAACAAGGATCCTGCCTGGGAAAAGACGGGAGTCAGAGAAGCCAGAGGGAGAGAATTGACAGAAAATAAACAGTACCCCCTGGGGAGGTGAGGAAGGGGAGCTCCAGAGGCCCATCCCCCCTCCCAGCATGAGTTTGCATGGGGAGGGGGAAGACATTAAAAGAGAGAGGAGTCGGAGCCTGGTGACTCCCACCCTGTGATGCACAGAAGTTGAAGCCAGAGAGAGAAGGTGGTGCGCAGGAAAACAAGCCGCAGTGCCTGGCTCCACCTCAGCCACTCACGCATCCCCGGCACTTCCCCAATCTGAGACTCAGTTTCTTTGTCTCTACAATGAAGGATTTGGCCCAGACAGATCTCCAAGGTGCCTCACAGCTCTAATATTCTCTGATTTGATGGCTGCAGCCTTCTGCAAATGTGCATAAAATAGATTAGTTTTAGTAGTAGTAAAAACAAAACTGAATATCAGATTTATCATTTTAATTAAATATACTTTACATTCTCAATTTCTAGGGAGCAAAATGCTCCCCCCTCCATCAGTTTTCCCTTTGTGGAAGACATTCATGTGTGACATGCAATTTAAGAAAATGCCAAACCACATTGTAAGATACACAATTAACAAGATCCTAACAGGCATTTCTTAACAGGAAAGTGGGGTTTGGTGGGGTGGGGGAAGAACATAAAAAGGAAATGTCAAGAAGGGGAGGGTCAGGTGGGATCAGGATCCCAGAGAACTGGGGATCAGGCTAGAAAGAACAACGTGCTATTGTCTTTACTCAGCCCTCAGAAGTCACTATCTCTGGAACTCCGTGGAGCTGGGGAGTCTGAAGCGGGTGGTTTGGTTGGTTCCCTCTCCCTGGGTGACATAAAGCAAATTACTCTCTGGACTTTAGAGTGCTCAACTATAAAATGGAACTAAATATACCTACTTTGAGGAATGCTGGGAAAATGTAATAAGATATCTTAAAAGGCTTAGTAAAACAATAAAGTGTAAAGCGCATATACAAACACTGTACTTTTTTTTTTTTTTTTTGAGACGGAGTTTTGCTCTTGTTGCCCAGGCTGGAGTGCAATGATGTGATCTCGGCTCACTGCAACCTCTGCCTCCTGGGTTCAAGCAATTCTCTTGCCTCAGCCTCCCAAGTAGCTGGGATTATAGGTATGCACCACTACGCCTGGCTAATTTTGTATTTTTAGTAGAGGCAGGGTTTTGCCATACTCAAATGATCCATCTGCCTCTGCCTCCCAAAGTGCTGAGATTACAGGCGTGAGCCACTGCGCCCGGCCCAAACACTGTATTTTGGAAACTCAAGTTGGGGTCCAGAATGCCTGGTCCCCCTCTGGTTAGGTATTATGTCCTCTCAGCATGTGTTCCCCTAACATCCTTTCTTTCTGCCATCCTCTTCTCCACCCAGGCATATGGTCCCCACAAAGCAAGAGGAAAGCAACGCCCCTACCCAGAAGGAGCATCATTTCCTGGGCTCTGTGCTCTGTGGCTCCAGATCATTAATTAACAACTGTGGTTGTAAATTACCAGATAAATCTGGGCTGGGGTCGCCAGTAGGATAGATGAGAATCAACAAGAAAAATAAATCTACAGCAGCAGCTCCCTGAGTTTCAGGAAAACCCTACAGCCTGGGGGCAGTCAGGGACTAGTGAGAGAGAAGAGTTTGTGTTTTGGATAAAAACAAAAACAAGGCTGGGCACGCTGGCTCAGGGCTTGATTGCCTGAGCTCGGGAGTTCGAGACCAGCCTGGGCAACATGGCAAAACCTTGACTCTACAAAAAATACAAAAATTACGGCCGGGCACAGTGGCTCATGTCTGTAATCCCAGCACTTTGGGAGGCCGAGGTGGGCAGATTGCCTGAGGTCAGGAGTTCAAGACCAGTCTGGCCAACATGGTGAAACCCCATCTCTACTAAAAATACAAAAAACTTAGCCGGGCGTGGTGGCGTGCCCCTGTAATCCCAGCTACTCGGGAGGCTGAGGCAGGGGAATCGCTTGAACCAGGGAGGTGGAGGTTGCAGTTAGCAGAGATCGTGCCACTGTACTCCAGCTTAGGCAACAGAGCGAGACTCCGTCTCAGAAAAACAAAAACAAAAACAAAAAATACAAAAATTAGCTGGGAGTGGTGGCACCTGCCTACTGAGATTGCACCACTGCACTGCAGCCTGAGTGACAGAGCGAGACCCTGTCTCTTAGAAAAAAAAAAAAAAAAAATCAAGGCCAGTGTGCTAGCTCACACCTGTAATTCCAACACTTTGGAAAGCCAAGGCAGGAGGATCCCTTGAGGCCAGGAGTTCAAGACCAACCTGGGCAACAGAGCAAGACCCTGACTCTATAAAAATAAAAATAATAATTAAATATAATTTTTTTAAAATCTCAGAAATAAAACCAGGAATTCTCCCCCCAACCCATTACCACCATTCTCCCAAAAAGATTCAGGTAAGAGTCAAGTCCCCAGGCTTCTGCCAGTGCTGACAGAACTGTCTCTGTCCCTGCCTTATCAAGCTGGGGCGTCCACTCGGTTGCCCATTATTCCTGACAACAAGAGCAAATACAGACACTCTCAGAGGGCTGAGGAGAGGCTAA
Organism: Homo sapiens; assembly: GCF_000001405.40. NCBI lineage: Eukaryota > Metazoa > Chordata > Mammalia > Primates > Hominidae > Homo > Homo sapiens. Next base: position 43,552,669 of record NC_000017.11, on the reverse strand, counting down.
GTGGAATAAACCGTGTTTAATCTTTAACGAGAGAAATTGCCTTCCCTTAGCAGAGCCCCACCCAGCAGGCTCTGTGGCCCCTCATAATTCAAGTCCGTACTTAATTAAAAAGGGGAGCATCCTGGACTTTCCCCAACTGGCACCAATTCCATTCTCATCCTTCAGCCTGCTGACATTTGTCCGTTTGTCTCTCTTCAACAGAAAGAGAAAAAAATCAAAAGGAAAAGAAAATGTTATATCCTGCAGCTTTCTGAGAGGGCCCGTCCTTGAGCTGGGGCGCTTCATCTAGAAGCAGAGAGGGTTGAAATCTAACAGGAGGAGACAGAACAGGACAAGGAATGCTTTGCATTTGGGAGAGAGCCCTGAGCTACTGCAAATAGCAAGTATGAAAAGCTAGTCACCAGCACCTTCTAAAAATAAAACTTGCTCTCCTTGGGGCATCCTTGATTGCTAGCCTTCCAGCACTGGGCTCCAACATTTCCTCCTGGGACAATATTCCAGAAGAAAGGACGATGCATTTATTTAGCCTTGTTTAAAAATATTAAGATGTGGCCGGGAGCGGTGGCTCACGCCTGTAATCCCAACACTTTGGGAAGCTGAGTCGGGTGGATCACGAGGTCAGGAGATCGAGACCATCCTGGCTAACAAGGTGAAACCCCATCTCTACTAAAAATATAAAAAATTAGCCGGGAGTGGTGGCAGGCGCCTGTAGTCCCAGCTACTCGGGAGGCTGAGGCAGGAGAATGGCGTGAACCCGGGAGGCGGAGCTTGCAGTGAGCCGAGATCACGCCACTGCACTCCAGCCTGGGCGACAGAGTGAGACTGTCTCAAAAAAAAAGAAAGAAAGAAAGAAAAAAAATTAAGATGTTTCTCACTGGGATCCTGACAAGTTCAATTTACAGCTCCTCAGAAGGTAACACTCCTTCCCCAATAAATAATTCTAAAACAATCCCTTGTAGATTTGGCTCCACAGAGGTCATTGTGTTCATTCTTTTACTCCTGGGAATGTCACACTGTCACACACAAGTGGGGGTGAGGAGGGAACCAGAATCTCCCACCTGAAACTTTTTTTTTTTTTTTTTTTGGAGATAAAGTCTCGCTCTGTCGCCCAGGCTGGAGTGCAGTGGCGCGATCTCGGCTCACTGCAAGCTCCGCCTCCCGGGTTCACGCCATTTTGCTGCCTCAGCCTCCCGAGTAGCTGGGACTACAGGTGCCTGCCACCACGCCCGGCTAATATTTTGTATTTTAGTAGAGATGGGGTTTCACCGTGTTAGCCAGGATGGTCTCGATCTCCTGACCTCGTGATCCACCCGCCTCGGCCTCCCAAAGTGCTGGGATTACAGGCGTGAGCCACTGCGTCCAGCCATTTTTAGTTTTTTTATTTTTAGTAGAGACGGGGTTTCACCATGGTCTCGATCTCCTGACATCGTGATCCGCCCGCCTTGGCCTCCCAAAGTGCTGCGATTACAGGCGTGAGCCACCGTGCCCGGCCTCCCACCTCAAACTCTTAACTGCATCTCGGTCTGCTCTGTCTGCCAGAAGAAATCCTTCATGAGTCAGGCTGGGACAATCTGATCTTCTGTTTCTCCCAAGATTCTTGAGGACGTCCAATGCCTGCACCACCCAAGGGAAAAAGAGTCCTCATCTTTAGAACTTTTATATGGAGACTGCTCTCCTCCTCCACAGGGTGCCCCTAGGAATTGAGCAAGACATCAGCTTTATCTGTGCGCTTCCTCTTTAGCCCAATATACTCCCAGCTAGCAGGCTGAAGGAGAGCCCCATTTCTTTGGAGTCTCAAGAGAGATCTCAGGCTGAGTAAAAGATGGAGAGGAACAAGGGAAGTAGTTGTTTTACCTCCCTCCCCAGCACGTTCTCCAAAAGTGGTGCCTTTCCAACCATGTTGAAGGTGATATATATTGACAAGATATTTGTAAAGACATCTATGATTAAAAAATAAAAACCAGGCTGGGTATGATGGGTCATGCCTATAATAACCCCAGCACTTTGGAAGGCCAAGGCTGGAAAATCATTTGAGCCTAGGAGTTTGAGACAATCCTGGGCAACATAGTGGGACCCCATCTCTACAAAAAATTTAAAAATTAGCCAGTCGTGGTGGCGAGCACCTGTAGGCCTAGCTATTCAGGAGGCTGAGGAGGGAGAATCGCTTGAGCCCAAGAGGTCGAGGCTGCAGCAAATGAGACATGATCGTTCCACTGCACTCCAGCCTGGGTGACATAGTGACAACTTGTCCCTGCACCTCCTCCACAAAAAAAAAATCTGCTTAGTTCTATAACATTAAAATAATAAATACATAAGAAAAAGAAAAATGTGCACCAGGCATCTTGGTGCAGGCAGTTAATTTCAGGGGTACATATCCACGTACCCATCATCCAGAAGCCCTGTAATTTAGAGGAAGCAATGTGAAAAGGGGACAATGACACAAGACAAAAGGAAGTCAAAGAGTGGCATGTTTTGGTCATCCTGACCCACCAGCCCATGGGGAGGACCGCAGGCTCCCCATCTTTCATCCCCACCACCTGACCCCTCTGTCTGGTTCATTCCTCTAGTGTCTCCAGTCTGGGAGACACTAAAGGGACATAGGACATTACTTGACCCTATTTATCTCATCCATCTGACCTTGCAGAGCTGTCTCCCAAGGTTACCCCACTGGATTCCACCCTTTAAGGCTCTGGAACTCAGCTCTTCCAGACCATGAGGAAGCTAGGCCTTGAGGATACTTCCATCCTTCTCTCACAGTCACATGGCATAGGTCACCCACAGGATGTCCCCAGCTAACCCAACCCAGAGAACCAAATCCAGCCCTATGCCGCTCATTCTTTGAAACCTGCCCTGGGGAAAGCCTGCTTCTCTGATGGCTCCTGAGCCACCTTGATGTCTGATCCAGATGAATCTATAGCTTCCTCTCCCTACTCATCACAGTGCTCTGATATTCCAGTCTCCTGAGCAAGCCACAGCCTGCCTTTATATGAACATTTGCATATCAAAGCCTCACATTTACATTTTATAACTTAGGCTCCTGGGAAACAGGTCAGAGCTCAGCCCCCAATCTACTAGCGTAGCCGGGAAAGAAGCATTTACCTGTGCAACCCCCACCAAAGATGTGCTGGAGGGTGTCAGGGAGTACGCTGCATGTGTCCACGAAGCTGTGTGTCCAGGAGGGGACTGTGAGCGTCCTGCATCCAAGAGTGTTCCTGTGTATCTCTGGCTCAGGTGTGGCCTCCATCTGGCCTGTTGTGTCTGCATGCCTGTGAGTCTGTGAGTTCAAAGTGTCTGCATGCCTGTGAGTCCATTTGGGGTGGTCCTCAGTCTGTTGTGGGGGGCCTTGGGGTAGATGTGTGTTTGTGAGGGCTCTGTTTCCTCATTTGTAAAATGGTAATGAAAATCCTAATACTTACCTCACAGGATCGTTATGAGGTTGCCTGAGTTAATGCAGGTCATGCACTTACAGCAGGGCATGGCTGTACATGTCGGTTATTGTGACTCGATTCCCAACAGAAATTCCAGCCCCTCTATACCCTCCCCACCAACTACTTCCAGTGGTGTAAGAGGCTAATGTTCCCCTTGGAAATATCACTGTTTTGAGCCTGGACATTCAATCAGAGGTCAGTGACAGCAGCAGTATCTTCTCTTAGCCTGAGGGAGGAAGGCCACTCAGCCTCTGCCAGGGCTGGAGAGGATTGGGAATGTGGAGGGGGCACTTACTCACCAGGGAGCCAGGGGCCCTCCAGAAGAATATAAGAACTCAGAACCTGCAGCCTGGGCAACATAGTGAGACCCTGTCTCTACAAAAACAAACAAACAAATGAACAAACACATTAGCCAGGCATGATAGTGCATGCCTGTAGTCCCAGCTGCTTGGGAGGCTGAGGTGGGAGGATAGCTTGAAGCCAGGAGTTTGAGGTTATAGTAAGCTATGATGGCACCACTGTACTCCAACCTGGGTGACAGAGGGAGACCCTCCTGTCTCTCAAAAAAAAAAAAAAAAAAAAAAAGGCTGGGCTTGGTGGCTCATGCCTGTAATCCCAGCACTTTAGGAAGCCAAGTGGATCACCTGAGGTCAGGAGTTTGAGACCAGCCTGACCAACATGGTGAAACTCCGTCTGTATTAAAAATACAAAAAATTAGCCAGGTATGGTGGCGGGCACCTGTAATCCCAGCTGCTCGGGAGGCTGAGGCAGGAGAATCGCTTGAACCCGGGAGGCGGAGGTTGCAGTGAGCCGAGATTGCACCTTTGCACTCCAGTGTGGGCAACAAGAGTGAAACTCTGTCTCAAAAACAAAAACAAAAAAACTCAGAACCAGAGGGGCACTGGCATCCCTAGAGAGGTCCCATCCTACTGAAGTGCCCAGTACCAACTTAAAGACCTACTGGACTCTTCTTCGTTGTCATGGAGACCACATCAAAGCTGCCTTCCAGGAAGAGCCCTCTGTCCTCCTCTCCACTTCTCTTGGCCAGAACTCACACTTGTCTCTAAACTGGTTCCATCCAGCCCAAAGCTGGGATTTGCTTGGGCTTGTTTCTCCTTCCTTGGGCAGGGTTCCTGCTAAGCTCAATTAATTTGGTCTTTATTGTACCTATTCACTACACAAGCATTTCATGCCACCCTCATAAGCATGCTAACAGGCTGAGGAGGACTTTCAGAGGCAAATGAGCTCTGGAGAGCTCTCCATAGATAAGGATGTCTATACCATGAGGCAGGATGAAAAACATCCACACCAGAGATATAGTCAAGAATGTTGTATATGGCTAAAGGAACTGATTCAGGCTATCATGGAAGGCTTCCTGGAGGAGAGGGACAATAGACATGAGCCTTATAGAATATTACAGCACCTATAGAAAGGGAAGTTTACTTCCATTTGCACAAGCAGATCTCATGGAATGAGCCCTTATGAACACTAAACAGCAATTGTATGTTTTAGCCTTAGTTCTGGCCAGACAGGCCCAAAGAGCTTACATGTGTCATTTCCTTCTCTGAAACTCCACTGCCTCATCTGTAAAGTGGCGGGTGTTAGGTTAGATGAATTTGGGAAGCCACTCCTGCTGGCCTGGCATTTGAACATTCTTTTGTGTTTATCACAAACAGGCAGGATAAAAAATCAGGCTGTCCTCAAAGGAGTGCATAGGCTGGAGACATAGAGAATTGTCTCAGCAAAAAGGCCTTTGAGGATTCATGTCCTTTGTGCCCCCATGGCCACAGCCCAAGCACCCCAGGTCCCCTCAGATGTCTGTCTTGGACATAGCTGCTTGCCTGGAACCCAGCACTGTATCTGACACGATAAATGTTTATTGAAAGAAGTGGTGAATGGATGAGATGACAGAGACTATGACCAGCTTCTTAGCTAAAACTGAAACCCATCCTGCCTCCAGATCATCAGAACCTTTGGGGCTTTTGCTCCTTTTGCTGGCTCTCAGATAAGAGGGAAGATGGCTGAGAGGGAGCTACACTTTCGGAAATCATCTACCCTGGGGCTTCTGGTTTCTGCTGCAATCAGTAGAAAGTGGGTCACAAAACAGCTCTGCAGAGAACAGACCCTTGAGGAAAAGCCTGGATTCTGTGCCAGTTTACATTTATTGATCACCTACTGTGTATCAGTTGTCACATAGCTTAACTCATTTAATCATGGCTTCAGAGGGGTGTACAGGAGAGTGTGAGGGATTTGAGGCTGTAAACCCCAGAGGTGCTGACTAGCTGAGTGACCTCAGGAGAGTTACCATCCCTCTCTGAGTTTCATTTTTAATATCTGTAAGATACAAACGATCCATTTCGCCGGGTTATGGGAACGAAATGAGCACGTGGAAGCGGAGCGCTTCATAAATGCTAGTTATTATTGTTCCTCTGGGCACACAAGCCCGGTCGCCTCCCTCCTGGGCGCACACAGACATGTTCATACTCCCACGTACACGCAGATGCAGAGACGTGTGCAGACGCCAGCCGGAGGAGCACGCGGCGCATCAGACCCAAGACCGTGGCGAGACGGTGAAGAAGCCGCGGGGTCCTCGGCTTCTCTCTTTTTCTCTCGGTTCTTTATGAATGAACTCCAGCCGCGAGTTTTATTTTTTTATGAATGGGAGCCGGAGCACTGAATGAAGCCGGGAGCCAACCCCTACATTCTGATTGGCCCCCGCGGCTGGGAAACTCCGCCCCCCGGCCAGGCCGGACGACTCTCCGGATTGGCGGGCGTGCCCAGCCCTGGGGTTCCATTCACAAAAGTCAATGAAACAAAGGGAAACGGGGGGCGGTGTGGCGGGGCGGGGGGTGGAGAGCTGAGGCCGAGCGAAGGAAATGCACCAATCAGCTGCTCCCCCGGGCTCACAACTGTCTGCTGCGCCCGAAAAACAAGTCGGTGCGCTGGGGACCCGGGGCCGGGGCCGCCTTACTCCGGCCTAGCCCCGCGGCCCTCGGTGCGGGCTCCAGGGCATGCTCGGGACCCCCCGCGGCTCCAGCCCAGACGCCCCGGCCTCAGGTGAGGCTGCGGGAGGGAAAGGGAGGGAGAGTGTCTGTGATTCCCCGCCTCGCCTCCAATGCACACCACACTCACTCTCACCACCCGCCTCCGCAGATTCCAGGGCGGGGGTGGGAGGTGCTGGGATTCAGGGTTGGAGGGGGCGCGGGAGTTGTGGGCATGCGATGGTGTGCGCTTCGCCTGCTCCTCCGCGCGCGCGCGCGTACACACACACACACACACACACACACACACACACACACACACACACGTTCTTATGTAACCGAGCCCGGGTAAAGCAGGGCTGCAGAAAGCAGAAACGGCGAGCCCGGCTCCTGGGAGCAGGTGGGACCTCCTTTGGCCTTTGGCGGGAGGGGAGTGGTGGTGGCGCTCGGCCTGGCAGGCGGAAACCTCGCCATCGCCCCAGTGAGTCGGAGAAGTTTCGCCGTCGGACCCAGAGCCTTGGGACTGCCCCCTCCCCGCCCCCATCGCAGCCCTCCCTGGACGGTGTGCGAACGCAGCCCCCTCCCCCACCAGGTCTCGGCCCCCGCTTGGGGCCCCGGCCGTGCGGCCGGAGGGAGCGGCCGGATGGAGCGGAGGATGAAAGCCGGATACTTGGACCAGCAAGTGCCCTACACCTTCAGCAGCGTGAGCGCCGCGCCGGCCTCCACGCCCGCCCCGCCCCGCACCCAGCCCCTACTCTCACCACAGCCCCCCTCCCCGCAGTCCCAGCGGAGTCCTGGGCTGCCCCGCCCCTGAGTCACCCGAGGACCCCAACCTCGTCCCCCAGACTAAGCGCCTCAGGGTGACTCGCGGGCATTCTCCCCGCTTCTCGCAGAAATCGCCCGGAAATGGGAGCTTGCGCGAAGCGCTGATCGGCCCGCTGGGGAAGCTCATGGACCCGGGCTCCCTGCCGCCCCTCGACTCTGAAGGTAAAGAGCAAGAGAGACAAACCGCGACCCTCCTCCGCCACACACACACACACACACACACACACACACACACACACACGGCCGATTCTGGAACCCCCGCCTGTTTCCCCAAAAAACTCGCCCTCCAAGGGATTTTGGTCATTCTTCTCGGTCCCTACTCCCAAGGCAGGGGAGTCACCGGGTCTTGCTAGGGCCCCTTCTCTCTTACCGTCCCCTCCACCTCACCTCCAATTCCACTATTTACCCCTCAGATCTCTTCCAGGATCTAAGTCACTTCCAGGAGACGTGGCTCGCTGAAGGTGAGTAGTTTTGTGACCTTTTCTATTTTGGGAGGCTGGACAGGGGGACACTCCGTAGCCCCTGGTATTCCACCCTAAGCCCTACACTTCTCCTCTCCCTTCCCTGCCTCAAGGAGTTCTCCAAGGCCCTCTCCCCAGGTCCCTTGCCACTCTACTCACCCCAGCACCCAGCGTGGACACTTATATTGATATTTATTTTCTCTACCCTGAGCCAGGCTTGTGTAACTAGGCTTGAGGATGAATCAGACCATTGTGTGGGGTATTTGCTTATTTGAATGGAACTTGGCCCCAGGCCCATTTTCCTGGTTGAAATTTTCATTTGTAAAGTTTGTTTTGCAGAAGCCGCCAGGCCAAGGTGCATGTTGGGGTGTTGTTGGTGGGGGGTGGGGGGAGAAATTAATTTGTCACTCATCCTCCAGAGTTGCCCAAGCATTGATTCTTATCCCCTGGGTTTCTCTTCTTCCCAACCCCCAGCACCAAACAATTTACTGTCCAAGCCAAAAGAACAACAAAAGTTTAAATAATTCTTTTCGGCAGTCCTTTGGCACAGAGAGCCCAGGGCTCCCTCCCCAAATAGCCTTGATTGTAATTCTAATAGCAAGTGTTCCTCCCTCTTCCATCCCGCTTGAATACCTCTGCCTCCAGGCAAATTCCCCCCTTCCTGTGTGCTGGGGAGTTAGCTGTGAGCTGGCTGGGGTGGGGTCCGTGGCTGGGTCCGTGGCTGGGTCTGATGGGGAAGTGGTGTGTTCAGGAGGTTTCCTGGTTGGATTCTTCAGTGCGTTTTGGTGGGGCCTGAGGGTGTCGCTGGTGGGGCTGCAGGTGGGAGGGAAAATGGTGGTTTAGACAGTCTCTGAGAGGGAAGGGTTAACTACCCCCATCTTAGGGTTTATTTTAACACTATGAAAATGAAGAAGCCAAAACACTAGGAACTCCTTTTTTGAGGTCTTTTTGAGGTATTTTCCTTAGGATCTCCTCATCCCTCCACCCTGGGTATCTAATTTTTTTAAAGCTCAAATCCAACTACCCTGGAACTCTCCATAGAAGCTCGGAGTAAAAAGAAAATGACCCCTGACTAGATCCTTGGAGTGAGACTAGGTCTGTCTTGCCCACTATGATATTCTAAAAATATATATGTTGACAGAATGACTATTTAGCATAGAGCAAGCACTCAAGACATTTTGTGGAAATAATGGCTGAATGGCTGTGTGAGTGCTGGAGGGATCTGGAGGTTCTGAGGGTATTGTGTGCATCATCCCCGACCCTGCAAGTCCTGCATGCCCAGCTCCAATTTACAGGCAGAGCTTTGCCCCGTCTCCCCATCCTTCTTCTGAGGTTCTGGAGCTGGGCTAGAGCTGAAGAATGCAGAGGTGTCAGTTTCCGTGGGCTCTCAAAGACTTCCTTTCCCAGTGCCTGATTTCTCTCTGGCTCACCGGGCTTCATTCCTTGCCTGTCAGCTGAGAGTCCCCACAGTGGGCAGCTCCTAGGGCTGTGAGCTAGGGGTGGGCTGAGGTTGGCATTTTGGCAGCAGCTGGTCCATCTGTGCCTGGGTTTGAGATGGGAGGGGGAGGAAAATGCTCTCATCTCTCTACCTTGGAAGTCCCACCCCTTGGCCAGGGGTCTGGAGAGGGTACAAATGTCTGTCTGTGTCAGTGTCGGTGTGACAGCAAGTGTGTGTGTGAGAGAGAGAGAGAGAGAGAGTGTGTGTGTGTTAGTTACATGCTGCTGCCCTGTACATTTAAATCCAGTGGGTGGGGAGGTGGGGTGGGGATTGCAAGGCGGAGGTGAGGGGGGTGGGCGCTGGGATCTCCTTGGTTCCCTCTCCTTCCTTCTGAGGGAGCAGCTCAGGTTCCCAGCTGGTGATGGATGGCCAGGTCTGAGGGGGGGATGCTGAGGCCGATCGCTCCTTCTCACTTTCTCTGCGGAGACAGATGCAGCTGCCGGGGCCCTGTCCCCCTGCACCATCCCAACACCACCCCAGCCTCCTCTCCTGTCTCTTCCCACCAGGTCAGTGACCCCGGCAACCCATGGGGAGCTTTGGGGTGGCAGGGAGGGACTAGCTTCTTTGGAAACTTGCCAGTGGTGGGACGCATTAGGAGGAAAGGGGACCAGAGCCCAACCTCCCTTTCTCAGTTTGGTTTTTTCCAAAGCCCCAATTTGAAGAGAAGCAGCAGGGGGGTCCTGGTAGTGTGGGTGGGTCTGTGAAGACAGCATTTGGAGGAGGCACAGGTTGGAGCCGGGCAGATACAGGAAGATTCCAGTGTGGTTGCAGGTTCAGTGTCCTGCGTCCGGGCGTTGAAGGGTGAGTGTGAGTGCGGCTTTATGGAGGCAGCTCACATATCCTTGGGGTTGGGTTTTTGTACACAGGGGTGAATGATGTGAGGCTAGGAGGGCGTGTCTGATTTGGGGGTGCCTGGGATCTGTTGAGATGTTGGGGAAAGAATCAGGCTGCTACAGGGAGACCCAGGCTCAGGCAGGCTGAGCCCAATATGTGTCTGGCTATGGTAAAAGATATGCTGGTTTTTTGTCCAAGGTTCCTTTCCAGGCTTGTCAGGAGCCCTGAATCCTTGGGGAAAATGACTTTGTTGTCTATTTGGTAGTAAGGGCCATTGACTCTAGGCCATGACCCCTTTGTGTGAGGCTCAGGTCTGTGGATTCCCAGAAGCCCTATGGATAGGTTGCTGGGATCCTTGATCCCTCTGATACTGTGTGTAAAATTGCTGGAAGTGCACCATACATAAAGGTGTATGGATTTTTTTAGGAAGAGAATGACCCATAGCTTTTATCAGATTCTCAAAGGGATCGATCGATCTGCGCTCCCCTTTTCACAGGAATCACTGCTCCCCAACCCTCCTCCAAGGGCTCCAGTCCCTTTGCCCTTTGGCTGTCCCAATCATATTTGTAGGTCAAAAAAAGACCCCATGTGTGGAGGGCATGCATGGAGGGCACATTTCACCCTGTGCTGTCTTGCTGCTGCAAGAGTGAAGTAAAAGGAATTAGGGTGTGTGCATCCCTGAATATGCGTCCGAGTGCATGTACACTGGTGCCTCGGCATGTCTGTGGGGAGGGATGAGGTTAATCTCCTCCCTAATCTTTCCCAGCTACAATGCCTCCTTCTCCATCTTTCTGTCTCTTCCCCTTCCTGAAGACTCTTGGGGACAAATATGTCCCCTCCACAACTAGTGAACTGGTTCCTTCCAGTACAGAGGCTGCCAGGGTGGGGGCAGGGTAAGGGACAGCGGTGACACAATGGAGCAGAAGCTCTGGAGAATGCCTCTACCCCCTTCACCCTATGACTGGATCCTGGGAAGAGGGTGACCGAGCATATGTAGTGTGGGTGGCTAACCTATGGTGAGCTTCAGTGTATCTCTGTTTTAACCTCTCAGTTCTTCCAGAATCCAGCTTGGGAGACCCCCCAAGCCCCTCCTCTTTTTTTACTAACCCCCCTTTTTGAAAGGAGAGTCCCTAAAATTCTTTCTCTCTCTCTGGGCATTATGCTGTCTTGGCACTTTTCCCACCCCCTCCTTAATCATCTGCCTCGTCCCCAGACAGATAAACTCCATCTTAGTACCGGGATGGAGCTGGGGACAGACCCTGGCACACTGGCTTGGCAGCCAAGACTCAGCCAAGTTAACAAATAAATAAAGAGAGTGGTGTACACTTAAGACGAAACATGGTAATTAAAAATTCTCCTGCTCTCCAGGAACGCGAGGCTCAGTGTTCCTGTTTCTATCCTGTTGACAGTCTCTGGATGACTGAGGGCCCTGGCCTACCCCTTTGGGAGAAGGCCAGTGTTTGGGGGAGGGGCTGAGCTAGGACAGATTTCTCCTGGCTCTGGGAAGAGGATGGCACCACCTCTTTTGGGGTGTGGTCTGTGTGCTGGAGGAAGCCTCCTCCTGGATTCCGGGCCTGGAGGGGTCCCTGGTTAAACTGTCAGGCCCGAGGCAGGAAGAAAGGCAAGATGATGCTGAGGGTTCTCTGCTCTCCAGCACCAGTGACGCCAGCAAGAGATACCCCCAGCCCATTACCTCAATGGAAAGTAGCAGTTAATGAGGCCCCAGGGGTGGGGCCGGAATGCGTCAGCCACCCCTGAGTTCTGCACCACCCTTTCCCTTGGGACCCTTCTTGCCTAGTAGGAGGGAGGGAAATGTTGGTCACTCTGCTCCCATCACCCCAGCTTCCTGCCACCTTGGGGGATGTTGCCTCTGAATGGACCAGAGGGCACAGTGGGGAGCCTGGCTTTGCATCCCTGGGCAGGTGGACAGATTTGGCCTCTTACCCTCTATCCAAATGTGCCTATTTTTAAGGTTGTGGTGGCTGAAGTGAAAGGATTACCTGAGCCCAGGAGTTAGAGGCTGCAGTGAGCTCTGATTGTGCCACTGCACTCAAGCCTGACACAGGAGACTTCCTTATAATAGATTTTAAAATGCAGATGCCTGGGCCCCACCCCAGTCCTATGGAATGGGACTCTCCGGAGGAGGGGACTGGGAATCGTGTTTTTATTTTATTTTTATTATTGTTATTTGAGACAGGGTCTCACTCTGTTGCCCAGGCTGGAGTGCATTGGTGCTATCTTGGCTCACTGCAACCTCCACCTCCTGGGTTCAAGCGATTCTCCTGTCTCAGCCTCCAGAGTAGCTGGGATTACAGGCGAGAACCACCATGCCTGGCTAATTTTTGTATTTTTAGTAGAGATGGGGTTTCGCCACATTGGCCAGGCTGGTGTAGAATTCCAGACCTCAGATCGTCTGCCTGCCTCAGCCTCCCAAAGTGCTGGGATTACAGGCGTGAGCCACCACACCTGGCTGTAATCGTGTTTTTAACAACGTCCTGGTGACTCTTGAATCAGGCCAGTTTGGGAATGGTTGTCTTTTTGCCGTGTTTGTGCTCCTGAAAAGATGTGTGCTGGCTGTGTGTTTCTGTTTGTTCTTGCCAGCGGATTTCATGTCTCATTGATGTCTTTGGTCACTTCAGACCAAAGTATTATTATGTTGACTTGTCCTAAGTTCTCGTTTAGCTGCTGGTGGCTTGTGATTGTTAAACTCCCTCTCCCTAATGCTTCTGTCAAGAAATCAACTATCTATTAATATAAGCCTATGTTTATAAACACTTGGCACCTCTGATATTTAAAGCAAATTGTTGAAGAATATTCTTGCCAAGCAACATATCACAACCTAAAATATCCCCTGTGAGATGTGCTTTCCTGGAGAGGACCTGCCTCTAGTGTTGCCTTGTGTGTGGAGAGGGGGAGCCTGCAGGGAAGGGCTAGGATGGTCAGGATCTCTTCAGTGCATGCCCTCAGGCCCACAGTGCTGACTTCTGCCAGCCTGAGGACAAACGATTATTGCATGTTTATTCATGTAGTCAAGAAATAACAGCACTGAGCGTCTACTCTAACCCTGTGCTGGGTGCTGGGGCATCAGATGACAAAAAAGATAAAGCTCTTGCCCTCACAGAGCTTAACTTCCTGGTGGAGGAGATAGGTAGATAACAAACAGGTAAACATAAATTAATATATTCAGGTGGCAATATGTGCCAGGGAGAAAACAAAACATAGATGCAATAGAGAGCCAGGAGGAACCACTTTGGTTTAGGGGTGGTCAGAGAAGGCCTCTCCAGAGATGTCAAAGTGAGCTGAGACTCTGATGGTCAGGAAAAAAAGAAAAAGGCAAGAAAGCATCTGGGGAAGAAGGAACAAGCTCAGCAGCTTTGAGGGCTAGAAAGGAGACCAGAGTGCTGCAGATTCACAGGCAAGGAGAGGCAGGTCAGAGAGGTAGGCAAGGCCAAGTCATGCAGAGCCTTGGAGGCCAAGGGCAAGCGTTTGGATTTCATGCTTTAAATAACAGAGAGAAATGATTTTATTTCTGTTGTAAAAAGATCACTGTGACACCTAGGTGGAGAGCAAGGGACCATAGGAGGTAAGAATGAAAATAGGGTATCCTGGTAAGAGGCCGTGGGTGAAATCCAAGTAAGAAATGATGGAGCCTTAGCCTAGAGAGAAGCAAAAGAGATGGGATATGTATTTGTATAGGCCGGGGGTGTGGAGGTTTTTTCTAGCCATCTCATACCCCTCACCAGCCATTTTGACCTCTCTGGGCATTTTATCAGTTTCCCCATTGTCCAATCTGAGAGCAGTCTCCAGGGAAGGAGAGAGCAGTCTCCAGGGAAGGAGAGTCCAGCCTCCTCGGGCTACAGGTTCCACTGCATCACCCTAGAACCACTCTCTTCCTGGAATAATATCAGGAAGTTCTTCTTGGTGTCTACATTTCCTGCTGTGATCCATTTATTTTTGAGAGAGGGGCAAAAGTGGGCCAAGACTCTGGGATCAAGGGAGATTCTTAGCTGTATAACCACCTGAGAAGCCCCGCTCTGGGGAGGCCAGAATAAGAACTAGAAATCAGAGTTTGATGTTCAGGTTAGAAGCCATGGATGAGCTGCTGCTGTATTTCAGTTTTCCTGCCTATTCCCCAACCCAGCTCCACCCATCCTGGCATCCTGGGAGAGCTCTTCGGATCACCAACCTTGGGAATCCCTCCCCTCCTTAGCTGCACATTAAGGGGATGAGGCACCTATGTACTCAGCCAGTGTCCTTTGCCTTCTGCAGTGGTCCCAGTCACCAGCCTCCTGCTCTCCCACTGTCATCCTCCTTTTTTATTTTATTTATTTATTTTTGAGATGGAGTCTTGCTCTGTCGCCAGGCTGGAGTGCAGTGGTGTGATCTCAGCTCACTGCAACCTCCACCTCCCGGGTTCAAGTTATTCTCCTGTCTCAGCCTCCGGAATAGTTGGGATTACAGGCGTGCCACCACGTCCAGCTAATTTTTTTTTTTTTTTTTTTGAAATGGAGTCTTGCTCTGTCACCCAGGCTGGAGTGCAGTGGCCTGATCTTGGCTCACTACAAGCTCCGCCTCCCAGGTTCACGCCATTCTCTTGCCTCAGGCATACTCCTGCCTCAGGATTAGCTGGGACTACAGGCACCCGCCACCACACCCGGCTAATTTTTTTTGTATTTTTAGTAGAGACAGGGTTTCACTGTGTTAGCCAGGATGGTCCTGATCTCCTGACCTGGTGATCTGCCCGCCTCAGCCTCCCAAAGTGCTGGGATTACAGGCGTGAGCCACCGCGCCCGGCCTAATTTTTGTATTTTTAGTAGAGACAGGATTTCACCATGCTGGTCAGGCTGGTCTCAAACTCCTGACCTCGTGATCCGCCCACCACGGCCTCCCAAAGTGCTGGGATTACAGGCATGAGCCACCATGCCCGGCCTTTATTTTTCATTTTTTGGAACAGAGTCTCACTTTGTCACCCAGGCTGGAGTGCAGTGGCATGATCTCAGCTGACTGCAACCTCTGCCTCCTGGGTTCAAGCAATTCTCCTGCCTCAGCCTTCCGAGTAGCTGGGATTACAGGTGCCCACCGCCACGCCTGACTAATTTTTTAATTTTTTAGTAGAGATGGGAGTTTCACTTTGTTGGCCAGGCTGGTCTCAAACTCCTGATCTCAAGTGATCCTCCCACCTCAGCCTCCCAAAGTGCTGGGATTACAGGCATGAACCACTGCGCCCAGCCACCCCCCTATGTGATTTTATTTATTATTTAATTTTATTTTTCTTTTGAGATGGAGTTTCACTCTTGTTGCCCAGGCTGGAGTGCAGTGGTGCGATCTCAGCTCACTGCAACCTCTGCCTCCCAGGTTCAAGCGATTCTTCTGTCTCAGCTCCTGAGTAGCTGGGATTATAGGCTCCCGCCAACACGACCAGCTAAGTTTTGTACTTTTAGTAAAGATGGGGTTTCGTCATGTTGGCCAGGCTGGTCTCGAACTCCGGACCTCAGGTGATCCACCCGCCTTGACTTCCCAAAGTGCTGGGATTATAGGCGTGAGCCACCATGCCTGGCCGCCTCCTATGTGATTTTTAAATCCACAGGATCCCACTGCTTATAATGCCTGCCCATCCTAGATATGACTGTTGTGAGCTTTAAGGGAGTTTTGTAAACTCTGAGGGGCGAGGCTGTTTCACTTCAGAAAAATGGAGGAAATAAAGACAAAGCATCTAGAAGAAGAAAGACTGGAATCTGCTCAGACAGGTTCTGAGAACAGTCTTCCCTCCTGGGTCTTAGTGGAGCCCAGAGGTGGAAGACACTAGGACCTAGGGTGGAGCAGCCTTTAGTCTCAAGCAAGCTTGTCCAACCCGTGGGCCTGTGGGCCACTTTCAGCCCAGGGTAGCTTTGAATGCGGCCCAGGCCCAACATAAATTCCTTGTAAAATTTCTTAAAACATTATGAGATTTGTTTGTGATTTTAAGTTCATCAGCTATCGTTAGTGTTAGTGTATTTGTGTATTTTATGTGTGGCCCAAGACAATTCTTACAATGTGGACACCCCTGATCTAAAGGCTGTTGGTCCTTTCTTGGCTGTTGCTAATCTGCAGGGCTGTAATAATGGAGCCTCCCAGGGGACAACCAGGGCTCCGCCCCAAACTCACCTCTGACTTCTCTCTGCAGCTCAGGTACCAGACAGTGATGAGCAGTTTGTTCCTGATTTCCATTCAGAAAACCGTGAGTAGAGGTCCCTGGGGAGAGGGTATAGGGAGTGGAGGATGGCAGGAAGTGAGTCATAGGATAGAGAATCACAAGAGAGCAGCTTGTTCTCTCCTAAAACACAGTGGGGTTTGATCTTAAAGACCAAGGCAATAACTGGAATGAAAACCTTGGTTGAAATCTGGGGCTTGACATGTTCTTGCTGTGTGACCTTAGAGCAGACACTATCCCTCTGGTTCTCCATTGCCTTATATCTGAAGTGAGGGGCCTGGGCCAGTTCAGCAGAGTCCAGTTCTAGTGTTGTTTGTTTGTTTGTTTGTTTGTTTTCCCCCCAAGACAGAGTCTTGCTCTGTCACCCAGGCTGGAGTGCAGTGGCACAATCTCGGCTCACTGCAACTTCCGCCTCCCGGGTTTAAGCCATTCTCCTGCCTCAGCTTCCAGAGTAGCTGGGATTACAGGCATGCACAACCACACCCAGCTAATTTTTGTATTTTTAGTAGAGATGGGGTTTCACCATGTTGGCCAGGATGGTCTCGAATTCCTGACCTTGTGATCCGCCCACCTCGGCCTCCCATAGTGTTGGGACTACAGGCGTGAGCCCAGTGCGCCCGCCCCCAGTTCTAGTATTCTAAGTCACTTCCATAAACTGGGGACAATTTTGCCTCCCAAGAGACATTTGGTAATATCTGTAGACATTTTTGGTTGTCACAGTTGAGGGTGGGGTGCTACTGGTGTCTAGTGGATAGAGAGGCCAGGGATACTGCTAAAAGCATCCTATGATGCTCAGGACCGCTCCTTACAATATTATTAATAAAACACTATCTGGCCCACAGGTCAGTAGTGCCACTGTTGAGAAACCCTGCTTTAGGCTGGGTGTGGTGGCTCACGCCTGTAATCCCAGCACTTTGGGAGGCTGAGGCGCGTGGATCACATGAGGTCAGGAGTTTGAGACCAACCTGGCCAACATGATGAAATTCCGTCTTTACTAAAATACAAAAATTAGCCGGGCATGGTGGCGTGTACCTGTAATCCCAGCTACTCAGGAGGCTGAGGCATGAGAATCGCTTGAACCTGGGAGGCGGAGGTTGCAGTGAGGCAAGATTGAGCCACTGCACTCCAGCCTGGGTGACAGAGCGAGGCTCCATCTCAAAAAAAACAAAAACCAAAAAACAAACCCTGCTTTAATGTCAGATACTTTGCTGTCAACTGTCTTCACCAGTGAAACAATGGGGCACAAAGAATCAAAAACAGCAGAGAATAGTTGGTTACAAACGGCATTTGACTGGACTGCGGTTAAAACTGAATCTCACACCGGCTTGGAACCAACTCTTTGCTGCTCAGCCTCGTGGCCAGAGTTTGGGAACCCCGCAGGGGCCACAGGAAAGGCCAGTGTTCTTCACAGATAAGTAGGAGCATGTGTATAATGTTAGTCAGCTGACATTCAAGTGGGCCAATATCCAACCTCAACCAGAAAAAGAAAGATTCTTTTATTTATTTATTTAGAGACAGAGTTTCACTCTTGTTGCCCAGGCTGGAGTGCAATGGTGTGATCTCGGCTCACTGCAACCGCTGCCTCCCAGGTTCAAGCAATTCTCCTGCCTCAGCCTCCCGAGTAGCTGGGATTAAAGGGATGTGCCACCACGCCCGGCTAATTTTTTTGTATTTTAGTAGAGATGGGGTTTCTCTATGTTGGTCAGGCTGGTCTTGAACTTCTGACTTCAGGTGATCCGCCCGCCTCGGCCTCCCAAAGTGCTGGGATTACAGGCGTGAGCCACCGCGCCCGGCCAAGAAAGATTCTTTATATCCTCAAATAAGAAAACATGTCACTCCCCTGGAATTTTCCAGGGCACTCAGGAAAACTACAGGCCCTAGGTTGGAGGTGCTCACTCCTTGAAAGTGTTTTCTGGGGCCTGGGGTTGCATTAAATGTTTTTGTTTTTTGTTTCTTTTTGAGACGGAGTCTCGCTCTGTCACCCAGGCTGGAGTGCAGTGGCATGATCTCGGCTCACTGCAATCCCCGCCTCCTGGGTTCAAGCAATTCCCTTGCCCCAGCCTCCTGAGTAGCTGGGACTACAGGCATCCGCCACCATCCCCGGCTAATTTTTTTTTGTATTTTTAGTAGAGACAGGGTTTCACCATGTTGGCCAGGCTGGTCTTGGACTCCTGCCTCCCAAAGTGCTGGGATTACAGGTGTGAGCTACCGTGCCCAGCCTAAATGTTGAACTTTAGATGGTTTATTTAGTCAATAATCAGACACTAGTCTGATGTATAAACTAGACATAATGTAAATAGCCAAAATGTTCTTGTCTCACTGCGGGTCTCAGAAAATTGATACCCAGAGAGGGAAGGAGGCTGTACCAGTCACCCAGCTGGTCCTCAAAGCTCAGAAGGTATCAGAAGCCCTGCCTGCCTCTTGTGTGACAGGCTCTGGCCTTGCTCTGTCCCCTCCACCCCCACAGTAGCTTTCCACAGCCCCACCACCAGGATCAAGAAGGAGCCCCAGAGTCCCCGCACAGACCCGGCCCTGTCCTGCAGCAGGAAGCCGCCACTCCCCTACCACCATGGCGAGCAGTGCCTTTACTCCAGGTGAGCCCCAGCCTGGACCTGGTGAAGGGTAGGAGAAGGGTTCCAGAGGAGGGAGGCAGGGGGCACCCATGAGCAGAGGCAGCAGCTGAGATGCAAGTTAGACAACAGAAAGGATTTTCTAGCACTTGTAAGGAAGCAATACAGCTAAGGATTTCCTCTGAATAGACGGAAAACGCAGCAGAGGGCCTCAGGAATATATACTGAGGCCAGAGCAGATTCTGTTTCCACCAAGAGGCCCACTGTCCCACCTAAACCATTGCTCTGAGCAACAAATCCCCCCTGTATGAATCCCAGGGGTTCAAGACTAGCCTGGGCAACAGAGGGAGACTGTCTCTGAAAAAGAAAAGAATTGGCTAGGGCTGAGTCTGTGGCTCCTGCCGTTCCCTTCTCAGCCCCCTCTATCCTTCCTTCTCCTGTAATCCCTGTGACCTCGCTTTCCTAGGAATGAAGGGTTCAAAGATGCTTTCCAGCTTCTCTGCCCCCTCACCCCTGTCTCCTTCTCAACTCCAGTGCCTATGACCCCCCCAGACAAATCGCCATCAAGTCCCCTGCCCCTGGTGCCCTTGGACAGTCGCCCCTACAGCCCTTTCCCCGGGCAGAGCAACGGAATTTCCTGAGATCCTCTGGCACCTCCCAGCCCCACCCTGGCCATGGGTACCTCGGGGAACATAGGTAAGGAGACAGGGAAACCCACTGCTCATGGGCCCAGGTGTTTTTTCAATTCCTGAGTGTTCTCCATAAAGACTTGAGCTGTGGGGTGGTAGAGGCAGGGGGCAGTGGAATAGAAAGGGAGAAATACTGACACCCCAACCCCCTACCCCCCATTCCGGAGCCCACTCTAAAAGCCTAGGAGTAACAGGCTCGAGGAAGGATTAATTTAAAGTTCTCTTCTCTTCCTTCTCCATCCAACCACATCCAGCTCCGTCTTCCAGCAGCCCCTGGACATTTGCCACTCCTTCACATCTCAGGGAGGGGGCCGGGAACCCCTCCCAGCCCCCTACCAACACCAGCTGTCGGAGCCCTGCCCACCCTATCCCCAGCAGAGCTTTAAGCAAGAATACCATGATCCCCTGTATGAACAGGCGGGCCAGCCAGCCGTGGACCAGGGTGGGGTCAATGGGCACAGGTACCCAGGGGCGGGGGTGGTGATCAAACAGGAACAGACGGACTTCGCCTACGACTCAGGTAAGAGACTGGGGTGGGGCAGGGTGGCATGTGATCAAGTGTTCAGTTAAGCCCAGAATGTCTCCCGAGTTTTTTTACATTGCTGTTTACCATTTCATACATCCAACCCACCCACCCACTTTTTTTCTTCATAATTTCAAAAGAATGTTATTTTTCTTTCTTTTTCTTTTTTTTTTTGAAATGGGGTCCTGCTCTGGCCCAGGCTAGAGTGCAGTGGCACGATCTCTGCTCACTGCAACCTCTGCCTACCGGGTTCAAGCGATTCTTGTGCCTCAGCCTCCCGAGTACCTGGGATTACAGGCACCAGCCACCGTGCCCGGCTAATTTTTGTATTTTTAGTAGAGATGGGGTTTCGCCATGCTGGCCAGGATGGTCTCGAACTCCTGACTTCATATGATCCATCGCCTCGGCCTCCCAAAGTGCTGTGATTATAGACATGAGCCACCTCACCCGGACAAATTATTACTTTTCAATGAGCAAACCTATATTCAGATTAAAAGATAAGGGGGGCCCCCGGGGCATGGTGAGTCATCTGTAATCCCAGCACTTTAGGAGGCCATGGCAGGAGGATCGTTTGAGCCCAGGAATTAGTTCAAGGCCAGCTTAGGCAACAAAGTGAGACCTCGTGTCTATTTATAAAAAAGTAAAATTAAAATAAAGGGGGATGTAGATCCTGCCCTCAGGTAGCTTGTGACTTAATAGGGAAGTTAAGGCATTTATTTCTATTTAACAGGTGTTTGAGGTTTTAATTACCTATTAAGACCAAACTACTGTGACAGGAACACGAGTGTGCAGAGTTGGGAAATACAAAGATGAATAGGATGTGTCTGGTCCCTATCCCCACAGAGGCTTAAAAATACAAAGGGATTTGAATGAAGAGAAACATGAATTTGAAACTAGCCAGGCTCATGGTTCTTGCTAGTTCTCAATAGGAGGGCAGGGTTTTCTTGTTTTGTTTTGTTTTGTTTGTTTTGAGACAGAGTCTTGCTCTGTTTGTTTGTTTTGAGATGGAGTCTTGCTCTCTCGCCCAGGCTGGAGTGCCACTGGGTTCAAGCGATTCTCATGCTTCAGCCTCCCGAATAGCTGGGGTTACAGGTGCCCATCACCATGCCCAGCTAGTTTTTGTATTTTTAGTAGAGACGGGGTTTCACCATGTTGATCAAGCTGGTAGAAGCACAGGTTAATATGTGGCTTACATATTTGAGCCTCCCAATTGATGTATGCCCTGGCCAGAGGCAAGGGCAGAGGAAGTAGGGACTTCTTTAAATTCTAGTTCCACCTGGCTGTTGACTGGAGTGAGATGCACTCACCTGTGTTCATAAATAGCTATAGTTCAAAGCCTCAAGGGCCGAAGGAGGGCCAGTCCCAGGAAGGGTCCAGAAAACCCTGCCTTTTCTTCTTTCCTCCTGGCTTTTGTTACATTAGTAGCCCTAGATCTGAGTTTATTAGAGTAGGCCCAGAGCTAGCTAGAACTTTAGAATTTCCCTTTTTGTGGTGCCCACAACCGTTCAAGGGCAGGGGGATGAACCACAACCCCCCAGGCTGTCCAACTAAGAACCGGATGGTGCTCCTGTCCTCAAATCCAGGGCATAAGCCTGAGCCAGGCTTGGCAGTGAGCTGGGGAGAGGAGGAGGGAGGCACTCTTGCCGCTGACCTTCAAAGGCTGTAGACCGGAGGGGATTGTGTTACATGCCCTTGAACTCCTGCCCCTCCCCCCAGCTACTCCTGAATGGAGTCAGGAATTCCATTCACAAAATGGAGGCATGAATGAGCCCACCCTCCCGCCTCCTCCCGGAGGTGTCATGTTTCACCATCTTCTCATTCATAGGTGGGAGTGCAGTGGGGGGAGGGCGGGAAGGGGTTGGAACTTGAACGGGTGGCTTCACACAGCCGCCTTCCCGATGTGGAGTGGGAAGGTTCCTATCCTATGGAATGGAATGAAACGAAGTGGAATGTGCTCTGTTAGACCTGAAAAAACAAGGCCCAGTGCCCACTGCCTCTTCCCCAGGTGCATGCAGGCGCACGCTCTGTTTCTGTCACACACACACACACACACACACACACGCGCGCGTGCACAGGGCTGGGAACCTGACCTGCTGACCGGACATTTTTGTCCATTCTGAGGGAGTCTTAGGCGTGGACACCGAACTCTTTCCCCGGACGTTCATCTCACCCTCCCTCCTCCCCCTGAACTCGCAGGAAACAGCTGCTCCCTGGCAGCTTGGGCCCTTCAGAACAGCTTGCCCAGCCCCCGCTGCTGCCTTCCATGGCCTCAGCCGCAGCCCTCAAGTTGAGGAGGGGTTCCAGCATCACACTCCCTCTGGGTGAACTTTCCCTGGGATTTTGTGGTTGGCAGGCAACCTGGGCAAAGAACAGTCACCAGGAAGCAGGCTGGAAGGAAGAAATTCTTGAATGTGGATAGGACTTCCTCCTCCCCTGCCCTCGAGCTCCACCCCAAGCCACTTCTCACATCACCCCTTCTTCCCCCACAGATGTCACCGGGTGCGCATCAATGTACCTCCACACAGAGGGCTTCTCTGGGCCCTCTCCAGGTGACGGGGCCATGGGTAAGGCAGCCCCCCTTCCCCTGCCAAGCCCTCCATGTTGGGGGAGGGAGCGCTGCCATGGGGGAGGGTCTCCCTGGCCAGGAGTCCCTCTGGACTCTCTGGGGTCTCATCGGTGAACCCCCAGATCTGAGCAACCCCCAATTTCCTCCACAAGGCTATGGCTATGAGAAACCTCTGCGACCATTCCCAGATGATGTCTGCGTTGTCCCTGAGAAATTTGAAGGTCAGAGAAGTGACTGTTGATGGGAGGGTCAAGGTCTTATCACGCTGTGTCCCTGCAGGAGTCACATCACGTTTCATTGTTGCAAGAGGGTGGGACCCATAGAAAAGTACCTGGGGAGACCCCTTCGAGAAATCCCTCGGGTGGGAGGCGGTTGCTTGGGGGACCAAAAGACACAAACCCCACACCTCCTATTTTCGTGTTCCCCAGGAGACATCAAGCAGGAAGGGGTCGGTGCATTTCGAGAGGGGCCGCCCTACCAGCGCCGGGGTGCCCTGCAGCTGTGGCAATTTCTGGTGGCCTTGCTGGATGACCCAACAAATGCCCATTTCATTGCCTGGACGGGCCGGGGAATGGAGTTCAAGCTCATTGAGCCTGAGGAGGTGGGCCTCTCGGATGTTCCCAGCCCTCCTTTCCAAAGTTTACAGCCTGGAGGTGGGAGAACCTGGGAAATGGTGGCACGTGCCTCCATCATGATTCTTGCTTTACCTAACCTGAATTCTTGCCAAGCCTAAGTCTGTGGGCTGATGCTTTGTTGCAGAGCTAGCTTGGCACTTTGCACCAAGAATCTCAAGTGCTCTTTCTGACCTTACCCCCATTTTTTCCTCTGCCAAGGTAGCATCTCTACCCCAAAACTGTTTTGTTCCCAGGTCGCCAGGCTCTGGGGCATCCAGAAGAACCGGCCAGCCATGAATTACGACAAGCTGAGCCGCTCGCTCCGATACTATTATGAGAAAGGCATCATGCAGAAGGTGGGGGCTGTGGGTCTAGGGACAAGGTGGTGGGGGGCAGTGGCTGTGAGAAGCTGACTGGGGAGAGGGTCAGCAGGGCAGTTCTCAGCAACTTTGTAGGATCAGATAATGAATCAGTCAGAGAGACAAGAAATTGTGGAGAATCCCAAGGTTCTCCTCCCCCAAAAAAGTGCAACACTGTAACTGAGAAGCCCAAGCATGGAGAAGTTGAGATGAAAAAGGAGTAAGAACTGTGAAGGGAGAGTCAGCTTCTCAGGAACCAGCATGGGAGAGAAATGCCCCGAGCATCTGCCTGTACTGGTAGAAGGGCCACATTCCCCACTCCCCCACCTTACCCCATACAAAGGCTGGGCGGCTAGCCAGGCTGACCAGACCTTCTCTCTCCCCATAGGTGGCTGGTGAGCGTTACGTGTACAAGTTTGTGTGTGAGCCCGAGGCCCTCTTCTCTTTGGCCTTCCCGGACAATCAGCGTCCAGCTCTCAAGGCTGAGTTTGACCGGCCTGTCAGTGAGGAGGACACAGTCCCTTTGTCCCACTTGGATGAGAGCCCCGCCTACCTCCCAGAGCTGGCTGGCCCCGCCCAGCCATTTGGCCCCAAGGGTGGCTACTCTTACTAGCCCCCAGCGGCTGTTCCCCCTGCCGCAGGTGGGTGCTGCCCTGTGTACATATAAATGAATCTGGTGTTGGGGAAACCTTCATCTGAAACCCACAGATGTCTCTGGGGCAGATCCCCACTGTCCTACCAGTTGCCCTAGCCCAGACTCTGAGCTGCTCACCGGAGTCATTGGGAAGGAAAAGTGGAGAAATGGCAAGTCTAGAGTCTCAGAAACTCCCCTGGGGGTTTCACCTGGGCCCTGGAGGAATTCAGCTCAGCTTCTTCCTAGGTCCAAGCCCCCCACACCTTTTCCCCAACCACAGAGAACAAGAGTTTGTTCTGTTCTGGGGGACAGAGAAGGCGCTTCCCAACTTCATACTGGCAGGAGGGTGAGGAGGTTCACTGAGCTCCCCAGATCTCCCACTGCGGGGAGACAGAAGCCTGGACTCTGCCCCACGCTGTGGCCCTGGAGGGTCCCGGTTTGTCAGTTCTTGGTGCTCTGTGTTCCCAGAGGCAGGCGGAGGTTGAAGAAAGGAACCTGGGATGAGGGGTGCTGGGTATAAGCAGAGAGGGATGGGTTCCTGCTCCAAGGGACCCTTTGCCTTTCTTCTGCCCTTTCCTAGGCCCAGGCCTGGGTTTGTACTTCCACCTCCACCACATCTGCCAGACCTTAATAAAGGCCCCCACTTCTCCCATTAGTTCTCCTGTGTCCTCTTTGCTGCCATGTGGGAACAGACCTGGGGGTAGAAAGAGCTCTGGTCTTGAAGCAGAGCTGACTGGTTTGGGGCCAGGCCCTGGCGCTTAAATCCTCATGTAGATTTGAAAAAAGGCAGTTCACCTGACTGTTTCTCTTCTGAAAAATGGGCTTAATGATACCTGCCCTTCCCCCTTCCCAGCATTACTGTGTGAGGATCCAGAAATAATGGACAGGGGGTACTTGATAACCTGGACAGGCGCCCCTTGTGCACTTTGGGCCTGCTTCCAGCAGCAGTCTCCCTGCCCCTGTGGGCGGGTCAGGTGGGCTACTGAGTGGCAAGGGTCTCCCTCCTGGGACTTCCTCAGACAGGGTTTTGGTCTTTGGTTTCTGTGATCCCAGTTGTTCCCATGACCCTGCTGTCCCACATAGACCCCAATTGCATGTCCTCCCTCCTACCTCAGCTCTAGGTTGCTACTTTTGCTGGGGTTGGGGACAAGTGTTTGTCTGGAGAATGGGGCAAAGGAGAAAGGCTCCCAGGCCAGATGGTACAGAGAGAGGCTAGAGCAGGCCCTGGATTCTGGCCAGTGGAGATTAGATCTTCCGGGGAGTGGGAAACACCTAGATTCTCCTTGCCCAAATTTGGGAGAGATCAGAGTCCTGAGGCTGAGTTTTTTGGGGGTAGGTAGAAATGGCAAAGTGGACAACATGGTGACACCTATGGAGGACGTATGACTGAGATGTGACAACAGGTGGGAGGGGCAGAATGGGTGGTTCTAGAGCCAGCTGCTATGTAAACCGCTGCCCAGGAGACATGCTCAGGTAAAAACCGGTGCTCTCCTGTTAAATAGAAACTGCAGCTGTGCTGAGGTTGGGCCAGCCCAACTCTGTTCATGTCTCAGGTTGGCCCAGCACCAACCTGAGACCATCCCTTGCAGGAAGGGATGCCCCTCGACTACTACCCACAAATAAAAGGCAACATTACTTCTTCCTAGAAACACAAAATATCAATGTACTGACATAATTTAGTGCAAGAAACAAAATTTTAAAAACAGGTTTTAAAAATATATAATTTAATTCCACATTAAAGCCAAGCTATCGTGGTGGGAAGAAGGTGTAAAAATCGGTGGAAACCCTGAAGGCCGAGTACACACACGAAGAGAGAGGGAGTTAGCTGAGAAGCAGCATCCAGGGAAAGAAAGGTCTCCACAAGCTGAGATGATGGCCCTCTGCCCTCTGAACTGTTCATTAACAAGTCACCAGTCCCAGTTCTTTGTTCAAATCCTCAAACTTGGAGAGGCACTGCTCCAATGAGACAGCTACAGCAACCACAGGGAGGAAGTGCTTTGGGCTGCAGGAGAGACAGTCAAAGCCAAATCACGTCCAGGCGGGATGAAGTAAACCTGGACCGAGGAGCCTGACCCAGCTGCGGAGCTCACACATGCCCCATAGGGACGGTCCTGCCATATACACAAACAGCACACTCAGCATGTGTGCAGAGGCAGGCAACTCCTGAGCTTGGTTCTCGCGGGGTGGGGGTGAACAATATACTTTAATGGCCAAGAAGATCCCAGCTCTCTGCATGAGACCCACATCCTCTCCTGGGCTGTCACTCAATCTTGGGAAATACTGGTTCAAGGAAGAGAAACAAGGGCTCCATTGTGTGAGAGCAGCAGGCAAGCTCCCCTTCTGCATCTGGACAGGACCCCCCCCTTCTCCCTCAGAGCAGGCTCAGCTCAGCTGCTGACATTGCTTTCCTGATGGTCAAAAGGTCAGAACCCAGCTATGTTGTCATAGCAGAGAAGTGACCTCAGCTCTAGCGTAGAGAGATGGTCAAGGAACACCCACAGAATGGGGATCCTTCTTTTTCCTCCACCTGAGCCAGAAAAGATAACGAACCCTGCTGTCTCTTATCCTTAGCCCATTCAACATCCCTTTTCAACCTCAGCTTGAAACCCAACCCTCCCTCCCCAGGTGTCAACATTGTCAGTGCTGGGCACTCAGTCAGGACAGGCTGGGCCACTATATCCAGGAGTGTTTCTGAATGGGGAAAATTTAGGCTGGAATTAGGACTGGGAGCCAGGTGTGGTGGCATGCACCTGTAGTCCCAGCTACTCAGGAGGCTGAGGCAGGAAGATCACTTGAGCTCAGGAGTTTGATGCCAGCCTAGGCAAGATGGCAAGATCCTGTCTTAACAAAAACAAAAACAAAACGAGATTGGGGAGGTGGGTGCCCAGTCCCCGTTTCCCCTTTGGTTTCATTTGAGGTCCCTGTACTGTCTCTCCCCAGAAGGCCTTCAAGGTTAACACACAACAATGCCCTGCCCCTTGATTACTGGCCTGGGCTTACAAAGGCGAATACTCAGACAGAATCAGGAGGCACTCAGCTTAATGAAGGGGCAGGGATCTGCAGCCAGCAGATTGCCTGGCCTATATTCCTCTCCCTCGGACTCTTTCTGAATTGTCTTTAGGGTGTGGTTTGCTGCCCAGTGACAACATACATTCCTTTATATCCTGGAATGTTACATAGTCTCTCTTAGTGTCTGGCATACAGTTCTACAGTAGTTCTAGCATTTACATCACTTCAGAACTTACTAATAACATAAGGACAGGAGAAGCAGCAACGTAACAGGATGTGCCCAATCTCTCAGAAGCTTCTCTACAAGCACTACATCCAGACCAGCTTTCCGTAAGTTCCGAAACCTGGCCTGGCAAGACCTGCCTGATGTTCCGCCAGGTAAGGAGCCTCCTCAGTGCAGAGGACAGTGGCTCTCAACTGTAATCCCAGCGCTTTGGGAGGCAGAGGCAGGAGGATTGCTTGACGCCAGGGATTGGAGAGCAGCCTGGGCAGCACAGTGGGAACCCATCTCTATGGGAAGAAAAAAAAAAAACCCTCCTCAGGAGCTGTGAGGAGGGCACAAGGAGGTGGCTATTCTCCAAGCAAGTGCTAGGAAAAAACCACTAAGAACAAGCCCTGCAGCACAGATACTGGCAGCACAAACCAGCTGAGAGGAGAGGTGTTATGTTTGTTTTCTGTTTGGAGTGGGGAAAGGGAGGTTTTGACCATAAAATCCCTTTGTTAAAGTCCATCCAGGACCTCAGGGGAAAAAAATAAAAACAAAATAAAATAAAAGCTGTGTTGTTACTTAGTATGTTTCAAAAGGAAATGGGACATGCTGCACATTGCGAATGTGGGAGGTGGAGGGAGCAAGGGGAAACCTTCTGTATTTAATATGTGCCATCTGTAGCCACTCAGGCCTCCAGACTGAAGTGCTCTGTGGAGAGGACATGGTTGATCATCGGGTGATCCCCCAGCACGGCCCGGCTAGTGCTGATGCTGAAAGACAAGGCTGGAAGTCTGGGTTGTACGTCGTTTCCGAGCGCAAAGAGGCCCTGCGTTCTGGTTTCAGGGGATTCAGGGGATTCTCATCATGTGTGCCAGAGCACAGATACTAAATCTCCCTCACCCTGAGCCCAGGCCAATATCCTAACCTTTCGGCTAAAAGAAAACAGTCACAGAAAACCATTTTTGTTTCCTTAAGAAAATAAATATTTCCACGAGGTCAAGCCAAAGTACAGGGGCTGGAGACGGGGTGGGAAGTGGGGCAAACACTTTAGATGAGCACAGTAGCTCCTGCTAGCTGGGGCATCAGGGCACTCACCATGTCCCTGCACAAGATGCTCACCCACTCCACCTTCCCATCCTGGAGCTGCACAAATTGTCCCTTTCTTGAAGTTGATGCAATGTGTCTCTGTGTTAGATATGAGCTCCCAACTGGGCCCAAGGACTTGGGGTGATGGAGGCTGCAGGCTCTTGCCAAAGCCAGGTTTAAATCCCTGTTTCTATTTTACCAGCAGGGAAGAAATGAGAGTCGAGTTGAGAAAATGCTCAGTTAAGACAGTCAGTCACGGGACAGCTGTATCCTCAGGACCAGCCTGTCATCGATAAGTCCAAGCCCTGGCTACTGCTGCTGGAGAGGCAAAGGAACAATCTTGCCTTTCAGCGCCGTCGGAAAGCTCGAGATATTCTCCAGGCATTGGGTTCCTCATAGCGGTTGTACAAGGGTTCAAGACGCTGTTGCTTCTTCTGTTTGCTTAGCTTAGTTGGGTCTGAGACCTTGAAGAAGGCTGGGGCAAACTCCACAAGCCACCGAGGGTCGATGGTGGTAACTTCACGCATGTATTCCTTGGTGGTGAGCACCAGCTCATGGTACACCACCCTGAGGGGGGACAGAGATAGTACTCAAGCCTCTGGATATAGGCCCCACTCTACAGTCAACCTGGTCCCTAGTAGGCCTCAGCTGAGCTTACATTTTATACTATTACCTCTCCTGCCTGACACCTATAAGACTGCAGTCTGTTTATGACAGCCACACCCCAATACTGAAGCACCCGCACACCTCTAACCACAAGAAAGGTCTCAGGAGAATGTATTCTAGTCCTGGCTCTGGCTCTAACTAGTTAAGTGACATGGAGCCAATCACATCCCTTCTCTAATCTGTTTCTTGCTCTATAAAATGTGAGGATGTTTATTAGAATGTTTCCACAGAATTCTAGGGCTCTGAAGAGGGGCCTCACACTGCCACAAGGGATGGAGAAGGCCAAACATGCAAGGAGCCACATTTCTAACCCTTCTACTGTGATAACATGGTGGTTTTAAATCAGTTTTATATTAGGGTTCTAGATAGAGTCCAATTTTTTAAAAATGCTACTTTAAAACAAGTTTTTTTTTTTAAACTACATCACTAGGTAGTTGTTTTTTTCTTTCTTTTTTTTTTTTTTTTTGGGACGGAGTCTCACTCTGTCTCCCAGGCTGGAGTACAATGGCACAATCTCAGCTCACTGCAACCTCTGCCTCCCGGGTTCAAGCTATTCTCATGTCTCAGCCTCCCAAGTAGCTGGGATTACAGGTGCCTGCCACCACGCCTGGCTAACTTTGTATTTTTAGTAGAGACATGGTTTCACTATGTTGGTCAGGTTGGCCTGGAATTCCTGACCTCTGGTGATCCACCTGCCTCGGCCTCCCAAAGTGCTGGGATTACAGACGTGAGCCACCATGCCTAGCCCCTAGGTAGTTGGTTTTTTTTTTTTTTTTTTTTTGAGATGGAGTTTCGCTCTTGTTGCCCAGGCTGGAGTGCAATGGGTGATTTCGGCTCACTGCAACCTCCACCTCCTGGGTTCAAGCGATTGTCCTGTCTCAGCCTCCCAAGTAGCTGGGATTACAGGCATGCGCCACCATACCTGGCTAATTTTGTATTTTTAGTAGAGACAGGGTTTCTCCATGTTGGTCAGGCTGGTCTTGAACTCCCGACCTCGGCTGATCTGCCCACCTCAGCCTCCCAAAGTGCTGGGATTACAGGCATGAGCCACTGTGCCTGGCCACTACGTAGTTTTTTAAACCACAATTTTTTTTTTCAACTAGGTCTCACCCCTATGATTTTAATTCTCTCATAGGGTTTGATACATTGTGCCTAATTCAGGTTTCTGCTGCTCTAGAAAGGCAAGCAGTGTTATACTAGGACATACTGGGAGTAGTGAAGACACAATCACAAAATACCAGGAAATTTACAGGTTTTTCTCTGCCCAGAAAAGCCCCTAGACCCTGGGACATGTCCACCTACCATTCTGGCTGTCTGTTGAAGAGGGCACTGGAAGGATGGATATAGACCACCTGCTGGTCGATCAGTGTCCGGTAACCCTCCTGCGGGTCTTTCTTGGCAGCATTACGGAAGAACCCACTGCAGATGGCCTTCTGCACTCGGACTGTGGACTTGCCACAGGAAACAACATCCAGCTTGTGTCTATCAAGATAGGACAAAAGATATGAGCCCACTCAGCTTTCACAGGTCTATTTTCACAATGACAGTGCCCAACACATCCATCTTGGGGTGCCCAGAGTAGTCACCAGGACCTTCCTTCCAGCCCTAAGTGTACTACAGAGGCAGCTCTACACAGTGGGCAGACGGAGGCACTCAGAGACAGACACTTTGTTTAGACAGGTATTCAATTCCACAGTAATAATGTTCCAGAGGGTTGCAAACAAAGAGCATTTTTTTCAACAACTAACAGATAATCTTCCTCTTAGGTATCTGAGGTAATTCTCAGGCATACCCTTACTTGGGGAGAAGGAATATAACAAAGATGGAAAAGCTGGAGGAAAAGGGTTATGTGAGGAGCAAGAGAAAAGGTGCCTATAGCTTTATAGGTACACACAGAGATGAAAAGACATGATACTCAAGGTGGTTCAACTCAAACATGCAGAGTCATCAGATTCCAGCTTACCTGTCCATTATGCCTAACATCTGCTTGCGAATGTCCTGGGCCCGGCGCAGGGAACGAGCCTGGATAAAGTTCTCATAGCACCATGGGTTGGAGAACTTGTTGTTCTTCCAGGAGTTGTACACAGCTAGCAGGGTGAGGTGGTCCCCTTCAGTCTGGTGGAATTTGGCCTTCTTCTGATCTGCAAGGGCTTGTTTATCCTGCCAAGCAGTGGGACAGAGGAACATTTCCGACTCAACAGCTACTAACTGAACATGGAGCAATTCTAGGGAGCCCTACAAGACCCTATCAAAAGTGTCCACATCAGGCTAGGCATGATGGCTCAGGCCTGTAATCCCAGCATTTTGGGAAACTGAGGCAAGAGGATCACTTGAGGCCAGGAGTTTGAGACCAGCCTGGCCAACATGGTGCAACCCTGTCTCTACTAAAAATACAAAAATTAGCAGCACACGGTGGCGCACGCCTGTAATCCCAGCTGCTCTGGAGGCTGAGGCAGGAGAACTGCTTGAACCCGGGAGGTAGAGATTGCAAGATCATTCCACTGCACTCCAGCCTGGGCAACAGAGTGAGACTCCATCTCAAAAAAAAAAAAAAAAAAAAAAAAGTCCACATCAAGCATTGGAATGGCAACAGGCCAACTACCCCAACTTCATGGCACCCCCATCTAAACTTGGATCTGAACTTCCTACCTTGGGCCTATAGAAGACGTTCTGCACAGACAGCATGGATACAATGGTCAGCATTTCCTCACTGCAGCCCAGATGCACAGACATGATGAGCATTTTGCATAGCATTGGCTCCAGAGGGAACTCTGCCATCTAGAGGGACAAAAAAAGACTACAACTGCTTCCCTGTGGAAGACACATTTGGATTCACCAGAGCAAGACCTTGGTCAGAGTGGGTAACAACACAGATTTTCCCAAAGCATAATGATGCCTTGGGATGCCTTTCTCTATCAGAAGAATGCTGTTGTTTATTCTTTTCCCAAATAAACTCCAACGGGATGTATGTGACCAAGCATATAACTACTGTTGGGGTAGATGAGAATTTTGCAGATGCCGTTTCTAATTAAGGCTACATTCAGTAATACATCCTCAGGCAAAATTATGAACAGAACACCTTTTTGTATAAAGAAGAAACAGTTTAAAGTGACAGTGGAGAAATTCAGGTTAAAAACAAACATTTAGAATTTTACTCAAAGCTTATCCACGGCCTCAGCCTGATTTTGTACAGACCGAAGGATGTGAAAGGCTGACCAGGGAATCTTCCCAAAAGCACAGGAAGTTGAGTCTGTCCCTTACCCGGCGGCCCAAGCGAGTGAGCAGGCCCTCGTCATCCAGGGCCCCCAGTGTGTACAGCTGCTCCATGGCTGTGATCAAAGTTTCCATAGGTGGGGCATCCATGAAATCAAAGGACAGCAGATCATTGATACCCATGGCCTAGAACAGAAAGGAAGAAGGCATGTGATAAGAGGGTCAGTCTAGCCAGTGTCAGCATGTGGGGAAGCTACTTGTTACTTTATTTCCCATTTCTTCAATTGCAATTAGGAAGCCACCGGTGAGACTGGCGGTAACTTCCAGGGCTGGGCCACATAAAACTCAGACTATTATAATAGAAAGCACATACTTGAGACAGAGTCTCACTCTGTCACCCAGGCTGGAGTGCAGTGGCCCAATCTCAGCTCACTGCAACCTCCACCTCCTACGTTCAAGCGATTCTTCTGCCTCAGCATCCCAAGTAGCTGGGATTATAGGCACCCGCCATCATGCCCAGCTAATTTTTGTATTTTCAGTAGAGATGGCGTTTTACCATGTTGGCTGGGCTGGTCTTGAACTCCTGACCTCAAGTGATCCGCCTGCCTCGGCCTCCCAAAGGAAAGCACATAATTTCTCAGGAAACTTTTTGAAAATATTCTCTCAGTTGGGCATGGTGGCTCACACCTGTAATCTCAGCAGTTTGGGAGGCCAAGGAGGGAGAATCGCTTGAGTCCGGGAGTTGAGACCAGCCTAGGCAACATGATAAAACGTCTTCCAAGAAAAAAAAAAACAAAAAACCCTAACACTCTCTCAAAATGACAATATGTACAACTCAACAGCAAAAGGACAAACAACTCAATTTAAAAAATAGGCACAGAGCTTGAATAGACATTTCTTCAAAGAAGATATACAAATGGCCAACAAGCACATAAAAAGATGCACAGATGCACAACATCAGTAGTAATTAGGGAAATGCAAATCAAAACTACAATGAAATATCACTTCATACCCACTAGGATGGCTATAATTTTTTTAAAAAACAGAAACTAACAAATGTCAGTGAGGACGGGAGGTATCAGAAACCTCATGCATTGCTGGTGGGAATGTAAGATGTTGCAGCCACTGTAGAAAAGTTTGGTGGTTCCTTAATAGGCTAAATACAGAATTAGCACATGACCCAGCAATTACACTTCTAGGTATATATCCAAAAGAACTGAAAGCAGACTCAAACAGATACCTGCACACTAATGTTCACAGCAGCATTATTGATAATAGCCAAAAGGTAGAAACAATCCAAATGTCCATCTGCTGATGAATGGATAAACAAAATGTGGTATATACATACAACAGAATACTATTCACCCTTAGAAAGGAATGAAATAAATGGATAAACCTTGAAAATAACATGAATAAATCTTGAAAACATTATTCTAAGAGAAACAGGTCAGATACAAAAGAATATTGTATGATTCCACTTAAATGAGGCTATCTAGAATAGACAAATTCAGAGAGGTAAAAAGTAGAAGAGTAGTTACCAAGGGATAGAGGAAGGGGGAAAGGGGAGTTACTGTTTAATGGGTACAGAGTTTCTGTTTGGGACAATGAAAAAGTTCTGGAAATGGATGTTGGTGATGGTTGTACAACATCTTGAATGTATTTAATGCCACTGAATTGTATACTTTAAAAAGCTTACAATAGTAAATGTTGTTATGTATTTTACAATAATAATAATAATAATATAGTCTACCAACTTGTCCTGTCTCTTGCATACATCATTTCTACTATATATCTATGAGGGATCTCATACCATGTTAGGTGGGAGGGATATAAAGATGGCCAGGATATGGCCCCTGCTTTCAGAGAGTTCACACTGGGTAAAAACTATGTTCACAAAACCACCACAGTGCAATCTACATGCCTGGCATGTAGCATGTGTTCAATACATTAGCTAATTCGATGAATAAAAGAAACGACTGAATGATGCACGATTCAAGTGTATATAAAGTGTGATGTGGTAGGACCTAAGCTTTCTATTTCTTTCTCATAAAGTGATTGTGACCATAAACACAGCAGGTGTTCAATAAATGTTTATTGTGTGAATAATAACTATGATGAATTATGTTAGCAATCATCAAGCACTGTGCCAAGTGCCTTTACCTACATTATCTCACTTATCTTTCCAACAAATACTATTAACAGCCCCTTTTTCAGAGCAGAACACAGAGCAGAGGGCAAAGTAAATAAACTTGCCCAAAGTCGCAGTTTGGAGCTGAAGTCCAAGCCACAGATGCCTCTCTGTTGGCACTTCAGAGACTGGAGTAGGTTTCTTTTTTCTTTCCAAAGCTCTGTTTTAGCCTCTTTGACAGGGAATAAATAATAAATGACAACAGAGCACTCTGCACCAGAAAGTACCAGGGCTCCAGGGTAGCATCAGTGTCGGGGGAAACGCCATCAGCTGGGAAATTACTCATACAGCTCCTCCTGCCAAAAGAGAATGAAGTCCTCACTGGGGACTGAGAGAGGAAGAACAATGATTCAGAATGAAAACCAAGCCCCTGAGAGCCAGTCTGAAATCTGTACTGACAGTTCCCTTGCAAAGTTTTTGAACAGGGGGTTTTCTCTCGTTCTAAAAGAACAGAATTGGATCTGAGCGCTAAAGTGGTTGAGGTTAGGTGTGTGTGTCCACAGTTTGGCATTGATTATATTTTTCTAATTTCCTTTTAGAAAATGCTCCTAACTAGAACCTTTTACAACCTAATATCCTGCTGGTTGTTATGGTAAGAAAAAATGTGTGTTCACAGCAGACATGCCAACTTAGCCCCAGACCTGCCGTGAGAGGCTGTTATCACAGCCATTTGCATTTCACTCAAAGGGACTGCTTTCATGAGGTTACTAAAGTATTTAACAAGGTTCATAAAACTGAAATTCATTTATGAAGGCCAGGATTGGACTGTTCCACCAACCCATTTTAACAAGACAGTGATTTCTACCTTGAGTGACAGCACTGTGCTTGCTAAGTTGGTTCTCTGGATTTCCGGCACGTTGGTGGTCAGCATTTCATCTCGGTAGGCACGTTCTGTGTACAACCTGTAACACTTCCCTGGGCCTGTTCTCCCAGCTCTGCCAGCTCGTTGCTTTGCCTGAGCCTAGAGGGGTGGGCATATAAAAGCAACATATCTGTTAAACACTGCTTAACAGCTTTACCCAGGATATCTGTTAAAAGGGGGACAATTAACAACTGGCAAAATCAGAAATGGGGTTGATTTCACTTCCTTTGGGACCATTTCCAAGACTACCAATGCTCTTATCTTCCCCTCTCCATACTCAGCACTTCGGGGAAGTTTGTTCGAGGGAGGCAATACAAGCAGGGTTAATGGAAGAAATATTATACAGATCTGAGACATATATCTTCAAAATAGTGTGGCGCAATATAAAAGAGAAAGCATAAAACAAGATGACAGAACACCATCCCCACAGTTATGACCAAAAATGTAAGTGAAATAAACATATTACGTCAATCATCCCAATGATGACTCTGCAGTCATTTTAAAAATTATGTTTGCAGGCCAAGCGTCGTGGCTTATGCCTATAATCCCAGCACTTTGGGAGGCCAAGGTGGGCAGATTGCATGAGCCCAGGAGTTCGAGATCAGCCAGGGCAATATGTTGAAACTTCATCTCTACAAAAAATACAAAAATTAGCTTGGTGTGGTGGCTCACGCCTGTAGTCCCAGTATTCAGGAGGCTCAGATGGGACGATCACCTGAGCCTGGGGAGGTCGAGGCTGGCTGCAGTAAGCCGTAATCACACCACTGCACTACAGCCTGGGCAACAACAAAGACTGATCCTGACTCAAAATAAAATAAAAAATAAAAATAAAAATCATGTTTGCAATGTTAAATGACAGAAGAAAATGTTCATTCGCATTAAATGCAAAATGCAAGTTACGAAACAATGTAAAATAATTTTAGTAAAAGTCTTTATATATCAACTACTAGAAGGAAATGACTAGGCGAAAAAAACCCTAAAATGTTAACAGTGGCTAACTCTGATAGTAGGCTTGCAGATGAGGTCTATTTTCTTTAGATTTTACCAAATATTGAACATGTATTATTCTAATAGGAAAATTAAATACTCAAAAAAATATACAAAACTGCATACTTACTTGACTACTAAAATTGCAACCATGAAAGAAATAAACATGAAAAAAGACTGGAATGAAAAACAGCAAAATAATAACAGTGGAGGTAGTAGGATGGTGGGTAAATTTTTTTCTTCTGTTTTTCAAAAATAATAAAACACTACTTCAAAAACACTGATTTTTTTTTAATTAAAAAAAATGTAGTTTAGCCATAGGTTGCTAGGAAACAATGAATAGCAATCTGAAGAGGGCCATTTTCTGACAAAACCATCTGTTGTTACAAACAGTACCAGGATTTACAAATTACTATGCCAGCTCCAAACCAAAGGATAGGTTATGAAAGGACAACTAACCACACAAATCCAGGCAGCAATCACACACAGTGGCTGGACTCTACAGCATTCTACACATGTCTCTCTCCAAATCAGGACAGGCATGTGTAACTAATTTTTTGATCACCGCCACCCTGACAAGTAGTATAGAGCATACAAGCTGGAGCCAGGCTACCCAGGTTCAAATCTTGGCTCCACTAGCTCTGTGATGTTAGGCAAATCACCTAACCCCTCTGTGCCTCAGGTTCCTCATCTGTGAAAATAATATCTACCACATAGGATCAATGCGAGAATGCACCAAGTCAATGCATGTATCTAGGACGTTAAGTACACTGTAAGTGTTAGCTATTATTGGGCCAGGCGCGGTGGCTTATGCCTGTAATCCCAGCACTTTGGAAGGCTGAGGCGGGTGGATCATGTGGTCAGGAGATGGAGACCATCCTGGCTAAGACAGTGAAACCCCATCTCTACCAAAAATACAAAAATTAGGTGGTCATGGCGGCATGCGCCTGTAGTCCCAGCTACTTGGGAGGCTGAGGCAGAGGAATCACTTGAACCCAGGAGGCCGAGGTTGCAGTGAGCTGAGATTGCACCACTGCACTCCAAACTGGGCGACAGAGCAAGGCCCCATCTCAAAAAACAAAACAAAACAAAAAGTGTTAGCTATTATTATTACTTAAGTTTCAAAATAAAAATAGCCTTAAGGCTTTCACAAATTATGAAAGTAATACATACCCACTGTAAAAGATTAAGACAACATATAAAAGTATAAAAGAAAATGCACATCATCTAGTAGCACCACCCATAAATAATCTTGGCTAACATTTAGACTACATGCTTTCAATCTTGGGCACAGCTCACTCACACATACTCTGAAGAAATGCTCACCATCTATTTTTAAACAAAAATTGGATTATACCATTCATGCTGTTTTGTAGGCTCACTTTTTCAAAGAAAATATTATAGTTACATGTTTATGTCATTAAATATAGATACACACCACCATGTTAATGCCACCAACATTCTATGGCATGAATATACCATAATTTATTAAACTACTTCCCTTTTGGAATACATTTAGAATTTTTTCCAGGTTTCCTCTGATATAAACCAATCCTTCGATGAACATCCTTTTCTATTACCTTTGGACATGTATTTAATCATTTCTAACTTTCAGATAAATTTCTATAAGCAGAACAGTTAGGTTAAAGAGATGAACATTTAAGTTTTGGATATACTGTTGCCAAACTTCTCTCAAAAAAGTGATCGGGTAATTCATTTTTAAATGTCATTTAGGCAGGAAATTATTCCATAATTACCAAAAAACCAGAAAATCATATAATTTATTATTATCTCAGATATCTATCTCGTAGCTAAGCAAGGTACTAGAAAATAAAGTACTGATCTTTCCATCTAAAATAGGTAATATAGGGTACTAGGATTCAAACTTTTTTTATGTTCTAGTTTTATGGGGCATTTAAACAAATTATTATTTTAGAGACACAGTCTGCTCTGTTGCCCCAGCTAGAGTGCAGTGATGCTATCTTAGCTCACTGCAGCCTCAGACTCCTGGGCTCAAGTGATCCTCCCACCTCAGACTCTTAAGCAGCTGGGACTGGTGGCACATGCCCCCATACCAGGCTAATTTTTTTTAAATTTTTTATAGTGACAGAGTCTTGCTATGTTGCCCAGGCTAGTTTAGAACTCTTGGCCTCAAGCAATCCTCCCACTTCAGCATTCCAAAGTGCTGGGATTACAGGTGTGAGCCAAGGTGTCTGGCCTTACGGGGGCATTTTAATAGTGAAATACTATTCTAAAGATTAAAAAGGGCCGGGCGTGGTGGCTCACACCTGTAATCCCAGCACTTTGGGAGGCCAAGACGGGTGGATCATCTGAGGTTGCGAGTTCAAGACCAGCCTGACCAACATGATGAAACCCCGTCTCTACTAAAAATAGAAAATTAGCTAGGTGTGGTGGCACATGCCTGTAATCCCAGCTACTTGGGAGGCTAAGGCAGGAGAATCGCTTGAACCCAGGAGGCAGAGGTTGCAGTGAGCCGAGATTGCGCCACTGCACTCCAGCCTGGGCAACAAGAGTGAAACTTAGTCTCAAAAAAAAAAAAAAAAAAAAAGATTAAAAACTTCAAGGATCAATCAGACTTCAGGGATAAAAAAAGATTAAAAACAAATAACAAAAAATCCTTCCCTCATGTCATTATAGTACCCAGTATCATAAAAGTTCATCTTTGAAAACAAGTTTGAAATATATAACCATAAAAAAGTTTCAGAAAGGCCCTAATCAGGATTATCAGGAAAACTGTTGATACAAGCCGTCATACCTGAGAAATAGGCGTCACCACGAGCTGGTCAATCCCTGTCTTGGAATTGTAAACTTTCTGTTTCACGAATCCTGGGTCCACCACATAGTAGATACCATCAATAGTCAGCGATGTCTCTGCGATATTGGTGGCAATCACAACCTGCAGGCAAGAGGGGCAAAGCTGGAGTGAGGTGCCCAGGCTCAGCCCTGAGGTGTGAAAAGGTCTTCTGAACCCAGATATCTTCCCAAAGGAATATGTGGCTATCTCTCTCTCTAGACGGTTAAAATGACACTTAATCCCAGCTCAGCCTCCAACAGCAGAAGGGAGGTACCTTCTGCTTAATGGTTAAGTTGGAAAAGGGATGGTACCTGAGAGGTGAGTGGAATAGGAAAAAGCTACAGCCAATAAAAGCCAATTTCATTTGGTGCAAATAGCTACTGTGTATCTCATTTTCTAGATCCAATGTTGATTACTACAATTTTAATTTTCTAGCACCCTGGGAAAGCAGAGATTTCCTGGCATCACATGTGCCAATGCAAAATGAGATTTTTCTTTCCCCTACCGAGACATCTGGACTAAAAAATGAGCTGCTTGTATTTTGCGGAATATGTATGTGGAACAAGAGGGAGATTGCTTCTTTTTACTGATCATAAAATGAACCATGAGATGACACAGGAATTTCACAGTTTGCGTGTGTGTAGCAGTCTATGTGATCTGGAGGATTATTAGTCTCAGCTTGGCACTGTCACTGTTCTTCCACCCAAAGGTTCAGCTAATAAAACACAATTGCTTGGAAAAATCATCACTGGGGGCACCGGAATATCACGCATCATGCCAGCATCTTACTGGTCCTGAAAGGCTTCTACCTGCTACAGAACTACAGAAGCCCTGCTTAGAAAGAACTCTCATTATTAGGAATAGAATAGGGGAGAAATTCACCATCTTTCCACTCAAGCCTCCTCCCATGTTTCCCTCCTCAGTGCCATCTTCCATCCAGCTGCCCAAGCCAGAAACCTGACAGTCATGCCTGACTTCCCTCACCCTTCTTCCCTTTACCTGCTAGTACCCACCAAGTCTTGTCCATTTTAACTCTTTAACATTACTCAAGTCCATCTGCCTTTTTTTTTTTTTTTTGAGATAGAGTCTCACTCTGTTGCCCAAGCTGGAGTGCAGTGGTGCAATCTCGGCTTACTGCAACCTCCACCTCCCGGGTTCAAGCGATTCTCCTGCCTCAGCCTCCCGAGTAGCTGAGATTACAGGCACGTGTCACCATGCCTGGCTAATTTTTGTATTTTTAGTACAGACTGGGTTTCATTATGTTGGCCAGGCTGGTCTCGAACTCCTGACCTCATGATCCATCCGCTTCAGCCTCCCAAAGTGCTGGGATTACAGGTGTGAGCCACCACACCCGGCCAAGTCCATCTGCCTTCTACTCTTAGGTATATGTCCAAGAGAAATGAAAACATACGTCCACACAAAAACTTGGTTTTCTTTTTTGAGACAGGGTCTGGTTTGCTCTGTAGCCTTGGCTGGAGTATAGTGGTGTGATCATGGCTCATAGCAGCCTCACCCTCCCAGGCTCAAGTGATCCTCCCACCTCAATCTCTTGAGTAGCTGGGACTATGCATGTGCCACCACGCCTGGCTGATTTTTTTTTTTTTTTTTTTTTGTAGAGATAGGGGTCTCACCATGTTGCCCAGGCTGATCTTGAACTTCTGGGCTCAAGGGATCCTCCCACCTTGGTCTCCAAAAATGCTGGGATCTGCCAGGCGTGGTGGCTCATGCCTGTAATCCTAGCACTTTGGGAGGCTGAGGCGGATGGATCATCTGAGATCAGGAGTTCGAGACCAGCCAGGCCAACATGTCAAAACCCTGTCTCTACTAAAAATA
Organism: Homo sapiens; assembly: GCF_000001405.40. Taxonomy (NCBI): domain Eukaryota; kingdom Metazoa; phylum Chordata; class Mammalia; order Primates; family Hominidae; genus Homo; species Homo sapiens. Next base: position 43,511,630 of record NC_000017.11, on the reverse strand, counting down.
CAAAAATTAGCCAGGCATGGTGGCACATGCCTGTAATCCCAGCTACTCAGGAGGCTGAGGCAGAAGAATCACTTGAACCTGGGAGGCAGAGGTTGCAATGAACCAAGATCATGCCACTGCATTCCAGCCTGGATGACAGAGAAAGACTCTGTCTCAAAAAAAAAAAAAAAAAAATGCTGGGATCACAGGCATAAGCCACTGCGCCTGGCTCACACAAAAATGTGTAAACAAATGTTCACAGCAGCATTATTCAAGAAAGCCCAAAAGTGAAAATGACTCCTATGTCTATCTTTATCTTCCTTTTGAGATAGTTTTGCTCATTGCCCAGGCTGGAGTGCAATGGCACGATCTCGGCTCACTGAAACCTCTGCCTCTTGGGTTCAGGTGATTCTCCTGTCCCAGCCTCCCAGGTAGCTGGGATTACAGGCACCCGCCACCACGCCTGGCTAATTTTTGTATTTTTAGTAGAGACAGGGTTTCACCATATCAGCCAGGCTGGTCTTGAACTCCTGACCTCAGGTGATCCATCTGCCTCAGCCTCCCAAAGTGATGAAATTACAGGTGTGAGCCACTGCGCTCAGCTCCAATGTCCATCAACTGATAAATGGATAAACAAAATGTGTTGTGCCCATACAACACAACAGTATTCAGCAAGAAAAAGAAATGAAGTATTGATACATACTACAATGTTGATGAACTCTGAAAACATGCTAAGTCTGGAAAAATCACTGGAAATAAGCCAGCCACAAATATGTGATTTCATTTATATGAAATGTCTAGAATAGGCAAATCCACAGAGATGGAAGATATAGGTTAGTGGTTTCCAGAGGCTGAGCAGAGGAGTAAATGGGGGTAGATGACTGCTAAAGGGTACAGCATTTCTTTTTAGGGAGATAAAATTGTTCTAAATATAATTGTGGTGATGGCTGCACAATTCTGTGAATATGGTTAGCCCTCTGTATCTGCTGGTTCCCCATCTATGGATTCAACCAACAGCAGATTAAAAATATTTGAGGAAAAAAATTCAACAATAAAAAAATACAAATAAAAAATACAGTAAAACAACTGCTTATATAGCATTTACACTGTATGAGGTATTATAGGTAATCTAGAGATAAAGTATCACACAGGAAGATGTGCATAGTTTACATGCAAATACTATGGCATTTTACATAAGAGACTTGAGCATACTTGGATTTTGGTATCCTCGGGGGTCCTGGAACCAATCCCCACATACCATGGGTAAAAGCCTTTGAACTGTACACTTTAAAAGGGTAAATTCTGGCTGGGCACGGTGGCTCACACCTGGAATCCCGGCGCTTTGGGAGGCCGAGGGGGGCAGATCATCTGAGGTCAGGAGTTCGAGACCAGCCTGACCAGAATGGAGAAACCCTGTCTCTACTAAAAATACAAAATTAGCCGGGTGTGGTGGCACATGCCTGTAATCACAGCTACTCGGGAGGCTGAGGCAGGAGAATCACTTGAATCTGGGAGGCGGAGGTTGCGGTGAGCCAAGATCGCACCATTGCACTCCAGCCTCGGCAACAAGAGCGAAACTCCATCTCAAAACAAACAAACAAACAAACAAACAAACAAAAAACAGTAAATTCCAATCTGGGCAACATGGCGAAACTGTGTTTCTACAAAAAAAATACAAAAATTGGCTGGGCGCAGTGGCTCACGCCGGTAATCCCAGCACTTTGGGAGGCCGAGACCGGCAGATCACATGAGGTCAGGAGTTCGAGACCAGCCCGGCCAACGTGGGGAAACCCCATCTCTACTAAAAATACAAAAATAAGCCAGGCGTGGTAGTGGGTGCTTATAGTCCCAGCTACTCGGGAGGCTGAGGCGGGGGAATCGCTTGAACCTGGGAGGTGAAGGTTGCAGTGAGCCGAGATTGTGCCGTTGCACTCCAGCCTGGGCAACAAGAGTGAAACTCTGTCTCAAAAAAAAACACAAAAACAAAAACAAAAACCAAAATTAGCCAAGAATGGTGGCATGCACCTGTAGTCCCAGCTGCTTAGGCGGCTGAGGCAGGAGGATCACTTGAGCCTGAAAGGCAGAGGTTGCAGTGAGCTGAGATCACATCACTGCACTCCACCTTGGGTGACAGACTGAGACCCCATCTCAAAAAAAAAAAAAAAAATAAGTGGGAGGTGGAGGGAGTTAATTGAAAGGTATGTAAATTATATCTCAATAAAACTGTTACTAAAAAAATACCTACATCCATCTGTCTCCTTTCCTGTTGTCTCATACACACAGTCATATACTTGGTTCCAGCCACTGGAACTATGCCATTCCCTGAACTGGCCCTACTTGCTCGTCTCCAGGCCATCACAGATAGTTCTGTGTCCTTAGAATGCTTGTCCCCTTGCCTTTCAAGAGTTCTCCAGGACTACCTTAGATCCTTATTTCCTCTAGGAAGACAGGGTTGGGTGCTCCCGCCTGGGTATCCAAGCATGAGTGGCATTTTCACACTAAATGCTGAAAGTCTGTTGACTGGGGGATGCCCCACAGCAGATAGAGGCTTGTTCTCACAATGCAGCTCCCATGTGTAGCCCAAAGCCTGGTAGATGCTCAAAAAATATTTGTCAAATGAAGAAGAGGAAGAAGAGGAGAGGTCACATACTAAACAAATTGGTTGGACCTCATTCCTAAACAAATTGGTTGGACCAGTCTCTGAAACCTAACAAACAAGACTTGCATACACCTGGCCGGGCGCGGTGGCTCACACCTATAATCCCAGCACTTTGGGAGGCTGAGGCGGGCGGATCACGAGGTCAGGAGATCGAGACCATACTGGCTAACACGGTGAAACCCCGTCTCTACTAAAAATACAAAAAATTAGCCAGGCGTGGTGGCAGGTGCCTGTAGTCCCAGCTACTCAGGAGGCTGAGGCAGGAGAATGGCGTGAACCCGGGAGGCGGAGCTTGCAGTGAGCTGAGATGGTGCCATTGCACTCCTGCCTGGGTGAGAGCGAGACTCTGCCTCGAGGAAAAAAAAAAAAAAAAAGACTTGCATACACCCTAAGCAATCCCTACTATGGCTGACAGGCTGCACACAACACATGGTTTCAGGGCACATGGAAGCTTCATTTTTGCCCATGTTACCTTTCTGCTGCCTGGTGGAGCTGGGTCAAAGATTCGGGTCTGCATCTCACTGGGAAGAGCAGAGTACACTGGGAGGATAATTAACTCTGGAACATCAGGTCCCAGGGATTTCATTCTTTCATACAGGATCTCACAAGCAGTATCAATTTCTTCCTGACCAGTCAGGAAGACCAGGATATCACCTACGAGCAGAATAGAACATTCATCTACTTTCTGTGTGTGTATGTGTGTCCTATACAAGGGCTATGGTGATATTAATAAAACTTCAAATAACAGAACATATGCATTCATATTCTGACCAGTAAGTAAACAATACAAGTTTGTTTATATATGACATTATAACCACCATCATTTCAAACATACAAGCCTGAGGCTTGCAGAGAGATGAATATTTAGAAGTTGTTTTTAAAAAGATTAGCAAAAAAGATACCCATATGAGGACTTTTGGCCTAAGAGGGAAAATTAGGCCTCCCAAAAAGGAAAATTGCTTTTTCCCCTTACCTGGTGGTTCTGTTAAATGAATCTGCATAACAGTAATCAGGCTGGCATCCAGATAATCTGTCTCAGGTTCCTTTGTGTACAGTATTTCCACTGGATATGTTCGACCTGGGATGGTGAAAATGGGAGCTTCATAGAAGTATTGAGAAAACTTCACTGCATCCAAGGTGGCTGAGGTGACAATCAGCTTCATGTCCTGCCGTTTCTGAACTGTCTGAAGAGAAATATTATGTGGCTTACTGAAAAGGACTACCCAAAGACACAGGTACTCAAATCCAACTGCCAGAATTCAGCTTCCAACAGGTAGAGGGGTCATTAAAGAGCATCTAGTTACCTTTTTCAACAATCCAAAGAGCACATCAGTGTGAATTGTCCTCTCATGTGCCTCGTCCAACATGATGATCGCGTACTGAGTGAGGTCAGGGTCAATCAAGCACTCTCTAAGCAACATCCCATCTGTCATGTACTTGATGACTGTTTCAGGGCTAGTGCAGTCCTCAAATCGAATGGTGTAGCCCACCTAAAGCAGAAGAGAAGGGGAAAACCTAGGATACAAATGTCTCCTTTTCCCAATCACCAGGCAAGATTTCAGCCCAGTCACTCTCACTCATAATCTTAAGAATCTGATCAAGATGTACAGTAATTTCCTCATAGTAAGGTATGTCTTAGACTATACTCTGAACAGACTGATTATGACAATGGGAACCCTCTCTCCCTCAGGAGAAACCTGAAAAAAGGCAGTATTATTAATATTTCCATTTGATAGATTAAGAGACCTGGGCCTTTGCTTCTGGTATTTTTCGAGCGACTCCACTATCTACTTACCTCTTGGCCTAAGCAACAACCAAACTCCTCTGACACTCTTTTGGCCACCGACATAGCTGCCACTCTTCTGGGCTGGGTACACCCAATCTTGCCCCTGGAAGTGTAGCCTGCCTCCGCCAGGTACTGGGTGATCTGTGTTGTCTTTCCAGATCCTGTCTCACCAATGACAATCAGGATCTGATTGTCATGGACGGCCTGAAAGCAACAGAATATAAATATGGTCATTAAAATCTGCCAGAATATAAATATGGTCATTAAACAGAATATAAATATGGTCATTAAAATCTACATTACTCTGGAATAAAATAATTACTATATTCTAACACCAAAGAAAAGAGGAATATACACATATAGTTAAAGAAGTCAACAATGAATTTAAAAGATACATAAAAAATGTTCCTTCCCACTGTAACTCCCAAATTTCTATATCTTTCCCCAAAAGTTATTTCTTATTTCTACGTTGTTTGTAACAGCCAAGGATTACAATCAACGATGTTTCTATGGATATAGGACTAGTTAAATAAACCAGAGCCTATCCAAATAATACAGCCCATAAAAAAAGGCTTTTTTTTTTTTTTTGAGATGAAGTCTCACTCTGTCGCCCATGCTGGAGTGCAGTGGCATGATCTCAGCTCATTGCAACCTCCACCTTCCGGATTCAAGTGATTCTCCTGCCTCAGCCTCCCAAGTAGCTGGGACTGCAAGTGCCCGCCAGCACGCCCGGCTAATTTTTGTACTTTTAGTAGAGACAGGGTTTCACCATGTTGGCCAGGCTGGTCTCGAACTCCTGACCTCAGGTGATCCGCCCGCCTTGGCCTCCCAAAGTATTGGGATTACAGGTGTGAGCCACTGTGCCTGGCCTGGCAATTTTTTTTGTTTGTTTGTTTAAGAAGGCCAGGCACAGTGGCTCATGCCTGTAATCCTAGCACTTTGGGAGGCCAAGGAGGGAGGATTGCTTGAGTCCAGGAGTTCAAGACCAGCCTGGACAATATAGTGAGACCGCATCTCTACAAAAAATACAAAAAACTAGCTGAGCATGATGGTGTATGCCTTGTAGTCCCATCTACTTGGGAGTCTGAGGTGGGAAGATCACTTGAGCCCAGGAGGTAGAGGTTGCAGTGAGCTGAGATCAAGCCACTGTACTCCAGCCTGCACAAAGCGAGACTCTGTCACACACACATACACACACACACACACAAATCTCTGAGATATATCATTAAGTGGAAAAAGATGTAGAACAGTGTATATAATATCACTGCCACCTGTAAACACACACAGTACTCATATAAAATGTGTGTGCGTGTGTGTGCATATATTTGTACTTGCTTGTATACATATAAGATATTGTTGAAAGGATTCACTAGAAACTAGTAAACCTGATTACCTCAAGGAAGACTCGGTGGTCTTAAAATCAGAACTCCAGAATATAGAGTACCGAAGCACTCTATGAGTTGCCCATATGAGTTTATTGACTGAGTATCCTCATTTTTAATTACTGAACAGAGCTGTTGGTCCATGCAACACAATACTCTGCCCACTTGGAAACTGTTCTAGGGGCCCCAGGAAAAAGAAGATATACAGACACATACATAAGTATGTGTGTCTGTACACGCACACACAAACATTTGTGATATGGGGTCTCACTTGGTCGCCCAGGCTGGAGTGCAGTGGTGTGATTGCAGTTCACTGTAGCCGCGACCTCTCAGGCTCAAGCAATCCTCTTATCTCAGCCTCCCGAGTAGCTGGGATTACAGGCATGGACCACCACACCCAGGTAATTTTTTTTTTTTTAGACAGAGTCTCTCTCTGTAGCCAGGCTGGAGTGCAGCGGCGTGATCTTGACTCACTGCAACCTCCGACTCCCTGATTCAAGCGATTCTCCTGCCTCAGACTCCAGAGTAGCTGGGATTATAGGCATGCGCCACCACGCCCAGCTAATTTTTTGTATTTTTAGTAGAGACAAGGTTTCACCGTGTTGGCCAGGATGGTCTCGAACTCCTGAACTTGTGATCCGCCCACCTTTGCCTCCCAAAGTGCCGGATTACAGGTGTGGGCCACCACGCCCCACCAAATTTTTTATTTTTTGTAGAGACAAGATTCCCTATGTTGCCTCAGGCTGGTTTCAAACTCCTAGGCTCAAGTGATCCTCCTGCCTTGGCCTCTGATGTGCTGGGATTATAGGCATCCACTACCGCGCCCAGCCCCATTTAAAAAAAAAGTATTTAGAAAGTTTTATCCTTCTTTCTTAACTCTTTTGGATGAGCCACTTCAAGTAGGCACATACTTGTCCCGTTAGTTTCAGTTTAAAAATATCACCCCTCTTTTAGACAATAACCCTACTCCCCACCAATACATCATAAAAGTCTTCTCACCTGGACCAATTGCTCCTTCAGTTTGTAGATGGGCAGGCTCTCCCTCTGCTCAAGGATTGACATCTGGGTCTTTTTTCCGTAAGAGGCTTTGTTGCCCCCAAAGGCATGCTTCTTCCACTCAGGAATATCATTGGGCATCATCCCAATACCCCTCATGTTGGCAGCAATCTGTCTGCCTTCCGCTGGAAAGGAAAACAGGCAACTTAGTATTGTCCTCAAGCTACCTCAAGATGTACCAGGAAAAAAATAAAATGGCATGCGGGCACTGCACATGCAGCATCTCAATTCAGCGACCCGTGATCAAAAGTACTCAAAGAAACAAATTAATGTGAAGAAAAGAATATAGAAGGGGCAGCAGGGAATGGGAAAGAGACTGTAACAAGTGGTGCTACACACCTGTGATGTCAGAAAAAAGGTTAGTTGAGAGAAGTGAAGACCTGACTGCTTGACACTGGAATTATTTTTTTTTAGGTAGGGTCTTGCTCTGTCATCCAAGTGGGAGTGCAGTGGTGCAATCCTGACTCACTGCAGCCCCGACCTTCTGGGCTCAAGCGAGAAGAGGTCACTCTATGTTGCCAGGCTGGTCTCGAACTCCTGGGCTAAAGCAATCCACCCATCTCACCCTCCCAAAGTAATGGAATTACAGGTATGGCCACCATGCGCAGCACTCTCCCCTTTTTAAATAACTGCTATATCGAGATGTAATTCACAAACCATGTTACACTTTTTTTATTTTATTTTATTTTTTTGAGACAGGGTCTTGCTCTGTTTCCCAGGCTGGAGTGCAGTGACGCAATCACGGCTCACTGCAGCCTCAAATTCCTGGGTTCAAGGAATCCTCTCTCCTTGGCCTCCCAAAGTGCTGGGATTACAGGTATGAGCCACCAAGCCAGGTCTCCGTGTTACTCTTTTTAAGTGTTTAACTCAGTGTTTTACTGTATATTCATTAAGTTGTGCAACTATCCCCACTATTTAGAGTATTTTCATCATATCAGAAAGAAACCCTGTACCCATTAGCAGTTACTCCCCATTCCTCCCTTTTCCTTTCCCTTGGCAACCATTAGTCTACTTTCTATGTCTACGGGTTCTATTCTGGATACTTCATACAATATGTGGTCTGTTGTGCCTGGTTTCTCTCAGATTAATTTTTTTCTTTTTCTGAGACAGGGTCTGGCTCAGACGCCCAGCAGGCTGGAGTGCAGTGGCGAGATCTCAGCTCAGCAACCTCCACCTCCTGGGCTCAAGCAATCCTCCCACGTTAGCCTCCTGAGTAGCTGGGAATACAGGTGCACGTGATTACACACGGCTAAACTTTTTTTTTTTTTTTTTAGATGGAGTTTCGCAATTGTTGTCCAGGCTGGAGTGCAATGGCGTGATCTCGGCTCACTGCAACCTCCGCCTCCCAGGTTCAAGTGATTCTCTTGCCTCAGCCTCCCTAGCAGCTGGGATTACAGGTGCGTGCCACCACATCTGTTAATTTTTCTGTTTTTAGCACAGATGGGGTTTCACTATGTTGGCTAGGCTGGTCTCAAACTCCTGACCTCAGGTGATCCACCCGCCTCAGCCTCCCAAACTGCTGGGATTACAGGCATGAGCCACCATGCCTGGACTAATTTTTGTATTTTTTTAGAGACAGGGTTTCACCACATTGCCCAGCTTGGTTTCAAATTCCCCAACTCAAGTGATCTGTCTGCCTCAGCCTCCCAAAGTGCTGGGATTACAGGTGTGAGCCACCTTGCCCAGACCTAGCTTATATTTTCAAGATTCACCTTGGAATTGTGGCTTGAGGAGCAAAAAAAAATGAGCAGAATTTTAGTGGCTCTCTAGCATATGCAAACATTTTACAAATTTGATGCCAAAAGCTGGCTACGAAAAAATACTTATGCCTACTAACCAAATAAGTGAGCTTAGGCAGAGGCCAAAGGAGGGTCATGGAGAACATTTCACTAAAGGGTAAAAGGGAATGAATGGGTTTATTCTGAGGAAATGGAAGATGATATTGTTAAACAATGAACGAATATGTCCAACCTTCTACTGTAAATCTAATATTTTGGTTTTTATTTTTGTCGTTTTTAAAAATTTAATTTTAAAATAGAGACAAGGGCTAGGCACGGTGGCTCACCAGTAATCCCAGCACTTTGGGAGGCCAAGGTGGGCAAGATCATTTGAGGTCAGAAGTTCGAGACCAGCCTGACCAACATGGTGAAACGCTGTCTCTACCAAAAATGCAAAATAATTACTCGTGCGTGGTGGCGGTCACCTGTAGTCCCAGCTACTTGAGGCTGAGGCAGGAGAATCGCTTGAACCCAGGAGGCAGAGGTTGCAGTGAGCCAAGACTGCACCACTGCACTCCAGCTGGGGCAACATAGTGAGACTCCATCTCAAAAACTAAACTAAACTAAACTAAAATAACAAAACAAAACAAAATAAAATAAAATACAGATAAGGTCTTACTATGTTGCCCAGACTGGTCTTGAACTCCTGGCCTCAAGCAATTCTCCTGCCTCGGCCTCCCAAAGTGTTGGGATTACAGGCGTGAGCCATCATGCCGAACCTAATCTAATATTTGAATCTCTATTACATGCAGCCAAACTGATATCTAAATTAACACAATTCCCAAACTTCTGTCTCCAGCCCAGACCTCTCTTCTGAGCTCTTATACTCAATTCTACACTGGATACCTCAACCTAAGATGTCCTCTAGTTGCCTCGGACACAAGTCCAAAACGGAATTTGACCATCTTTCCCCACAAACCCATTTCTCCTCCAGTGTTCCCATCATTCATCCTAGTGCTCATACCAGAAACCTGGAAGTCATCTTTGACCATTCCTGTTGCCCCACATTCAACAAATTACTTTTCTCAAGTACATCCCTCCTCTTTGCTACCTCCATGTTCAAGCCACCATTCTCTCTCTTCATAAAAGCTTTCTAAATCATCACATGTGCCCCATCCAACTCATTCTGCAGGGCACCCTCAATCATCCTTTGGAAATGCAACTCTGGTCATGCCATGTGCCAGCTGCAAACTTTCAACATCTGGCTGGGCACGGTGGCTCACACTTGTAATCCCGGCACTTTGGGAGGCTGAGATGGGGGGGGGATCACCTGAGGTCGCGAGTTCGAGACCAGCCTGACCAACATGGAGGAACCTCGTCTCTACTAAAAATACAAAAAATTAGCTAGGCGTGGTGGTGCATGCCTGTAATCCCAGCTACCTGGGAGTCTGAGGCAGGAGAATCACTTGAACCAGGGAGGTGGAGGTTGCAGTGAGTCAAGATCATGGTGTTGCACTCCAGCCTAGGCAACAAGAGCAAAACTCTGTCTCAGAAACAAAAACAACAACAACAAAAGAACTTTTCAACATCTCCCAGTGCTATTAGAATTGAGCCCAGCTTCCTAATGCCACCTACAAAGCCCTGGCCTGATGTTCTTATCTCATCCCCTACCACTGCCCACTGCTCTCTCTATTCCATCCACACAAGCCTTCTTTCAGTTCCTTCTTTCCCACCCCACAAACCCAACACGGGCTACTCCTCAGGCTGGAACATACTCCCCAACCTCCATCCCATCTCCACTTGACAGACTGAGTCCAATTTATCCTTTGGGTCTCGATTTCCCCAGGGAAGTGACCCACCACAGTCAATTACACTGCCTGTACTTCTTCACATGGCACTGATCATAATTTAATTATTTGGTGATTATTTAATTAATATCCATATCCCCGACTAAGTTGTAGCGCATAAAAGCAGGGATCATATCTGTTTAATTCAAATCGTATCCCCAGTTGCCAAACACAAATTAAATTAATAAGTATTTGTTATGACTATATCTAGTAGCTAATATTTACTGCACAAAGAATTATATGAAAAAGGAAGCTTCAAAGCTGTATTACCTTTAGAATAAAAATTTTTTTTTTGAGACGGAGTCTCACTCTGTAGCCAGGCTGGAGTGCAGTGGCGCGATCTTGGCTCACTGCAACCTCCGCCTCCAGGGTTCAAGCGATTCCCCTGCCTCAGTCTCTCGAGTAGCTGGGACTACAGGCGCGCACCACCACACCTGGCTATTTTTTGTATTTTTAGTAAAGACGGGGTTTCACCATGTTGGCCAGGATGGTCTCGATCTCCTGACCTTGTGATCCGCCCGCCTCAGCCTCCCAAAGTGCTGGGATTACAGCATGAGACACCGCGCTAGAATAACATTTTTAAAGTGATTCAGAAGAAAAACTCAGTCTAATGATTTGACCATGGCTATTAAAACATTTTTGGTTTTAAACATGTGTTTAAGAAAAAACCAAACATGCTCTAACTGAAGTGAAAAACCAAGGGTAAATTTTTTTTTCGAGATGGAGTGTCATTCTATCACCCAGGCTGGAGTACACTTGCCTGATCTCAGCTCACTGCAACTTCCACCTCCTGGGTTTAAGCGATTCTCCTGCCTCAGCCTCCCGAGTAGCTGGGATTACAGGTGTGTGCCACCATGCCTGGCTAACTTTTGTATTTTTTTAGTAGAGACTTGGTTTCACCATGTTGGCCAGGTCGGTCTCGAACTCCTGACCTCAGGTGATCCACCTGCCTTGGCCTCCCAAAGTGCTGGGATTACAGGCATGAGCCACCGCCCCGGCCCAAGGGTAAATTTTTAGTGTGTGCCGGGAGTGACCCCTCCCTGTGTTCTGAAAGGCTCAGATTTTTAAACAAGGTCCATACACCCCTCCAAGGGTCCTACCATCAGGCAGAGGGTCAACCCAGTGTTTGTTGAGTCCCATGGGAATAGAATCCATCTCAGCTTCCCGCTGGGCCTGTTTGAGTTCCCGCCTTTCTTTGGCCAAGGCACTCTGCATCATTGCTGCTTGGGAGAGGGAGCCGTCTGGGTTCTGGTGCAACAGAAGAAAAAACAACATGGATTAAATGTCCGGGAAATAATATGTAGAAGTTAAGCTCCTGTAATCTAAAACATGAGACTACATCTGGAATAAAGTTCTTATCAATGTAACAGACTATATGAAAGAAATGGATAAACCGTAGCATATTCAGATAAAATGAACAAGGACAATGTTACATCATTGAAGGAACTGGATGTTTAGTTTGAATATGAGAACCCCAAAAGAGATAGGAATGATGTGCTACCTTTAAACGTATGAAGGACATAAGAAAGGTATAAGAATTTTTCTGTATGACCCTGGGAACCAAAATCAAGACCAATGTGGACACTTCAGTGAGCGAGGTTTCAGGTATGCCTAAAGAAGAACTAGCGATCAGATCCATCTCATGATGAAATGTACCTCCTTAAGGGCTGGTGAATTCCCTGTCACTAACAATGTCATGCAGCTATGAGATGACCATATGAGAAGAACACCGCAGAAGAATGATATGCGTGGATTATAAGCATTTCATATGTGCTGGGCTGGGAGACCTTTAAATATACCCTTTTCCATACCTAAAATGTTTATTGTTCTATGAATTCTGGTTTGGATTCCCCTTACAGCTCTGCCCTCTCCAGCACCCAGTGCTACAGCTTTCTATGGTGGCCAGCCCCAAGTGCTCAAGTAAATCCTTCAAAATTGCCTTTGAATCTGCAAGATTCAAGCCCTAAGGAATCCAGGCAAAGGCAATGATGGCAGATTAAGCATTCCTATCTATCTCTGCTTCCACCCAAAATACACAAAAGGAGCACAAAAGAATTCAACAGGCAAAAGCAATAAAGCCAACCCAACCTCCATTTAAAATAAAACTATTATAGACCCTGGCTAACAGCCAGTAATACTTTCTGTGGCCCAAGTTCTACTTACGCAGATCTAATAACCTGACCCATTACTTTAGAAAAAGAAGTCCACTTGACATTTCCAGGTTAAAGGTCCAGTAATTCTCACCTTGACAATTTTAATGGGGCTCATGTCCATGCTTTGCTTAGTGTGCCCTCTCAGGAATGGAGGCTCTTCCTCAACCAATTCAATCTCAAGGTCCTCATCTAAAAGTCCCCCCAAAAGAAGAATTAGCCATAAACAAGAAAAAATAACAATTTTCACCAAGACAATTAATTTCCATAGGTACCAACAATCTTTATCAAAAACAGCTTCCCCTGGTGGGGCATGGTGGCTCACGCCTGTAATCTCAGCACTTTGGCAGGCTGAGGCAGGAGGATCACTTGAGGTCAAGAGTTTGAGATCAGACTGGTCAACACAGTGAAACCCCATCTCATTAAAAATCCAAAAATTATCCAGGCTTGGTGGTGGGCACCTGTAGTCCCAGCTACTCAAGAGGCTGAGACAGGAGAATAGCTTGCACCCAGGAGGCAGAGGTTGCAGTGAGCTGAGATCAAGCCATTGCACTCCAGCCTGGGTGACAGAGTGAGACTCTGTCTTAAAAAAAAAAAAGAAAAAAAAGGCCGGGTGCAGTGGCTCTTACCTGTAATCCCAGCACTTTGGGAGGCTAAGGCGGGCTGATCACCTGAGGTCAAGAGTTCCAGACCAGCCTGGTCAACATGGTGAAACCCCATCTTTACTAAAAATACAAAAAAATTAGCTGGGCTTGGTGGTACAGACCTGTAATCCCAGCTACTTGGGAGGCTGAGGCAGGAGGATCGCTTGAACCCGGGAGGCAGAGGTTTCAGTGAGCCAAGACCGTGCCACTGCACTCCAGCCTGGGCAACAAGAACGAAACCCCGTCTCAAATTAAAAAAAAAAAAAAAACACCTTCCCAGGTCAAAGGACAGCAATGCAAGTAAAACTCTAACCCAGGTGACTATTCCCCCATCACCAGCCATTTCTAGAGCATTTGTGCTCCAGCCCAAGAACTGATCAGACCTACTTTGAAAAGAAGTTAAGCCTGTGAGAAAATGCTCTCCTGACATTCTAAATGGTACTAGGGCATTTGCCATCCAACTTCATTGTGGAATAATTCTTAACCCAAAATAAATTTGTAAAAAATTAGTTCGACAATTGAACAACACCAAGCGGAACTTGCTTACACTTATGGCAGAAGTATAAACGGTACAGAAACCAACAGAAAACAATTTGGAACTGCCCAGCAAAGTCAAACACACACATTTCTTACTACCCAGTAATTTTTTTTTTTTAAGACAGGGTGTTGCTCTGTTGCCCAGGCTACAGCACAGTGGCATGACCATGGCTCACTGCACCCTCGACCTCCCAGGCTCAAGCAATTCTCCCACTTCAGCCTCCCCAGTGGCTGGGAGTACAGGCACACATCACTACACCTGGCTAATTTTTTTTCTTTTGTAAAGACAGGGCCTAGCTATGTTGCCAGGGCTGGTCTCAAACTCCTAGGCTCATGCAATCCTACCATCTCAGCCAGCCTCCCAAAGTGCTGGGATTACAGGGCTGAGCCATGACACTTGGCCTACCCAGTAATTCTATGCATTTAGGGAAAAAAGAACATTTTGCACATAAGCACTAAGAGACAATATAGCAATTTCAAAATACTATTATTCACAAAGATTAACCAAAAACCAAGAAACAACTCATATGTCCATCAAAAGTAAAATGGATAAATTATAGACAATTTATATATAAACACTCTATAGCAATAAAAGTGAGTGAAATACCAATATAAATATCAACATAAATATCAAAAATATGTAAGTCAAAAAAAAAGAAAAATGAGTTAAGTTCAAAAATAGACAACACAATATAATGTTTAGGGATAGATACGTAGATGGTAAAACTAAAGAAAAGCCAGGGAGTAATTAACACAAATGTGGGACGGTGGTTACTCCTAGAAGGAAGAAAGAAGATCTAAGCAGAGGGGAGCATGTAGGGGCTTCAGAGGTGCTTGTAAAATTCTACTTCTTAAGCTGGGTGGTGAGTACGTAGGTGCTCACTTACTACTACAATATAAGTTAGAGAATTCTATCATAAGATTTCATAATTTCAAAAAAGTCATTATGGGCTGAGTTAAAAGTTGTTTCCAGGGCAACTCAGAGGTAATCTAGGTGGATCCAGGGTTTTCAGAATAATTACTAAGAATATGAGATCAAATTTACTCCCAAAAATACAATTATAACTTTTTATATCCTGAAAGCTTTTTTTTTTTGATAGAGTCTCACTCTGTCACTCAGGCTGGAGTACAGTGGCGCGATCTCGGCTCACGGCAACCTCCGTCTCCTGGGTTCAAGCAATTCTCCTGCCTCAGACTCCCGAGTAGCTGGGACGATAGGCATGCGCCACCACACCCAGCTAATCTTTGTATTTTTTTAGTAGAGACACGGTTTCACCATGTTGGCCAGGCTGGTTTCAAACTCCTAACCTCAGGTGATCTGCTGGCCTCGGCCTCCCAAAGTGCTGGGATTACAGGCGTGAGCCACCATGCCTGGCCCTGAGAGCTTATTATAAGCAACAGGTATAATAATAATAATACATAAGCACTTGTCAGAAAAATGAACTTCTTGCTTCCATCATGGTGAGATCCTTTTTTTTTTGAGAGATGAGTAGTGAGATCCAAAGAACAAATGATTAATAGCCACTGGGTTAAACTACAGGCAAATCACCCAATTCAATGGCTCAACTTGCCAATTACCCTTCTCGATCCAACTGACTAGTTACCTTCTTCATCATCCACCTTAGGGAGAATGCCAGTCTCTTCATCAAAGTCTGGAAATTCTTCTTTGGAAAGGACATTGGCAGCAATCATCTAGCCAAAGAAGAGAAGGCAGCATTTGTAACCTGCTAAGATCAAAACTTTTTTTTTGTTTTTTGGTTTTGTTTTGTTTTTTTGAGACAGGATCTTGCTCTGTCACCCAGGCTGAAGTGCAGTGACCTGATCAAAGCTCACTGCAACCTCAAACTCCTGGGCTCAACCAATCCTCCTACCTCAGCCTCCTGAATAGCTGACACTAGTGGCGCACACCATAATACCTGGCTAATTTTTAAATTTTTTCTAGAAACAGGGTCTCACTACTTGTCCAGGCTGGTCTCAAACTCCTGGCCTCAAGCAATCCTCCTGCCTTGGCCTCCCAAAGTGCTGAGATTACATGTGTCAGCGACATGCCCAGCCAAAACTCTTCTTTTCTAGGAGAGTTAATTACAGAGGTTTCATGTAGGAAACCCAGTTTTTTTCTCCTCTGACCCACGATATCGGGAGCTCAAATGTCATATATCCCATTCCAGGGTTGCAGAGGTGGTTCTCCAACATGGTGCTGTAAAGTATAAGCTCAAAAGTATTATCCCCAGGAAAAGTTATCTGCTCTTTCCCTTGTTTCCACAGCACTCTGGTACATTTATTATATAATACGTAGGCCAGACACGGCAGCTCATGCCTGTAATCTCAACACTTTGGGAGGCTGAGACAAGAGAATCACTTGGAGCCCAGGAGTTTGAGATGAGCACTGGTAACACGGCAAGACTGTCTCTACAAAAAATTAAAAAATTAGCCAGGCATGGTGGCATGTGCCTGAGGTCACAGCTAATTGGGAAGCTGAGATGAGAGGATGGCTTGAGCCTGAAAGGTTGAGGCTGCAGTGAGCCATGGTCATGCCACTGCACTCTTGCCTGGGCAATAGTGCAAGTAAGAACTTGCCTCAAAAATAAAGGAAAAAATATGTAACCCCTCACAATTATTTGTTTAGATCTGTCTCCTCTGCTGGACTTTGAGTTCCTTAAGCATAGCAACCATGATATATTCGCGTTTATAGCCCTAGCCCTGCATGGTGCTTGACACACCACGGTTATGTTATTTAGTGAAGAAGGATGAAAACAATAGGCTGGGCACAGTGGCTCACGCCTGTAATCCCAGCACTTTGGGAGGCCGAGGTGGGAGAATCACCTGAGGCCAGGAGTTCAAGACTAGCCTGGCCAACATGGTGAAACCCCGTCTCTACTAAAAATTCAAAAAAATTAGCCGGGCGTGGTGGTGGGCGCCTGTAATCCCAGCTACTCGGGAGGCTGAGGCACGACAATCGCTTGAACCCGGGAGGCAGAGGTTGCAGTGAGCTGAGATCGCACCACTGTACTCCAGCCTGGGTGACAGAGCGAGACTCCGTCTCAATTAAAAAAAAAAAAAAAAGGAAAGAAAACAAAAGAATGAAGACTTACATAGCAATTACCATATGCTAAACACTAACCTAAGAGTTTCACTTTTTTTTTTTTTTTTTTGAGACAGAGTCTTGTTCTGTTGCCCAGGCTGGAGTGCAGTGGCATGATCTCAGCTCACTGTAACCTCCGCCTCCCGGGTTCAAGCGATTCTCCTGCCTCAGCGTCGTGAGTAGCTGGGATTATAGGCGCGCACCATGACGCCCGGCTAATTTTTTGTATTTTTAGTGGAGATGGGGTTTCACCATACCGGTCAGGCTGGTCTCGAACTCCTGAGCTCGTGACCCGCCCGCCTCAGCTTCCCAAAGTGCTGGGATTACACGTGTGAGCCATCACGCCCAACGACTTTCACCTTTAATTAATCCTCACACCACCAACACTGGTCCTGTTTTATAGAAAAGGGTACTGAGGCATGAGGTAGAGTAGCTTAGCTAAGGATTACACGGCTAATAAGTGGCTGATATGGTTTGGCTGTGTCCCCACCCAAATCTCATCTTGAATTTCCACGTGTGTGGGAGGGACCCAGTGGACGGTAACTGAATCATGGAGGCAGCTCTTTCCCACGCTGTTGTCACGATAGTGAGTAAGTCTCATGAGATCTGATGGTTTTAAAAAGGGCATTTCCCTGCACAAGCTCTCTTGTCTACTGCCATGTGAGATATGCCTTTCACCTTCCTCCATAATTGTGAGGCCTCCCCAACCAAGTGGAATTCTAAGTCCAATAAACCTCTTTCTTTAGTAAATTGCCCAGTCTCAGGTACGTCTTTATCAGGAGTGTGAAAACAGACTAATACAGTGGCCAAAAGTTATCCCAGGCCATCGTGCTCCAGGGCACACCCCTAAGCACCATGCTACATGCTGAATGACTATCTGGTCATGAAAACTAAAGGCCCCAACCTGTTTGATCTCCCACTTCTCTGGGTCAGAGATTCGGGTGAGGCGCTTGCGTTCCAGTGAGTCGTCCTCTACTTCAGGAGCACTGACAAGGGACAAGTGAGTGGGTCTATCAGGATTCCGCATTGAGGTCTCCTCATTGGTCTCCCCGACAAGATTTCGCCGTCTATTTGGGTTTAGATCTTCTCCAGTCTCTTGATCCACATCCTAAGGCACAAAAACAAGGGAGCTGTCTCACTTGCTGTCCTCTTCCATTCCCTTGGCCATCACATGTAAGAACAGGCTGACCATCTCACCTACCTTCATGCTCAGGCTGGTCTTGGTCCCAGTGAAGGACAGCACTTTGACTTTGACCCTCTGGCCTTTGCTCACGACATCAGCTACATTGGCCACACGACCCTCCCGCCGGAGCTCAGAGATGTGCACCAGGCCTTCCCACCGCTTCCTGAGGGAGAGCCAGACACATCTGGAACATGCCAAAAAATATTTTTCCCCCAACCAATTTCTACCCTTACTGGAACTAACAAAAGAAAATGGTCTTAAACTCAAGAGAAAAGTACCATGAAGGTGGTCAAACAATAAAATAGTATTAACACTCTCCTCATGGGGAGACATGGGGTGGGGAAGCAAATTCTATCTGTCCCAACAAGCAAAGGACAGATCTCCTGAAGACAGAGAAAGGAATAAATGGCTCTGTAACATTTCAAAAGAGTCAATTTCTAAGAACCATGTATGGCTGATTTGACTAAAGTGTCATTAATCAAAGTAACTTTTTAGAATGTGAACATCCTCAGTGATAAAAGAAATTCTGCCCATCACTGGTGTGAACAAAAGAGCACCAGTCATTACCTTAGTCCTTCCAGCTGCACAAAGCAACCAAACTGCATGATGCTGGTAACTTTGCCATTATAAATGTCACCAATGGTGGGCTCTTCTGGAGGAGGGCGGTCCACATGCTTATCCCGCCATCTATCCAGATTCCGCTCTCCATATTTGTCCCGGTCCTTCCGGTCTTTGGGGGGACTCTGACTCCTGCTCCTGGACCGATATCTAGACTTCACTTTATTCCTCTCCCGGGTCCTGGAACGTGATCGAGAGCGGGATCGGTGTCTCCGCTTGTGGTCTCTATCTCGGTTTCGTTCCCTATCTCTGTCTCGATCTCGGTTTCGATCTCGGCTTCGACTCCGCTTCTTCTTCTTTGTCCTGTCCCTAACAAATCAATAAGCACCTGTTTAAAAAAGAAACCAATCCGATTTCATCTTCGCATCCCCAAGCACCCAGTACAGTGCCATGCACATGGTAGGTACCCACTAGGTTTTGAACTGAATTAGAGTTTCAATAACTACGACATCCCTATAAGCCAATAAAGAATTGAGCCACAAACATATTCAGCCTCTTTCAACCCTGACTTCTATATTCTGAACAACCTAGCATTTGCTACATACACTTAGCAGGAAGCAATGAAAACAGATCCAACAATATGATATATGACCAGTCCAGATTCTGTAAACTTGCCCAAAATTTTGCTTGGCTGGTCCATAATATTCAACTGTCACAGTACCCTAAACTTCCAAAGGACAGGACACTAAGGACAAACCGGTGTTCAGCATCTCTTTGCTTCTCCTGGCCTGCTGCGCTGGGCATTAAAGCTTCCAGTTCTTTCAGGACATCCACAGCAACTTTCACATCATCTTCATCCAACATGGTCTGCAGAGGTAGAGGCCGGCAAAGTTAGGAAAAAAAACTACTCAAGAATCTGTATGTACCTCAGGTACATCTATAAATCACTAATCACTATGTGAGGGAAATAGAAGAGGGGCAGAGATTTCAAACTTGATTCAGGATAGATGCAGAAGAAATGGAAAAAAGGCTCTTGAGAATTACTGCTACATTTGACAAATCCCCTCTGTCCTTAATAGAATTCTATGAAAGGCAGTTAGATATTAATCATCCCTGCCATGAAAGAATGCAAGTGATGATTATATTAATAGAAAACAGGTGTTAAAAATTTTAAAAAGCAACTCTCCCTCTGCACTCTTCCTCCCTACCCCCACTCCAGCTTTATTTTTTTAAATAGCCCTTATTGCTATCTGCTATGTTACATACCTATTTGTTTGTTTATTGCCTATCTCCTCCCCACCAGAATGTTTACATGTTTATTTCCTGCTCCCTACCCCAAAATTAGGATATAATCTCCAAAGGCTGAAACTCTTGTCTGTTCTGTTCACTGCTGTTATCCAGGTACTTAGAACAGTGTTTGGCATACAGTAAGTACTCAATAAATATTTATTAAAATGAAATTTAAAAATCAAAATGCTTTAAAAATTAGACCTTTAACAAGTAACAGAGCAAAAAAAAAAAATCTAATTTCACACCTTAGGCATCTGTTCCAGAACCTTATTTCATATTCCTAATCACTACTTCCCCAAATTCCCAATCTCATTTCCCTTGAATATCATTCTCAGAACCCCTTAACAAATTCAATACATAGTACATGCTCAGGGAGTGATCAAACACTTTCATTCTTAAAAATAAGTTACAACAAAGGCAAACTTAAAATTAATAAAATTACTATGAGACAAAGAAAAGGGGTTGAGAATATATATTTATAGTAGACACTCTTAAAATGGTATCAGTACCCGAACAGAAGGGTTGTCCGGTTGGCAAAGGACTGGGAAGAGTTCCTTCAGCTTTTCTTTTTCTGTTTTAGGTTTAACAACTGGATCTTGTTTCATTAAAGAGCATGAAGGGGTTAAAAAAAGAGATATATATTTAATATTATTAATGATTAACAAAATAACTTCAACAATAGATTTGTATCAAACTGAAACAGAACATGGCATTTTGCTATATATTAATCATACCTGTTACTATAAATGTAATTTAATTTTCTAAATACATTGATCACAAACTATCTCGAAATGTAGCAGAAAGAGGAGTGTAGCAATACTCATTGGGTTATGTCTTATCTTTTTTATTTTGTCTTAAGTCGTTTGAAATTTTTTTTCCCCTTGAAACGGGGAAAAAAACCTCTGTCACTCAGGCTAAAGTACATTGGTGCAACTATGGCTCACTGCAGCTTCACCCTTTTGGACTCAAGCAACACTCCTTCCTTAGCCTCCCAAGTAGCTGGAACTACGGAGGCACGCCATCATGCCTGGCTAATTTTTTTATTTTTTTGTAGAGATGAGGTCTCTCTATGTTGCCCAGGCTGGTCTAAAACTCCTGGGCTCAAGTGATACTCCCACCTTGGCCTCCCAAAGTGCTGGGATTCCAGCAGTGAGCCGCTAGGCCCAGCCCATTTGAAAAATCTTACTGGAACATTTACTTGCTCAGCAACTGCTGAGAGGAAAACAAATGCAATTTACAGGATGTTCAAAACCTACACCATTCTAGAAGCTAAGCTCAGCTGGAAGCTCTGCTTACCTTTGCTAGTGGAAGGCTTCGCTGGAGGCCGCATGGTTTGTATGAGACGCAGCAAGTTACTAATAAGAGAATCCTTTGAAAAGAAACATAGAACGAAAATTGTCAGCTCCCATATCAGTGCTTAAATACACTTAAAAGGCAAAGAATGTCCTGTAGGGAAGGGTGGTTACGCACTTGAATTTAGCTAATTGGAATACATGAAACATAGTGTGTCAACCTGGTGTAGCATGAACCTAGTATAATAGCTTCAGAGAAAGCCGATATTTAGGACTCTTTGGGGAGAAAAGTTATTAGGCTCCCTGCAACCATTTTATTTCCCAAGGTTTAGAACTACCCCCAAAACTTGTTTCCAACTTCCTGACTCACAGAACAAGAATGTAAATACCTACAAAGACTTAATGATGAAAATCCTGCCCTGTTTTCCTAGAGGTATCACAGAAAATCTGGTTAAATCATCACTACTTAATGGCATGAAAACATTACACACTTAATGGCTTATTTAATTGATATGTATAAAATTGTCTCCTTCCTATATCAAAATCCTATATTAAACCCTATCAAAATTTAAAATCAATAGTGACATTAAAACATAAATTATGTAATCCCAGCACTTTGGAAGGCCGAGGCGGGTGGATCACGAGGTCAGGAGATCGAGACCATCCTGGCTAACACGGTGAAACCCCATCTCTACTAAAAATACAAAAAATTAGCCGGGCATGGTGGCAGGCACCTGTAGTCCCAGCTACTTGGGAGACTGAGGCAAGAGAATGGCGTGAACCCGGGAGGCGGAGCTTGCAGTGAGCTGAGGTGGCGCCACTGCACTCCAGCCCAGGCGACAGAGCAAAACTCTGTCTCAAAAAAAAAAACAAACAAACAAACATAAATTAAAACATTAATATCTACAGATTATCTTCTCCACATATACATACCGTAAATTCTGCACCATTTTTGACGAGAGAAGCCTTAAAAGTATCAAAGGTGGTATTTTTCTCAGCAAGACTGATCACAAATTCAGCTGCAAATAAGAAACAGAATTCAGAAAAGAAGAGACATGAACAAGAAATCAGTTTCAAGTATGGTGAAAACAAAACTAATTAGGTTATCCAACAGTAATAAAAAACAAAGACCACCATCTGGTAAGGGTAAAGAGAGAAAATCTGGCCAGGTGTGGTGGCTCATGCCTGTAATCCCAACACTCTGGGAGGCCAAGGCAGGCGGATCACTTGAGGTTAGGAGTTCAAGATGAGCCTGGCTAACACAGTGAAACCCCGTCTCTATTAAAAATACAAAAATTAGCTGGGTGTGGTGGCAGGCACCTGTAATCCCAGCTACTTGGGAGACTGAGGCAGGAGAATCACTTGAACCCGGGAGGCAGAGGTTGCAGTAAGCCGGCATTGCGCCACTGCACTCCAGCCTGGGCAACAGAGTGAGACTCCGTCTCAAAAAAAAACAAAAAAAACAAAACAAGAAAACAAGAGAGAAAATCTAGACTGCTGAAATTATCCACACATATTCTAGAGAATTTATACAAATGAAAGGAAGATATTACTACAAAATGGCTCAATGTAGCCCTTGAGTGCATTTAAACTAGGAAGACCTATTTGACCCACATCATGGTACCCTCTTCTCACAAAACCACTACCTGGGCACGCTGCCACCTAGACTAGACTGTAAAGGTGACAATAAAAAGCATGAGCCCATGTAGACACACAGAGGCACACAACAGAAGGACAGACCCAATCTGTATATGAGGGCCAGGCAGCTGCTGGGTGGTGCAATCTCCACATTGATGAAAGACTTTTTTGCCAAATTTTTCTCCACAAACCTGCCTAGTTCTTCTTTTTTTTTTTTTTAAGACAGAGTCTGGCTCTGTCGCCCAGGCTGGAGTGCAGCGGTGCGATATCGGCTCACTGCAACCTCCACCTCCCGGGTTCACGCCATTCTCCTGCCTCAGCCTCCCGAGTAGCTGGGACTACAGGCGCCCACCACCACGCCTGGCTAATTTTTTGTATTTTTAGCAGAGACAGGGTTTCACCATGTTAGCCAGGATGGTCTTGATCTCCTGACCTTGTGATCCACCCGCCTCAGCTTCCCAAAGTGCTGGGATTACAGGCATAAGCCACTGTGCCCGGCACACCTGCCTAGTTCTTGAAACTTTCTTTTTTTCTTTTTTTTTTCTTTTTTTTGAGACGGAGTCTCGCTCTGTCGCCCAGGCTGGAGTGCAGTGGCGGGATCTTGGCTCACTGCCACCTCTGCCCCCTGAGTTTAAGCGATTCTTCTGCCTCAGCCTCCCAAGTAGCTGGGGCTACAGGCGCATGCCACCATGACCGGCTAATTTTTATATTTTTAGTACAGACAGGATTTCACCATATTGGCCAGGCTGGTCTCGAACCCACGACCTTGTGATTTGCCTGCCTCGGCCTCCCAAAGTTCTGGGATTACAGTCATGAGCCACCGCACCTGGACTTTTTTTATTTTTTCATTTTTTTTTAACAGTCTCACTCTGTCTCTCAGGCTGGAGTACAGTGGTACGATCTTGGCTCATTGCAACCTCCGCCTCTCGGGTTCAAGCAATTCTCTTGTCTCAGCCTCCTAAGTAGCTGGGATTACAGGTGCCCTCCACCACGCCTGGCTAATTTTTGTAGTTTTAGTAGAGACGGGGTTTTGCCACATTGGCCAGGCTGGTCTTGAACTCCTGACCTCAGGTAATCCTACTGCCTCAGCCTCCCGAAGTGCTGGGATTACAGGCATGAGCCACTGTGCCCGGCCTAGTTCTTGAAACTTCTAATATTAGAGCTATTTATTAAGCTACTTTCAGACAGTGGCTCACGCCTGTAATGCCAGCACTTTGGGAGGTTGTGGTGGGCAGATTGCTCGAGCCCAGGAGTTAAAGACCAGCCTGGGCAACATGGCAAAACACCATCTCTACAAAAAATACAAAAATCAGCCGGGGGTGGTGGTATGCATCTGTAGTCCTAGCTACTCGGGAGTAGACTGAGATAATAAGCCTCATACTATGAGACCCACAAAAAAACTGTAATGCTTTCATTTGAATGCTAATCCTAGAAAAGTAAATGAATAAATAACATGAAAGATCTAGATGACTAACTCATAAAGTAGTACTACCATACAATTTCCATCCTGGAATGTGCCTTTATCTTTCTGATAAAGTGAAAGCCAAATGCCATCAGGCTACACGAACACATCTTATGCATAATAAGTTAGTAACGATAATGTCAATGGTTAATACTTTTTGAACATTACTACGTGCCAGGCACTATGCTAAGTGCTTTTTATGGGTTACTTCATGATCCCCAAAACAACCCTCATAAGTAGGTGCTATTATTGTCATGTTTTACAATGAGGAAGCTGACGGTTTGAGACACTGACCTACCCAATAATAACTGGGGGGAGCTAGGAATAAAACCCAGGCAATCTAACTTCAGAGGCTACATTCTTTCAAGAAATGTGGAGGGAGAACTAAGTCCCATGGTGCTAGGCATGTCATGCTCAAAAGAGCCCCTCCCAAAGCAGTCTGAAGCACATTCTCACTGCCAGCCATCAGTAATCTTTTTTTTTTTTTTTTTTGAGACGGAGTCTTGCTCTGTCACTAAGGCTGGAGGGCAGTGGCACGATCCTCTCACTGCAACCTCCCCATCCCAGGTTCAAGTGATTCTCCTGCCTCAGCCTCCTGAGTAGCTAGGATTACAGGCGTGCACCACCACGCCCTGCTAATTTTTGTATTTTTAGTAAGACAGGGTTTCACCATGTTGGTCAGGCTGGTCTCGAACTCCTGACCTCGTGATCCACCCGCCTTGGCCTCCCAAAGTGCTGGGATTACATGTGTGAGCCACTGCGCCTGGTCCCATTAATCAGTATTTTTAATTTTCACAATTATACAGGGGAATTGTTAAATTAACTGAATCCATTATAAAAAATTAATTTATAGTTTAAAAAAATTCATTGGTGAAAACAGTAAAAATAACACTAATTTAAATGATAATCCAGTATTACAGTTCTTTTAGAATTTGTCTAGCAGGTTTTCCAGTTTTCATCGGAAACTCTACTATCTCAACTCTCCCAAAAATTAAATACATAAATTAATAAGTCATCCATCAGGGTCAAAAGCAAAAGAATCAAGTCAGCAAACAAAACATAAAAGAAGCAAATATATGCCTTTCTGTTATTAAACCCAACTCTGCCAATTTAGTTTCAACAAAAGACACTGTCTATTGCATTAAACCAATATTAGTACTTTTTTTTTTTTTTTTTGAAATAAAGTCTTGCTCTTTTCGTCCAGGCTGGAGTGCAGTGATGTGATTTCAGCTCACTGAAACCTCCGTCTCCTGAGTTCAAGCGATTCTCCTGCCTCAGCCTCCTGCATAGCACCAGTCACCATGGCCAGCTAATTTTTGTATTTTTTTTTTTTAGTAGAAATGGCGTTTCGCCATGTTGGCCAGGCTGGTCTCAAACTCCTGACCTCAGGGGATCGGCCTGTCTTGGCCTTCCAAAGTGCTGGGATTACAGGCGTGAGCCACCAAACCCAGCCAATGTTAGTACTTTTAATGTTACTGGTTTTATAATTCTGTATGTAACAGAAAAAGCATATTTGTGGGTTTTCTGCAAATTAATTGAGATCTTTAGCTATAAATAAACTAAAAGATTATGAAGTTTATACTTCGCTCTATTTTTGTACACAAATGAAGTTAACATCAAAACAATTAAACACTGGGGGTTAATGTCAATAACTTTTTTGTTTCTTCTAAAAGGCCAAGGTATTAGGAGTTAAAATGAAAACAGAGAGAAAGGTAAGCTCCCTGAAAGCAGAAATCTGTCTTGTTCTCTGTGGTATGCCTAGCCCCCAGCTCAATATTTGCTGAATAAAGGAAACATATTAACGAGATAGCAAAACCGACGAAATTATCACCTCATTATCAACTAAAAGAGAAGAATCCTGCGGGAAAAGTTATATAGGACAGACACATCTTGGCTGGGAGGCAAGAGAAAAAAGTAAACTAAAATATACTGGCTGCAGGGCATCTTCCTAAATGCTATATGGTGACCCTGTGAAGACATCGTCCCACTTCACAGATGAGAAAAACAGCTTCAGAGAAACTATGAATCTTACCAAAGGTCACTCGTCTAACTTCCCTAACCCCTCCTGTCACCTGCCCCTTCCCTTCCATCCCTCCGGTTGATGACTTTATCTTCATTTAGGAAACTGAAGAGTGGGCTGGAACTCTCTCACTCATCTTCCCACCACCAATCTCTAAACTCATCTGAATCTGCAACTGTATTCTCTGTCCTCGCTCCTGTTACAACTGAAGAAGCCTTGCTGTACGTACCAAAGGTCAATCCATCCATTGGTTGCCCTTGATCCCATCCATCCTCTGTACCTTCATAAAGGCTCCATCTGTCTATGGCTTTAGCTTTAGGACCCTAGCCTTTTCTAATTCCTCAGTTTCGGCTCCCCAGATGTAGTTTGCCCCAAAACATCTAGTGACTGGTGTTTAAGACATAGTACAGGACGCAATGGCTCACGCCTGTAATCCCAACACTTTGGGAGGCCGAGGGAAGAGGACTGCTTGAGCCCAGAAGTTCGAGACCAGCCTGGGCAATACAGTGAGACCCCCGTCTCTACAAAAAATTTAAAAATGAGTCGAGCTTGGTGGCGCCCGCCTGTAGTCCCAGCTACTCGGGAGGCTGAGGTGGGAGGACTGCTTGAGCCCAGGAGGTGGAGGCTGCAGTGAGCCGAGATCGTGCCACTGCACTCCAGCCCGGGAAACAGAGCGAGGCCCTGCCTCAAAAAAGAGTACAGGATGAACGGTCAAAGAACACAGTTAAAAGCACAGACGCTAACTACTATGTCACAGAGTGGCGTGAAGACCAAATAAAATAATGTCAATAAAGAGCTGAGCATCGCATCTAGCACATAGTGAGCACCCAATAAACGTCAGCCATCATCGTCGTCATCGCAGCATCTGCTGCTGTTGTTGTTAAACATGTTTAATTGAGGCTGAAAAAACAAACAAAAAACAATCAAGCAGAGATGACCGCCCCGGGCTTCACTGACAGCTCTGGGAAAGTTTCTAAAGTTTCTCGAGGGCTCTCAAGCCGAGGCCACGGCAGCGTGTACCCTGGGCACCGGTGTCTGCGACAGAGAGAGACAGATTCACACGAACATACTTTCGGTCCATCAACCACCTTTCTCCTTCCTCCTTCCTCCTTCCGCTTCCCTCAATCCCAAACTGAGGTCCCAGGGACCTCCCCGAGCTCACCAAGGTCCTTGTCGTTGATCCCCAAGTGATTGTCCAGCTCAGTGCAAACCTTTGACACCAAAGACAGGTACTCGAGTTTGGCAAGTTCTTCCGCGGGGCCTGGCTCCGACCCGATTAAGGCTCCCGCCATGGCTACAGCCACAGCCATGGCTATAGCTTGCCCAGAACCTCCTTCCTCACAGCCGGCGCTCAGAGCTACTCCGGCCGGGTTCCAGCTTTCACTTCCGGGTCAGCGCGCGTCCCCTTTGTTTACGGTAAATTGAAAATTTGAGGAACGAATCAAGTCCCAACAGGATGGATCATAGAGATCAAACAGGAAGTGCTTAAGGAAGGGACAACTAGAGTGGGTTACTCTGCACGCCGATCTGCGCCCTCTACAGGCGAGAAAAATCTCCGCCCGCCCTCAGGCCTGGAAACGTTCACTCAGCGCGCTCCCGCCCTGGGTCGGCAGAGGGCGACCCCGGCCTGCACAAGAGGCGCCGGGAGGCAACCGCAAAACAGCCTGCGCCTGCGCTTTAGAACACTTGAAAAAGGAATCTTAATGCACGTCTGGAAAAAGACAAACTTGCTTTACTGTGGATCCGCAAATTCCCGGCCTCACTTCTTTGTGGTTCCTGTCGTCCGATCTCAAGTGACCCTTGACAAGCCAGTAGGCAGTAGATTGCCTTCTCTTGTTTTACACACGAAGAAACTGGCACTTCCACTGCCAGCTGGCTGCTTGGGCAAATCAATCTCTGGGGCCTTAGTTTTCTCATCTGTAAACTAGAATAATGTTGCTCTACCCTAAATGGAATAACTGCAAGGAGTGTGACACAGAGTAGGCACACCGCAAATGACAGTTACTGTTAATATCACAAGGCTAGGCCGGGTGCAGTGGCTCACGCCTGTAATGCCAGCACTTTGGGAGGCCGAGGCTGGTGGATCACTTGAGGTCAGGAGTTCCAGACCAGCCTGGCCAACGTGGCGAAACTCCATCTCTACTAAAAATAGAAAACTTAGCCGGGCGTGGTGGTGGTGGGCGCCTGTAGTCCCAGCTACTCGGGAGGCTGAGGCACAAGAATCGCTTGAACCCAGGAGGCAGAGGTTGGAGTGACCTGAGTTCACACCACTACACTCCAGCATGGGCGACAGAGTGAGACTTTGTCTCAAAAAAAAAAAAAAAAAAATTCAAGGCTGAGATGATGGTCACAGAACTGGCCTCTGGTCTGTCAAGCACAGATCCCCTTAGTCTGGGAACCCACAGAGCCAGCTGCCTCCACTCTTGTGAAAACCTGCTTTTCAATCCCCAGTTTTCCTGTGTCCTCTCAGAACTTATTCCCCCAGGGGCTGGGCACTGTGGCTCACCCCTGTAATCCCAGCACTTTGGGAGGCCGAGACGGGCGGATCACTTGAGGTCAGGAGTTCAAGACCACTCTGGCCAACATGGTGAAACCTCGTCTGTACTAAAAATACAAAAATTAGCTGGGCGTGATGGTATGTGCCTGTAGTCCCAGCTACTAGGGAGGCTGAGGCGGGAGAATTGCTTGAACCTGGGAGGTGGATGTTGCAGTGAGCTGAGATCTCGCCACTGCACTCTAGCCTGTGCGACAGAGTGAGACTCCGTCTCAAACAAACAAAACACACACACAAAAACAACAACAAACCTTATTCCCCCAAATATCAGCTGTGCTGTAAGTCCAAGGTCATAAGCTCAGGTCTCCCAACTTCTGCTTCAGGTCTTTTTTACCTTTGTGGCAACCTTAATGTGGGATGGGGATTTTTCCCACACTCCAGTGCTCTGTGTGATGAGTAAGGAAACAGAAGCACCCTAAAGTGAATGGCTCTCCAATCAATCGGAAGGAGGAAATCAGTCTCCCACTTTTCACTTTGGCAACATTTTTACACTGGTGTACCTTTGGACTCTGTTTCTTCAACATCTCATCATGGACTGAAAAATGACAGGCAGAGAAAAACCCAGCCATTGTTCTCACTGTCTCCAGAAGCTCCAGGTTTCCAGGTTCCTAAGGAATCACTACTAAACCCTCTGAGTTCTTCCTACCCCTCCCCATTTCGCTTCCTCTTTCTCCCCATGAATAGAATGGAAAACTCTGCACTTGATCCAATGTGCTCAATTTGCCAGCTTGGAGTTACGATTTCAAGGGCTTATTCTATCTGATGTTCATTCTCTGTGCTTCTTTCTCTTTAAAAATTAATATTACTATTCTGCTTTCCTCCAATATTTAACCGGAAGGAGGAACAGATAGGGAGTTTGTTTTGTTTTCAAAGCTCTGTCAGAATAGGGGCTATGGAACCATAACATGTAGCAGCAGTAGTAGCAATAAATACTAGAATTAATAAATACTAAATGTTAGAATTGTTTGGGAATTATTGAACATATATATCAATAGTAAATATTAACAGCAAAACATTACATTTTATTTAGATATGCCATTAACTGCACATTTTAAGAAGTGACAGTTTTTCTGCAATATACATATTTCTTGCAACACCAAAAATTTCTTTGAAGCCAAAGGAAAACAAATAGTTATGTAGATACAGATAACTTGACAGCCCAAACACAGATGCACATGGAATCCTCCTACTCTTCCTCCCCATAAGAGACCGTGAATCGAACGCAGTGCAAAAGTAAATGTTTCCGAACTGTCCTCTGGATAGAATATTTTTCAACATAATATCAGATATAATTAATTTTCATTATTAGGTCGGGTGCAGTGGCTCACACCTGTAATCCCAGCACTTTGGGAGGCTGAAGCAGGCAGATCGCCTGAGGTCAGGAGTTCGAGACCAGCCCGGCCAACATGGTGAAACCCCGACTCTACTAAAACTACAAAAATTAGTCGGGCGTGGTGGCATACACTTGTAGTCCCAGCTATTCGGGAGGCTGAGTCAGGAGAATTGCTTGAACCCAGGAGGCGGAGGTTGCAGTGAGCCAAGATCACGCCAATGTACTCTAGCCTGGGCGACAGTGATACTCTGTTTCAAAAAATAAAATAATAATAATAAATTTCCATTATTATTGTATGACTTTCCTTGGACAGCCTCCATGTGGCCCTTTAATAGCCCAGTAAATAATTTACCTCTACATATAACTTATGCTCATACTACCCATATCACCACTCATGATGGATAAGAAATTATTTCCTGATACCAAACTTGTAGTAACAGGGATGTTACTTTTCTGCCTGTTCCTAGACTTATAGATGTGTTTAACCCTACCCCCGATTTCCATGTTATTTCTGCTCTGTCCCAGAGACTGGTCCCAGCTGCTGGAATTTGGGAAAGAACTTGGGGGTTGGGATGAGGTAGAAAGCAGAGAGAAAGTACTGAACCTCTTAGCAACATCAGGTTGAGTTGGTAAGGGAGAAGAAATTATCTAAGTACGTGTAGCTGAAAGACAGCATCCTTAGGGAAGTTTGTGAGAAAAATCATAGGGCTTTCTGTCAAAACAGTGTTGCCACAACCCAGACAACCCTGGCCTTTTCTGCTGGGGTAAAATGGATCTTAGGGGAGACATCTCTGCTCTAGGAGGCAAAATCAGAATGGTTTGCTTCTAAGCATATGACTACCACTCAACTGTTACTGTCATTCATGCAGGGAGACTTCAGAAAGAGTGGCCCCTTCTTCCCTGCTCCACTTGGGCCCTGACCCAACCAGAGAGCCTGGGAGCCCCCAGAGAAAGTAAAATTCCTTATTTTTCACTGTTTGACTTTTCCCCAGAATTCATCTCCAAATTTGGACCAACTTATTAAATTTGTATTAAACTTCAACCTTGTGACCAGGCACTGTGGCAGGTTCTAAAAAGGATAGGAGGTCTGAAAGTGGAAAAACATCAAGGAAGAACTAGAATACTCTGAATGCCATTCTCAGCCAAGGGGTCTCCTGGCAGAGCTGTGTTTATAACTTAGATCTCTGCTGCCTAAACATGAGGGCAGGTGATTGGAAGACAGAAAAAAAAAAAAAAAAGCTGGTCTGTTTACCGTCATCTGAGGGCAGGCAGATTGGGGTTGGAGGGCAAGTCTACTTCACAGGGCAGTTTATCCTGTTGCAATCTGTTATTTGTTTGCCTTATTTTCTAATACCCAAGCGCAGCCTCATTTTTGCGCAAAACATTCCTGACCTACAGTTCCCTCTCTTTTTAGGCCATCAACCTGCCATCAGCAATAACAGATGCTTTAGATTCTAAATTCTCCAAGGCTTTATAGTATTAGGCAAAAAAAAAAAAAAAAAAATGTTCTTCCTAAGCAGATTTTTTTTTTGGTATAGTCAAGTTTCCCATTTCTCTTGCATTTTAAGACTCTTCAAAATGTCAGGCAAAAACAAACACAAAGCCAGGCACCCAGACACCATTATGATATGAACTTGTCAAGAAAATGGTATTCCCCCATCTCGGCCTCTCCACCTTCTGTGGAAATGGCAAGGAATTTTTTCATATTTATTTATCAGTTTTTCATCTTTTTTCTTTTTTTCTTTTTTCTTTTCTTTTTTTTTTTTTTTTTTTTTTTTTTTTTTGAGATGGTGTCTTGCTCTGTTGCCCAGGCTAGAGTGCAGTGGCACAATCTCGGCTCACTGCAAGCTCTGCATCCCGGGTTCACACCATTCTCCTGCCTCAGCCTCCTGAGTAGCTGGGACTACAGGCGCCTGCCACCACGCCCAGCTAACTTTTTGTATTTTTAGTAGAGACGGGGTTTCCCGTGTTAGCCAGGATGGTCTCGATCTCCTGACCTCGTGATCTGCCCGCCTCAGACTCCCAAAGTGCTGGGATTACAGCCATGAGCCACTGCGCCAGTTACTCATCTTTTAAGCGACCTTGATTCAGGATCTAGTTGGTATTTTTTAGACTTAGTTTAGGTTGATTTTATTTAAAAAGAAAAACACTGGGCTGGGCACGGTGGCTCACCCCTATAATCCCAGCACTTTAGGAGGCCAGGGCAGGCAGATCACCTGAGGTCAGGAGTTCGAGACCAACCTGGCCAACATGGTGAAACCAAGTCTCTACTTTAAAAATACCAAAATTAGCCAGGCATGATGGTGGGCGCCTGGAATCCCAGCTACTCGGGAGGCTGAGGTAGGAGAATCGCTGGAACCTGAGAGGTGGAGTTTGCAGTGAGCCGAGATCGTGCCATTGCACTCCAGCCTGGGCGACAGAATGAGACTCTGTCTCAAAAAAAAAAAAAAAAAAAATGGCCAGGCATGGTGGCTCACACCTGCAATCCCAGCACTTTGGGAGGCCAAAGTGGGAGGATTGCTTGGGGCCAGGAGTTGGAGACCAGCCTCGACAATAAAGCAAGGCTCCATCTCTATTAAAAATAATAAAGAACAAGAAAACAATTTTAATCCATATTATAAGTATGAATGACAAAGTGACAAGTTACACTGGGCTTTTTCTGTTTTCCCCCTCCCTAATGATATTTAGCCTCTGCTCCAGGGTACTAGGGATTTTTGTAGTATCTGGTTTCTATTTGAGGTAATTTCTTCAGAAATTAATAAGGATTTCCTCAGGAGAAATGCAAAAACAAAAACCAAGACAAACCAAGGAATGAGTTGATGGGAAAAGATGAGAGAAGAGGAACTGAAGTTCTGAAGTTCTGTTGATGTTCTGTTTGCAAGTCAAACATGTCAACAGCTGGGCAGTGTGGGCTGTGCAGTGAGCCGAGGGCCAAAGCTCTGTCTTAAGCCACAGGCTTGCCACTAACACAGAAGAAACTGCTCCTCCAGGATCTCCATTTCTCCCAAGTAAAGGATAATGGGCTCCGAGCACACCCTCCACCCCAAATCTAAGAGTGTCCTGGCAGAACCAGCCATATGCAACTCTTTCCCCAGCTCTCAGGTAGAACAGCTTTGGCGGTACAAATAGCTGCTGCCCTTGTGCCAGAATAGCAAGTCCCTTCGTCTTGGGATTACAGTAATTATGGTGATTTATGCCTCCAGAGTGAAAATTAGCAATCTGGTGAGGTAACTAAAAATGAATGCATCTCTTCCCAGAGTTCACTCCACCCAGCTGAGCCACCGAATAAAACCAGCATATGGGGCAATTAGAGAGCCAAGTGCTGCTTTCAAAATGCAGTATAAAGAGACAGAGTTCAGGGGCCCAGGTTCCCCTGCCTGGTTCAATAATGATCACAAGTTCCTAACAAGCGTCCTCTTTGCCTCACAATACCATGCCAAGTCTGAGTCCTCCCGTAAACACCAACCTGCAGTTGTGTCTTTCAAGCAAAGTAATTTGTTCCACGACATCACCACTTTACCTTTTTTAAATTATTATTATTGCAAATTGACTGAGGGAGGGGAAAGGGGGAAGTGAGGATAAACCTCTATTACATGGATACGTGTGAAGCAAAGGTTTTTTTTTCCTTCTTAGCCATACATTTGCTTTTATGTGACACAGACTCTGATCTTACCTAACTTCCACAGTCTACTATCAAATACTGGTGACAGTAGAATTTATATTAAAAGTTTTGCTGGGCATGGTGGCTCATGCCTGTAATTCCAGCACTTTGTTTTATTTATTTATTTATTTAGAGACAGAGTCTCGCTCTGTCCCAGGCTAGAGTGCAGTGGCACCACCATGGCTCACTGCAACCTCAACCTCCTGGGCTCAAGCAATCCTCCTCCCTCAGACTCCTGAGTAGCTGGGACTACAGACATGTGCCATCATGCCCAGCTAATTTTTGTAATTTTTGTAGAGGTGGAGTCCGTGTTGCTCAGGCTGGTCTCAAACTCCTGGGCTTAAGGGATCCAACCACCTTGGCCTCCCAAGGTGGTGGGATTACGGATATGAACCACCACACCCAGCCATTCTTAGTACTTTGGGAGGCTGAGGCAGGAGGATCCCCCGAGGCCAGGAGTTCAAGACCAGCTTGGTCAACATAGTAAGAACCCCCGTCTCTACAAAAAATTTAAAAATTAGCTGGGCATGTAGCTCATGTCTGTAGTCCCAGCTATTTAGGAGGCTGAGGCCGGAGAATTGGTTGAGCCCAGGAGTTTGAGGCCGCAGTGAGCTATGATGTCACCACTGCACTCCAGCCTGGGTGATAGAGTGAGATCCTGTCTCAAAAAAAACAAAATTTTTTTTTGAAAGACATATAGGTCCAATAGTGATTGATTATCCTTATCATTGAGCACATGCAGAAATTCCTAAAATAGTCCAAGTCTATCCCCATGGACTTGGACTTGATGGGACTTCATATGTAACAAGGATAGATTGGGGTCACACTGTCAGCCACTTGGAAATTTGGATGTAAGTGCAGTATTCACTCATTCATATTTCTCATAGAGTTTTAGAGTTGAAAGGGGTTTAAGAGGTAATATAATCAAACCCACACATTAGATTCTATCATTATTTAAAGTGGCTTGACTTCTAAATCTCATTCTGTGAAATTCCCTCTGACCCAACTTATTCTTTTTCTTTTCTTTTTATTTTTCCTACCTCAGGTTTATTTGAGGACCCCAGCCCCGTGCAGATGGCAGCCCGGGGGGTATCGCACCAATCCTTCTGTACTCACGTTGGCAGACAGAGATACCTACTCTGAAGCCTTTGTAGGGGCCTGGGCACCTTTGGGAGCCTGAGCTGGAACTGAAGCTGGAGCTGCAGCCTGGGCCTTGGTTTGATCCTTGGCCTTGGCCTTTGGCCAGCACAGCCTGAGCCCCTTGGCAATGCGGGCACGAGCCCGCTTCCCAAGCTTGGGGTGGGCAATGTAGGCAAGTCGATCGAGCTTGCAGCTGACACCCTTTGGGATCTTGAGCTTAACCTCCTTGGGCTTTACGAGGGCCTTGATAACCTCAGCACGTGCACTCATGGCCTTGTCACTGTTGGCCTGCATCTTCTTTAGGACCTTCTTGTTTTGCTTCTTGGCAAAGCACATGTTCCTCGGGAACTTGGGGTCCATCCCCTTAAGAGATTCATATCTTCGTGATCGGGGTTTCTTGATACCATTTCTGTGCCTTTTTCGGGACTGGTTGTTTGTGCTGTGGTTCTTGGACTTGGCCATGTCTGCACCTTAAGCTGTGGCTCCTGAAGCACCTAGAACTGGAAATATTCTGCTTTTTCTCTACCACTGAACATTTCATGTTGTCTCTAAGTCATTCATCTACACTTTTCTCTCCAATTATCAGCACTCTTTTCATTTCACTCATATTTCCTCCTGGCCTAGATCTCATGCTCAGCCATTTTGAAATTTGCTCATAAATGCCAAGGATTTCTTCCCTTCACTGGTTTTCTACTGCCCGTGTTTTCCCAGCCCCAGCTGGCTCCTATTGCCCTGTTTCTCCCCTCCCACACTGCAGGATATTGCTGGAGAAAGTCCCAAGGTCACGCTGGTTTGACCCAGTATAGATTCACAATTCCAAACCTCACCTGGGCTTCATTTGGGCTTTTTTTTTTTTTTAGATGGAGTTTCCCTCTTGCTGCCCAGGCTGGAGTGCAATGGTGTGATCTCAGCTCGCTGCAACTGGCTCACTGCAACCTCCGCCTCCCAGGTTCAAGTGATTCTCCTGCCTCAGCCTCCCGAGTACCTAGTATTACAGGCGCCCGCCACCATGCCTGGCTAATTTTTTGTATTTTTGGTAGAGAGGGGGTTTCACCATGCTGGCCAGGCTGGTTTTGAACTTCTGACCACAGGTGATACAGCCGCCTCGGCCTCCCAAAATGCTGGGATTACAGGCATGAGCCACGGCGCCTGGCCTGGGCTCTTTTTGACGGTGGCTTTCTATACAGTGTTGCCTAAGACTTCTCAACTCCCTTAAGCCCAAAATCCACCCCTGCCACACTTATTATAAGACCTCATTTTCTACTTACAGGGAAGATGGAGGTCATTCAAGACCCCACCCCCACCCCTGCCATCACCTTTATCTTAGAATTAGTCCATATCTTTACCTTCTGTCTCTAGGAACATCTCTTCCCCTGCAGAAAGCACATGCCTCATCTCATCCCCCTCCACTGATGACTCCTCTCATCCCTCATGTTCTTACCCTTTTTCTCTCTCCTTACTTCTTACCCTCTTCCCACAAACATGCTCAATTCTGCATCAACCTAAAAATAGAAAATCTTTTCCCAGCTGGGCACAGTGGCTCACGCATGTAATCCTAGCACTTTGGGAGGCTGAAGCAGGTGAATCGCTTGAGTACAGGAGTTCCAGACCAGCCAAGGCAACATGGTGAAATCCCATCTCTATAAGAAATACGAAAATTAGCTGGGTGTGGTGGTGGGCACCTGTAGTCCTAGCTACTCAGGAGTCTGAGGTGGGAGGATCATCTGAGCCCGGGAGGGTGAGGCTGCAGTGAGCTGTGATTGTGCCACTGCACTCCAGCCTGGGTGACAGAGTGAGACTCTGTCTCATAATAAAATAAAATAAAATAAAAATACAGAAAATCTTTTCCGTATCTGCTTCTCCCTCAATGTGCTACCCCTTCTCTTTTTCCTGATACAACCAGAGTTTAGGGAAGAGTAATCTGTACTTAAAGCTCTCCCCCAACCTCCACTTCCAACTTATTTCCTCAACCACTGACCATTTGCTTCTATCCTAGTGGTGTTATTCATTTATGTATTCGCTCACTCAACAGATAGTTGTCAAGAACCCTCTGTACGCCAGTAATTGTCAAAACTTCTGTCTCAGAGAGTTTACCAGTTACCTCCTGATCCCATAGTTCTCAAACTTTGCTGTGCATTGGAATCACTTGGTATTTTTTTAAAATCCTGGTGCCTGAGTCCCACCCTGAGATAGTCTGAATTAATTGGCCTGGGTGTGACCTGGGCTTCAGGACTTTTTTTTTTTTTTTTTTGACAGAGTCTAGCTCTTTTGCCCAGGCTGGAGTGCAGTGGTGTGATCTTGGCTCACTGTAACCTCTGCCTCACGAGTTCAAGTGATTCTCCTGCCTCAGCCTCCCTAGTAGCTGGGATTACAGGTACATGCCACCACGCCCGGCTAATTTTTGTGTTTTTAGTAGAGACGGGTTTTCACCATGTTGGCCAGGCTGGTCTCGATCTCCGGACCTGAAGTGATCTGCCGGCCTCAGCCTCCCAAAATACTGGGATTACAGGCGTGAGCCATCAGGCCCAGCCTGTCCTAATCTCCTAGTGCAGGGTTTTTCAACCTCAGCACAATTGCTATTTTGGGCCAGGATTATTCTTTGTTGTTGGGGGTTTTCCTATGCATTGCAGAGTGTTTAGCAGCACCTGTGTCCTCTAATTTCTAGATGATAGAAGCACACACATTTCCTTTCACAGTCATCACAAACCAAAAATGTCTCCAGACATGGCCAGATGTCCCCTGGAAGTGGCAAAATAGGCCCTGGTTGAGAAGCACTGCCCTCGTGTCTTCAGTTCTCCTCCTCCTTGATCTGTCTGTAACACTGTGAAACCCCTTTCAGAAGCCTCTCGTTATTAAAAAAATTTTTTTATAGAGATGAGGTCTTGCTATGTTGCCCAGGCTGGTCTTGAACCTCAGCCTCCCAAAGTGCTGGGAGCACAGGCATGAGCCACTGTGCCTGGACTTTTTAAAAAAATATGGAACATTTCACGAATTTGCACATCATCCTTGCACAGGGGACATGCTAATCTTCCTGTATGGTTCCAATTTTAGTAAATGTGCTGCTGAAGCAAGCGCTCTCCTTTCCTTTGGCTTTCACAGCACTGTTCTCTGTGACTCAGTATGGAAGGACATAGTGATATTCAAAAGATGTTTGTAGAATGGATCTAGAAGTTGCTCATGTGTATTTGGCTCACCTCTGATTGGCCACTTATCTGTACGGGAGACTGGAAATGTAATCTTTATTGTGGGTCTAGCATGAGTTTAGCTAAAGACCAGGGTTCTAGTCCTACAGTACATCCAGGTCATACTTTTAACTCGTTTTCTCCTTCCCACTGCCTGGAAGTACAGTTACAGTAGTGTTAAGCCATCTTGGACAATGTGAGCAAAGGCATGACCCTGGGCTTGGTGGAGCAAAAAGATAGGAGAAACCTGAGTCGCTGACGTCCCAGAGCCACCACACCAACCCTAGACTGCTTACTCTTGAATTATGTGAAAAAGAAAAAAAAGGCCAGGCGCGGTGGCTCATACCTGTAATCCCAGCACGTTGGGAGCCCAAGGCGGGTGGATCACGAGGTCAGGAGTTCAAGACCATCCTGGCCAAGATGGTGAAACCCCGTCTCTACTAAAAACACAAAAATTAGCCAGATGTGGTGGTGAGCACCTGTAATCCCAGCTACTCGGGAGGCTGAGGCAGAGAATTGCTTGAACCCAGGAGGCAGAGGTTGCAGTGAGCAGAGATCGCGCCACTGCACTCCAGCCTGGGCGACAGAGTGAGACTTCGTCTCAAAAAAAAAAAAAAAGAAGAAAAAAAAAGAGAGAGAGAAAAAAAAACCCTCTGTCTGGTTTAAGCCTACCATTAATAGGGTATCATGACTGCATTACCTGAACCTACATCCTAGTAAGTAGACCCAATCAGGTTCAACTTTCACTTTCAGCAGCTCTCAGATCTATATGTCCACCGAAACACTCCCAAGATCCAATCCCACATTTCAGCTACCTTCTGGACTCTCCAGCTGAATGTCCAACTAGAATCTTAAAACCTAGGACGTACATTTAAAACCAAAGTTGGCTGGGTGCGGTGGCTCATGCCTGTAATCTCAGCACTTTGGAAGGCTGAGGTGGGCGGACCACCTGAGATCAGGAGTTCAAGACCAATCTGGCCAACATGGTGAAACCCCGTCTTTACTAAAAATACAAAAATTAGCCAGGTGTGGTGGTGGGTCCCTGTAATCCCAGCTACTCTGGAGGCTGAGGCAGGAGAATCACTTGAATCCGGGAGGAGGAGGTTGCAGTGAACCGAGATGGCGTCACTGCACTCCAGCCTGCGCGACAGAGCGAGACTCCATCTCAAAAAAAAAAAAAAAAATTAAATTAAAAAAGGGCAACCCATTTTCCAAGTCACCTAGGCTCCAAATCTGTGATACCTCCCCTCTTATGACCTCTACATCCAATAAATAGCCCCCCAACAACCTTAGTCCCCTGCACTCTCTGCATGCCCCATATCCTTCAACCAAATCAGACCACTTGCTTATCCCCATTCCTGAATATCCCATTCTGCTTCTAGAACTATTGCAGATTCTGTACTTAACTCTACTGAAAGTCCATACCCAGTAGGCCCTTCTCTTTAAAGGCATGTCTGAGTCATCCCTCAGAAGTCCATCTCAAAGCCTTGTATGAGGTAGGTATGCAAAGCAAGTGTTTTTCAGATTGAAGAAATAAAGTGGTTTGCCCCAAGCCACGTGGCTAGTTACAAATGTTCTGCCATATGATGGAGTCTGCACATTCAGATGATAGACACTATATTTCCTCCTTTCTTTATTGGGCTTACAATGTCATAAGGATATGGACTTCTTAGGAAAAGGTAGTGATTTGAGGAATTCTAAACTACAATTTAAATAACCATCCTGCTATTTTGAGCCTTTGGCATACCATACACTATAATTTTGTCGCTGTGTCTGTGTAACACAAGATAACTGATATAAGCATTTTATATATGTTCATGGGTTAGATGTGAATCTTTATCCAAACATGCTGTAGCCTGCCTGATTCCTTATGGGCCAGGAAGGCATTTAGAATACTAAGATATATTTCCAATTGTGCTTGCTCAGATCAAATTGAGAATAATTGTGGGATCCCTGGGTGAATTTTAAACAAATCAGAGGGTAACACAGCCAATATTTGAGCCACGTAGCTGGCTCTTACAATGAAATGTCTATAGCCAACCTTGTTTGTGTGCTCATGATTTTTTTTTAAAAGATGTGTGGAGCCATTGGAGAAAGAAAGTAAAGCAGTATTTTTTGAGTACCTACTTAGGCATGTGACTAGATACTTTGACCATTATTACCACGACCCTAAAAGTAGATAGGAACTACAAGAAGATACAGGGAGGTGGAGAGACAGGCAGCAAGGCCATTTGGCCAGACCTCAAATGATGGGGCCTCAATTTTGGTTGCTTTTGAGAGGCAAATTTGAGCAGAGCTGGTTTAAGCCTTGAACTATATCCTTCAGTTCTTTCTAAGAGCCATATTGCCCTCAGTTGCCAAGGCCTGATCTAGTCTTTCACAGTACCTGTAAATGCCAGCTGGGTTTGTGATCAAGAAACTGTTACCTTGGCCACTTAAGAGACAGTGCTCAAAGCTATTATAATTTCTGCTTATGATAACTTTCTTCCTCCGGAACATAGAGAAATATGCTCTTTGGATGTCATTCAGCTATTTCCATAAATATAAAAGAAAATGATTAATTGCACATATTCTTATATATTATAAATTGCATACATAATGATATCTATTTTAATGTATTGGTTTATGATAGCTTGAAATTCCTGATTTATCTCTTTTTTTTTTTTTTTTTGAGACAAAGTCTTGCTCTGTCGCCCAGGCTGGAGTGCAGTGGCCAATCTCGGCTCACTGCAATCTCCACCTCCCGGGTTCACGCCATTCTCCTGCCTCAGCCTCCCAAGTAGCTGGGACTACAGACACCTGCCACCATGCCCAGCTAAGTTTTTGTATTTTTTTTAGTAGAGATGGGGTTTCACCATGTTAGCCAGGATGGTCTTGATCTCCTGACCTCGTGATCCGCCCGCCTCGGCCTCCCAAAGTGCTGGGATTACAGGCGTGAGCCACTGTGCCCGGCCTTATTTCTTAAATTCTTTATAATTTTCTACATTTCCCCTTTATTAGCTTTAAACATAATTTACATAAAACAGAACAATTTCACATTCAATTATGTTCTTATATACTTACAGTAGTATTTTTGGGTTTTTTTTTTTTCAGTTCTGTAATAATATTATTCAGATAAGTTTGATTTGTTTTTGTTTTTGTTTTTGCTTTTTTTTGTTGTTTTTGTTTTGTTGTTGTTGTTGTTTTTGAGATGGAGTCTCGCTCTGTCGCCCAGGCTGGAGTGCAGTGGCACGATCTCAGCTCACTGCAAGCTCCGCCTCCTGGGTCCACACCATTCTCTTGCCTCAGCCTCCCGAGTAGCTGGGACTACAGGCGCCTGCCACCACGCCCTGTTAATTTTTTGTATTTTTAGTAGAGACAGGGTTTCACTGTGTTAGCCAGGATGGTCTCGATCTCCTGACCTCGTGATCTGCCCACCTTGGCCTCCCAAAGTGCTGGGATTGCAGGCGTGAGCCACCGTGCCCGGCCTATGTTTTGTTTTGTTTTTGAGACAGGGACTCACTGTGTCACCCAGGCTGGAGTGCAGCGGCATGATCACAGCTCACTGCAGCCTTGGACTCCTGGGCTCAAGCAACCCTCCCACCTCGGTCTCCCAAAGCACTGGAATCACAAGGAAAAACCACCACACTCAGTCCCAGGATTTTTGAAACTGGAATTGAGGGAAGAAACCAGGCCTTCTTTGATAGTGAAGCTAGATCCATGAGATACGAGAGATACCAAAAGCCATGATCCCCTCTCTGGGGAAAAAGCTGGACTGAAAGAATAAAGCCAACATGTGGGGAGGGGAACAAACAAAACCAGGAGAAAGTATCCTGGAGACATTTTAGTCCTCATTCCAGTTATCCCTTATTCTAGATGCCCTACGATCCTACCACTACATTCTCCTTTTTGCCCAAGCTGAGTCAAGCCATCTTTATATAACTAGTAACTGGCAGAGCAAAGAGGCCTGGATGGGTAAGTCTGACTCCTGAGCCCATGCTGTTTTCGCTGCAGGAGACCAAGTTTCATCTAATCACTCAGATCTTATCCCTGACAACATGGGAATCAACAGCACAAAGGTACCAAACCCAGCCCTTCAACTTCACGTGACTCATACCCACTTTAGCCTCAATCTTCTACAGAATGTGGGAAGCTGGTGTCCTCACTGGTGTTGTACATTTCAAGATGACACATGCATCTAGGGGCATGGGTTCAGAAGGAAATACTACACTCCCAGCTGTGTGTCTACACCGAACTTAGATGGGGTATGGTGAATAATCAGCCGCACAAAGCCACACCCAGGCAAGCTTGTACATACTTGAAAGAGTAAGAGAATGTGGAAAATCTGAATTAAGGCAAAGGTAACAGGCCTCTACATGGTTATATTCTTTGCTGCTCCCAATATACTTTCCCATGTTGTCTTGTTTTGAGTCTTATGGCAATCCTGGAGGGACAAAGAGCAGGTATAGTATCAACTACATTTTACAGAAAAGAAAACTATGAAAAAACAGTTGCCACAGTGCCAGGGCAGAGCAGATGCTCAGTAAACTCCTTCCTCCATTCCATGCGGTTTGGATGCTCAGTGACCATATGATGCATGAACAAATGTGGCTCAGTGGCATGAAGTGACTCATCCAGTGTGACACAGCTAATAAGGGGGCAGAGGAGGCACTTAAACTTGGATTATCTCGCCCTGGGCCACACTACACAAAGCTACATCCCAAACTGTGAGCATTTCTATCCGCTTCTTGAATTCGTGGACTGCAAGTTCAGAGACCTTAATTCCCCACTGCATGAAAGAGGCTTTCTCATGCCTGCCAGCCCTGCAGAAAATTC
The DNA here is from genome assembly GCF_000001405.40 of Homo sapiens. Taxonomy (NCBI): domain Eukaryota; kingdom Metazoa; phylum Chordata; class Mammalia; order Primates; family Hominidae; genus Homo; species Homo sapiens. Next base: position 43,468,662 of record NC_000017.11, on the reverse strand, counting down.
TTCAAATAAATGCTTGCTGGCCCTTGAAATTATTAGATCTTCCAGCATTGAAATATCTTGATTCTCAAGCAAGCTGTATCAGAAACCGATGGCTCGAGCACAAAAACGCTCAAGAAAAAAAAAAAAATGAATACCACAGGAGCTAGCAAGTAATTTATGAACCAGACACGTGGCCCAGTCTCCCTTTGCTGCTCCCAGTGGTATTTGAAGCTAATTTGAGGAGGCAGCAGGACATTCCATTGCCTGAAACCCATGGAGGGGAAAACCCTGCCCTTCTATTAGTAGGCAATCCCAGCAGTAGAAAAACATGATTTCTCCTGATGAGCACATGAAGATGATTCAGGCCTGTCCTTGCTTTATTCCCTTCCCACCAAAAGAATATCAGTTCCGATATCACATGCAGAAATTAGATCAAAATGTAAGTGGGGGCGGAGGCAGTGCTGTCACTTGGGGAATCTCCCTCGGCTGAAGTTGCAGAAGCTCTCGCTGCACCCACGGGGAGACATCTGTCATTGACTTTCCTGGCACCTGACAGATGCTCCTGTTCCCTGGGCAGGCAGAATCAGCTGGGTGTGAATATCTAACTCAAATCTGTCTTGGACCATCTGAGTTCCTGGCTGGATTCCAACCAGACCCAATCCTGAGGAAATAAATAGAATAATCCTCATGGGGAGATAATTTCCTCCTTTGGACAGACTCTTCCAGGTCAACCAAGACCAGCCTGGGATCCCTGTCAGCTTTGGGAAAAATGAGAACTCAAGTGTATCCCAGGTCACAGGGTGGCTGGAGGCATTTGGTCATACAAGCAAGCAAGCAAATGAGAAAAGCAACTGAGCACCCAGTATGTGCGAGGTGCTGTGGAAGATTCAACAGTGGCGAAAAGCCTTCTTCTTTTTTTTTTTTTTTTTTTTTTTTGAGACAAGGGTCTTGCTCTGTTGCCTAGGCTGGAGTGCAGTGGCACAATCATGGCTAAGTGCAACCTCCCAGAAAAGTCTTCTTTTTTTTTTGAGACAGAGTCTTACGCTGCCACCCAAGTTGGAGTGCAGTGGTGGTTGGAGTGCACTGCAACCCTTGCCTCCTGGGCTCAAGCAATCCTCCCACTTCAGCCTCTGGAGTACCTGAGACTACAGACTACAGGTGTGCACCACCACACCTGACTAATTTTTTTTTTTTTTTTGTAAGGTCTCACTATTTTGCCCAGGCTGGTCTCGAACTCCTGGGCTCAAGTGATCCGCCCGCCTTGGCCTCCCAAAGTGCTGGGATTACAGGTGTGCACCACTGTGCCTGTCTGGGAAAAGCCTTCTTTTTATAATCTAGAGAGGAGGTAAATCACATAATGGCAATTAATTCATTTAATAGACATTCTTAGAACATCCACCAAGAACAAGTACCAGGAAAGATGAGAACATGCTGGAAAGGATTTTTTGTATCTTTTGTAGAGACAGAGCCTCACTATGTTGCCCAGGCCAGTCTCAAACTTCCGAGCTTAAGCAATCCTCCAGCCTTGGTCCCCTCAAGTGCTGGCATTACAGGCTTGAGCCACCACGCCCGGCCAGGAAAGGATTTTGAAGCAGGGCTTCTTAGGACAGCTAAACTTTGGTTGATCACTCAAACCTCAAGTGAAGACACTGGATTTTAAATCATGTCAGTCCCCCTACGTTGGTAAGCAGTCTCCAGATAATTTATTGATACTTGCCAAAATCATCAGGAGATGAACTTAGAAATCAGAAGGCCAAGTTGACCATTTATAATGAGGGCAAAGCTTTCCAGTGCTAGCAGGACTCCAGCCTAAAATTACACAGGCTCGGCCGGGCGCGGTGGCTCACACCTGTAATCCCAGCACTTTGGGAGGCTGAGGCGGGCGGATCACGAGGTCAGGAGATCAAGACCATCCTGGCTAACACGGTGAAACCCCATCTCTACTAAAAATACAAAAAATTAGCCAGGTATGGTGGCAGGCACCTGTAGTCCCAGTTACTGGGGAGGCTGAGGCAGGAGAATGGCATGAACCCGGGAGGCGGAGCTTGCAGTGAGCCGAGATCTGGCCACTGCACAGAGCGAGACTCCGTCTAAAAAAAAAAAAAAAAAATTACACAAGCTCTAGGACCACGTGTCTGTGTCATAGGGCACTATTTTAAAAGGAAAGACTTTTGTAGAACACTAGGAAAGGAGCCATTTGTAACCCTCTTGTAAAAGACTAGGACAAATGAAAATTAATTGCAAGCCCTTAAGGGTAACCGAAACCCTTACAATACAATAATACACCTTGGTGCATAAAATCATAATGGCATTCCAAAGAGTCCTGAGCACAGATATCAGCACAGCTTCTCCTGCACACTGGGACATCCAGCAGGGGCAATTGTTCCCATGTTTTCTCATCAGTCACTCATTAACATCCACTTGTCTGGCCAAGTCACTCAGGAGATGCCTGACTCCTACTAACTCAGAAAAACCTGGAACACGTGGCAAGCTCTGCAGGCAAAAGATGTTTATTGGGCTGGGCATGGTGCCTCACACCTGTAATCCCTGCACTTTAGGAGGCCGAGGTGGGCGGATCACTTGAGCTCAGGAGTTGGAGTGGCCAATATGGTGAAACCTCTGTCTCCACTAAAAATACAAAAATTAGCTGGGCATGGTGGCACATGCTTGCAGTCCCAGCTACTCAGGAGGCTGAGGCAAGAGAATCACTTGAACCCGGGAAGCAGAGATTGCAGTGAGCCGAGATGGTGCCACTGCACTCCAGCCGGGGCATTGCAGCAAGACTCCATCAAAAAAAGAAGAAGAAGGAGAAGGAGAAGAAGAAGAAGTTGTTTACTGATTGCAGGGAAGTAATCTGTTTGGTGAGTGAAAGGGGCAGTACTCAGTCCTTATTCTGATTTCCAGCTCAAATCTGAGAAGATTACAGGGCTAGAAAAAATGTGTCTGTCTTCAGAAATTCTGGGAAAATTGCAAGCAGGCAACATTTTGAAAAAGCTTTTTGAGCCAAGAACAAACTTGAGTCCACATCCCTTTTTCTGATGCCTTTTCTCTTTTTTTTTTTTTTTTTTTTGAGATGGAGTTTTGCTGTTGTTGCCCAGGCTGGAGTACAGTGGTGGGATCTCAGCTGACTGCAATCTCTGCCTCCTGGGTTCAAGCAATTCTTCTGCCTCATCCTCCAGAGTAGCTGGGATTATAGGCGCTCGCCACCACGCCTGGCTAATTTTTTGTATTTTTAGTAAAGACGGGGTTTCATCATGTTGACCAGGCTGGTCTCGAACTCCTGACCTTAGGTGATCCACCTGCCTCGGCCTCCCAAAGTGTTGGGATTACAGGTGTAAGCGACCGCACCCAGCCCCAGCACCAGGCGCTGTCTCAAGTAATCCCCTGCTGAGGCTGGCCGCTTCCTTTGCTGCTAAAAGGATTTGCCTAACCTAACTTCTTTGAGCCTCAATTGTGTCACCTGCACAGTAAGATAATAGTAGGTAGTGCTTATCTCACATGCTGCCTGAGGATTAAATGTGTTAACGCTGGTGAAGTGATTGGACAGAACTTAGCACATAACACTCAGCCAGTGTTAGAGATGACACCGCCATCACCATCATTATTTCTGGTATTTCCAACTGTCCTTTCCTCCCTCACAGCCAGTTCTTTGCCAATCCTATTTCTCAGTCACTATTTATTATTCATTTGGAAATATTTTCCATGGCTCCTGTTTTTGTCCTCTGCACATATTTTTTCCGTATATTATCCATATGTTATTTCCAAATATTACTTTAATAGCAAGAGCCTAACAAGGTCATTTTCACAACCCCCTTATCTTGCATTAGTGATCGGCGAACTGAATGTCACACAGGCTAGAGGTAATTATGACTTTATTTACAAACAGCTGACGTTGAAGAGCTGTATTTGAAAGACCAAAGTAACCAACCATCTTGGGTTGCCTAGGACTGACTGGGTTCCCAGGACACAGGATCTTCAATGCCCAAATCAGGGAAGTCTTGTGCAAACTGGGACAAGTTGGTCACCATAGGCAGAAGAGCATAATGTAGGCTCTGGAAACTGGATTCAAATTCTTTTTTTTTTTTGGGACGTGGTGGCTGAAGGAGGCAGAGCTGTGGAGGAGTCCAGTGTCCGAGCTCTGCCCCCACCCCACCTAGTCCTGCCTTCCTGGATTCAAATTCTGACTCTGCTGTTTCCTAACTGTGTAAACTTGGACAAATTACTTAACTTCCCTGAGCCTCAGTTTTCTCATTTGTAAAATGGAGATAATACAAGTACCTACACAGGATTGTTATGAGAATTAAATGAGTTAATAAATGTAAACACAGCTCAGGATATTGTCTGGGACATAGTATCTGCATGACATATGTCACCCACTATTACTGATTCAAAGTTGTGTAATATCAAAGCACAATCTGAATGTACAATAAAATCCCTGTTATTAGCTGGGTGAAGTGGCTCACACCAATAATCCCAGCTACTCTGGAGGCTGAGGTGGGAGGATTGCTTCAGGCCAAGAGTTCAAGCCTGCAGTGAGTTGTGATCATGCTACTGCACTCCAGCTTGGGTTACAGAGTGAGACCCTGTCTCTCTCTCTCTCTCTCTTTTTTTTTTTTTTTTTTTGGAGGCAGAATTTCGCTTTTATTGCCCAGGCTGGAGTGCAATAGTGTGGTCTCTGCTCATTGCAAACTCCGCCTCCTAGGTTCAAGCGATTCTCCTGCCTCAGCCTCCTGAGTAGTTGGGATTACAGGCGCCCGACACCATGCCCAGCTAATGTTTGTATTTTTAGTAGAGACTTGGTTTCACCATGTCGGTTAGGCTGGCCTCAAACTCCTGACCTCAGGTGATCCACCCACCTCAGCCTCCCAAAGTGTTGGGATTACAGGTGTGAGCCACTGTGCCCGGCTGAAACCCTGTCTCTTAAAAAAAATAAATAAATAAAATCTCTGTTGACCAGACACATTCTAACGTGTATCTTTTTTTTTTTTTTTTTTTTTGAGGTAGAGTCTTGCTCTGATGCCCAGGCTGGACTGTATTAGTGGCACGATCTCTGCTCACTGCAAGCTCCGCCTTTTGGGTTCACACCATTCTCCTGCCTCAGCCTCCCGAATAGCTGGAACTACAGGCTCCTGTCACCATGCCTGGCTTTTTTTTTTTGTATTTTTAACCAAAAATATATATTTTTTTATTTTAGTACTTCCCTTTTAACTGGAAGTACAAAAGCAGAACAAGCCAATAGTTTGTTCTCCCCAAATGTAAAGTCCAGGCTTAGTCTTAAGTGTTGCTATGGTTTTAGCCCAAATCACTTACATACATTTGCTGTCATGTATATCATTGCTGATGCTGAACATAATCACTCCGAAACAAACCCCTTGATACTGAATCAAAAAGTATCCATCCCATCATCCTTACTACACTCTTCTAGAATCATGGGCCAGGACAATGTAGAAAGATTTACAATAGGCCGGGCATGGTGGCTTATGCTTGTAATCCCAGCACTTTAGGAGGCCAAGGCGGGCAGATCACCTGAGGTCAGGAGTTCAAGACCAGCCTAACCAACATGGAGAAACCCCATCTCTACTAAAAATACAAAAAAATTAGCCAGATGTGGTGGCGCATGCCTGTAATCCCAGCTACTTGGGAGGCTGAGACGGGAGAATCTCTTGAACCCAGGAGGCAGAGGTTGTGATGAGCCGAGATCGGGCTATTGCACTCCAGCCTGGGCAACAAGAGTGAAACTCCATCTCAAAAAAAAAAAAAGAAAGAAAAAAATTTACAGTAGGCCAGGCCAGGTGGCTCACATCTATAATCCCAGTACTTTGATCGCTTGAGGCCAGGAGCTTGAGAACAACAATTTGGGCGACAAAGTTAAACCTCATCTTTACGTTTATTGTGGCACTACTCACAATAGCAAAGACTTGGAACCAAGCCAAATGTCCAACAATGATAGACTGGATTAAGAAAATGTGGCACATATACACCATGGAATACTATGCAGCCATAAAAAATGATGAGTTCATGTCCTTTGTAGGGACATGGATGAAGCTGGAAACCATCATTCTCAGCAAACTATCGCAAGGACAAAAAACCAAACACCACATGTTCTCACTCATAGGTGGGAATTGAACAATGAGAACACATGGACACAGGAAGGGGAACATCACACACTGGGGCCTGTTGTGGGGTTGGGGGAGTGGGGAGGGAGAGCATTAGGAGATATACCTAATGTAAATGACGAGTTAATGGATGCAGCACACCAATATGGCAGATGTATACATATGTAACAAACCTGCACATTGTGCACATGTACCCTAAAACTTGAAGTATAATAATAAAAAAAACCTCATCTTTACCAAAAAAAAAAAAATTCTAATTAGCCAGATATGTAGTCCCAGCTACTCAGGAGGTTGAGCTGAGAGGATCACTTGAGCTTGGGAGGTCGAAGCTGCATGCAGTAAGCCCTGATTGCACCACTGCACTCCAGCCTGGGTGACAGCAAGATGCTGTCTCAAAAAAATAAAAAATAAAAATAAATAAAAATTTACAAGAAGCATTCTAAAAAAAGAGGGTTTTTTGTTGTTGTTGTTTTTTGTTGTTGTTGTTGTTTGATGGAGTTTTGCTCTTGTTGCCCAGGCTGGAGTGCAATGGCGTCATCTCGGCTCACTGCAACCTCTGCCTCCTGAGTTCAAGAGATTCTCCTGCCTCAGCCTCCCAACTAGTTGCGATTACAGGTGCCTGCCACCACACCCAGCTAATTTTTGTATTTTTAGTACAGATGGGATTTTGCCACGTTGGCCAGGCTGGTCTCGAACTCCTGACCTCAGGTGATCCACCTGCCTCAGAGTCCCAAAGTGTTGGGATTATGGGCGTGAGCCACTGGGCCTGGTCTAAAAAAAGAGATTTTTGTTAGCCCTCCTTTAAACAGAAAAATCCATTATCTGGAACTTCGTCTATTCCCAAACATATATAAGCTTTTAAAAAAAAAAAATTTAGCCAAAGAAACCGTAAATCCATGCTGTAGTATAGAAAATGATTCTGGATTAATGGGAATAGCTCTACCACAACCCAATCTATCTGTGCATCAGCATTTTCTTCCTTTTTTCTAAAGAGGATATTCTCTTTAATCTGGACACATCTGTCTGTGACAAACATGGTCCCTGAACAGGACCATACATTCAACAAACACTGAGAATTTTTTATGTTTCAGGCACTCTTCTTGCAGGCACTGATGATAAGCATTGGAAAACAAGACAGAAATATCTCTGCTCTCATAGAGCTTTCAATCTGGCCACAAATCAATAAGTAAACAGGATGGTGTTTGATAGTATGGGGCGGAAAGGTGTGATACCTTTCCTCATCTTCTATCATAAGGGCCATGGCTGACACTCAAAACAAAAGACAGATTAACAAGAGAAAAGGATAGCAGATGAATTTAATCAAAGTTTTACATGATATGGTTGCCTTCAGAAATAATGACCAATAGACCCAGGGAAAACTATTTTGACACTTAAGATTCTATGAAGAATGGATAGCCATGTAGAAGTGATTGCACAAAAGGATATGATCTAGCCAGGAGTAGTAGCTCATGTCTGTAATCCCAGTATTCTGGGAGGCTGAGGCAGGGGGATTGCTTAAGCCCAGGAATTCAAGACCAGCCTGGGCAACATAGTGAGACTCTGGTCTCTACAAAAACAAAAAAACAAAAAAAACAATTAATTAGCTAAGCATGGTGGTGTGTGCCTGTAGTCCCAACTACTCAGGGGGCTTAGGTGGGAGGATTGCTTAAGTCCGGGAAGTTGAGGCTGTAGCGAGCCATGATTGTGTCACTGCACTCTAACCTGGGCAATAAAGTGAGACACTTTCTCAAAAAAGAAAGAAAGAAAGAAAAGAGTATGATCTAATGGCAATAGACTGAGGGAGAAAACCCAGCAAGATCCATCCATTCAGATTCTTCCTGGCCTCTCTGTGTAGCATTCCTTCCCCCTTCCCTCCCCAATTCGTATGAGACAGGACCCCTCTGGAATGAGGGTTTTCCAGGGAGAAGGAAGAGAGTGACCTTTCTAAGTTTTATGTCTTACTTTGGGAGAGAGGGGTTCTAGCTTCTATGAGCTGCCATCGGGAAGAGAAATTCTCCACTTCAGGGGAGAAAAAGGAGTGGAAGACAGGAGGGCAGGAGAAAGTCAGACAGACTTTGCCTCTGAGGCCTTCCAGTCTCCTTTAATTCAAAGCACTCAGCATGCCAAAGTGCCATATTTTGGGGGTATCACTTTCTGAGCCCTGACAATAGCAATAATGGTTATGGCTATTCATTCATTCATTCATTCATCCAACATTCATTCAAATAAGCTGTAGTGAGCATCAACAATGGGCCAGGTACTGTGCTAGATATTGGAGACACATCAATGAGCAAAGCCTGACAGAGATCCCTGCTCACTGGACCTTATTATGTTTCAGCTCCTAGAGATGACAGTTGTTGTGGGGTTGGAGGTGGGAATCCTATTTTAGAAGCAGTGGGCAGGGGATGCTTCTTTGAGAAAGGAACTTTAGCTGAAGGTGGAGCCTCTCCAAGAGCCTGGTAAGGAGAACAGCAGGTACAAAGGCCCTGAGGCAGGAAGGCAGCTTCCAGGAATAGAAAGGAGGCTAGTGGGCGGGGTGCAGTGGCTCACACCTATAATCCCAGCACTTTGGGAGGCCGAGGTGGGCAGATCACTTGAGGTCAGGAGTTTGAGACCAGCCTGGCCAACAGGTGAAACCCCGTCTCTTCTAAAAATACAAAAATTAGCCGGGTGTGGTGGCGCATGCCTATAATCCCAGCTACTCAGGAGGCTGAGGCAGGAGAATTGCTTGAACCTAGGAGGTGGAGATTGCAGTGAGCCAAGATCACGCCACTGCACTCTAGCCTGGATGACAGAGCGAGACTCCATCTCAAAAAAAAAAAAAAAAAAAAAAAAAGAGGCTAGTGGAGCTGAAGCAAAGCTTCGCGGAACTCATACTTTGTGAAAAAATTCTCAGGTCCCCCGAACTTTTTTTTTTTTTTTTTGAGACGGAGTCTCGCTGTCACCCGGGATGGAGTGCAGTGACGTGATCTTGGCTCACTGCAACCTCTGCCTCCCAGTTCAAGTGATTCTCCTGCCTCAGCCTCCCCAGTAGCTGGGACTACAGGCACCCGCCACCACACCCGGCTAATTTTTGTATTTTTAGTAGAGACGGGGTTTCACCATATTGGCCAGGCCGGTCTTAAACTCCTGACCTTGTGATCTGCCCACCTCGGCCTCCCAAAGTGCTGGTGTTATAGGCATAAGCCACTGCACCTGCCCCCTTTTATTATTTATTTATTTATTTATTTTGATACAGAGTCTCACTCTGTCACCTAGGCTGGAGTGCAGTAGGATGAGCATAGCTCACTACAGCCTTGATCTCCCGAGTGATGCTTCCTGCCTCAGCCTCCCTAGTAGCTGAGACTACAGGCACACACCACCACACCTGGATAATTTATTTTTATTTTTTTATAGAGACAAGGTCTTGCTATGTCGCTGAGGCTGGTCTTGAACTCCTGAACTCAAGCAATTCTCCTGCCTCGGCCTCCCAAAGTGCTGGGATTACAGGCATGAGCCACTGCTCCTGCCCCAGGTCCCCAAACTTTCAAACGGTAGTTGGACAGGAGGATCTAGGGCACCGGGGAGGAGGAAAGCTTTCACTTCCTTCTACTTACCTAGTTCCTGTGCCTGGGACAGGACCCTGAAAGGAACAGAACAGTTCTCTAATCCCAAACTCCCAGGGAAGTGAGAGTGCTGGTGAGGAGACACTGGTGTGCTACTGCCTGCCATGTTGGGAGCCAGTCATCCCTCTCCAAACTACAGAGGCTTCCTCTGCTGGGTGCATTACCTTTCCCTTTCTGGAGAGAGTAGAGGCACCCAGCCACGTGCTATAATAGGTATACTAAATTTTTCCAGCATCCCAACACCACCTCTCACTTCCCTGCTTTGTTAGAGCTCTGATTTTTTTTCTGCCCCCAGGTGCGGAACAATGTGTGGTAAGCTGGGTTTTGATCTGCTTTCGTTAGGTCTGTTTGTTTTCTCCACTTAGGGAATTCCTCCCACCCCCTAAGCAGCCTAGACAAACCCATTTCAAGTCTTGTGTATTTTCCACCTCTGGGTGTGAGGGCCAACAACTGGCAAAGGCATCTCCACAGGGCAGCCAGCAGCCACCCTGCAAAGGTGTAACATAATGCTTTTGGGGGTAATTTACACTGAAAGGACATGTTGAAAGTTATTCTTCATTTGCAGCTTGCTGGCATTTCACACAGTGATAAAACTCAGTGGTACTCCCAGAAAGGGGCCCCTCTAGGCCAGGTCACTGATGCCTTTTGCATCTCTCTCTCTCTCTCTCTCTCTCTGTCTCTCTCTCTCTCTGTCTGTCTGTCTGTCTCTCTCTCTCTCTCTCTCTCTCTCTCTCTCTCTCGCACACACACACACACACACACACACACACACACACACACAACTGTGAATTGCCACCTTTCCATTTACTTTAGAGGGAAAAGGGAGTTCAGAGCCACACCCCAGAGCTGGCAGGCAGAACGGGGTGGGTCAGGGCCTTCTCTTCAACATTCACTGATGTAAGAATGACCCACCCTCCCTCGCCCTAGGGCTCAGCACTTCCTCTGCTTCCCAGCCACTTCTGGGAAGGCTCTCCCTTCCCCAAGGGTGCTGAGAAACTGGCTTCTTAAAGTGCAAGAGAATGTAGGAGAAGCCCCATCTTAAATTAGGTTGGACAGCTGCCTTCTTAGAATAGCAGGTTTTCAGAAGCTAATGGGGTTATTATCTTCTGTTTCCATGAACAGCTTCGAGAGAGGCTTCTACATAGAGAAAGAGGACCCCAGTAGAGCAGGACCCCAATGCCTAGTCCTGGGAAGAGACAATGGGGTCCCCAAAAGATGGTTTAGAGAGGCTTTCCCCCGTCCTGTAATCAGCCACCCCTGCTCCCTGACTTTGATGGGTGCTATTGATTGATACTGACTGTTCCCCAGTCTTTGGTAAAGGGCAAGCCCCCCTCCTACCCTACATGTTTTCACCCTTTATGCCCTACTGGATAGAAATTTTGAAGCCACACTAGTACAAATAATAATAGCAATAGCTTGGAAGCTGATTAAGACCGTCTGCCATCCACACTCTCAACCCTAAAGTATTCTATATTTATAGAATGCTTCATAATTTATACATCCTTTTCCTCCTTAAGTTATTGATTTAACTTCATGATGAACCCATGAGAAAATAGTTCAGGGCTATTAGCCCCATTTTACTACAGAAATAAATGTAGTAAAATAAATGGAATATTCCAGAAATAAACAACTCATAATTTTTAAATTACATCCTGTTCTGAATAGCATGATGAAATCTCACACCTTCCCGCTGTGTCCTGCCTGGGACTTAAGTCACCCCTTTGTCCAGTGTATCCATGCTGTACACTGGACAATATACAGAGGAAACTGATACTCAGAGAGGGTAAGTAACTTGTCCAAGGTCATCAAGCTAATACAGGAAGTGGTGAAATAGGGATCGGATCCAAGCTTCTCAATTCCTAGTTCAAAAGGCTGAACCCTGTGTCCCCTCTGCTCCATGTAACCTCAGCTGCTCCTCCACCCACATCTCTGTGGTTGGCAAACAGAGACCACATGTGCTTAGATTGGCTGGGGGAAGAGGCAGAACCGACTTTCCCTTGTGAGGTGGTGGAGCATGCTGTCAGTGACAGCCTCATTAGGATGATTAAATCGTCCTGTGCTGGTGACAGATTGTAAGACTGGAAGCAGGTGGACAATGAACCGAGTGAGCCTCTGGGATGGCTCAACCCATGTGAACCATATATCATTAGGAGCTGGCAGAGCCCACTGGGCTCCTCAGCACCTCTGGGGACAAGACAGTCTGGGGCTCTGATGAGCCAGATGTTATGTCCTGCCATTTGCATCTAAAATTCCTCATTTCCTCGTGTGGATTGACGGAAGGGGCATAAAGGGGTGGTATAATGGGGTTGGCACTTTCAGCTCCTTTCCTAACCCCATTTAGGGCAGCCTCAGGGAGGAAGTTCCCCAAAGGTTAAATGACTTTAGGTGACAGCAGGAATACAATTGGACAACTTGGCTAAGAAGTGTTGGAGGCCTGTGGAGGGGCAATTAGGCAGAATCCATCAGGCATTCAAACAAATGAATTTATTCTACAAACATATTCTCTCGTGGGCCAAATGAAGCGTTCATGAAGACATTCACTACAGCATTTGTCCAGGTATTGAACAAATGCCTAAGAAACATTGAAGAAAGCGCAGAGGACATAACAAAGTAGCTGCCCTCACGGGCTTTCATTCAGGAGAGGGATCATTTATTCATTCATTCATTTTTTTCTTTTTTTCTAGAGACAGGGTCTCTGTTGCCCAAGCTGGAGTGCAGTTGCACAATCATAGTTCACTGCAGCCTCAAACTCCTGAGTTCAAGCGATCCTCCCACCTCAGCCTCCAAAGTAGCTGGGACTACAGGCATATGCCAGCATATCCGGCTAATTTTTTTTTTTTTTAATTTTGTATAGAGATGAGCCTCGCTTTGTTGCCCAGGCTGGTCTCGAACTCCTAGGCTCAAGCAGTTCCCCCACTTCAGCCTCCCAAAGTGCCCAAAGGTTTTGAGCCACAGCACTCTGCCTCAATAAATTTTTACTGAGCCCCTACTATGTACCAGGCTTTGTTCTAGGATAGGGTTGTCAGATAAAATACAGGTCTCTCTATTAAATTTGGATTTCAGATAAACAGCAACATTTTGTTTAGTATTACTATTCCTCAAATATCCTACCCTTTTGGGTCATAAGTATGAAACGTGTTTATACTAAGGAATTACAGTAGTCCCCTGTTATCGTGGGGGGATGCTTTCCAAGACCCCAAGTAAATGCCTGAAACTGCAGATAGTAGCAAACCCTCTATATACTATGTTTTTTTCCCCACACATACACCTATGATAAAGTTTAATTTCTAAATTAGGTACAGTAAGAGAGATTAGCAACAACAATAATAAAATAGAACAATTATGACAATAAGCCAGCATCACTACTCTTGCACTTTGGGGTCATTATTAAGTAAAATAAGGGTTATTTGAACACAAGCACTGCAATACTGAAATAGTCAATCTGATAACCTAGACAGCTACAAAAAGTGACAAACAGGCAAAGAGCATATACAGCATGGATACATTGGACAAAGGGGTGACTTAAGTCCCAGGCAGGCCACAGTGGGAAGGTGTGAGATTTCATCACACTAGTCAGAACAGCATGTAATTTAAAAATTATGAGTTGTTTATTTCTGGAATTTTCCATTTAATGTTTTCAGACTGCAGCTGACCATGTGTAACTGAAATCCCAGAAAGTGAAACTATGGATAAGGGGGTTCTACTGTGTTCCTTGTTATCTGCATTTCAAATTCAAAATTGAAATTTCAAATAAAAAAATCGAATCTCAAATTCAACACTGGGCAGCTTGTATTTTAATTTGCTCAATCTGGCAAGCCTATTCTAAGAGCATTGTTTATAGAAGGAAAGGTTAGGCAATAACCTAAGTGTCCATCAATAGGGGACCTGTGAAGTGAATTATGGTAAATCCAAACAACAGGAAATTGTTACCAAAGAAATAATGAGATAGATTTATATGATGACTTGGAATTCTTTCCAAAATGCATAGTTAGGTGAAAAGAGGAAGGTTCAAAATAGTGTACAACTTATCCCACCATCTGGTAAAGAACAATAAATATGGAGATATGTACATATATTTCATCAAAGCATAGACTTTCTGCAAGATGCTCAGAGATGGGTAGCAGTGCTTGCTTCTGCAGAAAGGGAACAAGAAAACTAGGGAATAGGCCGGGTGCGGTGGTTCACACCTGTAATCCCAGCACTTTGGGAGCCCGAGGCAGGCAGATCACCTGAGGTCAGGAGTTTGAGATCAGCCTGACAAACATGGAGAAACCCTGTCTCTACTAAAAATACAAAATTAGCTGGGCGTGGTGGCGTATGCCTGTAATCCCAGCTACTCGGGAGGCTGAGGCAGGAGAATCACTTGAACCCAGGAGGCAGAGGCTGCAGTGAGCCGAGATTGCACTATTGCACCCCAGCCTGGGCAACAAGAGCGAAACTCCGTCTCAAAAATAAATAAATAAATAAATAAATAAATAAATAAATAAATAAATAAATAAAAATAAAAATAAAGAAAAAGAAAACTAGGGAATAATAGGGAAGTATTAACCTACACCCAGGCTGGAGTGCAATGGCGCAATCTCGGCTCACTGCAGCCTCAACCTCTGGGCTCAGGTGATCCTCCCACCTCAGCTTCCCAAGTAGGGACTACAGGTGCGCACCCCCATGCCCAGCTAATTTTTGTATTTTTTGTAGAGTAGGGGGTTTTCCATGTTGCCCAGGCTGGCCTTCTGTACTTTTTGAATTTTGAAATATATCTATACTTAACTGATTTTTTTTCTTTTCTTTTTTTTTTTGTTTTTTTTGTTTTTTTTGTTTTTTTGAGACAGGGACTCTCTTGCCCAGGCTGGAGTGCAGTAGTACAATCTCAGCTCACTGCAACTTTTGCCTCCCGGGTTCAAGTGATCCTCTCACCTCAGCCTCCTGAGTAGCTGGGACTACAGGCGCACACCACCATGCCTGGCTAATTTTTGTATCTTTTTGATAGAGATGGGGTTTCACCATCTTGGACAGGCTGGTCTCGAACTCCTGAGTTCAAGTGATCTGCCCGCTGTTAGGTCTATGACTACGCCAATTGTCATGCTGAGGTCTGAGGGAAGTGGGTGGATGAGCAGAAAGAATACTCAGGAGGCCGTAGGCAGGTGAAAGATTATTTTATTCAGCAGCAACTTTCATTAACAACTTTCTCACACTATCCTCCCTGTCTCAGCTGCTTAGTACAACGGCTCTCACACGCAGCTGCACACAGCTGGCTCTCCCTTGCCTTCAGGGTTAGCGGCTTAACTCTTTCTCTCTCTGGGCACGAGCGAGCTGAGCTGTGTCCTGGCTCCCTCCTGTCCATCTCAAGATGGACAGCTTTGACTCTCTCTCTTTCTCTGGGTGTGAGCACCTGTACAGTGTCAGCAGGGCAATTATACCTTTACAGACCATAGTGGCGTAGGGCCAAGGGAGGGCTTTCCCATGTTATGGCTATATGGCTGTGATAATATGTAGAGTTATACACCTGCGAGTTATGCAGGATGTAAACATCCTACCTCGGCCTATCCTTGACCAACACACAGCCACGTTCTTTATACCCTCCTTGGCCTCCCAAAGTGCTGGGATTATAGGCGTGAGCCACTGAACCGAGCAGTAACTGATTTTTTTTTTTTTTCCCTGGGCAAAACCTTTACTGTTGTTTTCACAGAAGGCATGGGTGAAACAGAGTAAGCAGCCGAGCAGGCTGAGGATTGGATAGTTTCTTTTTTTTTTTTTTTTCTTTTTTATTTTTTTTTATTGATCATTCTTGGGTGTTTCTCGCAGAGGGGGATTTGGCAGGGTCATAGGACAATAGTGGAGGGAAGGTCAGCAGATAAACAAGTGAACAAAGGTCTCTGGTTTTCCTAGGCAGAGGACCCTGCGGCCTTCCGCAGTGTTTGTGTCCCGGGGTACTTGAGATTAGGGAGTGGTGATGACTTTTAACGAGCATGCTGCCTTCAAGCATCTGTTTAACAAAGCACATCTTGCACCGCCCTTAATCCATTTAACCCTGAGTGGACACAGCACATGTTTCAGAGAGCACAGGGTTGGGGGTAAGGTCACAGATCAACAGGATCCCAAGGCAGAATAATTTTTCTTAGTACAGAACAAAATGAGAAGTCTCCCATGTCTACCTCTTTCTACACAGACACGGCAACCATCCAACCTCTCAGTCTTTTCCCCACCTTTCCCCACTTTCCGTTCCACAAAACCGCCATTGTCATCATGGCCCGTTCTCAATGAGCTGCTGGGCACACCTCCCAGACGGGGTGGCGGCCGGGCAGAGGGGCTCCTCACTTCCCAGTAGGGGCGGCCAGGCAGAGGCGCCCCTCACCTCCCGGATGGGGAGGCTGGCCAGGCGGGGGGCTGACCCCCCCACCTCCCTCCCGGACGGGGCGGCTGGCCGGGCGGGGGGCTGACCCCCCCACCTCCCTCCCGGACGGGGCGGCTGGCCGGGCGGGGAGCTGACCCCCCCACCTCCCTCCCGGACGGGGGGGCTGGCCGGGCAGAGGGGCTCCTCACTTCCCAGTAGGGGCGGCCAGGCAGAGGCGCCCCTCACCTCCCGGACGGGGAGGCTGGCCAGGCGGGGGGCTGACCCCCCCACCTCCCTCCCGGACGGGGCGGCTGGCCGGGCGGGGGGCTGACCCCCCCACCTCCCTCCCGGACGGGGCGGCTGGCCGGGCAGAGGAGCTCCTCACTTCCCAGTAGGGGCGGCCGGGCAGAGGCGCCCCTCACCTCCCGGACGGGGCGGCTGGCCGGGCGGGGGGCTGACCCCCCCACTTCCCTCCTGGACGGGTCGGCCGGCCGGGCAGGGGGCTGACCCGCCCACCTCCCTCCTGGACGGGGCGGCTGGCTGACCCCCCCACCTCCCTCCCGGACGGGGTGGCTGCCGGGCGGAGACGCTCCTCACTTCCCAGACGGGGTGGCTGCCGGGCGGAGGGGCTCCTCACTTCTCTGACGGGGAGGCTGCCGGGTGGAGGGGCTCCTCACTTCTCAGACGGGGCGGTTGTCAGGCGGAGGGTCTCCTCACTTCTCAGACGGGGCGGCCGGGCAGAGACGCTCCTCACCTCCCAGACAGGGTCGCGGCCGGGTAGAGGCGCTCCTCACATCCCGGACGGGGTGGCGGGGCAGAGGTGCTACCCACATCTCAGACGATGGGCGGCCGGGCAGAGACGCTCCTCACTTCCTAGATGGGATGGCTGTCGGGAAGAGGCCCTCCTCACTTCCTATATGGGATGGCGGCCGGGCAGAGACGCTCCTCATTTTCCAGACTGGGCAGCCAGGCAGAGGGGCTCCTCACATCCCAGACGATGGGCGGCTAGGCAGAGACGCTCCTCACTTCCCAGACGGGGTGGCGGCCGGGCAGAGGCTGCAATCTCGGCACTTTGGGGGGCCAAGGCAGGCGGCTGGGAGGTGGAGGTTGTGCGAGCCGAGATCACGCCACTGCACTCCAGCCTTATTGCAATATCCACCTTTTTATGATGGTCTGGAACCAAAACTGTAATATCTTCAAGGTATGCCTGTATATTCTTTGCACTGTTCTACAGACTTCCTATGCGTTGAAGCATTGAAACATATCTTCACTTTGCAGATAGGGAAACATTCATTATTAACAGAGGTTTTCTGGCTATTGTCAAATCTCAGGTGAAAGCCTTTTAGCTTCTTTCATTCCTTCTCAATGAAACCAATTTGGCAGTCTCTTTCAAAGCAATGTCTTCAATTGGAAAGTACTACCTCATACATGAATGAACAACGTGTCTCCTCTTGTCATTGATAAGATGAACTTAGAATGAGCTTGAAATGCTATGGTGGTGGTGCTCTATTCTGGACTGCAGAAAAATCTGGAATGCCGTTCTCAGATGGGGCAGTTGCCAGGTGGAGGGTCTCCTCACTTCTCAGACGGGGCGGCCGGGCAGAGACGCTCCTCACCTCCCAGACGGGGTCGCGGCCGGGCCGAAGCGCTCCTCACATCCCAGACGGGGCGGCGGGGCAGAGGCGCTCCCCACATCTCAGACGATGGGTGGCCGGGCAGAGACGCTCCTCACTTCCTAGATGGGATGGTGGCCGGGAAGAGGCCGTAACTGATTTTTTTTAAGCAAACTTTTTATCTGTATGTGTTTTCAGATATCTTGGCTGGTGGGCCTGTAAGACACTGGGACAGAGTTGCCATAGCCTCCTTAAGGATTTTGGGATGGCCCCAGAAAGAACAGAATAAACTTGGCGAATCACCTAGGTTCAACATAAAGAATTGGGAATGTGGACCATGGCACACACTCAGGGCTGGTTACAGAATTTTCAGGGGCCAGTATAAAATGTATGAATCCAGCCAGGCATGGTGGCTCATGCCTGTAATCCCAGCACTTTGAGAGGCCGAGGTGGGTGGATCACTTGAGGTCAGGAGTTTGAGACCAGCCCAGCCAACATGGTGAAACCCCGTCTCTACTAAAAATACAAAAATTAGCCAGGCGTGGTGGCAGGTGCCTGTAATCCCAGCTACTTGGGAAGCTGAGGCTGGAGAATCGCTTGAACCCAGGAGGCAGAGGTTGCAGTGAGCTGAGATCGCGCCATTGCGCTCCAGCCTGGGCGACAAGAGCAAAACTCTGCCTCAAAAAAAAAAAAGGATGACTCCTTGTTTCTAAATTATTAAGACGTTTAAATGGTGACAGCAGAGCATTAAATCAAGCAGGGGGTCCTTCTAAACATGGGGCCCTGCTTAACTGCACAGGTCACACATCAATGGTGCTGGCCTTGCACACACACAGTGGCCAGTCACTCAGAAAGGGGCAGTTTTGCCACAAGACATCCCAGTCCTGCAAAGCCGAGAAAAACCCACAGCTGCTGCTAGGTTTCCTTCCACAAGCACACCTGGGAACCTAATTCTTCACAGAGCCATTTTCCACATGCACCACCACTCTGGTTATGAGTTCAGAAGAGAAACCAAAGCAATAAAATAAACATAAATCAAAGCCAACTGTGTTAATAAAATGGATCCAAAGGGTCAGTGTGGCAGGCAGGACATTAGATTTCAGACAGCTTTAGTATCTTCCCGGACAAATTACATGAACTGCTGTCAGAGGTACCCTCAAAGTTCATGCAAAATATGCCTCCTGGCTCATTTAACTCCCATTTCTCCGCCAGTAAATTATTAACGGAACAAGCTCGAACTGGCAGAGCTGTTGTCTCAACATAGGCCTGATGTCCACACAGAAAATTGCTCAATAATTTGTACTGGAAGTGACCCAGCACTAAATTCATTCCCTGAGCACTGGCACCAGGGCACCAGACTGCAGGGGGAAAGAATCCCCAAGACAGCATCCTGCTTCTGTTTGGAGTAGAGTGTAAAGTCCCCATCGAGGGGCCGAAGGTGACCCTGCAGCCTCAGAGCAGCAGCCCATAACCCAAGTGTCGGTGACTTCATAAGGCCAAGGACACAAGAGGGGCCCATAGAAGCCTCTGGCAGGTGAGAAGGAGAGACAGGGAAAAGAAAGAAAAAGACTTGATGAGAGGACAGCGCAGGATGAAGAGAGGAGGGGATGGAACAAGAAAGAGGAAAACTTCTCTCTTTGGGGAGGAATATATGGTTTGGGGCAAAATATAGGTTCTAAAGAGCAGCTTCCACCACTTCAATGCACCCATCTCAGCTTCTGGAAGTCTTTCCAGGCCTTGAGGTTCAGCTCCAATGACACCTCCTCCAGGAGGTGGAGGGTAGCTTCCCCTGATGGCCACAGAACAACGTTGCTACCCAAATAAATGATAATACAGTAGATAAGAGTGGAGAGTTTCCCTTTGCCACCTACACCCTCTCATTTCGTACCCCCAGCCCTTCCATGGGCATTATTACTGCCCTAATTTTGCTAATGAAGAAACCGAGGTACTGAGAGATTTAGTAACTTGCCCAAGGACATACAGGTGGTAAGTGCTGCAGCTGGGACCAGACAAACTGACTCCAAAGTCCTTACTTGTAACCACTTGGCTCTACATTTCCCTCTTCTACCTTATTGTGGCTCAGAGGATCGCCTGAGCCCAAGAGCTCAAGACCAGCCTGGACAACATAGTGAGACCCCGTCTCTACAAAAATTTCTGCCTGTAGTATAGACAGTAGTGTCCAAACTTCACCCCTCCTCCAGGAAACCTCTCTTGAGGATAGGGACTCTATCTTACTTATATCCCTATTCCTCCAGCAATCCACTACAACGTCCAGCACATAGTAGGTGCTCAGTAAATGTTAATTCCATACCTTTCTCTCATCAGACACATGTACAAAAAGTATTGTGTCCAAAACACAGACTAAGAGAAAATATTTACGAATCATATGTGCAACACAGGATTTGTATCCAGAATTTATAATGGGCCAGGCGCGGTGGCTCATGCCTGTAATCCCAGCACTTTGAGAGGTCGAGGAGAGTGGATCACCTGAGGTCAGGAGTTTGAGACCAGCCTGGCCAACATGGCAAAACTCCATCTCTACTAAAAATATAAAAATTAACTGGGCGTGGTGGCGGGTGCCTGTAATCCCAGCTACTCAAGAGGCTGAGGCAGGAGAATCACTTGAATCTGGGAGGCGGAGATTGCAGTGAGCCAAGATTACACCATTGTACTCCAGCCTGGGCAACAAGAGCAGAACTCTGTCTCAAAAACAAAACAAAACAAAAACAAACAAACAAAAACCAGAATTTATAATGAACTCTCATACCTAAATAAGAAAACAGATTACTGACTTTAAAAATGAGCAAAAGATGTAAACAAATACTTCACCAAAGAGAATATTAAGATGGCAGATAGGCACATGAAAAGATGTTCAACAGCCAGGCGAGGTGGCTCATGCCTGTAATGGGTCACTTTCAATACAATTACTGAGACAAGAAGATTGCTTGAGGCCAGGAGTTCGCCCAGCCTGGGCAATATGCAAGACCTCATCTCTACAAAAAAATAAAAATAATTTTTTAAAAAAGAAATAATCATCATGTACAGTCACTCAAACCTGAAATCCCAACACTTTGGGAGGCCAAGGCAGGAGGATTGCTTGACCCCGGGAGTTGGAGACCAGCCTGGGCAACATAGTGAGACCTTGTCTCTACCAAATTTTTTTTTAATTAGTTGGGCATGGTGGCACACATCTGTGGTCCCAACTACTCAGGGGGTTGAGGTGGGAGGATCACTTGAGCCTGGGAGGTCAAGGCTGCAGGGAGCCATAATTGTACCACTGCACTCCAGCCTGGGAGGCAGGGCGAGACTGTCTCAAACAAACAAACAAAAAAGAAGTATCAATCTGAATCCCATAAATATGTACAATCATTACATGTAAACTAAAAATAAAAGTATAAATAATCACCAAATGGGAGAAAAACAATGCTTGGCATATAGTAGGCATTCAATAAATATTTGTAGAATTAATAGTCCCAGTGAAGCAGCCAGTCATTCATTCTATTGCAAAATAGCTCAAATGAAAAGAAATTTATGAAATTTTTTTTTACTAATGTTAAGCTGAAATCACACCTATATAAAAAGATTTATGGGTCGGTTTCGGTGGCTCATGCCTGTAATCCCAGCACTTTGGGAGGCCAAGGCAGGCAGATCACTTGAGGTCAGGAGTTCAAGATCAGTCTGGCCAATATGGCAAAACCCTGTCTCTAATAAAAATATAAAAAGTAGCCGGGTGTGGTGGTACACATCTGTAATCCCAGCTACTTGGGGGGCTGAGGCAGGAGAATTGCTTGAACTCAGCAGGCAGAGGTTGCAGTGAGCCGAGATTGCACCACTGTACTCCAGCCTAGGCGACAGAGCAAGACTCCGTCTCAGAAAAAAAAAAAAGTATCCAAGACCAAGAAAATGAAAATATACATTCACACAAAAACTTGTACAAGAATGTTTATAGCCGCATTATTCACAATAGCCAAAAAGTGCAAACAACCCAAATGTCCATCAGCTGATGAATAGATAAATGAAATGTGGTATATCCATACAATGGAATATTATTCATCAATAAAAAGGAATGTAGTACTAATACATGCTACAACACAGATAAACCCTGAAAACAGCATGCTAAGTGAAATAAGCTTGACATAAAAGGCCACAGATTGTGTGATTTCATTTATGTGACATATCAAGAGTAGGCAAAGCCATAGAGGGAGAGAGTCTCTATGGCTCGTATTTGCCAGGGGGTGGGCGGAAGGGGAAATGGGGAGAAGCTACTGTGGATTCGGGGTATTTTGGGGAGACGAGATAAAAATGTTCTGGAATTACTGGTGATGGTGGCACAACTTTACAAATATACTAAAAACACGAAATTTTACATTTTTTTTCTTGTAAATCTAGGTCTGAACAGATAATTGTATAATTTGGTAACTTGTTTTCCTCTCTTTTTTAGAGACAAGGTCTTTCTCTGTCACCCTAGCCAGAGTGTAGTGACGTGATCATAGCTCACTGTAACCCCAAACTCTTGGGCTCAAGCAATCCTCCTGTCTCAGCCTCCTGAGCAGCTAGGATTAAAGGCACTTGCCACCATCCCCAGCTAATTTTATTTATTTATTTATTTATTTATTTATTTATTTATTTATTTATTCATTCATTCATTTATTGGTAGAGACAGGGTCTCGCTGCATTGCCCAGGCTGGTCTCAAACTCCTGGCCTCAAGTGAGCCTCCGCCTAGGCATCCCAAAACCCTGGGATTGTTTTTTTTGAGACAGAGCTTCACTCTTCTTGCCTAGGCTGAAGTGCAATGGCGAGATCTTGGCTCACCGCAACCTCCACCTCCCGGGTTCAAGCAATTATCCTGCCTCAGCCTCCTGAGCAGCTGGGATTACAGGCATGCGCCACCATGCCCGGCTAATTTTGTATTTTTAGTAGAGATGGGGTTTCACCATGTTGGTCAGGCTGGTCTGGAAATCCTGACCTCAGGTGATCTGCCCGCCTCGGCCTCCCAAAGTACTGGGGATTACAGGTGTGAGCCACCACACCCAGCCTTTTTTTTTTTTTTTGAGACAGAGTCTTGCTCTGTCACCCAGGCTGGAGAGCAGTGGCACAATCTTGGCTCACTGCAACCTCCGCCTCCTGGGTTCAAGCGATTCTCTCGCCTCAGGCTCCCGAGTAGCTGGGATTACAAGCACACACCACCATGCCCGGCTAGTTTTTGTATTTTTAGTAGAGATGATGTTTCACCATATTGGACAGTCTGGTCTTGAACACCTGACCTCAGGTGATCTACCCACCTCGGCCTCCCAAAGTGTTGAGATCATAGGCGTGAGCCACCGTGCCTGGCCTCAAAACCCTGGGATTACAGGTGGGAACCACTGCATATGGCTGAGTTGTACACTTTAAAAAAAATTTTTTTTTAAATATGGAACACTTCACAAATTACAGTGTCATCTTTGAGCAAGGGTCATGCTAATTTTCTTTGTATCATTCCAATTTTAGTATATGTGCTGCTGAAGTGAGCATTGAATTGTATAATTTAAAAGGGTAAATTTTGTGGTATACTATACTAGTTTTATGGTATACCATAAAATTGTGGGTATACTTTATAAAAATAAAATTATGGTATGTAAAATGTTACGGTATACCATAAAATTATGGTATACTTTATGGTATACCATTAAATTGTACTCAGGCAGTATGAAAAACTCAGTATAAAAAAATTCATAGACCTGTACACCAACAGAAAAAATTTTACTGCATAATTTAAAAAATAAAAAAAAAATTAAGTCCTGTGTCCGAAAGGCAGGAGCCAGGTTCTCACCTGTTGTGTGTCACCTAAGTTGCCTCATACAATAAATGCTGAGGACAGTGGTTCCCGGACGTGGGTACATGTCCAGGAACCACCTGGTTGGGGGAGGTCTTTGAAAACTTCTGATGCCTGGCAACCGCCCCCAGGCATTCAGATTTAATTGGTCTGAGGTACAACCTGGGTACTGAGATGTTTTTTTAAAGCTTCCCAGGTGATTCTAACATGCAGCAAAATTTGAGAACCACGGGCTTAGCAAAAGGTTGATGAACAACCATTCTTGGGAGCCAAAAGCTAATCCCCGCCCCACCTTACCTCACTTTCACCTCAAGGCAATCAGATCAGATCTGTCCTTGGCAAAGAGAACAGCTACAGCCAATCCTGCTGTTCACCATGCCGGACAGAAGTAAATCAGAGCATTCTCTCCAGTTCCTTAAGGGCCACTGCTCTCTCTATAAACATGTGGTTGATGAGATCAGCAATTCTGAAGCAGGATCCATTCTACAAAGCATGGTTTCTTCCGTTCTCCCCAGGTTTTCTCTCTCTTGCTGTCCCCATTTGTAGCTGGGGTTGGGAAGTGGAGGAGAGAGAAAGTCACTGAATAAATACATTCTCTGTGTTCTCAATGAACAGACATGAAAGAAAAGAAAAATGGTAAATACATTCCTAGTAGGGTGAGCCTCAGTAGGTTTCTGGATTACCCTTCCCAGAAACATTCATATTTTCAAAGAAGACCTCCTGGTAAACGAAGACATGAGTCACTAGTAAGGAAGGTTTTGAGGGACAGGGTCTCTTTCCTTTAACTTCCCAGACACATGTCTGGACTGGTCCTGATTGTTTGACCTGTCTGTTTTCTTAGAACAGAGCATGAGATCCTAGCTAGCTGCATTCCATTCACTTAACAATTTGTTGTTCGAATTTATTTATTTCAGTTACGATTAGGTTTTGTCTGTGGCATTTATCGTCTTTCTATGCCAAGCAGTCTCACACTAACTTGAAAGCCCTTTTGTATTATCTACTGTGTTTCCTACAGGTGAGTCTTTTCACCTTGTCTTAGTAATTAAGACTTCTGGTTGTAGATTACAAAAACCATCTCAAGCAAGTTTAGGCAACAATGGGAGTTCTCAATGAGATTACAGGTGGAACCAGGAAAGTTAAGCCTCAGGGAGAGCAGGAATCCAGGCATACGTGGTCTTTATCAGGGAGTAGACACCAGGGCCCCACCCCAGTCAATGGGGAAGTCAGATCTCAGAGAATAATAATCATTGAACATGAATTGAATGTCTGCTATGTGCAGGAACATATATTATTGATAACATATTCTTATGTTATCAGTATGAGTTATATTACTATTGCTCTTCCCATTTTATAAATGAGGAAACTGAGGTCCACAGAAGATAAGCAATATGTTCAAGAGCTTCCAGGCCAGGTCCGGTGGCTCACACCTGTAATCCCAGCACTTTGGGAGGCCGAGGCAGGAGGATCACCTGAGCCTCAGAGTTTTGAGTCCAGCCTGGGCAACATAGGGAGACCTTATCTCTACAAAAAATTTAAAAAGTAACCAGGTGTGGTGGTGGTGCCTGTGGTCCCAGCTATTCAAGAGGCTGAGGTAGGAGAATCACTTGAGCCCGGGAGGTAGAGTCTGCAGTGAGCTGTGACTGTGCCACTGGACTGCAGCCTGGGTGGTGGAGAAAGACTCGGTCTCAAAAAAAAAAAAAGAAGTAGGGGGTGGGGGGCAGTTCCAGTTGGCACTGGAACTCAGGCAGTATGGTTTCAGAATTGACACACTTAGCCACCAGGTGAATGGTTCCCTTAAGAGTTGTACAGTGGGCAACCTGCACACCCATACCTGGCAGCCCTGACTATGGACTAGATCAGTGTTTCTCATCAGAGACACTGAGGACATTTGGAGCTAGATAATTTTTTGTGTAGGACTATCCCATCCTTCATTTACTATATGTGAGTGGTAATAACGCTCCCAATCATTGTGACAATCAAAAGCCAATCATTGTGACAATCAAAAGTATCAACCTCTTGAAACTTAAAAAAAAAAGAAAATGAAAAAAAAAAATTTAAGTATCAACCTCAGTTGAGAATCACTAGGATAAGTAGATAGCCCCAAATGATGTCTACATCTATTTTGTGAGCTCTTGATGACCAGTAGCAATGTGACTTCTTTTCCTCTTCCCACAGTAGTTGGCCCAGACAACTGTATACATACTCCACAAATGCTGGATGTGCATTGTCATTAGAGCCTGAAAGGATCCAGAGTCCTCAGCTTGGTGCTTCCCTACCCAGGATGATAGGGATGGAAACATGAGTCATGCATGGTAGATTCACTCCAACATCCTACGGGAAGACACAACAGTTTTCTCAGTTTTTCATTTGGTCCGCTGAACAAGCCAGCATGGTAGAAGGGCAGGAATTAGTCATTCCTATTATGAAAAAAGAATGTAACAGTAAAATTGTTTTTAATTTTGGCAAAGAAAAAAGTAACTATAAGCCTATCCTCTGCACAACTACCCTGTTTTGCATGTTACCTCCTGGCCCTGTCTACATGCTCTCTCTCAGTGTGCACGGTTATAGTCAAAGGGTATACCATCTGGGGTTCTGCTATTTTCACTAAACATTTATAAATGTTTTCCTTGTTGCTACATGGTCTTCATAATGAATGATTTTTTTAATGCCTGCATAGTGTTCCATTGCACAAATCTACTTTTATTTTATTATTATTATTATTGTAGAGGCAGGGTCTCACTCTGTCGCCCAGACTGAGTGCAGTGGCACAATCATAGCTCATTGTGTTATAGGATGGGAAGCCTTGACTGAGTTGTCCAGGTTTTTGGCGTGTTGAACAAAGAATTGAACAAAATGCACAGACAAAACAATAGAAGATGAAAGCATACATTTATTGAAGTGAAAGTGCACTCCACAGAGTGGCTCAAGAACCCTGATTGTAAAGTTTCTTGGGGTTTTCATTGAATTGAAAGAGCATGGTAACACCCCTAAGCACCCTTTAGCAGCGTCTGATAGGTTACACTCTATACAAATGAAAGATTCTGCCCAGGACCAATAAGACGCAGAACTCTGCCCAGGACCAATCAGAGGCATCCCACTTGTGACCTATGAGCAAATGAAGATTTCAGAATGGACCATTTACAGAAATTCCCATTTTTGACATAAGGGAGGGGAGGTTCAGAGAGAGAGGGGCCTTTGGCCCCTCATCACTTGGTCATGGAAAGGTGGGGTTTTTCTTTCAGTCCAATTCCAAGAAGGCAGCTGTGGGTTGGCCTTAGGTTTCCTGCCTCCAGACACTATTCTCCTGCCTCAATTGCAGCCTCAAACTCCTGGCCTCAAGCCATCCTCCAGCCTCAGCCTCTCAAAATGCTGGGATTTCAGGCATGAGCCACTGGATAGGCCCTTCCCTCTCTGAACCTCCCCTCCCTTATGTCAAAAACGGGAATTTCTGTAAATGGTCCATTCTGAAACCTTCATTTGCTCATAGGTCACAGATGGGATGCCTTTGATTGGTCCTGGGCAGAGCTCTGCCTCTTATTGGTCCTGGGCAGAATCCTTCATTTGTATAGAGTGTAACCTATCCAGTAGCATGAACCACACCCAGACTACTTTAATATTAAAAATCTTGGCTGGGTGCGGTGGCTCACGCCTGTAATCCCAGCACTTTGGGAGGCCGAGGCGGGGGGATCACCTGAGGTCAGGAGTTTGAGACCAGCCTGGCCAACATGGTGAAATCCTGTCTCTACTAAAAATACAAAATTAGCCAGGTGTGGTGGTGGGCACCTGTAGTCCTAGCTAGTTGGGAGGCTGAGGCAGGAGAATTGCTGGAACTTGGGAGGCAGAGGCTGTAGTGAGCTGTGATCATGCCACTGCACTCCAGCCTGGGTGACAGAGTGAGACTCCATTTCAAAAAAAAAAAAAAAACCGTCCATGTATGTGAAATTATACTTCAAGTTGGTTTGAATTTGCATTTCTGTGATTTAGTGCATTGCCATAGTGCTATTTATTATTTCCATTCTTTGTTATATTAATAAATTGTATATAAATTTTTTTTTTTAGATGGAGTCTCGCTCTGTCACCAGGGCTGGAGTGCAGTGGTGCGATCTCGGCTCACTGCAAGCTCCACCTCCTGGGTTCACGCCAATTCTCCTGCCTCAGCCTCCCGAGTAGCTTGGACCACAGGCGCCTGCTACCAGGCCCGGTAAATTTTTTTTTGTATTTTTAGTAGAGATGGGGTTTCACTGTGTTAGCCACGATGGTCTCGATTTCCTGACCTCGTGATATGCCCGTCTCAACCTCCCAAAGTGCTGGGATTACAGGCGTGAGCCACCGCACCTGGCCGTATATAATGTTTACAATGAGAGTTATATTCATTTTACGAATAAAAACTCTGAAGATCAGAGACATTAGGTAAAGTTGCTCAAGTTGACAGAATTGACTAAACTTAGAGTAAACATTTTCTAGCCGGGCACAGTGGTGTGCACCTGCAGTCTCAGCTACTCAGGCGTCTGAGGCCAGATCATTTGAGCACAGGAGTTTGAAACCAGCCTGGGCAACATAGCAAGACCCCCATCTCAAACAACAACAACAACAACAAAAAAACCCAAAATATTTTAGGCCTGCTTAGTCCAATGCCCTTGCCATCCCACCCCATATCCTCCCCCAGCTCAGACATGCTCAGTGATGAAACGAGTGTCTGCGGTTGCAATTCCCTCCCACAAGCAAATGAGGGGCTGATCCAAAGTGCTTCTAAACTCTGTAGTTACTGCTTGCCTGGTTCCAAGCAATCAGCCCAGGTCCAAAGATAAACACAAAGGCAGCCCCAGAAAGGATCCTGGCACCTCCGGCCCCCTTCTGGCCTCTTCTGCTCTAGGTCTTGTAGAATGAATAAGAGAGTCTGAATATTTCACCTCCAGTAATTTCCTTAAGGTAGTAATTCCTAGACCTGGCTGCTTCCATGAGTCCCTTGCAAGAACTCTTCCACAGATTCTGGCCTGTGGAATCGGGATCTCCAGGGACCAGGGCTTGATGATCTATAGTTTTTAACACCCTCCAATTAATTATGAGGCTCACCTAGGTTTAGGACCCACTGCCTTAGAGTTTATGAAATCACCTAGGCAAGCTTGTCAAAATGCAGATTCCCAGCCTACCAGGGATCCGGTGTAGGGCCATGGAATCTGCATTCCAACAATCATGATGTCCACAGTCCACACAAAGGGGACCATCAAGGACCAGGAAAGAGCCTCTGCAAAAAGCAAATAAATAAATAAAATAATAATAATAAACAAAAAAATAACTCGTTGGCTTGAAAGTAGGGTAAACTTTTTTTTTTTTTTTTTTTTTTTTGAGGTGGAGTCTGGCTCTGTCGCCTAAGCTGGAGTGCAGTGGCTCAGTCTCGGCTCACTGCAAGCTCCGCCTCCTGGGTTTTCAAGCCATTCTCCTGCCTCATCCTCCCGAGTAGCTGCGACTACAGGCGCCCACCACCACGCCCAGCTAATTTTTTGTATTTTTAGTAGAGATGGGGTTTCACCGTGTTAGCCAGGATGGTCTCGATCTCCTGACCTCGTGATCTGCCCCCCTCGGCCTCCCAAAGTGCTGGGATTACAGGCGTGAGCCACCGCGCCCGGCCAATAATTTTTTCTTTTTTTTTTTAAAGAGCCTCTGCAGCCACCATTTTTCTGATTTAGTTAAAATGTAGACAAGCTTCAATTGGAAATGGCTTTTGCCAGAGGAACCAACTAGACTTTCTATAAATCCGGTTTTCTCATCCAGCTCTAAAGCATTAGCATAAAAGCAATGGAGAGAGAAGGAAAAGGAGAACCTCTGCCTCCCAAGTAGAAGGGGGGCTGCGGTGGACAGCATGGCAGGTGGTGTTTATCTGCAATCATGGGCTATTCTTCAACTCCCAAACAGCCTCTTAGCTGCAAATTGTTCATCAGCATCATCACTTAGCCATTCATCCCAGGAACTGATGGCAGCAACTTAAGTTGCCTTATTTTTCCCTTTCCCAAATTGAACTCCTAAAGAGCCAGCAGAGACTGGAAGCCACACAAAGCACCACCTCCTGTGTGACAGGACACACCCCCCATCCCTGGGGGTGGACCATCAGCCCTTGGACTTAAAACAAAGGAGTCAGGTTTGTTTTCTAAGGCAAAAATCACAAAGACATTTTTACATAAGTTCCAAAATACATTTCCCTTTACTGGAGGTCGGAAAAAGAGGATATTTAACTTCAGACTTATAGTAATCTTCCTACTTTCTCCACTGAATACTTATCTGTGAGCAGGGCTCTGGGGTCTCAGCTTGTATCCAATAACTTGACAGACAGGGTTTGCTTCTGAAGCAAGTAATTTGTTTTATCTGACTGTCCCTTGGGGCAGTTTCACAGCATGTCAAAAGCCAGCACCTTGGAGACAAAGGACACATGTATCTTTGCTTCATGATCTGCAAACACCGGTTTTGTGGTGACAAAAACCATTAAATTAAGATGCCATGGGATTAAAATTACAGTTAAAAATATTTTAAAGTATATATCGGCTGGGCACGGTGGCTCACGCCTGTAATTCCAGCACTTTGGGAGGCCAAGGAGGGCGGACCACGAGGTCAAGAGATCGAGACCATCCTGGCCAACCTGGTGAAACCCTGTCTCTACTAAAAATACAAAAATTAGCTGGGCATGGTGACGCGTGCCTGTAGTCCCAGTACTCGGGGGGCTGAGGCGAAAGAATTGCTTGAACCCGGGAGGCAGAGGTTGCAGTGAGCCAAGATCATGCCACTGCACTCCAGCCTGGCGACAAAGTGAGACTCCGTGTCAAAAAAAAAAAAAAAAAGTATATTGACAAAGTATATTGACAAAGATTAAAAGGAATTTTAATACCCAGTTTTGGCAAAGATGCAAGAAGTGGGCAGCCCTCTCCTGTACTTCCTGAAGGGCCACTGGGCAATTTGAGTCGCAAGCTCTAAAAATTAGGCAAAACCCATGGCCCATCAATACACTTTTAGAAATTTATCTTGGGGGTGGACAGGGGAGACAAAGATGCACAGATATTACTTGCAGTGATTCTCTGTAATATTAAAAAATGGAAATGAACTAAATATTCAAGGTTAAGAGAATAAAAATTGCAGAGTAGACATACAATGGGATCTTAGTGAGCTCTAAAAAAGAAACCGTGCTATAAGACAGGAGTCAGGAAACACACCCACAAGCCAAATGAATGTCCATCCTGTTTTTGTAAATAAAGTTTTATTGAAACACAGCCACACTCATTTGTTTATGTGTTGTCTATGGCTGTTTTCATGCTAGAACAACAGAGTTGCAACAAACTGTATGGCCCACAAAGCCTGAAACATTTGCTACCTAGACCTTTATAGAAAAAGCTTGCCAACTAATATTCAATATTCTTGCTATAGAAGAATATTTACTAACAAAGGCAAATGTTCATGATATATTGCTAAGTGAAGATAAAAAATCAGGGTTGGGCGCAGTGGTTCACACCTGTAATCCCAGCATTTTGGGAGGCCGAGACAGGAAGATCACTTGAGCCCAGGAGTTTTAGACCACCCCATCTCTACAAAAAATAAAAAATTAGCTGGGTGTGGTGGCCTGTGCTACTTGGGAGGCTGAGGTGGGAAGATAGCTTGAGCCCAGGAGGTGGAGGTTGCAGTGAGCCAAGATCGCACCACTGCACTCCAGCCTGGATGACAGAGCCAGACCCTGTCTCAAAAACAAACAAACAAACAAACAAACAAAAAAACAAAAAAAAAAACACAAGCCATCGCATAATGCCATTTTGTTATGCATAGAAATAAAACTGAAAGAGGCTGGGCATGGTGGCTCCTGCCTGTAATCCCAACATTGTGGGAGGCCGAGGAGGGCGGATGACCCGAGGTCAGGAGTTCAAGACCAGCCTGGCCAACATGGCGAAACCCCTCCTTTACTAAAAATATACAAATGAGTGGGGCATGGTGGTGCATGCCTGTAATCCCAGCTACTTGGGGGGCTGAGGCAGGAGAATCCTTGAACCTAGGAGGTGGAGGTTGCAGTGAGACAAGATCATGTCATTGCACTCCAGCCTGAATGACAGAGCAAGACACTATCTCAAAAATAAATAAATAAATAAATAAGGATGGGCACGGTGGCTCACGCCTGTAATCCCAGGACTTTGGGAGGCTGAAGTGGGCAGATCTCCTGAGTTCGGGAGTTCGAGACAAGCCTGACTAACATGGAGAAACCCCTTCTCTATTAAAGATACAAAATTAGCTGGGTGTGGTGGCGCATGCCTGTAATCCCAGCTACTCAGGAAGCTGAGGCAAGAGAATCACTTGAATCCGGGAGGCGGAGGTTGCAGTGAGCTGAGATGGTGCCATTGTACTCCAGCCTGGGCAACAGAGGGAAACTCTCAAAAAAACACAACAAAACAAAAAACAAAGCATTTTTTTTTTTGAGACGGAGTCTCGCTTTGTCACCCACGCTGGAGTGCAGGGGCGCGATCTCGGCTCACTGCAAGCTCCACCTCCTGGGTTCACGCAATTCTCCTGCCTCAGCCTCCAGAGTAGCTGGGACCACAGGTGCCCGCCACCACGCCCGACTAATTTTTTGTATTTTTAGTAGGGATGGGGTTTCACCGTGTTAGCCAGGATGATCTCAATCTCTTGACCTTGTGATCTGCCCACCTCGGCCTCCCAAAGTGCTGGGATTACAGGCATGAGCCACCACGCCTGGCCCAAAACAAAATATTAATAAAAATATGTAAGCACAGAACAGTGGCCCTCAATCAAGCTTCACTTTAGAATCACCTGGGGAGCTTTTATATAGATGTCAGAACCCCTGGAGGTGCAGCTCAGGAATCTGATTTTTAAAACTCACAAATGCAACACAAAAACTCCAAATGAGTCCAGGAATTTGGCTGCACATTAGAATCACCTAGGGAGTGTTTAAATATCCCAGAGTCCAATCTGGCACCAAGATTGATTAAATCAAAATGTCTATGGCTGGACCCAGGCAATGGTATTTTCTAAAGCTCACCAGGTAATCCTAACTTGTAGCCAAAGTTGAGAACCACTGAATGGAAGGAATTCAGAGGTGATAAGAGGGTAGGCTAGAGCAGCCAAGGAATGTTTCCTCAGGAGATTGGATCTGAGCCATGTCTTCAAGAATAAGCAGAAAGGAAGAAGAAAGGAATTTGAGGGT
Source organism: Homo sapiens (assembly GCF_000001405.40). Lineage (NCBI taxonomy): Eukaryota > Metazoa > Chordata > Mammalia > Primates > Hominidae > Homo > Homo sapiens. Next base: position 43,436,015 of record NC_000017.11, on the reverse strand, counting down.
GAAGAGCAGCATAAAAAAAATTTTGGCTTCGGTGAAAGATTCATAATGAGAAATAAGGTTGGGATCATAGGGTGGGGCCAGATCTTGAGTGGCCCATAATGTCAAGTAAGGGGTTTAACGTATACCTATAAGACAGTCCCAGATCTGGTGGGGTGGCTTACGCCTGTAATCTCAGCACTTTTGGAGGCTGAGATGGGCAGATCACTTGAGGTCAGGTGTCCAAGACCAGCCTGGCCAAAATGGTGAAACCCTGTCTCTCCTAAAAATACAAAAAATTAGCTGGGCATGGTGGTGTGTGCCTGTAATCTCAGCTACTCGGAGGCTAAGGCAGGAGAATCACTTGAAACCCAGAGGTGGAGGTTGCAGTGAGCTGAGATCACGCCACTACATTTCAGCCTGGGTGACAGAGCAATACTCTGTCCCCCCCCACAAAAAAAGACAGTCAACAGAAGATTTTAAGCAAGGAAGCAACTGCTTTGAGATTTGGGGGAAGGTAAATCTGGGAGTAGATATCAAGTGCATAGGGAAAGGCTAAAGCCAAGGGGACCAGATAAAAGATTATTAAAGATTTTCTAGAGTGATTATACCTAGTAATGGAGAGGGTATAGACAGATGAACATTCTCATGTCCATCCCATGTCCATGCTCATGTCCATTATACACTCACCATGCTGGTACAGCCTTTCTGGAAGACAGAGCAGCCACAGCCATTACAGTGCCTTTGTGAGAATTGCAACAAGATACTCCTACCTCCAAACAGACACAACCCCATGCCAAGGTGCGTGGCTTGGCAAGCAAAGTTGCCGCCATCCACCTCCCCTTGACACTGACTCCTGTGTGCACTAGCCCTGCTAAAGAGCAAGTTCACAGAGTTATACAACTGCACATAATCAGCCTCTGCTATGGATCACTAAACATGGAGAATATAGGGATTGTTCTATAAAGGAACAGGCTGACCACAGAGCTATGTGTATCTCAGAAGTGCCCAAGAAACAGCGAGGGTTCTGGAAGAGCTTGGACTCAGGAAACCACATCAAGGGCAAGTATCATTAATCACCTATCCGGTAGATACTCTCCCACCTTGATTCAGAATCCTCCTTTGGTCAGACAGCAACATGACCAGCACCAGGAATGACTCAAGATCGGTCTAAGCCGATCTCGGTCATTGCTGTTCCCTTTGCCAGATATTGATCCAAGGGGATACATAACATAGTTCCAGTTAACAATGCAGAGAGTTGTTTCTGGAAGGATTTGCACCCCCCTAAAAAGAGAGAAGTATGTGAAGTGGAAGCCCTTTTGCTGCCACCAAGATCTGCTTCCCTTGTTTCCTGCTTGGAAGATTGTTGTGCAAAGATGTAATGTTGGAGTTGTGGCAGCTACTTTGCAACAATGAAGAATCTCAGAGATTCTGAGCCAAGAGGATCTCAGATATTCTGACTCAGTTTCCTGACTTTGATGAGCTGCTTAACTAATCCTGGAACAATGTAACTCCAAAGTTCACATTTTGTGAGATAGGTAAACATCTTTACAATTTAAGTCACTAGTCTTTAGATATTGTGTTACTTGCAGTTGAACACCTCTGAACATTCTGAACATTTGCCAATTAATTTGTTCAACAAGTATATAATAGCTTCTACTTAATACTAGGGATTTAAAGATGTGATAAGGTTCTAGGCTGGGCACAGTGGCTTATGCCTGTAATTCCAGCACTTTGGGAGGCCGAGGTGGGCGGATCATGAGGTCAGGAAATTCAAACCAGCCTGGCCAACATAGTGAAACCCCATCTCTACTAAAAATACAAAAATTAGCTGGATGTGGTGCTGGGCGCCTGTAGTCCCAGCTACTTGGGAGGCTGAGGTGGTAGAATCGCTTGAACCCAGGAGGTGGAGGTTGCAGTGAGCCGAGATTGCGCCACTGCACTCCAGCCTGGTGACAGATCAAGAGCAAGACTCTGTCAAAAAAAAAAAAAAAAGGTTCTAAAGGAGAATTTATATTCTAAAGGGGAAGACAGACACAGTTAAACAAACAAACTCATGGGACAAATGCTCTAACAGAGGTATGAACAAATTACTGCAGGATGATGGAAAGCCAGTTGACTTGGCCTGAGAATAAGAGGATATACAGATGGGGTTTTGTTTAGATCTTAAGTGTGAGGGATATTCATGTGAAGACATCTATGATGCTACAAGTAAGAGATCTGAATTAAACTCATAAACTTTGGCAGCAACAGTGCAGAGCTGGTAGTCAAAGTCATGGGAGATGTTAGTATCTCCCTATGTACCATTGGGAATGCTTTCAGCTGCAGGTAGCAGAAAACCCAACTCATAGCAACTCAAAAATGAGAATAGCAGGTTCAGTCCAGGATTGATTCACTTACTGGCTTAACTACCTCAAAGCTCAGGACAGCATCACTGTGACTGACTCTGTTCAACTTCTCCCCAGGCTCAGCTGCAGATGGATTCTACAGCTTCAGGCACCATGTCCTCAAATCTTGTTTAAAGGTATAAAAGGCAGCTTCTCCCCACACATTTGTTTCCTGAAATGCCTCCCATCTAAACTTCTGTTTGTGCTCCATTGGCAAGGAGTATGTCACATGTCTAATCATTTTTTTTTTTTTTTTGACGGAGTCTCAGTCTGTCAGCCAGGCTGGAGTACACTGGCAGAATTTCAGCTCACTGCAAGCATCGCCTCCCAGGTTCAAGCGATTCTCCTGCCTCAGCCTCCCGAGTAGCTGAGGACTACAGGCACGTGTCACCACACCCGGCTAATTTTTGTATTTTTAGTAGAGACAGGGTTTCACTATGTTGGCCAGGCTGGTCTCAAACACCTGACCTCATGATCCAGCCGCGACAGCCTCCCAAAGTACGGGGATTACAGGCGTGAGTCACTGTGCCCAGCCTACGTGTCCACTCTTAAATCATAGGCAAAGATAAATGATTTACCATGATTGTTTGAACCAATCATGATTCATCCTTTGGCACAGAGGAGGGGTCACCCTCCCTGAACAAGAAGAGAGAATGGCTGGGTGCGGTGTATCTTGCCTGTAGTCTCAGCACTTTGTGAAGCCAAGGCAGGCAGATAACCTGAGGTCAGGAGTTCAAGACCAGCCTGGCCAACATGGTGAAACCCTGTCTCTACTAAAAATACAAAAATTAGCCAAACATGGTGGCCTGCGCCTGTAATCCCAGCTATTCGAGAGGCTGAGGCAGGAGAATCACTTGAACCCAGGAGGCAGAGGTTGCTGTGAGCCAAGATAGCCCCAGTGTACTCCAGCCTGGGTGACAGAGCAAGACTTGTCTAAAAAAAAAAAAAAAAGGCCATGTGCAGTGGCTCACACGTGTAATCCTAGCACTTTGGGAGGCTGAGGCGGGCGGATCACCTGAGGTCGGGAGTTCGAGACCACTTTGACCAACATGGAGAAACCCGTCTCTACTAAAAATACAAAATTAGCCAAGCATGGCGGCACATACCTGTAATCCCAACTACTTGGGAGGCTGAGGCAGGAGAATAATTTGAACCTGGAAGGCAGAGGTTGCAGTGAGCCGAGATCGCGCCATTGCACTCCAGTCTGGGAATCAAGAGCAAAACTCCATCTTAAAAAAAAAAAAAGAAGAGAGAATGAGTGTTGAATTGGCAACCAACAGCATGTGTCACTCTCTGAGGGAGCAAAGAGAATAGGAAAAGAACTGAAACAGAGAACTGGGAACATGTCAACATTTTCAGGGTGGGGGAGGAAGTTGGAGATGGAGAAGAAAAGATTAGGAAAGTGAGAGAGGAAGGACTCCCAGAAGACAAGGAAAGAGATTCCAGAAGGAAAAAGTGGCCAACAGCTTCAAACATTACAGAGAGGTCAAATAGATGAGGACCATCCTGGTAAACATTAGTCTTGATGAGTAGGAGGTCAGTCTTGTCCTTGGTAAGGGTTGCCAAGAACATAAAAACATATTGAAAAGGATGTGTGGGAGGTGAAGAAGTGAAGTATGCAGGAAAAGGGGGGAAACAAAATATGCAGCCAGAGAGAGAAGACTTGGAGGGAAGAGCCATGTTGAACACAGAGCCTGCCAGAATCAGAAGTTATTGCTGGACCTGGCTGAAGCTAAGCAGGAAGACAAATCAGCTTCCTCTACTGCATATTCATCAGGGAACCTTCTCGCCAGCTTGAGAGAGCGCATTGAGACAGAAGAGCCCCTCCCACCGGGCTGCACGATTAATTCTCATCTCCCTCGGGGCTTGGCATAAAAGAAGGACTAATCATGCTCTCTCACCGTCTGGGCAATTAGTCTCTCATCAGCTGGCACAAAATGAGGGGTTTGTGACATTTTGTGACAGCACAGCCCCCATCACATCTGGGCTTTAATCTCTTGAATTAGCCAAATCAAGGGTAAGCTTGGAGATGTATTGTGATTCAAACGATAGAATAAATAACCCATTGGCCAGGCTTCACTCCAAGTCTCCCTGCCTTCATGAGTGATGTCTAATTGGAGAAGGCTAAAATGGCAAGGCCGGTGCTACAGATGCCTTGCAGGGAGACAGCAGGGTCAGGGAAGTAAGGTTACAGTAAGAATGTGCCCAGTCGGGATTCCTCCCCTGGGACCGTCCTAGAGCTTCTCTATCTGCTGTCTACCCTGGACCTTTGAGAGCAAAGGGATATATCTCAGGTTGGGCTGGGAAATTCCATGCTTAGCAGATCCTCCTTATACTTGAGAAGGACCAATATGAGAACTCTGCAATCCGACAGTCCCCCTGTGTGTCCCTCTATCCTGACACCAATCACACAGCACTGGAATCCTCCAGGACTCTCTCTGTCCCACAGATTGTTTACTGCTTGAGAGCAAGAACCTGGTTTGCCTTGTTCACTCCACTCTATGCCCAGTGCCCAGACAAGGACTTGCAGAGAGCAGTACTCAAGGAATGCTGGCCATGTGAACAAATGAGCAAATGGATAAAAGAATGAGAGAAAGCAGGGTGCAGAGAACACATTCAGGCCACAAAACACTCTTCAAAGGACATTTCTTCAGCAACTACCATGTGTTCGTGAGCAGAAACTGTGTCAGTGGGACCATGCCTTCCAGTAGGAAGGTAACTAGTTGGGCTCCTTCTCCCGGTCCCCTTTGGATGATGAAGCACCTTCACATCTGGTATTTCATGGGTTATTCACAATTACCTTGATAGGCTGGGAGAGAAGAGGAAATAAACCAAGCAAAATGTCTTTAAACAGATTCATTAGGGACCTTCCTGCCTCTGTCAGGGAAGCTATTAGGGCAGAGAATCCCCTTCCCACTTGGTGCCAGTAGAGTCCCACAACAGGGATTATATTTCCCACTTTGCAGACTAAAAACAAAACAAACTGCCGGGCGCAGTGGCTCATGCCTGTAATCCCAGCACTTTGGGAGGCTGAGGCGGGCGGATCACCTGAGGTCGGGAGTTCGAGACCAGCCTGACCAACATGGAGAAACCCCGTCTCTACTAAAAATACAAAATTAGCCAGGTGTGGTGGCACATGCCTGTAATCCCAGCTACTAGGGAGGCTGAGGCAGGAGAATCGCTTGAACCTGGGAGGCAGAGGTTGCAGTGAGCCGAGTTTGCGCCATTGCACTCCAGCCTGGGCGACAGAGCAAGACTCCATCTCAAAAAAAAAAAAAAAAAAAGTGAAAAATCTCCGTGTGTCTCTATGTGTTGAAATGTTTGTCTCAAGATTTAAAATGCTGTAATATTTAATGATGATCTATGTACCAAAACAGTTTGGAACTTTCAAATGGTGATATAAAAAGTAGATGGACAACTATGCAATTATCAGGAGTGTGTGTTGGCTAGATCAGTGCTTCTCAAACTTACGGACACTCAAAATCATTGGAGAGCTGATTAAAATACAGATTCCAGGAACCTGTCTTCCAAATGTTCTCATTCAATGGGTCTCTGGACTGGCCCAAGAATTTGTCTTTCTAACAAACTCCAGTGTTTTGGTAATGCTACTAGCCTGAGGACCCACACTGAATGACTCTGAGCTAGAAACCTTAGGGAAAATATTACAGCCTTTTTAGGCCATGAAACATTTATGAAAATTTAAACGATAATATAAGACAAAATAATAGTTACCATATCATAATTCTAGTCTTAGTAGAATTGTTTGGTGAACTAGCCTTTATAACCTTAAGCAAAATAAACTTTGAGTGTTGTAATCCTTAGTTATTTAGTCCATGAGTCTTTCAAAAAAGACTATCTGAGAATTTCCATATCTTGTGAAGTTGCACCAAAAGCAAATGTCAACATTGTCACTTCAAAATTTCAGGAAGAGAAAAAACATACACAACATTCATGACGGGTTTCATTCAATCCAATTGCAATAAAGAAAATAAAGAGGCCAGGCACAGTGACTCATGCCTGTAATCCCAGCACTTTGGGAGGCCGAGGCGGGCAGATAACGAGGTCAGATCCAGACCATGCTGGCTAACACAGGGAAACCCCATCTCTACTAAAAATACAAAAAATTAGCCGGCGTGGTGGCGGGTGCCTGTAGTCTCAGCTACTCGGGAGGCTGAGGCAGGAGAATGGCGTGAACCCGGGAGGTGGAGCTTGCAGTGAGCCGAGATTGCTCCACTGCACTCCAGCCTGGGTGACAGAGTGAGACTCCCTCTAAAAAAAAAAAGAAAAGAAAGAAGAAAATGTCAGATAAGTGAGATATCCAAAAAACGTTTTGACCCTCCATTAACCCCAGATGAAAGTGAACTTCTACTTATCAGCTGGGCATGGTGGCTCATGCCTGTAATCCCAGCACTTTAGGAGGCCAAGGCAGGCAGATCACTTGAGGTCAGGAGTTCAAGAACAGCCTGGCCAACATGGCGAAACGCAGTCTCTACAAAAAATACAAAAATTAGCCAGGCGCAGAGGCTGAGGCAGGAGAATCGCTTGAACCCAGAAGGTGAAGATTGCAGTGAGCTGAGATTGTGCCACTGCACTCCAGCCTGGGTGACAAGAGTGAGACTCCATCTCAAAAACTAATAAAATAATAATAACAATAATAATAATAATAGAAAGTGAACTTCTACTTATAACCTAAATGTGCCAAGTAGTGACCGAAGGAACAATTCAGGTGCTGAATGTGCTGAGAAAGTATTATTTCTGCATTAGGACAAGCTTTAGAGATATGACTACTAAATTTTTTAAATAATAAACTTGCAGCAGTAACTAAATCTTTAATAAAATATAAGATTTATTCTTGACTCTGAGAATTTTATTTTATTTTATTTTATTTTTTTGAGACACAGTTTCATTCTGCCACCAGAGTGCAGTGGTGAGATCTCGGCTCACTGCAACCTCCACGTCCCGGGTTCAAGTGATTCTCATGCCTCAACCTCCTCAGTAGCTGGGATTATAGGCGTGCACCATTGCACTTGGCTAATTTTTGTATTATTAGTAGAAGTGGGCTTTCACTATGTTGACCAGGCTGGTCTCGAACTCCTTACCTCAAGTGATCTGCCCACCTTGGCCTCCCAAAGTGCTGGGATTACAGGCATTAGCCACCGTGCCCAGCTGAGAATTTTATTATGTGGTAATGATATTTTTCTTCAGCCTCAGCCAAATATTGATTTAACATTTGTCCAAAACATCCCTTTGGTGTGCCCCCAATCTACTAATTATTGGGCACTGATTGTCCACCAGCCCTGGTGCTGCATGTTGGCTCAGTTAATCTTCAGGTTTTCTCTTTTTCATTTTCTCATTTTCTTTCTTTCTTTTTTTTTTTTTTTTTTTGAGACAGGATCTCTGTCACCCAGGCTGGAGTGCAGTGGTGCAATCATGGCTCACTGCAGCCTCAACCTCCTGGGTTCAAGTGTTCCTCCCATCTCAGCCTCCCAAGTAGCTAAGAATACAGGCACACACCGCCACACCCTGGCTAGTTTTTTATTTTTTGTAGAAACAGGGTCTCACTATTTTGCCAGGGAGGGTCTCAAACTCCTGGACTCAAGCAATCCTCCAGCCAAGGTGATGAGATTATTGGTATGAACCACCGCGCCTGACGAGATTAATATCCCCATTTTATAAATTATACAACTAAGGATCACAGTGATTAGTCCAAGTTCCCCCAGCTAAGGTGGGGAGTCAGAATTCATACCCAGGGCCTTGCTATGTTGCCCAGGCTGAAGTGCAGTGGCTCGAACACAACTCACTGCAGCCTTGACCTTTGTAGCTCAAGCAATCTTCCTGCCTCAGCCTTCTGAGTAGCTGGGACTACAGGCATGCACCACCACACGTGACTAATTTTTGTATTTTTATTTTTTGCAGAGACGGGGTCCCCCTATGTTGCCCAGGCTCCTGCTGATACCTTACTCTACATTCCTAGCCTCTCAGCAGCATCTGCCACACTCTCCTCAATGAGTTGCTTCCCAGCGGCACCCAGATATGCCATGTTTGCAGTTTAGGCTGTGGCAGCAATGAACAGAGCCTGCCTGAGGACCAGCAATGGCTTCCTGTCACCTGAAGGGAAAAGGAAAGGAAATGTGCATGGTTGCTGAACCTGAACCTGAATCGAGAATTCTGCTCCTTTATCAGGCAGCTAGCTGGAGCATGGCCAAGGGTTTCTGGATTCAGGTGGAGAGGCCTCTAATGAGTCCTGGCACTAATGTGTGAGCCCGGGGCTGGGAGTCACTGAACCTTATGGGGCTTCCTCCCAGTCTGTAGAATGGGGATGATTAAGGGAAGACCGCTTGGGCCAGGGATCACGGTGAGGATCACAGTGAGCAGAAGTGAGATTCTGATATTCTTTGGATACTCACACTGGGGCAGGGAGTGGGGGTGGGAAGGGAAGTACAGCATTTTTATTTCTTCCTATCCTGGGGTTATATATGACCATCCTGAGAACAAAAATAATGGGCCGGGCGTGGTGGCTCACGCCTGTAATCCCAGCACTTTGGGAGGCCGAGGTGGGTGGATCACCTGAGGTCAGGAGGTCAAGACCAGCCTGGCCAACATGGCGAAACCCTGTCTCTACTAAAAATACAAAAAATTAGGCAGATATGGTGGCGGGCGCCTATAGTCCCAGCTACTTGGGAGGCTGAGGCAGGAGAATCACTTGAACCCGGGAGGTGGAGGTTGCAGTGAGCCGAGATCGCGCCACTGCACTCTAGCCTGGGAGACAGAGAGAGACTCCATCTCAAAAAATAAAGAAAGAAAGAAAGAAGTAAATAATAAATAAATGAAAAATAGAGCCAGATTTTAATACTGGCTGTGCCACTTACTTATGCTCTGAGAGAACTTGGGTCTCAAAGCCTCAGTTTACTCAACTGTAAATTGGTAAAAACACTTATGTTCAGTGGTTTGCTAGTAAATATTTAACAACTGGCTCTCCAGAAGAAACGCAAATCCTTTCTTTGTAGTGTTCATTGGTTTCCATCATATAAATATTCCCACCATGGCAGCTTTTTTTTTTTTTTTTTTTTTTTGAGATGGGGGTCTCACCATGTTGCCCAGGCTAGTCTTGAACTCCTGGGCTCAAGTGATCCTCCCACCTCAGCCTCCTGAGTAGCTGGGATTACAGGTGCGTGCCACAGCACCCAGCTCACCATCGCAGATTTTAAGTTACCAACATGAAGTCAACCAGCTCATAAAATTCCTGAAAATTCAACATTCAGCTCTCAATATCCAAGATGGTTTGAGCTAAGTCCAGCACACCACTGCTTCTGCTTAGAGTTTAAATGAAACCGTGCGTCTAAGTGCCTTGTCTAGGGGGCTGAGGAAAGCGACTGAAGAGTGACAGATTTGAGTAGCTCTGTCCCATGAGTGTCTTCCACCTCCAGATAGCTATGAGCGTGGACCCCGCCTGGCCCTGGGAAGCTCCATTACCGCTTCTAAATTACTCTTAGCCTCTCCATATCCTGAAGTTGTCATTTCCAAGGGCCACATGCTGTGAGTAAAGACCTTGCTTTATCTCCTTTTACCCCTAAGACTGGACACATTGACCACCTTTCTAGTCATCAGTAGAGAAACTACCTTTAAACCACTAAGCTGGCCAGGTGCGGTGGCTCACGCCTGTAATCCCAGCACTTTGGGAGGCCAAGGGAGAGCTCGAGACCAGCCTGGCCAACATGGTGAAACCCCATCTCTACTGAAAATTTTTAAAAAATTAGCCAGGCGTGGTGGCATACGCCTATAGTCCCAACTACTCGGGAGGCTAAGGCAGGAGAATCGCTTGAACCCAGGAAGTGGAGGTTGCAGTGAGCCGAGATCGAGCAGAGTGAGACTCCGGCTCAAAAGTGAAACGAAACAAACAAACAAAACCGCTAAGCATTTTCTTTTCTTTTTTTTTTTTTTTTTGAGAGACCATTTCTCTTTGTCGCCTAGGCTGGAGTGCAGTGGCACCATCTGGGCTCACTGCAACCTCTGCCTCCCAGGCTCAAGCGATTCTCCTGCTTCAGCCTCCCCAGTAGCTGGGATTACAGGTGCCCGCCACCACGCCCGGCTAATTTTTGTATTTTTAGTAGAGATGGGGTTTCGCCATGTAGACCAGGCTGGTCTCAAACTCCTGACCTCAGGTAATCCTCCTGCCTCGGCTTCCCAAAATGCAGGGATTACAGGCATGAGCCACCGCGTCCAGCACTAAACCACTTAGCTTTGATCCCTTTGTGGGAAAACTCTCCCAGCCACTAAGAGGAAGCTTGCTCAAATCAGCTGTGGGGAGAGGAGAGAGAAGAAAGAGGTGAAAGGCATTAAAATCCATGTGCCAGCCTTCGTGCTGGGTGCCATACAGTGTTACCTCACTTAATTTTCACAGGATCCTCATTTTCAGATCAAACTGAGAGGCAGAGAGTTTAAATAAATGCTCTAATCCCATACACTAGGTGAGCAGGAGATCTGGAATTGACCCAAGGTGCTTCTTTCTCTATACCCACATCTAGAGGGCTGGGGGTGGGGGGAAGAGGAAGAGATAAAGGAAAAAATGATTTCTCAAGAGATTTTGTTCCAACAAAACCTATGATAATATATTCAATCCATCAGAATATATCTTGAGAGTATTTCTGAATAGGACAAAATAGTTCACAGCAAGCCAATAGTTCTTCTGGGAACATCTAAAAAAGCCAGGTAAACTGCAAAAATGATATTTATGAAAGCATCAGAGAGCTGCAGAAGTTCATAAGAGAGACTGACATTACAGGGAAGGGTTCACCTTTCCGAGATGAATGAAGATCTGCAGCTCCTTTTCCCCAGGAGCATTTTCTAACTCTAGATAAGACTCGAGATTGATAATCTGGGTTTGTCCTACACAGAAGGCATTGCTGCTAGGCAGAGAAGCCAGCAGAGCTTCTGACGGTCACACGGGGACTGGAAACACAAAATGGGATACTTGAAGGGTCTCTTTCTCTCACTCTTTCTTTCTCTCTCTCTCTCTTTTTTTTTTTCCTAAGAAATAGGGTCTCATTCTTTCACCCCAGCTGGAGTGCAGTGGCTTGATTATAGCTCAGTGCAACTTTGAAGTCCTGGGCTCAAGCGATCCTCCCACCTTAGCCTCTCGAGTGGCTGGGTCCCATAGGCATGCATCACCACACCTGGCTAATTATTTTTACTTTTTGTAGAGACAGGGTTTCGCTTTGTTGCCCAGGCTGGTCTCGAACTCCTGGGTTCAAGCGATCCTCTCACTTCAGCCTTCCAAAGTGCTAGGACTACCAGCTGGTGCCACCACAACCAGCTAATTAAAAAAAAATTTTTTTTAGAGACAGAATCTCACTATGTTGCCCAGCTGGTCTTGAACTCCTGGGCTCAAGTGATCCTCCCACCTCAGCCTCCCAAAGTGCTGGGATTACAGGCATGAACCACCAAGACCCATCCAGGGGTCTTAAATAGGTAGCCAGATTCCCTCTCATAACATCTGCTGAAGTCTGAAGCTATGCAGGGAGGAAAACTAAAGAGAGAAACTGACAAGTCTCTGAAAAGCAGAGTGGAAATTCTTATGCTTCTCTTGGTGTTGAGGACACAGTCGGCCATGCCCTCAACCGTAAGCTGAGTAGGGTCACAACCTAGGAATGGACTCAAACAGAGATGAACTGAACCTCACCAAATATGTAATACAGCCTGGACTCATAGGAGTTCCTGACTGGATTGAGGGGATTAACCACACTTTGTGTCTTGCAGAGGACTGTGTAAACTGTCTCTGGTGGAAAATAAATATTTTATGGAGCCTCAATAGTGCTTTTGTGTGTATTTTACCAACATTCAGTCAAAAATCGCAATGTGAAAAGACAAAAATATATGACTGATAAATAGAAAACATAAGATGTGGATCCACAGATGATATAGACATCAGAGTTAGACGACAAGGACTTCTAAATAATTATCATTAATATATTCAGAAAATAGAGGAAAAGATGCACATAATATGGAGAATTTCAACAGAGAATTAGAATCTAAAAAAAAATGGTTTTTTGATAACAAAAAAATCCACAAATGTACACTGAAAAATAGGGTATCTGAAATTAAGAAATCAATGGATAAGGCTGGGCGCCATGGCTCATGCCTGTAAGCCCAGCACTTTGGGAGGCTGAGGTGGGCTGATCACCTGAAGTCAGGTGTTCAAGACCAGCCTGGCCAACATGGTGAAACCCCGTCTCTACTAAAAATATAAAAATTAGCCGGGCATGGTGGCGGGTGCCTGTAATCCCAGCTACTGAGGCATGAGAATCACTTGAACCCAGGAGGCGGAGGTTGCAGTGAGCTGAGATTGTGCCACTGCACTCCAGCCTGAGAGAAAGAGCGAAACTCCATCTCAAAAAAAAAAAAGAAAAAGAAAAGAAAGAAAAAAATAAATGGATGAGTTCAACAGGTTGGCTATAGCAGAAGACAGGATAAAGTGTACTAGAATATAGGTCAATATCTCTTTTGGGAAGGAACAAGGTAATTGGAGAAAAATATTCCTAAACACCTCCCCACCCCCCACACACTGTCTTCTTCTCTCTGCCCTATAATTTACATGATTTTTTTTTTTAGGAATAGTTGCAGCAGCTATTGTTGTTATGTTTATGTTGAAATAATTTTAGGTTTACAAAAGAGTTGTAAAGATAGTAGACAGAGTGCCTGTAACACTTTACCCAGTTTCTCCTAGGTGATAAATTTTTAAAAATAGGTATTGTATTCTTCTCTCTTTTTTTTTTTTTTGAGATGGATATTTGCTCTTGTTGCCCAGGCTGGAGTGCAATGGTGCAATCTAGGCTCACTGCAACCTCCACCTCCCTGGTTCAAGCAATTCTCCTGCCTCAGCCTCTCTATTAGCTGGGATTACAGGCACCTGCCACCACGCCCAGCTAATTTTTTGTATTTTTAGTAGAGATGCGGTTTCACTACATTGGCCAGGCTGGTCTCAAACTCCTGACCTCAGGTGATCCACCCATCTCAGCCTCCCAAAGTGCTCGGATTACAAGCATGAGCCACCGCACCCAACTCAAGTATTGTATTCTTGGGCAAGTCAAATGATTCTGGGTTTTTATTTTCTCATATGTGAAAATTTTTATTTCTCATATGTGATCCAATTTTAAAATTGGATCATATTCTGTAAGATCTCTTCCAACTCTAACATTCTATGAATCTAAATCTTGGATATGTTCTAGTGGTCCCCAAAAGATGATGATTAATAGCTTTTGTGGCCGGGCGCGGTGGCTCACGCCTGTAATCCCAGCACTTTGGGAGGCCAAGGTGGGCGGATCACGAGGTCAGGAGATTGAGACCATCCTGGCTAACACGGTGAAACCCCGTCTCCACTAAAACATACAAAAAAAATTAGCCGGGCGTGGTGTGGGCGCCTGTAGTCCCAGCTACCTGGGAGGCTGAGGCAGAAGAATGGCATGAACCTGGGAGGCGGAGCTTGCAGTGGACCGAAATCGCGCCACTGCACTCCAGCCTGGGAGAGAGTGAGACTCCGTCTCAAAAAAAAAAAAAAAAAATTTTGTGTATTGAGCTATTACTATGTGTTCATCACTACATATATTAACTATCACTTAATATTCACAAAAGTGGAATTGTGAGGTGGGTTATATTATGACGTCCATTTCACAGATGGAGAAACTGTGCTACACAGAAGTTATGTGACTTGCTGAAAGTTCTATAGCTTTCTTTCTTTTTTTTTTTTTTTTTTTGAGATGGAGTCTTGCTCTGTCGCCCAGGCTGGAGTGCAGTGGCATGATCTCGGCTCACTGCAACCTCCGCCTCCTGGGTTCAAGCAATTGTCCTGCCTCAGCCTCCCAAGTAGCTGGAATTACAGGCACCTGCCACCACACCCAGCTAATTTTTGTATTTTTAGTAGAGACAGGGGTTCACCATCTTGGCCAGGTTGGTCTCGAACTCCTGACCTCGTGATCCACCTGCCTCGGCCTCCCAAAGTGCTGGGATTACTGGCATGAGCCACCGCGCCAGGCCAGTTCTACAGCTTTCTATACTGCAGACAAGGAAGTGGATTAACTCTGTTGCTCAATTTTAATGAGTATCTGGGGAAGGTAAGGAAAGAGATTAAAGAAAGGAAAGAAGAGGAGGAACTGGGGTAGTCACAGTGTGGGAGGAGGGGCCCTTATTTTAGAGTAGCAGCTTTATTTAAAGCTCCAAATCTGCCACATCTTAGCTTTGTGACTTCAGGCAATTCACTTAAATTCTCTAAACTTCAGTTTCTACATTGCCCAAATGGAAAAAATCCTATAATAATAGCTAGCACACATAGTGTCTACTATGTGCCTGGCATTGTTCTAAGCCTCTTATTCATTCATTGCACAAATATTTATTGCAAACCTCCCTGTGTCGGGCAGTGTCTTAAAAAACAAAGATCCCTCTTTATTATAGCTTTTGCTCTAATTTGGGGAGATAATAAACAGATTAAAAAATATTAACCTTATAAAAACTGTACTATTGGCCAGGCATGGTGGCTCACGCCTGTAATCCCAGCACTTTGGGAGGCCGAGGTGGGTGGATCACGGGGTCAGGAGTTTGAGACCAGCCTGGCCAACATGGTGAAACCCTGTCTCTACTAAAAATATAAAATTAGCCAGGCGTGGTGGCGGGCACCTGTAACCCCAGCTACTTGGGAGGCTAAAGCAGGAGAATTGCTCGAACCCAGGAGACGGAGTTTGCAGTGAGCCGACATGGTGCCATTGCATTCCAGCCTGGGCAACAGAGTGAGACTCTGTCTCAAAAAATAAAAACAAAAACAAAACAAAACAAAAACTGTACTATTAGTATGTCCATTTTATGTATTTACTTATTTACTTTTTTGAGACGGAGTCTCACTCTGTCACCCAGGCTGGAGTGTAGTGGCTCACTGCAACCTCTGCCCTCTGGGTTCAGGCGATTCTCTTGCCTCAGCCTCCCAGGTAGCTGGGATTACAGGTGCACACCACCATGCCAAGCTAATTTTTTGCATTAGAGACGAGGTTTCACCATGTTAACCAGGCTGGTCTTGAACCCCTGACTTCAGCTGATCTGCCTGCCTTGGCCTCCCAAATTGTTGGGATTACAGACATGGGCCACCGTGCCCAGCCAGTACCTCCATTTTGAAAATGAGAAAACTGGGCCAGGCACAGTAGCTCATGCCTGTAATCCCAGGACGTTGGGAGGCTGAGGCAGGTAGATCACGAGGTCAGGAGTTTGAGACCAGCCTGGCGAAGATGGTGAAACTCCGTCTCTATCAAAAATACAAAAACTAGGCAGGCGCAGTGACGGGCGCCTGTAATCCCAGCTACTTGGGAGGCTGAGGCAGCAGGATGGCTTGAGGCCAAAAGTTCAAGACCAGTCTGGACAATGTAGTGAGACTCCATCTCTACAAAAATAATTACTGGCCAGGCGGGTGGCTCACGCCTGTAATCCCAACACTTTGGGAGGCTGAGGCGGGTGGATCACGAGGTCAAGAGATCAAGACCATCCTGTCCAATACGGTGAAACCCCTGTCTCTACTAAAAATACAAAAAAAATTAGCTGGGTGTGGTGGTGTGTGCCTGTAGTCCTATCTACTTGGAAGGCTGAGGCAGGAGAATCGCTTGAACCCAAGAGGCAGAAGTTTTCAGTGAGCCGAGATCGCCTCACTGCACTCCAGCCTGGTGAAAGAGCAAGATTTTCTGTCTCAAACAAACAAACAAACAAACAAACAAACAAACAAACAAAAAAAAACACCACCACTATTATTAGGCCAGCGCAGTGGCTCACGCCTGTAATCCCAGCACTGTGAGGCTGAGGCGGGCGGATCACGAGGTCAGGAGGTCGAGACTATCCTGGCTAACACAGTGAAACCCCATCTGTACCGAAAATACAAAAAATTAGCCGGCCGGTGGTGGTGGGCGCCTGTAGTCCCAGCTACTCAGGAGGCTGAGGCGGGAGAATGGCGTGAACCCAGGGGGCGGAGCTTGCAGTAAGCCAAGATCGCGCCACTGCACTCCAGCCTGGGAGACAGCGAGACTCTGTCTCAAAAAAACAAAACAAAACAAAACAAAAAAACAGGCTAAGGGATTTTGCTCAAAGTCCCACAGCCAGTAGGCAACAAAAACAGATTCAAAGTCAGGCAGGTTCGGCTCCAGAAGCCACACACTGGACCTCCAGGCTGTTCTGCCTTCCAGTAACTCCCTCACAAAGTTCTCATGAGCATCAAATGAGAGAAAGTGTATCAAAGCACTTTGTAAGCCACAAAGCACTGTGCACAAGTTAGAGCTGATAATGTGGCTGGACAGGACCTGCTGAGACGGTGACTGTGCGGAAAGCCACCCTCAGTCTCCTACCCTCACCACCAAGCCCGGCGTCCCTCTCTCTGCTGCCCCTCAGCTCTGAGGTTACCCAGGATGCTCCTGATGTGAGTTTTGGGGGCTGGGAGAAGTGCAAAATAATGCATTCAGCTCCTTTCCTGGTGGCTCAGATGCCTCTCAGAGACAGCCTGGAATGCTAACTCGCTCTTCAGCCGTATTTTTATTTTGGGCTCATCATCTGGTAGGGAAGACAAGCCCTGTAGGCAGAGTGGTGACTAAGGCTGGTGATTCACACGCCCTGCCGGCCTCCTGTGTGCAGCAGCAACCCTCAGCGGGGAGACTGCAGAACGTGTCCCTGCCCGCCTGCAGTGGGGACGAGGGCTGAGAGCTGGGGAAACTAGGACTTCCCTTCAGACAGAGCAGATGGTTGCCGCTTAATGAAGACGCGCTATGGTCACACACAGCAACCCCCTCCCCACACACACACACGCGCACATGCAAGAAACAGGCTCCTGCCTCAAAAAGGGCCTTGTCAGGCCTTTAGAAGAGGGCACTTGATAGTTATTTGTTGACTGAATCAGTGGATAGATGGAAGGGTAATTAGCAGCTCATATTTGCACAGCACTTTCCAGTTTACAAAGCATTATCACATAAACGAGCTCATGTAATCCTCCCAACAGAATGGTGAGGTGAGTGTCACCACTATCCCAATTATATAGATGACAAAACTGAGGCTCAGAGAACTGATGTCAATTGTTCACAGCAGATCCAGGCATTTACTGAATGAATGAATGAGGTGGTAAGCCAGGGTCTGAAATCACATTGTCTTCTCCAAATTCCATATTCTCTACCATGGCTGCTGCTGCTGTCTTTATGAAGAGTTAAACAGAGTCTCCTCTCAGGAACTGATGTTGGAGGTAGTTGTAAGTACAAGACCGTACAGAAATCACTCCCAGAGCCCCAACATCACCTTCTTTCCATGGACGGAGTGACCTGTTCTCCTCCAAGCCTGCCAAGCCTTTCCTCTCACAACCATCCCAGCCCACTTGTAACACATCTCCTTACAAGCCCATGCCCCGTATACTGTGAGCCCCAGGAGGAGCACTGGGCCTTATTCATCTGTGTCCCCAGTGTCTGGCATCACCCAGGTACTGAATGAATGAATGAGGTATGTGGCAGATTATCTTTTCCTATGTTCTCCAAAACAAGGAAACAGCAATAGCTTGACCCCCAAGATTCTGCCCAGTGGCTTGGTATCAAGGGAATGTACTGGGCCAGTTTTGAAAATCCATAATCTCTCCCTCTCTCATTGCCTCTCTCTCTCAGAAGGCTTGCCAATGCTCAGAAGGAGGCTAAATATCAACAGGGTTATCCCAACCCCCGGAGAGCAAAAGGGGACAAGCACATCTCAGCTGCTGTGCCCCAGGCAGCCCCAAAGAGGAGCTAAATTTTCTTTCTCCCTCTAAAAGGGCCTACATAGCAATGCTTCCACCCACATCTTGGCTCTCCCACACCCCGCTTTTCTGCCTCCCTGCAGACAGCCCGCTCTGCCACACTCCCACCCAGCCCTCTGCTATCAGAGCTCTGAACACCCAAAAAGGAAAAACGATTTGTGCTGAGCGCGAAGACAGAGCCAGGGAGGAAGGGAAGGGCTGCTCGCTGCCAGCTGACGTTCTGCAGACTGAGCTGCCTGTGTCTGTGCCAAGGGTGTGGCCACCGGCGAATTCTGAGAGAGATGAGGGAAGGAGAGAGAGAAAAATGTACTGATTTCCACAGCACATCTTGAGTCCTATCTTAAACTGTACTGAATTGACTGTCCTATGAGAGAGAATGAGATCAAAGGCCCGTAGATTATAGAGAACTACCAGCCATACATTCACTCAACAAACATTTACTGGGCACACTACATGCCAGGCAAAACATGCAGCGCAAGGAATGCAGATGTGAAAGACAGCACACCTGTCCTGGAATATCTCACATTTGAGTGGGAGAGACACACAAGGAAACAGGCAACTGTAATACAGCGTAATCAGTACTAAAGAAGAGACAAGCACTGGACACAGTGAGAGGCCAGAGGAGGGGGAGCTCACTCAGACTCAGGAGCAGAGGGGCAGTCAGAGAGTCTGCCTGGAGGAGGTGACATCTAACACACTGAATCGTGAGGAATGAGGAGGAATTAGATTGGTATAAATGGGAGGAAAGGCATTCCTAGGCAGCAGAAGTAGCCTGTGAAAAGGCATGGGGATGAAAGTGCATAGGCCAGCAAGTACTGGGATTTGGTGTGGCAGAGTGAGGGGTTAAGGCTCTTGTCAGAGAAGCTAAGGATTTTGGATGTTATTTTAAAAACAGCTAGAGTATCATCAAAAGGCTTGGAGGGTGTGTGACTGATCAGATTTGCATTTTGGAAAATGAGTCTGGCAACTAAGTAAAGAATGGATTCCCAGAATATGAGATGGGGGAGAAAGGGAGCAAAAGGAAGCTAGGGAAGTAACCCAGTGAGAAATGGTGAGGACCTGAATTTAGGGCAGCTCCCATTGGAAGGAAAAGGAAAACACAGATCTGCGAGGCATTTAAGAAGTAGAATTACTGGACATGGTGACCAGCATGGGGGGCACAGGCAGGGAAAAGGAGCTGATGCCCATGTTCTGACTTGGGTGTTGAGTGGGTCAGGTGAGAGTGCCATGAGTAGAGATGGGGAATCTGGGCAGAGGAGAAGGTTTAGTGGGAAAACAGATGAGTCCTGTGTGGAGTCCCTTCAGTTGGAGGCATCTGCAGACATCTAGTGGGAGAGAGTCAGCAGCAGGGTAAAGGAAAGGTGTGGGGCAAGAGGAGAGCTGGACCAGAGAGTCAAAGTAGCTTCTGTGGTTAAAAGCACGGGTGTGGAGGAGATCGTCTAAGAAAAATGTGCACATCAAGAGTGTGTGAACTCCATCTTCCTGTCCCCAGGCATGATGGGCTGAGATAATACAAGTGAAAGTGCTTAGCCTGATACATGGGTCAGAATGGATGCTCAATAAATTTTACTTGAGAGAGAGTAGGTCAAGAATCATGAATAGGCTGGGTGCATTGGCTCATGCCTGTAGTACCAGCACCTTGGAAGACCAAGGCAGTAGGATCACTTGAGCTCAGGAGCTCAAGACCAGCCTGAGCAACATAGCAAGGCCTCATCTCTACTAAAAAACTCTTTTATTTATTTATTTGTTTATTTATTTATTGAGACAGAGTCTCGCTCTGTCGCCCAGGCTGGAGTGCAATGGTGCGATCTCTGCTCACTGCAAGCTCCGCCTCCCAGGTTCACGCCATTCTCCTGCCTCAGCCTCCCCAGCAGCTGGGACTACAGGCACATGCCGCCACGCCCGGCTAATTTTTGTATTTTTAGTAGAGATGGGGTTTCATTGTGTTAGCCAGGATGGTCTCAATCTCCTGACCTTGTGATCCGCCCACCTCGGCCTCCCAAAGTGCTGGGATTACAGGCATGAGCCACCACGCCCGGCCAAAAAAAAAAAAATTCCTTTAAATAGCTGGGCATGGTGGTGTACACCTGTAGTCCCAGTTGCTCAGGAGGCTGAGGTGAGTGGATCACTTGAGCCTGGGAGATCAAGGCTGCAGTGAGCTATAATCACACCACTGCACTCCAGCATAGGCGACATAATGAGACCCTGTCTCAAAAATAAAATTTTTAAAAATCACAAATAATCATTTAGTCTAATGTTTTGCTTCCAAACATAATTGGGAAGTCCTTCTAATGTGTGTCTTGAATCCTCCTTTCATAATTCTTGCCTTTCCAGTCCTCAAGTCCTGATCGCCTTGCTCGCTATTTGCACCAGTGGCTTACTCTCTGTCCCTGCCTCCTACACTCTCCACTGTCAGATATTTTCAAGCTGTTTTATTTTCAGACAGTCTTCGTCATTGCCATCAGCTGCCTATTTGAGGTATTCTCATCAAATATTGTATTTGTGTAGCTAAACCATAACTTTCTGTAGAGGAAAGCAATGGCACAAATAATCCAAAAATGACACATTTAAGTGACTTCTAATTGGCTTGGGAAGTTGTTTTGGTCCTTGCATCTGAATGTACGTACATTAGATATTCCAAAAATCGAATTCAGGGAAAATGGCCATAGTAGCGGGGAAATGATGCAAGAAGAACTTGCCTAGAAACTTCCTAATTGTTTCATGCCACTCTCTTCAACAAGGCACCAAGCCTTCCATGCATCCGTCATTTTCTCTACCCATCCATTCCATCTATCCATTCTCCAACCCATCCATTCATCTATCCATCCATCTCTTCATCCACCTATCCTCCAAATCCATCCAACTGTCCACCTATCCATCCATCCATCTATCTAAAAATATCTTTGAGTGCCTACTCTATGCCAGACGCTGCACTAGGTGCTGAGGAATATGAAAACAAATGGGACTTGGAACCAAGAAACTTCCAGTCTGAATGGAAAGACCCAAGATTAAAAATAACTCTACCCGATAAGTACTCTAAAAGAAGAATTAGAAAAGAGAACACAACTCTTTCTGGAAGAACCAAGGAAGGCTTCATAAAAGGGGGTCTTGAAGGAGAAGAGAGATTTGGCGATGGACAGTTTTACTTCTCACAGAGATACGGGACAGAGAAGCAATATTCACCACCCCAATGCAGGTCACTCCTGGGCATGATAATCTATCTATGGGACTTCAAACTACCACATCTCTTATGGGCTCAGTATCTTCATCAGTAGATCAGAGGGATTGTATCACTAGTTTTCAAACCATGCTCTGTTGAACCTAGGGCAACAAACTGTCCTGGTTTGCCCAGGTTCCAGATATTTCTCAGGATGCAGGACTTTCAGTGCCAAAACTAGACAAATTGAGCCAGCTGGGACTGGTATGCTGCATTGGCCACTCAGAAGAAATATAAATAAATAAAGTCAGACAAACTGGGATGAGTTGGTCAATCTAACTGAACCTTATAGCTGTCATAGGGAGGCCACCAAGGCAAGGGGTAGGAGAGGCAAGATTTAGGGAGGAGGCCAGTCCAATGGGGCTCAGAGCCCCCAGTTCCACTTTAACTGGATCAGTTGTGTCGTGTTTTACACATTGAGCTTCCAGGTTAGATGTTTGTTTGTTTGTTTTGAGATGGAATCTCACTTTGTTGCCCAGGCTGGAGTGCAGTGGTGCAATCTCAGCTCACTGCAACCTCCACCTCCCAGGTTCAAGTGATACACCTGCCTCAGCCTCCCAAGTAGCTGAGATCACACCCGGCTAACTTTTTTGTATTTTTGGTAGAGACAGGGTTTCACCATGTTGGCCATGCTGGTCTCCCACTCCTGGCCTCAAGTGATCCACCCACCTTGGCCTCCCAAAGTGCTGGCATTATAGGCGTGAGCCATTGCACCTGGCCCGTTACCCTTTTTTTTTTTTTTTTGAGATGGGATTTCGTTCTTGTTGCCCAGGCTGGAGTGCAGTGGCATGATCTTGGCTCACTGTAACTTCCACCTCCCGGGCTCAAGTGATTCTCCTGCCTCAGCCTCCACAGTAGCTGGGATTACAGGCATGCACCACCACGCCCAGCTAATTTTGTATTTTTAGTAGAGATGGGGTTTCTCCATGTTGGTCATGCTGGTCTCGAACTCCTAACCTCAGGTGATCCACCCACCTCGGCCTCCCAAAGTGCTGGGATTACAGGCGTGAGCCACCGCGCCCGGCCCCATCATTCTGATTTCTATTTTTTTTGCTTTATCTGGTAAGAGGGAGAAAGGACTATAAGATAGAAATAAACATTTTAGCTCAAAAGTCTTCCTTTCTATAGAATTTTCAGAAGCTCTAAAATAAATAAGAAAGTACTAAACATGAAACGTGGTCAAGTTTTAAAATCCATAACATCCAGACCAACCTGCAGGAAGGCAGCCTTCATTTTATACCTTTCTCACTCTCCACTTGTTCTAAAATTATATCACTGACTGTAAGTGGGGTGACAAGTTTTTTTTTTAGACGGTGTCTCGCTCTGTCGCCTGGGCTTGGAGTGCAGTGGCGTGATCTCGGCTCACTGCAAGCTCCGCCTCCCGGGTTCACACCATTCTCCTGCCTCAGCCTCCCAAGCAGCTGGGACTACAGGCGCCCGCCACCATGCCCAGCTAATTTTTTGTATTTTTAGTAGAGATGGGGTTTCACCGTGTTAGCCAGGATGGTCTCAATCTCCTAACCTCGTGATCCACCCACCTCGGCCTCCCAAAGTGCTGGGATTACAGGCGTGAGCCACCATTCCCCGGCCAAGCTGGGGGACAATTAACTAGCCTCAAGAACCTCCTCTTGCTTCAGGATGGGGCAGAGTGCTGAGAGCGGACCAGGGGAAGGAGTTGGAATCAACATCCCAGCTCCCCCTCCCACCCTAGATCCCTTTGGCGGCTCTAATTGAGGCCTGTCACAAAGAGAGAAGGCAGCTGCAAATTGCATTCATCAACAAATTACAGCCAATTAGAGCCCCAGTCCCAGCCTACTGGGGGTGACATGAGGCCAGTCAAAATCCCTTCTGATTCAGCAATGCCAAAGGTTTTGGGCTGCCAGGGTCACTTTCTGCAATCCAGACCCGGAACTTTATCCTGGGCCTGCACCCTGCCTTCCGAAAATCCCTCAGGGAAGATGGGGGCTTCCCCCAACCCTCAAGAAGTCTCCAGGGTGCTTCTCTCAGCCATCACTGAAGTTCACCTAGTGATCTAGGCCCAATCTCTGCTGCTATGCTGCTTTTTTGTTAAGTTATAGACATGTTGGTTTTATTCAAAAGAATAAAATGCTTGACAAACTGAAAAATATGGAATGCTTCATCAATTTGCGTATCATTCTTATGCAGGGGCCATACTAATCCTCTCTGTATCATTCCAATTTTAGTATATGTGTTGCTGAAGCCAGTGTGTGCTACTGCTGTGCTTTAAGCTGAGTTTTCTCCAGATTTGGTCCTTGGGGGGAACTGATTTGCTGGCACTTCAAGGGCCTGCTGAGAACTCTTTGCTTGCTGGCTTTGGGCCAGCTGAGCTCTGCCATCCTTCTGCCCATCCTGACAACATTGGGCCAAAGCTAGGGTGAGGTCAACATGAAACCTGTGGAGGTGTAATGGAAGTGTCACCTCCCAGAAGGGCAGGTATGTGGCCACCCATACCTGTCCACAGCTGCTTCTTCACTCCCCTCCCTGGAGCCAGCAGCTCTGGTTTCAACAGTGCGAGGGTGTGTGTGCGTGTTTGTGTGTGTGTTCGCATGCATGTGCATGTGCATTTGTGAGACACACCACAGGACATCTACATGCTAGGGACAGAAAGATGGGGAGGGCATGACGCTGGATTTTCTCTGTTTGATCTCGAGTGTAAAAGAGCAGCCAAATGCCCTCAAATAATGTTCTTTTTCTCCCTCTCTTGCTTTTCTCCCCAGGACTCTGGCACTTCTACAAATAGAGCTGTGCCAGAAGAAAAGGAAGTTTCAGCACTCAGTCCATCCACACCCCCCACCCCCTGAAACAATAATCTCTTCCTCTCTCCCAGCCCCTGTTTGAATTGGGGAGGGGGAGGGAAAGGAGGCGTCTTTTCTGTTCTGAAGTTTCTAAGGAAGCCAGTACAGACGCACCCTTCCCCTTCCAGGGAATGTATCCTGTGATGTTTAAGTAGGAGTCAAGCCTTGAGAATGAATTTCTCTTGAACTGTCCTTTCTCCACCACAGGAGATGGGATGGGTACACCCAATAAAGGAGAAAGAGCAAGAGAAGGGGTTAGGGTCAGATGTCCCCAAGGATATCAAAGTTTTCTGCCTAAGGGAACAGTGGGGCTCAGATGACCCATAGGCAAGGAAAGAGGTCAAGGAATGACTCAGTAGCCACAGCCTCCTGGAGCCTCTTGAAGAAACTCAAGGTTTCAACCTGATAAACATTCTCAAGACAGACAAGGCAGGATCAGAAGTAGGAATCCTGGGCAACATAGTGAGACCCTGTCTCTACAAAAAGTAATTAGTTGGGCATGGTGGTGTGCACCTGTGGTCCCAGCTGCTAGAGAGTCTGAGGTGGGAGGATCGCTTGAGCCCAAGAGTTCCAGGCTGCAGTGAGCCGTGACCATGCCACTGCACTCCAGCCTGGGCAACAGAGTGAGACGCTGTCAAAAAAAAAAAAAAAAAAAGAAAGAAAGAAAGAAGGAAAGAAAGAGGAAGAAAAAGAAACAGAAAGAGAAAGAAGGTGGGACAAGGGCAGATAAGGGTTGAGGCCAGGCTGAGAGTGAGAGTAGAAAGAGGACTGGGTTGCCAAGTGTGGATAACAATCAGGGCTGTGCTTGCTCGGGTCAGCTCACTCTTCTCTTCTCAGGCTACTCCCTGAGTGGATGCCTTGGTGCTCCACCCAGATTCCCGGTGCTGACTGTGAGTTTTGGCTGCCAATGGCTCTCCATCTCTGGACTTGCCCTTGGCCTAGAGGGCAGCCAATTAGCTGACTGACAGGGACATAAAAAACTAGCCTCCCTGACTCAGGTGGGATCCTTTCTGTCATACAGTTGTCCACCCAGAGCTTCCCACAGGATCAAGCCAAAACCAGACTCAGCTGTGAAGCACATCCTTGCTTCCCCACTCTGTGCCCCACCCTCTTTCCTTTCCTCCCTTCTCCTGAGAGTTTGCCTCACAATAAACCATGTGCCGCCCAAATCCCCATCTCAGTCTGCACATCAAGGGAACCAGATCTAAGACACTTCTTTGGGTACAAATTGCACCTTAGCTCCAGTGCCTAGGATGCTGTGTCAGCCCCTAGTCAGCCTTCAGTGCACAATAAAGATTTTTAAAAATTTTTTCGGCCGGGCGTGGTAGCTCACATGTGTAATCCCAGCACTTTGGGAGGCCGAGGTGGGCGGATAATATGAGGTCAGTAGCTCAAGACCAGCCTGGCCAACATGGTGAAACCCCGTCTCTACTAAAAATACAAAAATTAGCCAGGCCTGGTGGCGTGAGCCTGTCATCCCAGCTGCTCAGGAGGCTGAGGCAGGACAATCACTTGAACTCAGGAGGCAGAGGTTGTAGTGAGCCTGGATCGCGCCACTACACTCCAGCCTAGGCGACAGAGCAAGACTCCGTCTTGAAAAAAAAAAAAAAAATTCTAGTCTCTCACTATGAAACTACAGTAAATAATGCTAAATACTATTCATATTATATGTGGTTAATTGAAAGAAGGAGTGATTGGTTGAATTAATGCTCTGGATGGGAGATAAGTAGGTGGGGGAATTTATTGTAGGACCACCCCCCCATATACACACACACGTTAACCAGATGCCCATGGCTCATCCCAGTACATCCTGTCTACATATAGGCCACCTGCTTACATCTATGCAAAGTCAGGGACAGATAATCCAGTTTGTGGATTATCCAGACCCCCAGCTGGCATGTTCCTTCTCAATATTGCCTCCCTGAACCCTCCCTCTGCTCCAGCACTTTCCCGGGGGTAGAGGGTGGGCAGAGACAGGCAGCAGGGGAGGGCAGGATGATGAAACCTCAGTCTGTCAACACTGTTGCTGCTGCCTCAGCAGTCTGATGAAAGATTAGAAACTATTGGGTAAAATCATGTTAGGAATTTTCTATGGATTCCAGGTATCTGGGCTCATCACCAAGTAGACAATTAAGAGTTGTTTGTGTGGTGAAAACACCTTGAACAAGGCCAGGAAAGTCACCTGCTAAGTAACCAAGTTTGGATCACTGAGAATCATAGTATGATAAGATACCATCTTAAAATGATTTAAGATATGCAAAGTCCTCTCCTATTCTGAAAGCTTTCCAAGAAAAGAAGTATGTGGATCTTTCAGGTTTTTCAGTCCTTCCTATCAAGAAGGCCTTCCTATAATTTACCTTCCTTCCATACTGTTACAGTTCTGGTCTGTTTCTCTTTTTTTTTTTTTCTCTGAGACAGGGTCTCACTCTGTCACTGAAGCTGGAGTGCAGTTGCAGTGGTTTGAACACAACGACTGCAGCCTCTGCCTCCTAGGCTCAAGCAATCCTCCCTCCTTAGCCTTCTGAGTAGCTGGGACCACAGGAGCCACCATGCACAGCTAATTTTTCTTTTTGTAAAGACAGGATCTTCTTTAGTTGCCCAAGCTGGTCCTGAACTCTGAGTTCAAGCAATCCTCCCGTCTCAGCCTCCCAAAGTGCTGGGATTACAGACATGAACCACTGCGCCTGGCCCTGTTTCTCTTCTGATTTCAGACAAAAAGGAGAACAAGTGTTTCATTCTTTTACTCATAATGCTCCTTCCCCCCAAATATGTGGATGCACTATCTGTAGAAACAGAATGTGAAGCCGGGCACAGTGGCTCACGCCTGTAGTCCCAGCACTTTGGGAGGCCAAGGTGGGTGGACTCCGAGGCCAGGAGTTCAAGACCAGCCTGGCCAACATAATGAAACCCCATCTCTACTAAAAATTAGCTGGGCATGGTGGCAGGCACCTGTGATCCCAGCTGCTTGGGAGGCTGAGGCAAGAGAATCGCCTGAGCCTCGGAGGCAGAGGTTGCTGTGAGCCGACATCACGCCACTGCACTCCAGCCTGGGCGACAGAGCAAGACTCCATCTCAAAAGAAAAGAAAAGAAAAGAAAAGAAAAGAAAAGAAAAGAAAAGAAAAGAAAAGAAACAGAATGTGAAGAATGTGAGCCACATATGTAATTTTAATATTTCTGATAGCCACATTTTAATGTTAAAAAGAAACAACTGAATCTAATTTTAATCATTTTATTTAACTCATTATGTAAAAAGTATCACTTCAACATATGCATAATCAATATAAAAAGTATTAATAAGAAATTTTACATTCTTTTTTCACATGAAGGCTCTGAATCTGTTGTGTATTTTACACGTACAGCATATCTCAGTTCAGACCAGCCACACTCCCCATGTTCAATCACCATGTGTGGCTCATGGCTGCCATATTGGACACCACAGGTCTAGAGCTTGGGAGTCTCTTCTTTGACACCTGCCCTACAACCTACTCTTCTGGAGTAGGAGGTAGAGAATGTGAATCTAGATACAGCCTATCCTCAGGTGACAGTGGGAGGAGTTGAAGGACAGGAGTGGTGGACAGAGTCTGAGAGTGTCTCAGGCCAGGTAATTACAGGGAAAGGAGGAACAAAACTGTATCTATTAAACCTCAGACTCAGGCCTTTCCTCCTGAGGAGTAGGTGGAGCCAAAAAGGTGCTCCGAAGCCTACAATGCTCCAGGTCCCTCATTAATCAGAATACTTAATTCTGGCTCCAAGCTGACTTCTTTTCCTTACCTCCTCCAGGAAGCCTTCCCAGATAAATTCTCCAACCTTAACTGATAGAGACCCTGTCTCTAAAAAAATAAAAGAATTAGCTGGGCATGGTGGCACATGCCAGTAGTTCCAGCTACTTGGGAGGTTGAGATGGGAGAATCGCTTGAAACTGGGAGGTCAAGGCTGCGGTGAGCCAGGATTGTATCCCTGCGCTCCAGCCTGGGTGACAGCAAAACTCTGTCTCAAAAACAAGCAAACAAATAAAACAAAAACAAAAAAACAGATGAAGAGAGAAAGACTATTAAAGAGCTTCCCATGCCCACCTTGTACTGAGAACCATAGAAAGTGTACTAGAAAAGATCTGCTATTGCCTACTCAATCCCCTCACTTTACAGATGAGTAAACTGAGGCCAAGAGACTAGAAATGGCTCGGTCAAAGTCACAGAAGTTGGTGGCAGAGCCAAGTCTTAACCTGTATGTTGCCTTGTGGGTTACTGTTTGGGGCACTGCAAAGTCAGACTGGTGGCTCTGTTCCTCCCCCATCAGGCTAGGAGAGTTCCAGAGAGTGAGTAAGCAGTTCTGTCTTCTCTCTCCTTAAGGATAAGAGAGGCATCTGGAATGCAAAGCAATGGTAATCTTATAAAAACAAATACAATCAAAAGCACCAAACTTCACTTTCAACAAGCTTTTGAAACCCAGCTGTCCCCCCACCCTCCTCCAAAGGATTTCTCATGAGATTTAACAAATTTAATAGGAGGAGGTAGGGACTGCTAAAGAGATAAGCTCTCCCGCTTGCTCACCTCCCCACCTCCCCACCTCCCCACCTCCCCACCTCCCCACCTCCCCACTCCACTGAGGAGGGGCATAGACCCAGGATTTTCCCAGGAGCCTTAAGTCAAGCCCCAAACACTCCAGAGTGACCAAGATATCTGCTACTTCAGGCTTCTGCTTCCTTTTACAAGAGTCCTTGAGCTATAGCAGTTGGTGGGAGTCTCTACATGGGGGTGGGGTGTCTGTATGGGGGAGGTCCAGGGCTCCACTGCTGCCCAATTCATTCGGGCTGAAGTTTCCTTCTCTGTGTTCCCTTCAGAGCATACACTCTTGGTCTCAGCCTCACTTCCTCCCTAAGCCAAATCCCGGGAATCTATTTCAGGGCTTGTTTCGCCCACTCTGCCTGACGTCTGTGACAAGCTGGGTGCTAGGGAGTCCTCACCATCTGCCCACCTCCGCCACCAGCCAGGCAGTCCCAGGTGGCGCTCAATCCTTAGCCCCGGAAAGTGAGCCCAAGCTTACTCGCTATCCCTGCAAATCCTCTGCTGAGTTGCTGGTGATTTTATTCCTTACCTCCCAAAAAGCACAGGCGCCTTTACTGGCAGCTCTGGTGAAAAAAATTTTAAAAAAATAAAAAATAAATAAGGAGGCCAGGTGCAGTGGCTCGTGCCTGTAATCCCAGCACTTTGGAAGGCCGAGCCGGGCAGATCACCTGAGGTCGGGAGTTCGAGACCAGCCTGACCAACATGGAGAAACCCTGCCTCTACTAAAAATACAAAATTAGCCAGGCATGGTGGCGCATGCCTGTAATCCCAGCTACTCAGGAGGCTGAGGCAGGAGAATCACTTGAACCCAAGAGGTGGAGGTTGTAGTGAGCCGAGATCGCGCCATTGCACTCCAGCCTGGGCAACAAGAGTGAAACTCCGTCTCAAAAAAGAAAAAAAAAAAAAAAAAGCAAGAGCACTGTAATGTCTCCTCTACCATATACACACATCTTAGCTTGAAAAAGCCTTGAGATCTGGGAATAGAGGATGAGGAAGCTGGATTTAATTTCCCTCCCACCCAACCTCTACACAAACACATAAACTTTGGCAGTATCTATGACAACTTTAAATACATACACCCTTTGACACAACAATTGCAACTCTAGGAATATATCTTATGGGAAAGCTTCCCCAAGTGTACCAAAAAATATATATGCAAGGAGGACCATGGCTGTGGGCAGACTGTGTCTTCAACAAGTGATTTAATTAATTAATGATGGTACATTCATACAATGGAATCTCATGTGGTCATCAAAAAGAATGAGAAAAATCCAGATGGAAGCCTTCCCTTCTGAAGCCCCTCCTCATGAGGGCAAAGATGGCAGTGGTATAATGGAATAATGGCATGCATGGAATAATGTCCAAGATATAAATGAGAAAAGCAAAACTGTTTGCTTTATATAATTCCATATATGTTCTATAGACATACCTCTTTTGTACATGCAGAGAAAAAAATTCCCAGAAGAATATATAAAAACCTGTTCACAACGGTTAGCTCTAAAGTTGAGATTATAAAGTTTCTTCTTTTTCTTTTTTTTTTTAGACAGGACCTTACTTTGTCCCCCAGGCTAGTGTGCAGTGGTGCAATCTTAGCTCACTGCAGCCTCGACCTCCCAGGTTCAAGATATACTCCTGCCTCAGCCTCCCAAGTAGCTGAAACTACAAGCATGTGCCACCATGTCTGGATAATTTTTGTATTTTTTGTAGAGATGGGGTTTCGCTATGTTGCCCAGGCCGGTCTTGAACTCCTAAGCTCAAGGGATCTACCCGCCTCAGCCTCCCAAAGTGCTAGCATTACAGGCATGAGCCACCGTGCCCAGCCAGTTTCTTCATTTTCTTTTTCTTTTTTTAATGTTTCATTAAACAAGTTGTGAGATTAGGTTTCTTCATTTTCTAAATTTAGATTTCTTCCACATAGAGATCTATAAGATCTATTACTTTTCCAATGAGGGAGAGAAAATTTTTTTTAAAAAGAAGGAGCTGGCCGGGTGCAGTGGCTCATGCCTGTAATCCCAGTACTTTGGGAGGCCAAGGCGGGTGGATCACCTGAGGTGAGGAGTTTGAGACCAGCCTGGTCACATGGCAAAATCCCGTCTCTACTAAAAGTACAAAAAATTAGCCAGACATGGTGGCATGTGCCTGTAATCCCAGCTACTCCAGAGGCTGAGGTAGGAGGATCACTTGAACCTGGGAGACGGAGGTTGCAGTGAGCCAAGATCATACCACTGCACTCCAGCCTGGGTGACAGAGAGAGACTCCGTCTCAAAACAAAAACAAAAACAAACAAACAAAAAACTCTCAGGGCAAAGTAAAAATTTAAAAAAAAAAAAAAAAAGGCTGGGCGCGGTGGCTCACGTCTGTAATCCCAGCACTTTGGGAGGCCGAGGCGGGTGGATCACAAGGTCAGGAGATCGAGACCATCCTGGCTAACATGGTGAAACCCCGTTTCTACTAAAAATACAAAAAAATTAGCCGGGCGTGGTGGCGGGCACCTGTAGTCCCAGCTACTCAGGAGGCTGAGGCAGGAGAATGGCATGAACCCGGGAGGCGGAGCTTGCAATGAGCTGAGATCACGCCACTGCACTCCAGCCTGGGCGACAGAGCGAGACTCCATCTCAAAAAAAAAAAAAAAAAAAAAAAAAATAGGAACATGGCTGGGTGTGGTGGCTTGTATTGCTAATCCCAGTGCTTTGGAAGGCCAAGGCAGGAGGATCGCTTGAGGTCAGGGGTTCCAGACCACCCTGGCCAGGCAAGAGGGCAAGGCCCCATCTCTACAAAAATAAAAAATAAAAAGAATAGGAATATCTAACATGTTCAAAAAAATTTTTTAAGGGAACAGCGAATACCCTCTTCTGGATCATCCAGAGGAGGAGGTCTCATGCATCCACCCACAAACTCCCCAACAGATGGCCTTGGAAATGAAGTGCAGCCACACTGCCCACCCTTTCCAGCTGAATGCTGGCCTGGGTCTCCCTTGCCACCCTCACTCCCTCC
Organism: Homo sapiens; assembly: GCF_000001405.40. NCBI lineage: Eukaryota > Metazoa > Chordata > Mammalia > Primates > Hominidae > Homo > Homo sapiens. Next base: position 43,404,275 of record NC_000017.11, on the reverse strand, counting down.
CTTTCCTCTCTACCCACTGGCCCCATTCAAAACAGGCTTGTGTTAGAGAACATGCTGTCCTGTGTGCTCCTAGCACTTGGGCAGAACTCAGCACTTCCCAGGCCCTGGTGGAGGTGTCCATCTCAAGAAAGACTTGCAATGACACGTGGTCAGGATAAAGGAAGGATGGGAACTTCTGGCCAGATTTGAGGCCAGACCTCTGCTGGGCTTAGGAGATAAAGCTCTCACTCCCCAGGAAGGGGAGTGAGAGAGCGGAAAGCTGGTCCTTAATCTAATCAAGGAGAGGGAAGAGGGAGGGAGGGGGGAATCTGAGCTCTGAGATAACTGTGCTCGCTCCCTGTCTCCTACCTCCTATCCTCTGCCCTGGGAGTACAAAGACCTGGCCTGGGAGGAAGGAGCTGGGTGCACTGCTAAGTGGCCGTGTATCCGCGGGCAAGTCACTGCCCACTCTGGGCCTTAGGGACTTCTTTCCTTCCTCTGTCTTCCTTGAGCCCTTGCAGCATGGAGAGGACTGGAAAGGGCATGGGAAAGTGGGGGACCACTGCCATCTTTGCCCTCATGATGAGGAGCTCCAGGAAAGGAAGGCTTCCATCTGGATTTTATGTTCCAACCTGTGCAAGAAGGGGTGGCTGGGTGGGGAAGGACAGCTCAGAAGAAAGCCTCAACTCTGGGGTTGGGCATGGTGGCTCACGCCTGTAATCCCAGCACTTTGGGAGGCTGAGGCAGGCAAATCACTTGAAGTCAGGAGTTCAGGACCAGGCTGATCAACGTGGCGAAACCCCATCTCTACTAAAGATACAGAAATTACCCAGGCATGGTGGTGCGTGACTGTAATCCCAGCTACTTGGGAGGCTGAGACATGGGAATTACTTGAACCGGGGAGGTGGAGGTTGCAGCAAGCCAAGATCGCACCGCTGCACTCCAGCCTGGGTAACAGAGGAGGAAAAAAAAAAAAAAAAAACGGCCTCTACTCTGGAACTCTGGGTCTACAGCAGGTTTCCCTCAACTTTACAGGCAACTAGCCTCAGCCACACCACTCTTGGCCCCCAAGGAAGAGCTCCTCAGCACCCATGCCAGGGTCTCGAAGAAATCCTACTTAATAGAGAAGCCAGTACAGGGCAAATATAACCTCACTCTCCATCCTGATCACACCCTCATTCCTTGCCCTTGCCCTGAGTTCAAAATGCAGAATCTCTGGGCAGGACTGGAGAGTGAGAGGTTCTCTCTCCCTCTCTCATCCTGCAGATAGGAAGTGATCCCTTCCCTTCCAGCTCTCCAGTCCCTTTGATGAGCCAAGGCAGGAGGATTATTCCAAAGCTCCTGACTCTGACCCGGCCACAATTTGTGGCTTTCTACTCAGAATTCCCCAGTGTTCCCCTCTCCCCACTACTCTGGCAGAGCAGTTGGCTTCTCCGTCTCTCTCTGACACAAGCCCCCATCTTCCTTTAGTGCCACCAGCTGGACAGTCAGGCCAGAGGGACTGGGGAAGAGCCTGGGACATTCAAAGGCCTCCTGTGGACCATGATCCCTGACCGCCCCCAGGGCTGGGCATGGGGAAGCAGAAGATACCTGTTTTAAGCAGGTAGGGAAGGAGTGTGGTTGGAAGAGCCAGAATCAGGAGCTGACATCTTGGAGGCCCCTCTGCTAGGGATTGGGGAACACCTCTGCACCTCTTCCCCCAAATCTGGAGACCTAAGTACACCAAGTGACAAGAAATGAAAATGTATAATTGAAGATTTTAAGACAAAAGAGCAGAATTTGGGTGGGGTGGGGAGGAAAGATCTCCTGGCAGGACAGAGGGTCAGTTCTGGCCAGTTCCTTTCCAGCCTGGACTGGGGCCTCAACCTGTCCTTGGGCTATAGGACTGTGCCCCAAAAAGACTGGGAGAGGAGTCGCAGGTGTGTCTGGGGGAGGGGCAGGTAGCACATGTTCCCAGCAGAACCAGCCCAGCAGTTCTGTCAAGCAGGCCCTAGCACTGACGCACACTTGGGCACCCTTCCGGATCAATGCACACTCACCCCAATCCTGCCAGCTACAGGGATGGGGAGGGGACCAAATCTGAGCTTCTGGCAGCGCTGGGTAGGAAGAAGCAAGTTCTTTAGGAAACCTTCCCCAGAAGTGGGGGTTGCCGGCACCTTCTCTTTCTCCCCAGGTCCTTTCATCTGATTCCGGAGAAGAGGAGACAGAATTGGGGAGAAGCAGGGTGTGAACGCTGAACCTGCTCTGGGGATTGTGTGTTTGCACAAAAGGTGGCAGGGGGTGGCTGGAGGGCTCGACAACTGGAAAGAATTGTGCTTGTTTTTTTTCTTTTTTAGAGACATGGTCTCCCTATGTTGCCCAGGCTGGTCTTGAACTCCTGGGCCCAAGCCATCCTCCTGCCTCAGCCTCCCAAAGTGCTGGGATTACAGGCGTGAGCCACTGTGCCCGGCCTTGTGCTTAGTTCTTACTCACTGCTCCCACCCAGAAGATTAAGAGGATCTAAGGGTTCTGTTATCAGACATAGCTGGCCCTGGTGCTGGTGAGTAGGGGCACTCAAGCCCTTGTAATATTAGCATTTTATTCTTACAATCACCACAAATACTGGGGGCTTATGTCTTCCCCCTTCTATCTTGGAGTCTGGAGGGTGTATGTCCAGCAGTCCTCTCTGCCACCAAGCACAAACAGCTACTACTTCTGCCCCTCTCGTGAGAAGAGCTACCATTCCCAGAGCTGGAAAACTCATGGCTTAGTCACCAGGGCCAGGCTGGCTCAATCCAGCCCAGGCCTCCCTAGCACCAGCCGCTGCCATCATGCCAGTGAGCCAGTCAGCAGGATTGAGTACACAGAGGTGACTTAAGGCCAGGGAGGAATTACTTTCCACTCTCACCACATCTTACAAGGAGGAAAAAAATCAAACCAACCTAAGACTGGGGAAGTGGGGAGGATGGGAACAGAATGGCTCTTTGAGGACTTACCTATATAGACTTAGGTGTCACCAAGGTCAAGAACCTAGGAGTAGCTCAGACTAGCAAAATTTGAAGTTAAATCTGCAAGGAGCAGTTGATATAAGGGACAAGTAAGACCCAGAGGATGAGGGGAGGGGTGTTAAATCAGAGAAAAAGGAAGTGACCCCACCCAAAAAACTACAGAGATCAGGCAATAGCTTGAGGGGTTTTCCACTCCCCCCTATAATTTTCACAAGCCATCCCGTAACACACAATCTAATTTTTATAAGTGCTTGCTTTGCAAATTCAGCTTCAAGATAAATCTCCCTCCCCCTGCGCCACAACCCCATATAGAAATCTTGAATTGTCTCTGGGGCAAGATAAGGAGAGGAAAATGCCCCAGACCAAGGTAAGAGCTACAGTTATCAGTCTTTAATAACTTACAGGCAAATGCTAAAAAATAGTTAATAACAATAATACAGAGGACACACACAGCTTATAAAAAGGGTCATGGATCTACAAATGTGGGGAGGGGTTCTTGGCACTTTCACAGACACAAAAATAAAAACTATGTGACTGGTATTCCTAGAAAAGCAGCCTGGGGAGACTCCCCAGTTGGGGGACAGAGGAAGGGGAGATAGTTATTTCATCCCAAACACATTCTCCAAGTCACTTCCATCCCCCCGCCCCCAAACACATCCAATTAAAAATTTTTAGCCAGAGAAGAAAAATAAGAAACAGGGTCGAGGTAGAGTCACAGTTTACATTTACGTCTCCACAGTCCTGCAGCGCCCACTTCTCCAGAGAGGATGAGAGAGATATGCAAAGACATCCCATCTCCCATCCCCACCCCAGTGTGGCACCAAAACGGGACACCCCATGCTCCTCTCTCCTTCATTGAGGTGGACAGGTCCTGCACCCCAGTCTGACTGAGAGGTCACAGGCTGGTCCCACCCTGCTGTCCAAGTGTGCAGACCCCTACTAGGTGGGAGGAAAGGGAGGGGGGGCTTGGGTCACCGTCTCTTCTTGCCACCCCGAGCTGCCTTCTTCCTCTTGAGGATCATCTCATAGAGGCGCTCAAGGCCCTGCTGCAGGCCCAGACCGTCCACAGCGCTGCAGCCTTGCACATGAGTGAGAGTGGCGGCTGCTAGCTCTCGGACTGCCAGCCTCTTCTCCACCTCAGCAGCGCTCAGTGCCCCGGGCTGGTCCTGCTTGTTGGCCAGCACCAGCACTGGCACGCCCTGGTTGTCCGAGGCCCGGCTGATTCGGTGCAACTCCACCTTGGCTTCCTCCAGCCGCTCAGCCTCCGCAGCGTCCACCACAAACACTAGACCGTCTGTCCGGCGGGTATAAGAGCGCCACAGTGGTCGCAGCTTCTCCTGCCCCCCGACGTCCCACACTTGGAAGGTGATGCCACGCGATCCCCCGAGGGGCACCCGGATCTTCTCGGTGTTGAAGCCTTTGGTGGGGACACTCTGGACAAACTCCTTGAACTTGAGGCGGTAAAGGAGGGAGGTCTTTCCAGCAGAGTCCAGCCCAATGACCACGACATGCAGGGCTTGGAAGTGGGGCAAGAAGGAGGAGGCAGTGGGCGCCATCTCAGTCAAGTGGTTCCCCATAGTGAGCTAAGGCGCCTAGTAGAGGCAGGGAGGCCTTGAAATTGAAGGTTCCAGGGAGCACAGCTGGGTTATCTGAACCAAGAAAAGGTCATGGGAGAAAAAGGAGACGTTTAATAATACACACAAGATTTGCAACTTCTTGATCCCTTCCTAAATCACCCTCCCATCCTTCATTTTTAAAATTCCTTTCCTTTTTTTTTTTTTTTTTAAGGCATAACAGAGGTGTTCCCCCACTCCCTGGGGGGGTCGTGAGGGGGGCGATGGGACCTAGAGAGACTCCCAGGTCCTGGGCCACTCAAGTGGGGGGTGAGGGCTCGATCCATGGACAGTGGGCTTCTAGAGCCTCTTCTCAGAGCTTATGGCGCCATCCCCCAGGCAAGATCCCCGAGGGACGGGGGAAGTCGACAGTGCCCCCAAACTAAGAGCTAGGGTGCAGACGCTGAGACCGGAGATTGAGTCCGGCTCCCACCCGCCCTCCGCAGCCCCAAGCCGTTGACACGGTGCCCTTCCTTACTCCGCGACCCTCGCCCCACCGCCCCGCGACACTCTCCTGCCCGCCCGCCCTCCTCCGATGGCCGACCCCAGCTCCAGCGGCCCGGCACCGGGACCGCCTCAGCACGGTCTGCAGGGTCCGTTTACCTCTCGTGAGCCGCGCTCTCCTCGAGCCTTTCCCGGTGAAACACCGCAGCCGCCCCGCGAGACCCCCGCAGACACCCACCGCGCCTCCAACCGCTGCCTCTGCAGAGCCTGCCTAGGGTTCGGCCTTAAAAACCCGCGTGTGACGTCACAAGGCGCGGGACAATCAGCGGCGGCGGGGCGGAGCGTGGAGCTACGGGCGCTGCAGCCCCCACCATACGCGGAGGGGCGTTTGCTTAATCCGTGGCTGCTCTATTTGACCTTTTCTACCACACTCTAATATTTGGAATTAAACTTGGAATTAATGCAGAATGGAGGGTGGGAGGGGCGAAAGGAACGTGCCTGGCAACGTTTGACTCGGGAGGAAAGATATGAATACCCTAATATTCTCACTACCATCGCATCCCCCTCCACCAGGCCGAGATACCACCCCACATGGACACTCCTTCGGCCAAAGGATCTACTCGGAGAGGCTGACAAGTCTTTCTCCTTTATCTTTCATAATTCAATTGTCAAACCTAAGGTGAACCTGGAGCCCCATAAAACAGCTGCTTCATAGTGCTAAGCCCATTATCTGCAATAGCCTGTTAGGGACTGTTGTCTGCCTTTTACAGATACACAAAGCCCTGAAGGGTTAAATGACCTATTTGAGGTTACACTCAACAGTATGTTTAGGCGCAGTGGATCATACCTGTAAACTCAGCACTTTGGGAGGCTGAGGCAGGCACATCACTTAAGCTCAGGAGTTCCACCAGCCTGGACAACAGGGTGAAACCCCATCAGTAATAAAAAGACAAAAATTAGCCGGGCGTGGTGGCGGGTGCCTGTAATCCCAGCTACTCGGGAGGCTGAGGCAGGAGAATCGCTTGAACCCGGGAGGCGGAGGTTGCAGTAAGCTGAGATAGCGCCACTGCATTCCAGCCTGGGCGACAGAGCAAGACTCTGTCTCAAAACAAAGCAAACAAAAAAAAAAAACCAGTGTGTTTATTGGGCTGGGCACGGTAGCTCACGCCTGTAATACCAGCATTTTGGGAGGCCGATGTGGGCGAAGCACCTGAGGTCAGGAGTTCGAGACCAGCCTGGCCAACATGGTGAAACCCCGTCTCTACTAAAAATACAAAAATTAGCTGGGTGTGGTGGCGGGCGCCTGTAATTGCAACTATTCGGGAGGCTGAGGCAGGAGAATCACTTGAACCCGGGAGGCGGAGGTTGCAGTGAGCTGAGATCACACCATTGCACTCCAGCCTGGGCAACAGAGCAAGACTCTGTCTCAAAAAAAACAAAAACAAAACAAAACAAAACAAAAAACACTGTGTTTATTGACCTCATTCATACTGTGTGCTCTGAATGAGACAGAGAGATGGTGGAGAAATAGAGGATGTCTCGGCTGTAGAATCAGGCCTCAAAGGGCTTAAGACTTAAGACTGGCAATGACAGAATGAGACAGCACATGTATTGGGTCTTTGTAAATCATGAGATAGCACTTGTAGGATTTCAGAGAAGAGAGAGAATGTGTCAACTGGAAGCTTCTGAAAAGGTTTATAGACGTTCTTTAGCCCTATCTAGGACTGGTTAGGAGGGGCACAGGAATGAGTAGGGTCTCCCCAGCCACTGCAGCCTGCTACAGTCTGGGCAGCCCTGAAAGGAAGGAGATGTCACAAAGGGCAGTGTGACCAAAAGGACAACAGCAATTAGGTGGGGGAGAGAAGAGGGCCAATCAAAGAAGAATGAAATTGTAAATTGTAACTTTATCTATTTATTTATTTATTTATTTATTTATTTATTTTTGAGACAGAGTTTTGCTCTTGTTACCCAGGCTGGTGTCCAATGGTGCGATCTCGGCTCACTGCAACCTCCACCTCCCAGGTTCAAGCAATTCTCCTGCCTCAGCCTCCCGAGTAGCTGGGATTATAGGCATGTGCCACCACGCCCGGCTAATTTTGTACTTTTAGTACAGACAGGATTTCTCCATGTTGGTCAGGCTGGTCTCGAACTCCCGATCTCAGGTGATCCGCCCGCCTCGACCTCCCAAAGTGTTGGGATTTACAGGCGTGGATTATTTTATTTATTGTGTAATTCAGTATTAATCTTTTTAAGGGCTATGTGTGAGAGGGATTGGAAAAAGGAGAAGGGAAGTCATTGCCAGACAGCACGGCCCAGCCTTTTCCTGCCCACCCTCCTCAATCAAGTGCTGATAAATAAGCTTCCCATCTGTTTGTCACCAGTGTGCTTTGCCACCTCCTTTTTCTCCCCTCCACTACAAAACCAGCCACCTGGTTTCCCCAGCAATGCAGGGAGCCTCCCCAAATCCCTAAAGACCTTAGGAAATTAGTCTAAGATTAAGACCTTAGGAAATTAGTTTGTTACACCCCAAGTTGGAGGGTGACAGGTTGCAGCAGCAGCTAACGTACAGGAGACAGACCTGAGCATGGTGAAGTTAGGAGAGGGGAAGACGGAGCAGGCCCAGCGGTTGAGAACCACTGCACTGTTGAGTGGCCACTGCATGCCAGGCTCTGGTCTAGGAACTTTGCTTACTTTTCCTTTTTTAATACACAAGTCAAGCCCATGAAGTAAGTATGGTTAGTCTAAAAAGAAGAAACTGAAGCACAGAAAGGTTAGGTAATTTGTTGAAGGTCATCCAGCTAGAAACTGGCCAAACCTGGCTTTGAACAAATGTTACAATGGCTATGAGACTGAAAACACACAAAAACTGAAAATACACAAGTTGTCTTGTTTCTTCCACAATCTTTGAAGCTTCTTTAACATGGCTCCTATAATCTGTCTTGGGACTCACATCCAAGACAGAAATTGTCACTTATCTGATAAAGGAAATGAAACTGACAATCCTACCCCACCCTTCCGTCTTTCATGTTTGCCAGAGAAGGTGTTAATGAACAAATGGGAAGGAGAAGGTGGGGCTGGGGAGGGGTAAAAAAAGGGGCCCAGCTCGTCCAGGTAGCACTAAGCTATGGGCTTACACTAATCCCTGCAGAGAACATCTGAACATTTGTACATTAAGCAATCATTTTTTTTTGAACGATACAGAAATTAGCATGGCCCCGTGCAAGGATGACTTGCAAATTCATGAAGCATTCCCTATTTTTTCAAAATTAAAATAAAAATAATTTTTTTTTTTTTTGAGACGGAGTCTCGCTGTTTTGCCCAGGGCGGACTGCAGTGGCGCTATCTCGGCTCACTGCAAGCTCCACTTCCCGGGTTCATGCCATTCTCCTGCCTCAGCCTCCCGAGTAGCTGGAACTACAGGTGCCCGCCACCGCGCCCAGCTAATTTTTAGTATTTTTAGTAGAGACGGAGTTTCACCGTGTTAGCCAAGATGGTCTCAATCTCCTGACCTCGTGATCCGCCCGCCTCGGCCTCCCAAAGTGCCGGGATTACAGGCATGAGCCACCGCGCCCGGCCTTTTTTTTTTTTTTTTAAAGACAAGGTCTCACTCTGTCACCCAGGCTGGAGTGCAGTGGCGAGACCATAGCTTACTGCAGCCTTGAACTCTTCGGTTCAAGAGATCCTCCGCCTCAGACTCCTGAGTAGCTGGGATTACAGGTGCGTGCCACCACATGTGGCTGGAGAACTACTTTAGATTGGTGGAAGAGTGTGCAGGAGAAAGTTTCAAAGCGGCGACGCTGAGCCAAGGTTTAAGTGACACTGAGTCAGATAAGCATCATTCTTCCTCAGAGCTGTCTCCTCCACCAGACTACGTGATCAAGGGCAGCAGCTGGTTCTTATCTGTAGCTCTACCATGCCCAGCACCATGCCTGGCACACATAGGCAGTCAGAAAATCTTGTGTGAATTAATGAATGCATGATGGAATAAATGTACTCAGAGGGCTCCCTGAGTAGGAGAACCAAACCTCCACCCTTAGCGTGGGAGTTTCCCAGCCTGGGGTCCTTGGGCCCTTGGGCCCTTGGGGGTTCTGTTGATACTGGGTTGGCCAGGAATTCCTACAAACCCTGCATTTCTAGGCAGTGTCTGAGTAGTATAGAACTCTCAGGCCTTTATTGGAGAGGAGGAACTTAAAGGAGAAAAACAAGGACCAAAAATGGGGATGACACTGGAGAGACAGGTTGCCCTTAGGACATGCTGGAACACCAGACTGAGATTCAGTGCGTGAGTCCCATCCTTCCATTCCTCACTAGTAGAGTGACTTGAAAAAGTAAAAAGCCACTTCCGGCCGGGCCCAGTGGCTCGCGCCTATAATGCCAACACTTTGGGTGGCTGAGGCGGATGGATCACCTGAAGTTAGGAGTTCAAGACCAGCCTGGCCAACATGTTGAAACCTCGTCTCTACTAAAAATACAAAAAAATTAGCAGGGCGTGGTGGCGCACGCCTGTAGTCCCAGCTACTCCGGAGGCTGAAGCAGGAGAATAGCTGGAACCGGGAAGGCGGAGGTTGCAGTGAGCCGAATTGCGCCACTGCACTCCAGCCTGGGCGACAGAGCGAGACTCCGTCTCAAAAAAAAGTAACTTCCCCACCTGGGAGCCTCGGTTTCCTCATCCTGTAATGAGGGGCTTTAGATGTCTCCAGGTCGTTTCCCCATAACAGCCCATGCTCTGAAGTAAGGGAGGGTAGGAGGATGGGTGGAGCTCTTCTAGGAAGTGGCTGAGAACATCCTTGTCTCTGCAGCATCTTAACCAAGTACTTGTCTTCGTGAACAAACGAGGGAAAGAGGAGTCTGCAGGAGTAGGGGGTGGGGTGGGGGAATGGACGCCACGGAGCAGTTACCAGCTCGGCAATCACGAAGGCCCATTTTTCAAATCCCAGTTCTGTTTCCTCATGAACAAAATTGAGAAAACCCAACCTATCGCTAAGTATGAGTGTGGGGCAAAAATGTGCGAAAGGGCCCCAAAGATACCCTTCTCCCCAACCAGGAACTCTTTCCCTGGCAACCACCCCAAAATCAAGGCCTAGGGTGGAGCCAGGGGCTAGAAATAAGTAGATGCTGCCCCCTGGTGGATGTATTTGTCACCGCCTGATTGGTGAAGAAAAGCGGAGTCTTAGTGGATGAAGTTATTCAGGTTCCTTTGTCAGCTCCCGAAGTCTCCTTTCAGACAGGGCCTTTCCTACAGTTTCAGGTTGGAGGTAGAAAATACACCCTCTTCAAGTTTTTAGTGTGTGTGAGATACCAAATTAAAATGAACACTATTTGAGCAGAAACTCTAATTTTGATGACATTTTCCATGTATTTACAGAGGGTCTAATAGGTCCAGGGAACACTGAGGCAGGCAGGAGAGGGCTGCAGGGTGGGGAAGATTTTTTTTTTTTTTCCTAGAGAGGGTCTTACTCTATGACCTAGGCTGGAGTGCAATGGTGTGATCTCAGCTCACTGCAACCTCTATATCCTGGGCTTCAGTGATCCTCCCACCTCAGCCTCCTGAGTAGCTGGGACTTACAGGCTCCCACCACAATACCCAGCTAATTTTTTTTTTTTTTGAGGTGGAGTCTTGCTCTTTCGCCCAGGCTGGAGGGCATGATCTTGGCTCACTGCAACCTCCACATCCCGGGTTCAAGCGATTCTCCTGCCTCAGCCTCCCGAGTAGCTGGGATTACAGGCGTGTGCCACCATGCCCGGCTAATTTTGGTATTTTTAGTAGAGACGGGGTTTCACCACGTTGCTCAGGCTGGTCTCAAACTTGGCTCAAGCAATCTACCTGCCTCGGCCTCTCAAAGTGCTGGGATTACAGGCAAGAGCCACCGTGCTCGGCCTTGGGAAGGTTTTCAAGAGTTCAGTTGCAGCCATGGTGTAATGTCTGCAGGCTATCCATGTGGGGACAAATGTCCAGAGTCCATTTGCTCAGGAGCCTGGAGCTCAGGGGAGGCCTTAGTTGGAGGAGTGGCCTTGGGTGGTCAGTGAGAAAAGAGTCCTGAGATGGGTGGAATTCCCCAGGGAGCAATGGGGTGAGAGGAGGAAAGTGGTTCCATAACACTGTCATGAGCATCTCCACATTCAAGGCAGGGAAATGAAGTGAAAGATGGAGAAGCAGCATCTGGAGAGGTAGAAGGAAAACCATAGGACTTTAAAAGGCCACAAAGCTGCAAGTGCCTGAAGCCAAGGAAAGTAAGAACTTGAGGAAGTAAAAGGGAGTGGCCCTCAGCATCCAAGGACTGAGAGGCCAGAGGGAATTCGGACAGCCTGGGGATGGGGGTTCCCAAGAAGAATGTCTAGGGGTGGCTAGAGAAGGGGGCTGGAGATTTGGAGGAGAGTTATCTCAACAGAGGTGACAGTGCCAAGAAGGGTTCTCTCCAGAAAACGTAGAGTTGAACAAGGACTAAGCTGGCATTGGAGAACTTGCAGGAGACCAAGGGAGCCATCAGGAAAGCAACAGCAGATGGAGGTCACGTCCTTCTGTGACCTTGCAGACAGGCAGTCATAGACCACCCAGGATTAGCCCTTATTGGACACAAAAGGAAACTCACAGGCTCTTAGATATGGGTAAAAGGAGAATACCCCAGTCTCAGCAAGAATGTCAGTCTCAAAGCCAGATTTCATGGCCTGGGTGCCAGGACTTCCTGAGGAGCAGAATGAGGGCCTTGATGGTCGAAAGAGGTGTTATGGGCTCTTGGGACTTGGTGTGCGAAAGGCAATAAGCCTATAGTTCGTGGGGTGGGGGGGCTCCTCTGCCTCCCTGTGGGCTCCGGAGACCACCGAAGACCAGCTGCATCCCCCTGACTGCATCCTTTCAGCATGTGCCACCCTTGGGGAAAGCCACCTGTGAACTATATCAGGATGGTTGTTCTCATTTCCCCCAAAATTTGGAGCCCACTCTGAGGTCTGGCACAGCTCAGAGCTCTAGGGTAACCAACTCTCCCTGATCACCTGGAACTTTGCCAGTTTTAGTTCTCAAAGTCCCATATTCCAGGAAACCCCTAATCCCCTAGCAAACTGGATGGCTGGTTACTCCACTGGGAGCTCAGACCTCCTACTTGACTAGTGAGTTTTGAGGTCACAGGGACCATCCTAAGTTGTGGGACAGAGGGCCTCTGGACTCCTGCAAGAGTCTGCACTCTCCTACCTCTGTCCTGTGCCTGAGGAGTGTGATCATGAAATAGAAAGTGAAAAACATGGTGACAAGTGGAGAGAGAGGGAAGAAGAAAGAAAAAAGCTTCATATTTTACTACATTTTTTCCTTTTAATAGTGATGGTGTCTCACTATGTTGCTCAGGCTGGTCTCAACCTCCTGGGCTCAAGTGATGCTCCCGCCTCAGCCTGCCTAAGTAGCTAAGACCACAGATGCACACCACCATGCCTGGCTAATTTTTATTTATTATTACTATTTATTTTATTTATTTATTTATTTATTTTATTTTTGAGATGGAGTCTCGCTCTGTCACCCAGGCTGGAGTGCAATGGTACCACCTCGGCTCCCTGCAACCTCCACCTCCCAGGTTCAAGCGATTCTCCTGCCTCAGCCTCCCAAGCAGCTGGGACTACAGGCACGCACCACCACGCCCAGCTAATTTCTGTATTTTTAGTAGAGACAGGGTTTCACCATGTTGACCAGGATGGTCTCGATCTCTTGACTTCGTGATCCGCCCACCTCGGCCTCGGCTTCCCAAAGTGCTGGGATTACAGGCGTGAGCCACAGTGCCCAGCCTATTTTTTTTTTTTTTTTTTTTGAGACAGTTTTGCTCTTGTTGCCCAGGCTGGAGTGCAATGGCACCATCTCGCCTCACCACAACCTCCGCCTCCTTGGGTCAAGCAATTCTCCTGCCTCGGCCTCCCCAGTAGCTGGGATTACAGGCATGCGCCACCACACTTGGCTAATTTTGTATTTTTAGTAGAGATGGGGTTTCTCCACGTTGGTCAGGCTGGTCTCGAACTCCCGACCTCAGGTGCTCCGCCCACCTCAGCCTCCCAAAGTGCTGGGATTACAGGCATGAGCCACCATGCCCGGCCTATTATTAGTATTTTGTAGAGACAGGGTATCCCTGTGTTGTTCAGGCTGGTCTTGAATTGCTGGGCTCAAGTGATCTTCCCACCTTGCCCTCCCAAAGTGTTGGGATTACAGGCATGAGCCACCACCCCTGGTGTCCTCTATACTTTTTTTTTTGGTCTTTTTTTTTACAATTTTTATTTTTATTTTTAAAAATTATTTGTAGAGACGAGGTCTTGCTATATTGCCCAGGCTGGTCTCAAACTCTTGGGCTCAAGCAATCTGCCCACCTTGGCCTCCCAAAGTGCTGGAATTACAGGCATGAACCACCGTGCTTGGCCCTCATATACTTTTTTTTTTTTTTGAGACAGAGTCGCACTCTGTCACCCAGGCTGGAGGGCAGTGGCATGGTCTTGGCTCACTGCAACCTCCACCTCCGAGTTCAAGCGATTCTCCCGCCTCAGCCCCCTGAGTAGCTGGAACTACGAGTGCGTGCCATCACACCCAGCTAATTTTATTTTTAGTAGAGATGGGGTTTCACTACATTGGCCAGGCTGGTCTCTGACTCCTGACGTCGTAATCTGCCCTCCTCGGCCTTCCAAAGTGCTGGGATTACAGGCGTGAGCCACCGCGCCTGGCCTTGGCCCTTATATACTTTTATAGTTCCATTTTTTTCACTTTGAAATCTTTGGCCCACTTGGCATTTATCTTGGTGTATGGTGAGTGAACCGTGATTGTAACACTGCACTCCAGCCTGGACAACAGAGGGAAACCTTGTCTCAAAATATAGATAGATATGGCCAGGCGCGGTGGATCATGCCTGTAATCCCAGCACTTTGGGAGGCCGAGGCACGCGGATCACGAGGTTAGGAGATGGAGACCATCCTGGCTAACACGGTGAAACCCCGTCTCTACTAAAAATACAAAAAATCAGTCCGGTGTGGTGGCACGCACCTGTAGTCCCAGCTACTTGGGAGGCTGACGCAGGAGAGTCGCTTAAACACGGGAGGCGGAGGTTGCAGTGAGCTGAGATAGCGCCACTGCACTCCAGCCCGGGCGACAGTGCGAGACTCCGTCTCAGAAAAAAGAACAGATAGATAGATAGATAGATAGATAGATAGACAGACAGACAGACAGGCCAGGCGCAGTGGCTCACGCCTATAATCTCAGCACTTTGGGAGGCCGAGGTGGGTGGCTGCCATATTGCACTTCACAGGGTAATAGAATGGAGATGACAATGACTCGGTGGAGACTGGGGTAAAGTGAAATGAGGGAAACACTTGCTGAGAGGTTAAAAAAAAAAATAAGGGGGCACCAAAAGACTCAGCAATCCAGATAAATGGCTTGATTATCTTATAATCGAGATAAGATATATTGCATTGAACTATTATTTATTTTGATTACTGAAGGGTTCTGGAGGATCACCCCCTGAAATTCGAACCTAGAGGAATGACCTCACCCTAATCCTGGCCGTGGCTAATAATAACGCCCATCTCTTAGGGCTGTCGAGTGAACTAAAAGAGATAATGCACGTAGAGCCCTCGGACCCGAGGCTGGCATTGGGAAAGGCACAGTTTATATTTTTTGACCTGGTTGTTCACCAGGCAATCCCTGCCATCCGGCTTTCCATCCTGCAGGGGGAGCATGACTGACTGAGTGTCACTATCGGATCTATGATACCTTCTTGCTTTTCTGAAATCAAATAAAAGAGCCATAAACTCTCATCTCAACTGTTGTGTTAGGAAGGAGGACGGGAATGGTAAATGCTGACGCTACAGGCGGCAGTCTGTGCCTCAGAGAGAAAATTTATCCCAACCTTGCTGGGGGCCTTGACGCCCATCTTCCTCCAGAGCACCCCGACAGTCACCCCGCCCTCTGGTGTCCTCCCACCCCGAGCCCGATCTTCCCCCTTCACGCCTGCCCCGGGCCAATAGCCTCCTAACTGCGTCCTCTCTGATTGCGTGTGTCGTGCTCATTACGCCCTATCCGTCGTTTCTTCGCTCCACAAACGTTTACTGAGCGCCTTCAACTTGCCAGGCACTAATTAGACTAGCGCAGAGAAACGGGGATAAGTACTGATGAGGGTCCCAGCCCTCAGCGATCGGATTTCAGAGGGGGAGATAAAGGACTGCCCAGAAGGGTGGTGAGTGGAGTAGTTGATATAAACAACGAGGTGCGATGAAATACACAGGAGGGCTGCTAATCACATATGGGGTGGGTGCCGAGGGCCCTTAATTAAGGGAGGCTTCCTGGACGGGTGACACCCAAGCGGAGTCCTGACGACCCGCGTCAGAAGTAGTCAGGCGAGGAGGAGGGTAAAGGAATCCACGTCCCAAGCAGAGAAGCAGCTTTCCCTACACAGCACAGGACACGGTCCGCGCACAGAAGCCGCAGGAGACGCAGGCACAGG
Organism: Homo sapiens; assembly: GCF_000001405.40. Taxonomy (NCBI): domain Eukaryota; kingdom Metazoa; phylum Chordata; class Mammalia; order Primates; family Hominidae; genus Homo; species Homo sapiens. The sequence goes on along the minus strand of NC_000017.11, from coordinate 43,388,795 downwards.
GGCTGGGGAGAATCCTTGCTGGGCCCTCGCCGTCCATGCGCCGCCTCCCTCTGCCCGGTGTCTGGTGTCAGCCTCCTGCCTGGCAGAGGAACTCCAGCCCCTGCTCCCCGAAGCTCCTCCAGGCCTTCTGCTTCCCTGACTCGGAATGGGCCCGCTGTCCAGTGGGTACAAGGCTGGTCTCCCCGCCCACTGGTGACGACGTAAAGATCCAGCTCAGCCTGGTTTCCCCTGGTGATGATATCTTGCGACTCGTCTTTCTCCAGGAAAACAGGGACCGCTCTCCGCCTACAGGTCTCTTCCACAGACCTATCTTGTTTTCACCCCCTGTCTCTTTTGGTTCAGTCTTTTCGCTCATACAAACAAGGAAGTCGCCCCTAGCCCAGCCGCGGCTCCTTAGCTGGAGGCGGGCCCGGGGGTGGAGTCAACCGCGGTGGCCACGCCTCCTGGGAAAGGGCAGGGCATGCAAATTCGAAATGAAAGCCCGGAAACCCCGGAACTAGAACTGGTGTAAGATTTCTCTTGGTTTTTGTGTTGTTGTTGTTGTTTTGTTGTTGTTTTGAGACAGAGTCTCGCTCTGTCGCCCAAGCTGGAGTGCAGTGGCGCGATCTCGGTTCACTGCAACCTCCGCCTCCCGGGTTCAAGTGATTCTACTGCCCAGCCTCCCTAGTAGCTGGGATTACAGGCGCGCGACACCACGCCTGACTAATTTTTGTTTTTTTGTTTTTGTTTTTTTTTTAGATGGAGTCTCACTCTGTCGCCCAGGCTGGAGTGTAGTAGCGCAATCTTGGCTCACTGCAACCTCGGACTCCCAGGTTCAAGAGATTCTCCTGCATCAGCCTCCCAAGTAGCTGGGACTACAGGCACGTGCCACCACGCCCGGCTAATTTTTGTATTTTTAATAGAGACGGGGTTTCTCCGTGTTATCCAGAATGGTCTCGATCTCCTGACCTCGTGATCCACCTGCCTCGGCCTCCTAAAGTGCTGGGATTACAGGCGTGAGTCACCGCGCCCGGCACGCCCGGCTAATTTTTTTGTATTTTTAGTAGAGATGGGGTTTCACCGTGTTCCCCAGGCTGGTCTCGAGCTCCTGAGTCGAGACGGGATTTCTCCGTGTTTGCCAGAATGGTCTTGATCTCCTGACCTTGTGATCCACCCGCCTCGGCCTCCCAAAGTGTTAGGATTACTGGCGTGAGCCACTGCGCCCGGCAGATTTTTCTTTTAAAACGTGGAGAATAAGAAATCAGCCCGAGTGTGTAATGGCGTCAATATTGGTGTGGACAAGACAAAGTGAATGAGGCAAGGAGCGAGGCTGGGGCTCTCACCGCGTCTTGAATGTAGATGAGAGTGGGACGGTGATGGCAGGGAGGAAGGCGACGACATCTCTTCTCGTCCTTTTGGCTAAGATCAAGTGTAGTATCTGTTCTTATCAGTTTAATATCTGATACGTCCTCTATCAGAGAACAATTATATTAGATAGATTTTTGGAGCAGGGAGATGAAATAGGAGCTTGCTCTGTCCACTCCACGCGTCGACCTGGTATTGCAGTACCTCCAGGAATGGGGCTCCCTCTCCTGGGATACAACCTGTTTGCAAGGTTAGAAAGAAAAGACTGCGCCGGGTAGTTTAGGATAGTTGGTAGGTTTTCTTACTCCTTTAAGTATCATAAGGTTCATGATTTATGGAGAGTATCCTAGGACCCAAAACAAGAATATTCATTTCCAAGTAGGGAACATGTTCGACTTTACTTGGAGGGCTTTAAATCTCAGCTTGGCTGTGGAGGGGTGATGACCTTTCAAAGGGATGGATTCCAGTGGTGTGTTGCCCAGGCTGGACTTCAACTTACTCTGTTTGTTTGTTTGTTTTTTGTTTTTGAGATGGAGTTTAGCTCTTGGTACCCAGGCTGGAGTGCAACGGCACCATCTCGGCTCACTGCAACCTCTGCCTCCCGAGTTCAGGCAATGCTCCTGCCTCAGCCTCCCGAGTATCTGGGATTACAGGCACCCGCCACCATGCCCAGCTAATTTTTGTATTTTTAGTAGAAACGGGGTTTCACCATGTTGACCAGGCTGGTCTCGAACTCCTGACCTCAGGTGATCCACCTGCCTGGGCCTCCCAGATTGCTGGGATTACAGGTGTGAGCCACTACGCCCAGCTGAACTTCCTCTTCAGCCCATGGAGTAGTTCTACTTTAAGGCAGGCACCAATGTACTGGCTACAAACTTCCTTTTTTCCCCAGGAAAAATCGAGGCACAGGTAGTTTAAGTTACCGAGGAATGCACAGGAGCAGAACTCGAGTCCAAGCATCGTGGCTCCACCCTTCATGCTTGATGCTTTTTTAGGCTCTGTTCTAGGTATGTGTATCCTTTACGGGATCAGCCACCGGCAGTTGCCTTGCAACCATGATGACAAATCTCTCCCAGCTTTTTTGGGTCTCATCCCTGTATCTATAAATTGCATCCCAGCATAAAGATCAGAATGTGTCTTTTGCTGACCCAATCTCTCACCCTTTCCAAACTCCAGAAATCTTGTCTGGCCTTGGCAAAACTACCCGCTGCTTCTTTCTCTAAAGGATATCTTCAGTCCGGGCACTGTGGCTCATGCCTGTAATCCCAGCACTTTGGGAGGCCCAGGTGGGAGGATGGCTTGAGCCCAGGAGGCCACAGTGAGGTGAGATCACGCCATTACACTCCAGCCTAGGCGGCAAAGCCAGAGCCCCATCTCGAAACAAACGAACGAACAAACAAAGCACAAAAGAAACAGCCTAGGCAAGGTAGTGAAGCCCTGTTCAGGGTGACGAATATCTGTACAACAGCTATTTCAGAGGCTGAGGCAGGAGGATCAGTTGAGTCTGGGAGGTGGATGCTCCAGTGAGCCGTGATTGCACCACTGCACTCCAGCCTTGGTGACAGAGCCAGACCCTGTCTCAAATAAATAAAAATTAAAATTAAAGGAAAGAAAGCGTGGAAGCAGAAGTGGGTCCCATTGAACTTCAAGCCTTCAAGCTACAGCTGTGGCTGGACAGGTTGAACTAGCAGGCAGGAGCAGTCACCATCTTGGCAGGGATTAATGGCCCTGAACCATCATCAGGAAGAGGGAGTAGTGCTCTTATGCAGGGAGGGCAGGTGGAATATATGTGAACTCTGGTGATCTGTTTGGGTGCCACGTGTTACTCCCAGGTCCACCTGTGACATGAATGGACAAGTGCAGGAACCCTGACTTGAGAAAGATGTGGCCTTGAGGGGTTTAGACTTTTCAGGAATGAGAGTTTGGGTCACGGTAGCCAGGGAAACCACCAGGATTAACAGAGTTGATAGCTGAGAAGGAGGGGGGATTTGGAGGGGAGAGGACAGGAGGCACTGGTTGAGTACCAGGGGCAGCCTTGTGACCAAATGCACCAAGAGGGGCTGTCGTTTGACTCACTAACTTTCTGTAGCTCTATGCAGTACAAAAGAGCAGGAGATGAAAGAATGGCAAGTAGATTGGGAGCCGGAAAATAACTGGAATGAACCCACACATTCCTGATTGACATTGACAGTAATATACAGGTACAGGCAGGCAGAGGCGTTTTCTCTTCAACTGATTTTGAAATCATTCTCTCTGTTAGAGTACACAGCTATCTGAAGGTACACAGTGACCATCAACATTTACCAAGCTTTGGGCAAATGTTAAGTGTCATTGTTGTTGGTTTAATTTGATATTGTTCTCTATTGAATAATGTGCACAACAAATTTCTGGATTTTTATTAAAAGAGCATCTCCTGTGCTACATGCAAATATACAATCTGAGAAATTCTGACCCTGGCTATTAAAGTATAAAAAGGTTTCCTTGTCTCAGAACAATGTTAGAACAGACATCAACTCACTGCTTCTAGAAGAGCAGCCACTCCTTGATTTCACAAACTCAATAAACAGTCTCAGTTGTTGTTTAGTATCATTAGGAACTATTTTGACAGAGGTTTCTAGATCATGTCACAATGACATCAGATATCAAAGAAATGTGTAACAGGTTTGGTTATATGCAATGGCTACCCTCAACCCCCCAAGTTCCTGTCCAGTCAAATTCCCTCTGACCTGCTGTCTGCATCTGCCTCTCCAGAAACAGGGCAGACACAGGATTGTCAAACGTGCTTGCTTCCATGCTCTCTCCCTAATGGTGACATGGACTCTGTTCTCAATAAGCACCTCCCACCCCGCCCAAAGGTCCCTATCACCTCTCCCTGGCTCTGGGTCCACTTCTCTGTACCTTGGACATGGGCATAACATGTTGCCCATGAGGCACAGGATGAGTAGCAGGGGCAGCCCTGTGACCAGCTGCAGCAAGAGGGAGTGCTGTTTGGCTCACGACCCTTATGCAGCTCTATGCAGTACAAAAGAGCAGGGGAGAGAAGAATGGCAAGTGGAAGGGGAGGCAGAAAATAACCAGAACAAATGCACATATATGATCGTGGCCTTGGGTTTTCATTTCCTTGTGAGGGCTCCCGTGTCATGTAAAACTTACATTGACAGCTTTTATGATAGCTTTCCTCCTGCTAATCTATGTCAGTTTGAGTCTCAGGCCCAGCAAGGACCCTAAGGAGATAAAGTTTTGCCTCCCCTACACAGTCATTGCCCACTCCCACCCTCATCTTGAGTTAACCACTGATCTACTTTATGTCTAGAGTTCCCGTTCCTGGCATTTCATATGAAAGGAATTACACAGTATGTGGTCTTTTGTGTCTGACTGATGTCTTTCTCTGAGCATAATGTTTCTGAGGTTCATCCCCATTGTGACATGTGCCATTATGTTGTACCATTATGTTTTTATTCCTGAATATCACATTTTGTTTATCCGTTCACCCACTGATGGACGTTTGAGTAGTTTTCAGTTCAAAGCTATTCGAATAATTCTGCTCTAAACATTTGCCTCTAAGTCTTTATAAGGACATACGTTGTCATTTCTCTCGGCCTGCCTGCTCATTACACATTGGTGTTCCTGTGATTCTGAAACATGTACTCTTCTCTTACACAAAGTAGTATCTCCGTGTCATCTCTCCCAGTCCATGGCTACTGGGGACCACCTGTATACCTCACCCTGATCATAGAAACAGAAGTCCAGTCTCTCTATGTTTTCAAAGGCCTCCAAGATTTTCAACTCTTTCTCTCTTTCTCTTTCTTTTTCTCTTTTTCTTTTTCTTTCTTTTTTTCTTTCTTTCTCTCTCTCCCTCTCTCTCTCTCTCCCTCTCTCTCTCTCTCTCTCTCTCCCTCTCTCTCTCTTTCTTTTTTTTTTCAAGTCTCGCTCTGTGGCCCGTGGTGGAGGGCAGTGGCATGACCATGGCTCACAACCTCGACCTCCCCAGCTCAAGTGACCCTCCACCTCAGCCTCCTGAGTAGCTGGGACTACAGGAGCATGCCACCATGCCTAGTTTCATATGTGCTTGCTTCCATCCTCTGCCCCTAATGGTGCCACGTACTCTGTTCTCAGTAAGCACCCCTGGCCCATGGGTCTTTAGACTTAGCCTTGCTCACACGGATTTGCCATCTCCCTTCAGGCCTTTCTGCCTCAACTTGCTGATTCTGTATTTTATAACCCCAGAAAGTGTTCTAAGACCCACTCAGCCACCAGCGTAGACATCTGGAGTTATAACTGTATCACTTGTTATCCAAATCCATGTGGTCCCCAAGTTTCAGATATTGGTAGTGAGAATTGAGGTCTCAAAAAACATATTTGCTTCTTCTCTCTCCCTCAGCCTCCCTCCTTCAGTCATCAAGTCCCAGAGCAGAATGCTTCCCAAACTCTGATGTGCATGTGCATTCTGGGGGAACCTTGTTAACATGCAGGTTCTGACGCAATAGGTCTGGAGCCAGTGATTCTGCACTTCTAACCCACCCCCAGATGATATCAATGGTGCTGGTTTGGGGACCACACTGTGAGCAGCAAGACTGTAGCAAGATGCTCCATTTCTACTAAATATCTTTTTTTTAAAGGGGCATATGGGCTTGGCGCAATGGCTCATGCCTGCAATCCCAGCACTTTGGGAGGCCGAGGGGGGAGGATCGCTTGAGGAGGAGTTTGAGACCACCCATGGCAACATAGGTAGACCTCATCTCTACCAAAAAAAAAAAAAAAATTAACAAAAATTAGCCAGGTGGCTGGGCGTGGTGGCTCACACTTGTAATCCCAGAATTTTGGAAGGCCAAGGCAGGTGGATCACTTGAGGTCAGGAGTTCAAGACTAGCCTGGCCAACATGGTGAAACCCTGTCTCTACTAAAAACACAAAAATTACCTGGACACGCACACCTGTAGTGCCAGCTACTTGGGAGGTTGAGGCAAGAGAATCGCTTGAACCCGAGAGGCAGAGGTTGCAGTGAGCTGAGATTGTGTCACTGCACTCCAGCCTGGGTGACAGAGCAAGACTTCGTCTCAAAAAAAATTAGCCAGTTGTGGTGATGCGCGCCTGTGGTCCCAGCTACTTGGGAGGATGAGGCAGGAGGATTGCTTGAGCCTGGGAGGTCAAGGCTGCAGTGAGCCGTGATCTCTTCACTGCATTCCAGCCAGGATGGCAAAGTGAGACTGTGTATCAAAAAAACAAAAAAACAGCCAGGTGCAGTGGCTCATGCCTGTAATCCCAGCACTTTGGGAGGCCGAGGCAGGCAGATCACATGAGGTCGGGAGTTCGAGACCAGCCTGACCAACATGGAGAAACCTCGTCTCTACTAAAAATACAAAATTAGCCAGGCGTGGTGGCACATGCCTGTAATCCCAGCTACTAGGGAGGCTGAGGCAGGAGAATCGCTTGAACTCAGGAGGCGAAGGTTGTGGTGAGCCGAGATCATGCCATTGCACTCCAGCCTGGGGAACAAGAGCGAAATTCCGCCCCCCCCCAAAAAAAAAACAGAAACAAAAAAAGGAGCCATATGGAACACTAACTTTGCTGGCTGCTGCAGCCAAACAATCTCCCTTCCCCCACCAAGGCCACACAGATTGGCACAGTTCTGTTTCTGTTGCTATAAGTGAAAGTTTTTGGTTGGTAACTGTGAAGAGGCCCAGGCGGGAGAGAAAAGAATGGTGGGGCTGGGCAGGGGGCAGGGGTGGTGGAAGGAGTCAGAGAGGAGGCAAAGGAAAATAGGGAAACAAATGGTATCTCTCTCCAAGCAGATCTCTTCAACTACCTGTGAAAACTGATGTGATGAAAAGGGGAATTTGAAGGAGCCATTCCAGAAGACAGGGCGAAAACTGAAGTGCAATCAGGGCCAAGAAAAACAGAAATAGCAGGACCTGGAGTTGCATAGGTTGAATAGTTGAATAGGCTGCTCTCCTCAGCTGGCAGGAAACCTGGCAGCCTCCTGGTGCCCAAGGACTGAAAACCTTAGAAGCACCTGGAGTTGGCAGCCTTGGCATGGTCAGGTTGGCACCTCTGGAGGTGCCCAGGCTTCCCTGGCAGCATTGTGAGCAGTGGATGGTGTTGAAGGGCAGCCAGAGGAGGAATGGAACACATGCTCCTTGCTAACCACACGGACAAGGCCACGTTCACAGGTACACAAAGGTAGGTATACAAAGGTAGGTACACAATCAATCAAAAGTTTAAAAAACAGCCATGATACCAGAAGGCTCTTTTGTTTAAAAGAAAGTTTCAGAAATAGACCTAAGTATATATGAGGCCTTTATTATATGATAAAAGTGGCATCTCAGACTGATGAAAAGGTGGGCTGCTCCATATATGATGCTGAGGCAACTGGTTAGCCATCTTAAAAAAACAAAAGTTGGATGTGTAACTGAAATCATAGACTAGAACAAGTAGGTTAGGGATGCAAATACAAAGGATCAACAATTCAAAAAGGCCAATGGGGAAAGGATCTGAGCAGTCAGCTCATAGAAAAGAAAATAGAAGATCTTAAGCATGCAAAAAGGTACACCCCCTTACTGGTGTAAGAGATTCCACCACTTTTTTTTCTTTTTCTTTTTCTTTTTTGAGACAGAGTCTGGCTGTCACCCAGGCTGGAATGCAATGGCATGATCCCAGCTCACTGTAACCTCTGCCTACTGGACTCAAGTTATCCTCCCACCTCAGCCTCACAAGTAGCTGGGATGACAAGCCTGAACCACCATGCCCAGCTAGTTTTTGTATTTTTTGTAGAGACAGGGTTTTGCCAATGTTGCCCAGGCTGATCTCGAACTTCTGTGCTCAAGTGATCTGCCTGTCTCAGCCTCCCATGTGAGCCATGGCGCCAGGCTGGAGGGCAATGGCAAGATCTCGGCTCACCACAACCTCTGCCCCCCAGGTGTTAGAAACAAGTGTTCAGTGCTGCAAAGAAAAACCACCACTTAAACAAAGAATTTCTCAGCAAGGCACATTTACTTCTGCAGAAGGGTACAGCTTGCGTCTGACTGATCCCAAGAGCACATCAAGCCGGGTAGAGCAGGGGTTTTTATCCCTAACACAGTTTCTGTTTCTGTGTCCTTTCCCCATTTGCTGGAGTTGGACAGCACAGTCTAAGCTGACCCAATTGACTAGTGCTTGAAATTGAATAAGGCCAATTAGGCAGGAAGGGAGAGGCTGTCCATTACCAACTAGGCGGGAAGGGTTGTTTACCAAGTAAGAGGTTTGCTAGTTACCCATTAAACAGAGAAACAAGTGCTCCTTCCTGATTAAGCAGGAAGGGCTGCGTATAGAGCAAGAAAGACCAAGGAAACTTTGAAGAGGAACTTACTGTTTCTGGCAATTTTCCCCCTCCTGACTTTATAGTTCTTCCTCTTCAAATTCCTCTAATATATTTTGGCTTTGTTGCTCCTCTTGGTTTCTAGAAGTAGGAGTTTATCTGAGTAGGGTGGGGGAGAATGGAGAGGGGTTTGGTAAGAGCTGTTTCTATAAGCCTTTGCACAAATCCACAAATGCAAGGTATGACACAACCTACAAGAATGAGTACACTGGTAATAATTGCAAGGGAGGTAAAGATTGAGGTCATGAGTCCCTTCCATTTCCAAACCATTTTTCCATGAGACCAGAGAAGGGGTGTTCAAGCGATTCTCCTGCCTCAGCCTCCCTAGTAGCTGGGATTATAGGCATGCGCCACCACACCTGGCTAATTTTGTATTTTTAGTAGAGACGGGGTTTCTCCATGTTGGTGTCAGGCTGGTCTCGAACTCCCGATCTCAGGTGATCCACCTGCCTCGGCCTCCCAAAGTGCTGGGATTACAGGCATGAGTCATCTGCCCAACTTGCTAAAAGATCTAATCCCAGCTACTCGGGGGGCTGAGGCAGGAGACTACCCCGAACCTTGGAGGTGGAGGTTGCAGTGCGCCAAGATTGTGCCATTGCACTCCAGCACTCTAGCCTTGGCAACAGAGCGAGTCTCCGTTTAAAAAAAATAATAATAATAATTAAAAAAAAATTTTTTTTTTTGGTAGAAACTGGGTCTTGCTCTGTTGCCTAAGCTGCTTAACCTCCATCTCAAGGTTTCCTTCTGTAGGTAACCTTTGCGAGTTTGTAATGACGAGAGCACTTAGCACACAGCCTAGGCCAAACAGTAAATGCTTCCTATTGTATTGTCCGCAGGCAACGCAGTTGCTCAGGTGCTTCGGTATCACAGCCAAGACCCCTTCGGGGGAAGCTAGTCGGATACTGGGACCCACATTCCAGACTACTGAGCCGCGGTCGCGCCCTCGGCTCCGTTTCTGCTCCCTCCACCCCACGAGGTAGGCAGTGGTGTTTCCACTTCCCAGCTGGGGAAACTGAGAGTCCGAAGGTTAAGTAGTTTGTCCCCAGTCCCCACTGACAGGGCAGGGAGAGGGGCGGGGCTGTGACTCCCAGGGCGGCAGCCCCCTCAGGGCGCGATCTCGCAGTCGCAGTCGGACTTCTCTCTGCGGCCCCGGGAAGTCCCCCCCCAGTGGGGGAGAGGGGGCTCATGGGCTCCGCTTTCGCCTCCGACCCAGCCAGACCGCTGAAGCTCCGCTCTTCACAGTAATGGCTTTCCTCAAAAGAGCTCGGACCACTCTCCTCCAACTTCCTTCCGCAGACACCTCGTGACGCCCACGCCCATTTCGCTTGGTCACTGTCTTGACCCCGGGTGGGTCCATCAGCTCATTGTAAATTAATTTTTGTATTTTTAGTAGAGACAGTGTTTCACCATGTTGGCCAGGCTGGCCTAGAACTCCTGTCCTCAGGTGATCCGCCCTCCTTGGCTTCCCAAAGTGGACAAGGACAGCAGCTCTTTTTGAAAGGAGATACAGGCCGGGTGCGGTGGCTCACGCCTGTAATCCCAGCACCTTGGGAGGCTGAAGCAGGTGGATCACCTGAGGTCAGGAGTTTGAGACCAGCCTGACCAAAATGGAGAAACCCTGTCTCTACTAAAAATACAAAATTAGCCAGGCGTGGTGGCACATGCCTGTAATCCCAGCTACTCAGGAGGCTGAGGCAGGAGAATCGCTTGAACTCAGGAGGCAGAGGTTGCGGTGAGCTGAGATCGCGCCATTGCACTCCAGCCTGGGCAACGAGAGTGAAACTCTGTCTCAAAAAAATAAAATAAAATAAAATAAAACAGAAAGAAAGAAAGGAGATACAGTATGCCCCATGAGATGCTGAAAGGGACTCACCTCTTTTGAAATTAACCTAAGCATTTAAAGCCGTGGCTCTGTTTGAAATGGAATGATTAGGAGAAAATGCATTCTTGAAGAAATAGACAGCAGTGCCGGCCAAATAAATGCTGTATGTGGAATGGACTGGGAGAAGGCCATGTCCATCTTGATGTGAGGACTTTTAATGCCTTGATCGTACTTGCCTGTATTATTCTATGTTGTCAACGTGTCCTCTAATACCAGGTCCTCCATGATAAGTTGCTCCCGATCCAGAAGTATTGCCCCAGCTGCAAAGAGCCCTGATTCTCAAATGTGGTCGTGATCATGGTTACTGATTGGTCCATAACAAGAAAGTTAAAAAAAAAAAAAAAAAAAAAAAGACATTGTCAGACTCTTTATTCTATTTGCTGAAGTGGCCTTCTTTTTATAGGACGGGGGTGGAAGGCCACCTTCGATGGGTGCATCCTCCACGATGACCTGCTAACAAAGGTGCATGGATTTCAGAGTCTGATTGGCCTACAACAGCATTTGGCTTGTGGAGACAGTGGTTCCCTGATGAAAAACTGCCATGATGTAAGGAAGAGCCTGTCAGAGCGAGGCTGGGGTGCTGCGTGTTGGGGAGGTGGAGGTGTGGCTTCCCGGGAGAAGCTCCACCCGCTGGCTGAGTCTGGCACATAAACCAGTCTGTGAGGGGATGGATGTGGGTGTAATGGGGGCAATTACAGTAGGAAGGAGCCCACGTGGAGCCTGCATTCTCTGGGACAGGGCATTACTGCATTCTCTGGGACAGGCTAAGGCCCAGATCCTACCTTCCCAGGTGGCTGGATGGGTCATAGATGTATGAACCGGTCCCCTCATTTTCTGATTGCCCTGTGCTTAACGTTTCTGTACCTTTACTGAGGCTCTTTCCTCCAACTCCAGTGCCCAGACCCCCCTTCTCCTGAACATGAATGCCTGTCCATGGAAATTCGAGTCTCTCTCTCTCACCCAGGCTGGAGTGCAGTGATGCAATCTCAACTCACTGCAACCTCTGCCTCCCAGGTTCAAGTGATTCTTGTGCCTCAGCCTCTGGAGTATCTAGGATCACAGGTGCGTGCCACCATGTCTGGCTAATGTTTTGTATTTATAGTAGAGATGGGTTTCGACATATTGGCCAGGCTGGTCTTGATCTCCTGGCCTCAAAGTGATCTACCCACCTGGGCCTCCCAAATTGCTGGGATTACAGTTGTGAGCCACCACACCCAGCCTGTCCCTGAAATTCTAATGAAATGTGCGATAAAGTTGTTTTGTTTTTCTTTTTGTTTTCCCTTCTTGGCAAAGCCTGGTGTTTCTATTTTAGTGGATTTGCCTGGCACTGAGGACTGCTATGGTGGTCTTCAGAGGCTCCTGGTATTGACTGCTTGTGAAACCGCTTTTGCAAAATTATGACTGAGACAGTGAAAGAGATCTAACTTAACCGACCCAATCTTGCTTCTAACCTCCAAATTGTCCTTATTCATTCCTGAGCATAGCCTGAACTAACTTTGGGAGAAGCTTAGTTTATATTTTATTTTATAGTTTAAAACAAAGATGTTAACAGCCCTTTCCCAAGGCAGACTTCCTTCTTGCCTGGGGACTAGGTTGCCTTTGGAGGACTAACATTAGCCACGAGATTAGAAATTATGGGCTGGGCCTCGTGGCTCACCCCTGTAATCCCAGCACTTTGGGAGGCCACGGCAGGTAGATCACCTGAGGTCAGGAGTTCAAGACCAGCCTGGCCAACGTGGTGAAACCCCATCTCTACTAAAGAATACAAAAATTAGCCGGTTATGGTGGCACATGCCTATACTGCCAGCTACTTGGGAAGCTGAGGTGGGAGGATCGCTTGAACCTGGGAGGCGGCGTGGAGGTTGCAGTGAGCCAGGATCTTGCCACTGCACTCCAGCTTGGGCGACAGAGTGAGACTCTGTCTCAAAAAAAAAAAGTTTAGAAATTATGCTTTAGGAGTCATGCAGCTGGAGGCTACAAGATTCTGACCCTCCCTAAACTGCTCCTAAGATCAGTGCTTGAGATATTTTGCAGACCCTGCACTTGATGGATCAGCTGGCACCACCCAGACTGATTAACTGGCTCATGTGATCTTGTGGTCCCCACCCAGGAACTTAATCAGCACAAGGAGACAGCTTCAACTCCCTATGATTTCATCCCTGACCAATCAGCACTCCTGGGCTCACTGGCTTCCCCCTACCCACCAAGTTGTCCTTAAAAAGTCTGCTCCCCAAATGCTCGGGTAGACTGATTTGGGTAATAATAAAACTCCGGTCTCCCACACAGCCAGCCCTGCGTGAATTACTCTTTCTTTTTTGAGATGGAGTTTCACTTTCGTTGCCCAGGCTGGAGTGCAATGGCAGGATCTTGGCTCACAGCATCCTCCGCCTCTCAGGTTCAAGCGATTCTCCTGCCTCAGCCTCCCCAATAGCTGGGATTATAGGCACGTGCCACCACGCCCGGCTAATTTTTGGTATTTTTAGTACAGACAGGGTTTCACTGTGTTGGCCAGGTTGGTCTCAAACTCCTGACCTTAGGTGATTCACCTGCCTTGGCCTCCCAAAGTGCTGGGATTACAGGTGTGAGCCACTGCACCCAGCCAAATTACTCTTTCTCTATTGCAATTCCCCTGTTCTGATGAATCAGCTCTGTTTAGGCAGCAGGCAAGGAGAACCCCCTGGGCATTATACTTGGACAGAGGTGACATCCCCCAGGTAGTGAGTGCAAAGAACTAATGCTGCAGCTGTCTTCCATGTATCTGCCACTCACTGTAGAATGACCCTGAAGTTCTGCATTTCTGCTCTGTGTGGGTCAGGCACAAGAAGCTTCATCTCTTATCCCGTGTCTGATTCCTGAAACCTTGCTCATTTTCCTGCTGTCCTCCCTATTCCCAGCCTCCTTTCTTCTTTCGCTTTATCCTCCACTAAGGACATTGATTGCTTTCCTTTCTCTGTTGGTTCTCCCCACCCCTCATTCCATTGTGCCTTGTACCCATACTGCCCACTACCTCCCTTTATTGCTGTCATCTGTCCTGGTGGCCAGTCACACTCATGCCAACACTTACTTATTCCTTGAAGGTTTTAGCTCCTGGCTCACTTTCCAACATAACTCCTGTCATCAGTTGACACCCAGTTCCCCAGTTCCTTGACCTAGGCCTTACGTACCCCAGCCACTCACTTCCCTGGTCTAAGTCTAGATCTTGTCATTGCTGATGCCATAACGCCATCCACCATCCACTTCCAGGGTCACACTCTCCAATCACCTTCTACCACCCCTCCCTCTGTTACTCTGTGGTACATGTTACTCCACTTCCCCACTGCCCATCCCCTTTCATGTTTCTTTCCTCTTTAATTCTTACACCTCTTTTTTTTTTTTTTTTTTTTTGAGAGAGTCTCAATCTGTCACCCAGGCTGCAGTGCAGTGGCACAATCCTCTCACTGCAACCTCCGCCTCTCAGATTCAAGCGATTCTCCTGCCTCAGCCTCCTGAGTAGCTGGGATTATAGGCATGCACCACCATGCCCGGCTAATTTTTGTATTTTTAGTAGAGACACAGTTTCACTATGTTGGCCAGGCTGGTCTCAAACTCCTGACCTCATGATCCGCCCGCCTCGGCCTCCCAAAGTGCTGGGATTAAGGCATAAGCCACCGTGCCTGGCCTCTTGAAGACTCTTAAGTCATTTTTGGGAATCAATGAATTAACTACAGAAGATTTCCCAGGATGATGAAATAGCAAATCATTTCAAGATGCAGAAGAAGTAAGACCGCTAAGATCCCACAATATGTCTTGGATTTTTGGAAAGAGAAAAGCAGAACCAGAAGTGGGTCTGGGATTCACAGCCAGGCCATACCCCATGTCCTGGCTAATAGGATCGACTGCTGCTACTTTAGCCAATTACGGCTTTGGCCTTCCTCTACTCTTCCCTCCTTCTTGGTGAAATTTGTTAAGATCCTCAATCATAGAATTACCCCCACTTCCTGAGAGCATCCCAGAGAAAGGACTCCTCAAACCACCTAACACATGCCCAAATCCTGTAATAAACCATCCCTGACACCCTCTTACTTATTTGCCCCACAGTTCCCCGTGGCATGCAAAACGTTCTCCCTCAAAGCTAACTCATGTCATGACAGGTGTGTTCCTGGTGGCCTTTGGCTGGATGGTGCTGACAGGTTATAAGAGGGCCTACCAATAGATCTATATGGTCATTGCAAGACATAATGAGTTTTATTCTGTTTAAAAAGGGAAGAAAACGGTAGAGCATGGTGGCTCACGCATGTAATCCCAGCACTTTGAGAGGTAGAGGTGGGCAGATCACTTGATGTCAGGCGTTTGAGGCCAGTCTGGCCAACATGGTGAAATCCTGTCTCTACTGGAAATGTTGCAGGATTCAGGAGGACGAGAGAGACCTCAGGTTGAAACTAGAATCTTTATTGAGTGCACTCAGGCCCAGCTGACTCAACGTCCAAAAGACTGGGCCCGGAACAAAGACAGCATCTGACTTTTATACATACTTCACAGAAGGTGGTGGGCTAGCTTGAAGCAAGCTTACAGTGGTGTGAAAAGCAGCAATACAGAGGCAGGACAAAGACAGGATTGCACATGACTGTTGCCAAGTAACCCAGATGTCCGTTATCTAGGTTTGTCTGGGCATGGGCTTATCCTATAACCTTCACTATGGTGCCCAGGCAGCTGTAGTTCAGGCCTACTCAGGCTTCTCATGACCTTCGTTGTACTTCTTAGATAAAACAGAATATTTGAAGTCACTGGTTACATGTAGGCGGAAACCTACCCAGGTGCTGAGGCAAGAGACTGAGGGCACAACCTGTTCCAATATAGTAAAGAAAATAGTTAGAATAAGAAAAGTTATATTAGAAGTAGGAAATAGAGCTGGATGCAGTGGCTCCCAGCACTTTGGGAGGCCAAGGTGGGCGGATCACGAGGTCAGGAGATTGAGACCATCCTGGCTAACAGGGTGAAACCCTGTCTCTACTAAAAATACAAAAACAAAAAATTAGCTAGGCATGGTGGCAGGCGCCTGTAGTCCCAGCTACTCAGGAGGCTGAGGCGAGAGAATGGTATGAATCCAGGAGGTGGAGCTTGCAGTGAGCTGAGATCACGCCACTGCACTCCAGCCTGGGCGACAGAGTGAAACTCCATGTCAAAAAAAAAAAAAAAAAGAAAAAGAAATAGGATATAGAGATGATTATATATGGATATTATCAATCATTAGTTTTTAGTATTAATCTCTGTATTATTATTATAACCGAGGAAAGACCAGCCAATACAGAGTCAGGAGCTGAAGGGACATTGTGAGAAGTGAGCAGAAGATAAGAGTGAAAGTCCTCTATCACATCCTGATAAAGGCCGCTTGAGGACACCTTGGTCTAGCGGTAGCGCCAGTGCCTGGGAAGGCACCCGTTACTTAGCGGACCGGGAAAGGGAGTTTCCCTTTCCTTGGGGGAAGTTAGAGAACACTCTGCTCCACCAGCTCTAGTGGGAGGTCTGACATTATCCAGCCCTGCTCGCAGTCATCTGGAGGACTAAACCCCTCCCTGTGGTGCTGTGCTTCAGTGGCCACGCTCCTTTCCACTTTCATGTTCTGCCTGTACACCTGGTTCCTCTTTTAAGTTCCTAGAAGATAGCAGTAGCAGAATTAGTGAAAGTATTAAAGTCTTTGATCTCTCTGATAAGTGCATAGAAAAAATGCTGACATATGTGGTCCTCTCTCTGCTTCTGCTACCACAAAGAAGACCCCCATGTGATTTGCTTGACCTTATCAATCACTTGGGATGACTCACTCTCCTTACCCTGCCCCCTTGCCTTGTATACAATAAATAGCAGCACCTTCAGGCATTCGGGGCCACTACTGGACTCCGTGCATTGATGGTAGTGGCCCCCTGGGCCCAGCTGTCTTTCCTACTATCTCTTAGTCTCGTGTCATATTTTTCTACCGTCTCTCGTCTCTGCACACGAAGAGAACAACCCGCAAGGCCCAGTAGGGCTGGACCCTACAGTTACAGAGAACAGGAATCTATAAACTCATTCCATAAAACAAAGGAAAATTTGTTTTTCTTCTCCTTATGTTGAGGGATTGCTGAGAGAGTCTCCAGAGCACATTAGATAATATTATCAAGACTTTTCCTGGGTCTGGGCTGTGCCCGTTGCTGCCTCTGGGACAAGTCGGCCTAATACATGAAAATTTATTTCTCTTTCTTTTTAATTTTATTTTTCTTTAATTTCCCACCTTAAAACCACAAAAATTAGCCGGGCATGGTGGTGCATGCCTGTAAACCCAGCCACTTGGGAGGCTGAGGTGGGAGAATCTCTTGAAACCTGGAGGCAGAGGCCGCAGTGAGTCAAGATCGTGCCACTGCATTTCAGCCTGAGCAACAGAGTGAGACTCCATCTCAAAAAAAAAAAAGCGGGGGGGAGGAGAGGGGGGGAAGAAAGAAACTTATTTATTTCATTGGAAGACCTGTAAAAGAACAAAGGTCATGAAATATCAGTATGTACATCTAGAATTGCTCCAAAAAGAAACGGAAATGAATGGGGGCTCGGGGTGGGAAGAAGAATGGATTAGTCAGCTATAACTTTGGGTCCAAGGGACCCTGGTGGTATAGTGGGGGTTAACTTTGCAATCACTGACTCAGGTGAGCCTCTTAGTGTTGAGAAGTGAAATCATCCTGTTTCCCTAATGTATAGATCTTACATTTTCCAGACAGCTGATTCTCACTTTCTTCTTCAACCTCCAAAGAACCTCAGCTGACTACCTTGCTTTCTATGTCCCCAGGGGAATAGAAACAATCAGAGGAAACTTCCGTGAGTTCCCAGGACACATCCACCCACCTCCTCCACGTGTAACCACCACCTCTACCTTCCCCTCTGGTGCTGTGGATGAGCCATCCGTGCTCCTGGCAAAGGCCCACCTGCCACTTGGGCACAGGAACCCATCCATCCCTCCTTACCTCTGGTAACTCTCCCTCTCTCTCTCCTGCATCCTTCATATTCTCTGGGTTGTATTCTCTTCCAGCCCCCACCCCCTGCCCACCTCCAGCATGTAAAAGTGCTGTTATTGTTTCCACTTTAAAACAAACCCTAAAAATAAGTAAATAAAATAAACCCTACCCTGACCCCACTTCACTCTATAGTTACCATCTCATTTCCCTTCTTTTAACAGGAAAACTCCTCCAAACACTTGTCTATATTTGTCCCTGTCATTCTCTCTCTCTCCCCCCTCTCTCTATTTTTTATTTTATTTTATTTTATTTATTTATTTATTTGAGACGGAGTCTCACTCTGTCACCCAGGCTGGAGTGCAGTGGCATAATCTTGGCTCACTGGAACCCCTACCTCTTGTGTTAAAGCAATTCTCCTGCCTCAACCACCTGAGTAGCTGGGATTACAGGCGCCCACCACCTCGCTGGGCTAATTTTTGAATTTGTAATTGAGATGGGGTTTCACCATGGTAGCCAGGCTGGTCTCAAACTCCTGACCTCAAGCGATCTGCCCACCTCCGTCTCTCAAAGTGCTGGGATTAGAGGTGTGAGCCACCACGCCCGGCCTATTTATTTTTTTGAGACAGAGTCTCCCTCTGTTGTCCAAGCTAGAGTGCAGTGATACCATCTCGGCTCACTGCCACCTCTGCCTCCCAGGTTCAAGTGACTCTCCTGCCTCAGCCTCCCTAGTAGCTGGGATTACAGCCATGCACCACCACACCTGGCTAATTTTTGTATTTTTAGTAGAGATGGGGTTTCACCACGTTGGCCAGGGTGGTCTTGAGCTCCTGACCTCAGGTGATCTGCCCACCTCAGCCTCTCAAAGTGCTGGGATTACGGGCATGAGCTGCTGTGCCCAGCCTCAATTATTTTAATCTTTGAATAACTTCGGACTTGCAGAAAAGTTAAAAGACTTACATGGAGAACTTCTCTACCCTCTTCCCCATCCCCGCAAGGTACACAGTTGGTAAAGCGAGAAGTCTGGGGTTCAGTGACACACTTCTTAACTCCCAAGTTCGTGCTCTTTCTTTTCTCTCTCTCTCTCTCTCTGTTGTCTCTCCCTCCCTCCTTCACTCCCTCTCTCTCCCCTTGATGGCCACATTTACTTTATAATTTTCTCTCTCACTCTTTCTCTGTCTCACTCTCTCTTACACAACACACACACTCATAAGAAGACACCTATATACATTTTTTTCCTGAACCATTGGTAAGTAATTTGCACACAGGATGTCCCTTCACCCCCCAGTCCACCAATACTTCGGTGTGTTTCCTAAGAACAAAGGCCTTCTGGAAGTTTCACATTAATTCCATACTGGATCTACAGTCCGAGTTCAGATTTCACCAATTGTCCCAATAAAGTCCTTTAGGTTTTTCTGGCCCAGGATCACTTGTCACTTTTGGTTGTCAGGTCTCTTTAAGTCTCCTTCAGCCTTATGTGTTGTCGACCTTTTTTTTTTGAGACAGAGTCTCACTCTGTTCCCCAGGCTGGAGTGCAGAGTGGTGCTATCTTAGCTCACTGCAACCTCTGCCTCCCGGGTTCAAGAGATTCTCCTGCCTCAGCCTCCCAAGTAGCTGGGATTACAGGCCCCTGCCACCACACCAGAGTAATTTTTGTATTTTTAGTAGAGATAGGGTTTCACCACATTGGTCAGGCTGGTCTTGAACTCCTGACCTCAAATGATCCGCTCGCCTCGGCTTCCCAAAGTGCTGAAATTACAGGCGTGAGCCACTGCGCCTGGCAGACTTTTTTTTTTTTTTGGAGACGTAGTTTCGCTTTTGTCGCCCAGGCTGAATGTGGCAGTCGCTCTGGCCAAACCCTTGGAGTCACCCTCCACTCCTTTCTCTCACCCCTCATCCCAACTGTCCGCAAAGGCCATCAGCTCTGCTTTCAAAGTACACCCAGAATCTGGCCACTCCTCAGCCCCCGCACTGCCCCCATCCTGGCCCAAGCCCTCGCGCTCTCTTTCCTGGGAGTGTGCTATGGTCTCCTCGCCGGTCTTCCGGTTTCTCGGCTCTGGCCCCCTGTGGCTTGTCTGAGCTCTCGCGTTCACAGGGAAGTAGTGGTCGCGCTCACTGGGCTACCGCCCTCCCTCTGCGCGCCCCCTCCGGGGGCAGGGAGCCCACGAGGCCCAGCCCGATCCTACCCCCTCCTGGGTCACCTCCTGGACCCCCGCTCCTCCCGCCCAGCCCCCCGCCCCGTGCCGCCCCAGCCACTCGGTCCTCCGGGCCCACCCCAGGGCGTCGGAACTGGTGGTTCCCTCGGCGGTTCCAGGCCCCTCTCCTCCTTCCCGGGCAGAAGCAGCTTCGCAGCGCCACTCACTGAGCGGAGATTACCAGGGCCCGTTTCCCAAGGCTCCGCCCAGCCCTCGAACCTGTGGGAGCGAGCGCTCCCTCGCCTCAACGAAAACTCGCCGGTCGAGACGGTTGAGAAATGGCTAGAGGGACGGAGACCTAAGTGCCTGTTTCTGTGTGGTCAACTATACAAAATATGTAATTACATGTCTATAACATATAATAAAGTAAGTCCAGACCGGGCACGGTGGCTCACGCCTGTAATCCCAGCACTTTGGGAGGCCAAGGCGGGCGGATCACGAGGTCAGGAGTTCCAGACCAGTCTGGCCAACATAGTGAAACCCAGTCTCTACTAAAAATACAAAAATTTAGCCTAATGTGCTGGTGTACGCCTGTAATCCCAGCTACTCGGGAGGCTGAGGCAGGAGAATTGCGTGAACCCGGGAAGCGGAGGCTGCAAGAGCCGAGATGGCGGCACTGCACTCCAGCCCGGGCAACAGTGCGAGAATCCGTCTTAAATAAATACATAAAGCAAGTCCAGCAAGATGATGTTAGATGGTGGTAATAGGGCCAGCCTGCGGGGAGGACGGAGCTCGGAGCCTGTGGGGCGGGGCATGCAAATATAAAATGGCTGTTTCGCTCAGGAGCTATGGGAACAAAAAGAGAAAGCGAATATCCCCCCCAAATTTGTAACAGTATTACTTATGCAATGTTACAAATTGTAACAAGGAACACTGTGTGAACTTAGGGAAGAGAGTGCTTCTTTACTTGAGGATCATTTTTCTTACCGTGACCTCAGGATGAGTGGGAGAAGGAGTGCTGTGGCCGAAAGAAAGGGCTTGTTTCTTTTTTGGCTTTTTGACTAAGATCCAATGTAGCATGTTTTTTTCAGTTGAATAACTGATTTTTTTTGGTCTGAGGACGATATATTTAAGTGGGGTTTTGGAATAGAAAGATGAAATAGGAGCTGGTTTTTTCCACTCTGCGCATCGACTTGGTATTGCCGTGTTTCCAAAGAGGGTCAAAACACGTTTTACAAAGAACAGATTTACTTACATTCGCGTTGGTTTCATTATGTGGTGTTGTGTATGTGTGTGTGTGTTTTTGTGTTGTATAAGGAAAGTATTGGTGGGTGGTATTACTTCTTTGCTTCTAACCGGATTGAGAATAAGGGAATGCGTATTGGGAAAGTACGCCGCCGAGTCCTGAAACTGGGGACAAGGGTGCTTGTTGGCATCCTGATATGCCAAGGAGGTGCATTGCTAATTTCTGGACTCCAGACAGTTAAAACGTGAAGAAAGCAGGGTGGTCATCCATAAGCCAACGCCAGAAGCGACGTTGTTTAGTCTTCCCCAATGTTGCAGTTACTTTTGCTCTCATTTTTCATATTATTGCTTCCCAACTGCTCACATTTTTTCTTTTTTGTTTTTTTTGATACCGAGTCTCACTCTGTTGCCTAGGCTGGAGTGAAGTGGCCTCATGTCGGCTCACTGCAACCTCTGCCTCTCGGATTCAAGCGATCCTCCCGCCCCAGCCTCCCGAGTAGCTGGGACTACAGGCGTTCGCTACCATGGCTGGCTAATTTTTGTATTTTTAGGAGAGAGGGAGTTTCACCATGTCGGCCAGGTTTGTCTCCTGAACTCAAGTGATCCGCCCGCCTTGGCCTCCCAAAATGCTAGGGTTACAGGCCTGAGCCACCGCGCCCGACCTTTATTTGACTTCTTAGTCAGGGAGCTGAAGCCTGGTCCCTGCGAGTAAGAAAGCCTGGTCCCTGCGAATAAGAAAGGTTTGGGTAGGAGGCCTCATCGGAGGCATCTTGCAGTTAGCCAAGAGTGGGGAGAACTTTTTTCTTGTGGTTTCCGTAGGAGCTTAACTGCAGTAGAATAAAACATCAGTTACATTTCTAAGGTCTTGACTCCAAACCTTGGCTCCTAGACAGCATTCCAGCACCCACCCAGGGCTTGAGGGAGCTCACTGCCCTAAAGGGAGGGACATAATCCTGGCTGGCTTGGCCACCTGATCCTAGAGCTCTACTGCTTTGAGGGGGCATAGGTGGTAGCAGGTAGTGGATCTAGCAGGCCTTTGAGTGAGACCTGGTGCTGTGCTGGGTTTGGGTCTGAACCAGCACAGGGTTGCTTAGGCATCTCAGCACAGAGAGAGACTCCATTTATTTAGGAGAAAGTAAGGGAAAAGAACAAGAGTCTCTGCCTGGTAATCCAGAGGATTCTTTCAGATCTCATCCAAGACCACTGTTGCGGGAAGCTGGGGACCCTGAATGGAGGGACCGGCTGAAGCCATGGCAGAAGAATATAAATTGTGAAGATTTCATGGACATTTATTAGTTCCCCAAATTAATACTTTTATAATTTCTTACGCCTGTCTTTACTGCAATCTCTGAACATAAATTGTGAAGATTTCATGGACGCTTATCACTTCCCCAGTCAATACCCTTGTGATTTCCTATGCCTGTCTTTACTTTAATCTCTTAATCCCGTCATCTTCGTAAGCTGAGGAGGATGTATGTCACCTCAGGACCCTGTGATGATTGTGTAAATTGCACAAATTGTAGAGCATGTGTATTTGAACAACATGAATTCTGGGCGCCTTGAAAAAAGAACAGGATAACAGCAATGTTCAGGGAACAAGAGAGATAACCTTAAACTCTGACCACCGGTGAGCTGGGCAGAACAGAGCCATATTTCTCTTCTTTCAAAAGCAAATGGGAAAATATTGCTGAATTCTTTTTCTCAGCAAGGAACATCCCTGAGAAAGAGAATGCGTCCCTGAGGGTAGGCCTCTAAAATGGCTGCTTCGGGGGGCGGCCATCTTTTATGGTCGAAGCTGTAGGGATGAAATAAGCCCCAGTCTCCCATAGCGCTCCCAGGCTTATTAGGACGAGGAAATTCCCGCCGAATAAATTTTGGTCAGACCAGTTGTCTGCTCTCAAACCCTGTCTCCTGATAAGATGTTATCAATGACAATGTGTGCCTGAAACTTCCTTAGCAATTTTAATTTTGCCCCAGTCCTGTGGTCCTGTGATCTTGCCCTGCCTCCATTTGCCTTGTGATATTCTATTACCTTGTGAAGCACATGATCTCTGTGACCCACACCCTGTTCGTACACTCCCTCCCCTTTTGAAAATCACTAATAAAAACTTGCTGGTTTTATGGCTCAGGGGGCATCACGGAACCTGCCAACATGTGATGTCTCCCCCAGACACCCAGCTTTAAAATTTATCTCTTTTGTACTCTGTCCCTTTATTTCTCAGACTGGCCGACACTTCAGGAAAATAGAAAAGAACTACGTAAAATATCAGGGGTGAATTTTGCCTGATAGCTGGCTGAATTTCCCCCAATAACCACCAGGGTAGTACCTCTACAAGTCTGTAAGAATCACAGCATGATTGGACTTGGGGCACACATATCCTGGAATACCCAGAAAGCCTTCCCAAGAAAGACACACAGAAACAAGCCCAGACTGTGAAAAATACAGTAAATACCTAATTCTTCCATACGCAGACAAAACAAACATCCACAAACATCAAGATCATCCAAGAAAACATGGTCTCACCAAACCACATTTGTTCAATTCCAGAGGAACTGAGACGTGACATTTCAGACAGAGAATTCAAAATAGCCATTTTGAGGAAATTTAAAGAAACTAGAGAAAACGGCCAGGCGCGGTGGCTCACACCTGTAATCCCAGCACTTTGGGAGGCCGAGACAGGCAGATCACCTGAGGTTGGGAGTTCGAGACCAGCCTGACCAACATGGAGAAACCCCGTCTCTACAAAAACTACAAAATTAGCCAAGCATGGTGGCCTGTGCCTGTAATCCCAGCTACTCCAGGAGCCTGAGGCAGGAGAATTGTTTGAATCCGGGAGGCACCGGCTATGGGGAGCCAAGATCCCCACTGCACTCCAGCCTGGGCAACAAGAGAGAAACGAAAGAAAGAAAGAGAGAAAGAGAGAGAGAGAGGGAAAGGAAAAGAGAAAAGAAAAGACAAAGAAGTTGGAAATTCACAGTTCTATCAGGTGCATTTACCAGAGATTGAAATTATTCTTGCTGGACGCAGTGGCTCACACCTGTAATCCTGGCACTTTGGGAGGCAGAGGCAGGAGGATTGCTTGGGTCCAGTGGTTCAAGACCAACCTAGGCCACATGGTGAAATTTTGCCTTTACAAAAATAAAAAAATTAGCTGGGCATGGTGGCACACACCTGTAGTCCCGGCTACTCAGTAGGCTGAGATCTGAGAATCACTTAAACCCGGAAGACAGAGGGTGCAGTAAGCCGAGATCGTGCCATTGCACTCCAGACTGGGTGACAGAGTGAGACTTTGTCTTAAAAAAAAAAAAAAGAAAAGAAAAAGAAGAAGAAAAAAAAGGACAGGAAGAAGTCAAATTATCCTCGTTTGAAGGTGATATATTTGGAAAAACCTAAAGACTCCACCAAAATTAGGTGATTAGGACTTTGCAATTTACTTGTGTCAACTTATGACAGGAGGGATCGGCCCAGGCAGACAGTATAATGAGGAACAGTTTCTGGTGGAAATACACCAGGCCGATGTACATGTGAACAAGTGAGCAGTCCCAGTTGTCCCACCTCCCATCTAGAGGACTTAAATCCTATAAATTGGGTTTAGTCTCAGCCCTAAGACTCGCTCTTGCCAGACCCCCCACCATTCTGAACAATGACAGCCAAAGGAGGTCATACCTACAAAGGTCTTTGCTGAAGGGGAGTGAAAATTCTTCCGTGTCTATCGGTGCTTCTCAACCTTGGCTATACTTCAGGACGACCGGATACCTCGGTGGAGTGAATCATCCTGAGGTCCTAGCCCCACCGTACAGCCATTAAATTAGAATATTTGGGACAGGGCCTAAGGCTGTTGTACTTCACAGCTTCCGGGGTATTTCCCTGGGACCAAAAGCACCTCTTAGAATGTCCAGTGAAGACAGTAGTCAACTTGGTCTGGAACAACGAATTTTCCCCGGAAGTAAAAGTGTTCAACTCAACGGGAGGCACTCAGTAACCAGTGTGTAAATGAGGGACTAGCAAATCCCTTGGTTTTGTCACTGATAAGAGGCCACCCAGTCCAGTGGGGAGGCTTTTGCACCCAAATTGGACTATGCGCACAGCAAGTCCGGTAGCTTCTGTGCTGTTCCCACTCTGCAGAACTAGATGGACCCCAGCCCCACCACTGACCCCAAATTTATTTTGGAAATCGAGACTGGTGACATCACACAGGGACCGAGAAGGTGTGAAAAGGTTTATAATTCACAAAATGAGGTGTTCTGGGAGATCAGAGTGGCTCCCAGGCAGGTTGGAAAATGGCTTGAGAGGGAGGAGACTGGGTTGGTGTTTTGATGGGGGTTTGGGAAAGCGCAGGATGGAGGGCTCCGGGAGCGGGCCGGTGCTGCCTGCTGGGTGCCAATGAGGGGAGCACCCGGGTTTCGTCATCAGCTTGTTATCTCCACTCATAGAATGGGAGCCTCTTGTCATCTCCACTCAGATTGTCGGGACCTATTAATACACTTGGCTCTAAGAGGAGGAGGGCCGTGGACGAACGCTAATGCCGGCAGCGCCTTGGTCGTTTAGGCTCAGGTTAAGTGCGGAACTTGCTCTATCAGTTACTGTTATTTCGCGTTACATCAGCAAAGGAGATCTTCAAACGCTGTCTGCTGACAAGGTGGAATGGGAGCTTCTTTCGTTACCTCCACGCGTTTGCATCGGATCTTCGGGGCCTGTTAGCACACTTGTGTATAAGTCAGCAGCGCGTACTTTGGAGAGTGTGGCTGCTTTAGGTTTCACTTGGTTTAGTCACATGCGGTGTGACGGTCATTGGATTAAATGTTACTGCACCCACATCAGTATCCGTATTCTGACTGGTCTCTGCTATTACTTGGCACACTCAGATGCGATATTCGGATCGTTATATTTAAGTTTAGCGCCCCTACTTTACTATCCCAAGCGGGACTGTTTTTTCATTTACGTGTCTCCATCCGAGGCAGTATAAACATCTTTCCATTCAAGTTTCCCGCATGTGTTTCACTATCCAGAGTCGGACTGCTTTTGGATTTACGTGGCTTTGTGGGATGCGGTATGAAGATCGTTGCTTTCAAGTTTGCTTTGAAGATAGTAATGTGGGGCTGGGTGCGGTACCTCATGTAATCCCAGCACTTTGGGAGGCCGAGGCGGGTGGATCACCTGAGGTCAGGATTTGGAGACCAGCCTGGCCAACATGGTGAAACCGTGTCTCTTCTAAAAAAAAAAAATAAATAAAATACAATAATACAAAAATTAGCCGGGCATGGTGGCGCGCTCCTGTAATCCCAGCTACTTGGGAGGCTGAAGCAGGAGAACCACTTGAACCTGGCAAGCGGACTTTGTGGTGAGCCGAGATCGCTCCATTGCACTCCAGCCTGGGCAACAAGAGCCAAACTCTTTTCGTGTTTATATCCTCTTTCTTTAACTCTTACAGGGGCCCCTTTCCCAAGGCTCCGCCCAGCCCTGCAACCAGTCAGAGCATGTGCTCCCCTGAGGGCTGCACCCTGGCCTCCTCGAAAACTTGCCCTTGCCGGACCAGACAGTTGAGAAATGGCTAGAGGGACGAGACCTGAGTACCTGTCTCCATGTGTGCAGCTATACAAAATATGTAATTGCCGGGCGCGGTGGCTCAAGCCTGTAATCCCAGCACTTTGGGAGGCCCAGGCGGGGGATCATGAGGTCAGGAGATCGAGACCATCCTGACTAACACGGTGAAACCCCGTCTCTACTAAAAAATACAAAAAATTAGCTGGGCGTAGTGGGGGCGCCTGTAGTCCCAGCTCCTCGGGAGGCTGAGGCAGGAGAATGGCGTGAACCCGGGAGGCGGAGCTTGCAGTGAGCCGAGATCGCGCCACCGCACTCCAGCCTGGGCGGCAGAGCGAGACTCCCTCTCAAAAAAAAGAAAAAAAAAATGTAATTAGACGTCTGTAACACATGTAATAAAGCAAGTACAGCAAGATGACTTTAGGTGATGGGCATACGGGTGTTCACCAAACAATTCTTTCAACGTATGTGTGAAAAAAAGTTTAAAGTAATGTTGGATGCCAGCTAGGTCAGGACGAGATGGGGAGGGGGAGGGGGAAGGGAGGGGGAGGGGATGCGGAGGGGAAGGGAGGCGGAGGGAGAGGGGAGGGGAAGGGGAGGGGGAGGAGGAGGAAAGAAGAGCCTCCTAGAGCTCTTCGTGTCTTTTCCGTTGTGGGTTTTTCCTCCTGAAGGGCAATGAAGCCGAAGGAGCTTTCCCAAGATTCCAGTGATTTACAGGCGCTTTTCTGTTCAGTGGTTGGCAGGCAGGGCACGGCGGGGCATGCAAATTTAAAATGGCTGCTTCTCTCGGGAGTTATGGGAGCAAAAAAGGAAAGTGAATATCCTCCAAAATAGTAACAATATTACTTACGCAGGTGTTCAGATTTGGATAAAGATACACAATCTCAACGTAGGAGAGAGAGTTATTCAGGGTGCTATCTGTCACCCTGAGGTTAGGATGTGTGGGAGAAGGAGTACAGTGGCCGATCGTTAACATTTTCGTTTTGAAAACGGTGTTGATACAGTGGAAGGCTTGTGGTGTTGCTGGCCCTTGATCGCTGGAAGGATTCCGAGGTGTAGTTTTCGAAGCGGGAGTTTTGTTCGCATTGGGCGCTTAGCGTCTGTTACTGTCGCTAACGGGAGATTGTCAACGTGTTTGCATTGGGCCATTTGCATCAGTTGGGACCGTTGTTACTGACCTCCTAGGTTGTGTGTTGCGTTTACACGCTTAAATCCGGGTTTCACGGTCTCTTAGTACTCGCGTATTTAAGCTCATCGCGCGTACCTTACTTCTACGCGTTCACGTCGGTTCGTCCGGGCCTATCAGCGCCGCTGCTTTTAAATTGGCCGTGTGCGCTTTACGTTTGCACCTTTACGTCGGATCACTGGGGTCCATCAGCGCCGTAGTTTTTGAGCTGGCCGGGCGTGCTTTCGAGCGCTTAGTTGCTTTCGGTTTCACTTGGTTGCGGCGTGACGATCATTGAGTTAAAGGTTACTGCACTCACTTCAGTCGCCATCGGTCTCCGTAATCTGACTGCCCTTTGCTATTACTTGCTTCACTCACATACGATATGCGGACGGTCCTATTTAAGTTGAGCGCCCATACTTCACTATCCCAAGTGGGACTGCTTTTTCATTTACGTGTCTCTATCCGAGGCAGTATAAACATCTTTCCATTCAAGTTTACCGCATGTGTTTCACTATCGAGAGTCGGACTGCTTTTGGATTTACGTGGCTTTGTGGGATGCGGTATGAAGATCGTTGCATTCAAGTTTACCGCCTCTACTTCACTGCAGAATCTGACTGCCGTCAGATCTGTATGACAGATTGTTGCATTCGTTTTCTGCGGGTACGTCACTATCCAGTCTACTTTTTCCATTGACGTGGCTGAGTCATATGTAGTATGACTGTCAGAGACGTTGGAACCTGAAGCGACCCCATTTTGAGTGAGGGCTAGAAAAATGAGGCCGGGACTTACGGGCCTGCATTCTCAGAAGGATATTCCTAGCTTTCAGATACTTACGGTTAAGGGAACAAATTAATGTTTACTGAAGAGACCCGAGTGTCCAGATAGCTGGATATCTGGAGAACAAAGGCGTTCCTAATTTTGCTTTAAAGGTAGTAATAGGGATTCTTGCAAAATGTAATAATTAAAGTTAATTATCACAAACCCTTGTAACAGAACACCTCTCCCCATGTGTACAAGCATTGTACCTAGGGTGGATACGTTCCTTCTCTTAGTTTCAGGAACGCCCTTCTCTGTCTGTGGAGTAGCTGTTCTTTCACCACTTTACTTTCTTAATAAACTTGCTTTTATTTTGCACCGCGGACTTGCCCTGAGTTATTTCTTGCGCGAGACCCAAGAACCCTCTCTTTGGGTCTGGATCGGGGCCCTTTTCCTGTGACGTATTTCTGGCCACCACAGATGGGACTATAGTGCTTTGGGGAAGTGTTGGGGTCCTATAACATATTTCTGGCGAATGATGGAAGGGACGATACTGAAGAAACTCCCCCAACCCAAAGGAAGTAGACTGCAGCACTGCAGTAGTCAGTAGACTGACTTTGGGTAAGTGGTGGAGTGCCCGGGTAAAGAATGGGATTGGGTTAGAGGCCCAACTTAATGGAGTTAGAGTCTTTCCTAAAAGAGAGTGGGTTAGAGGCCCCTCTTAATAAAAGGCAAGGACACTTGACCGACCTCGGGTTAGAGGCCCGACCGAGGAGGGTTAGAGGCCCCTCCCAGTAAAGCCCCTCTCGGCTAAAAAACAGGTTTGACACCGCAGGCTATGCTCTTTGTATTAGTCTGCCTCGTCCTCCTTGTCTTGGTTGCTGTCTCCGTTTCAGTGTCATTTTCAGGAGACTTCATTTAACTGGTCTTAGGGATTTTAACTGATTCTTCTCCTATGTCCCTCCCGATTTCTGTCCGTTTGCTTGTGAAACACTGGGAACCAAAAGCATTGGAGGATCCGGCTCTAAAATTGCTGATTGAGATTTGATATTTAACAGCTATGAGCAGTAAGATTCGATAGATGTGGTTGTGTTTTGTTGCTGCTGTGCTGAGTGTGATTGAGAAGCACTAGGATGGAAATCAGGGGACTTTTCTCCTTGCTGTTTTGTTTGGTTTTGCACACTAAAAAATCTCCTTTGTAGCTAAGTGCGGTGGCTCACACCTGTAATCCCAGCACTTTGGGAGGCCGAGGCAGGCAGATCACCTGAAATCAGGAGTTCGAGACCATCCTGGCCAACGTGTTGAAACCCCGTCTCTACTAAAAATACAAACATTACCCGGGTGTAGTGGCAGACATCTGTAATCCCAGCTTCTTGGGATGCTGAGTCAGGAGAATCGCTTTAATCTAGGAGTCAGAGTTTGCAGTTAGCTGAGATTGCACCACTGCACTCCAGCAGTCTTCTCAACAGAGCGAGACTCTGTCTCAAAAGAAAATAAAAAAACTTTCTTTTCTTGGATTCGGGCAAACCGTGTTTGCTTTGCTTTTCCAATCCTCACTGCTGTTATTGGTTACTCTGGTTGTTCCCATCTAAATCCTCTTCATTTATTTTGCCTTATTCGACATTTTTTTCAAAGTCCATGTTGTGGTTTATCTAAGATTCATAGCTCAGCTCACTTATGTTATTTGGATAATGTGAATCATGTTTGATGAGAGGAAAAGAAGAAAAAGATTTAGACATACTAGGTGATCCTTTAATGCAAGCCCTGCTGTGGTTCAGCAGGCATTTTTGGGTGGAGCGGAACCCCTTTCTGTCAGCTCTGAAGGTTCGTATGTGTCAGTTCTTTCTCCCTGTAGTCCACCTGAAAGTTCTTGAGAACCCTTCGTCCCTTCTCCTTACCCAGCTAGTCCCACTCTGTACCCACCATTCCCACAAAGAACTTAGCCCACCGAGTACTACTTATAGTGCAGCCTGCTATCAACCTCCAAAGGGAAATCTTTGTCCACTTAGGTGGCAAATCGGGAAGAGGGCACTGTGAGAGTACATGTTCCCTTTTCTCCGTCTGGTTTGACCCTATATATAGAGAAGGTTGGTCATTTCTCTGAAGATCCAGGAAAATTTGTAGATGAGTTTGAGAAATCAACTCTGACCTATAGTTTAACTTGGGAGGATCTGCATGTTTTGTTGTCTCTGTGTTGTACAGTGGAGGAGAAACAATGCATTTTGGGGACAGCTAGGACCCATGCAGATGAGGTATTGGCTCGCAACCCGTACCATACTATGTATCAGGCAGGAAGTATAGCAGTTCCAGATCAAGATGCAGAGTGGAATTATCAAAGGCGCAGTGAGCACTTGGGGAGGAGAGATCATATGGTCACTTGTTCGTTGGAAGGGATGAAGAAATGTATGAAAAAGCCTGTTATCTATGAACAGGTTAAGGAAGATTCTCAGGATAAAGATGAGAATCCAGGTTTGTTTCAAGGGCATTTAGTTGAAGCAATCGGGAAGTATAATATCACTGATCCTGCCTCAAAGGAGAGACAAACCCTTTTGGGAGGACATTTTATGACCCAGTCTGCCCCTGATATCCCCAGGAAACTACAAAAAGCAGCTATGGGAGCCGGGCGTGGTGGCTCAAGCCTGTAATCCCAGCACTTTGGGAGGCTGAGGGGGGTGGATCACTTGAGGTCAGGAGTTCAAGACCAGCCTGGCCAGCATGGTGAAACCCCTTCTCTACTAAAAATACAAAAATTAGCTGGGGATGGTGACAAGTGCCTGTAATCTCACCTACTTGGGCGGCTGAGGCAGGAGAATTGCTTGAACCCATGAGGTGGAAGTTGCAGTGAGCCCAGATCACGCTATTGCACTCCAGCCTGGGTGACAGAGCGAGACTGTGTCTAAAAAAAAAAAAACAAAAACACACTATGTGACTATGTGTCCCTAGACTCCTATTAAACAGCTTTTGGATATGGCATTTTTAGTTTTTAATAACGGGGACAAAGCACAGGAAGCAGAAAGAGGAGCAAGAAGGACCTCCCACAAGGTGCAGCTCTTGGCTGCAGCCTTAAGCTCACCTCCTACATAGAGTTTCTTTCCTGGCTCTTGGAGTGAAGAAGGGAAGCTGAAATGTGAGAAGCCCAGAGCTGGATGTCCAAGTCAGCGTGTTTTGGGCATGAATCAGTGTGCACACTGTAAGGAAACTGGTCATTGGAAGAGGGATTGCCCAGTCTTCCTCCAAAGGGAGCTGTTAGGTCCAGGGCCGTGACTATGACAAATGTCATGCTCAGGGTTAGGGTGCAGCCCATGATGAGGTCTGAGAGGAGTGGATGGATAGATGAATAGCTGAAAGAACATTCGGGGCGGTGTAGACAGGTGAAATGTAGTTTTATTCAGCAGCTCTCTCATCAGCAGTTCTCTCACACTAGCTCTTTTATACTGTTCGCCTTTATCTTGGCTGTCTGCTCTGACTCTGGACCCTCTCAGCAGCTAGCTCCCACTCACAGCTGCACAACTGGTCTGCAAGGCCAGCTCTAAGATCAGTAGCTTAACCTTTCTCTCTGGGCACAAGCTGAGCCATGTCCTGGCTCCCCTCTATCCACCTGTCAGACAGTCATTCTCCCTTACAGGGGTCAGTAGCTTCACTCTCTTTCTGAGCACCAGTGCCTGCACAAGAGCGATGCTGAGCCATGTTGAGTCCCCGTGCACAGTGTCAGCAGGGCAGTTATTCCTTTTACAGACAGTAGTGGTGTAGAGCCAAGTATGAGCTTACACAAACAGGTTATATAACAAGTGGAGGTGAGTGCCTGTGCAGCAGTCTCACTGAGTCATGCAGGCCTGGATATCTGCCTCGGCTATTCCTTGACCAAAGCACATCCATGTACCTTACAGCAGCCATCTGCACCCAAACCAGATGCCAAAATAACCAGGGAAGCCCAAGAGTGACGGGGCCCAAGACCTTCCGCTACACCTCCCGTCGGACAACTAGCCATATCTTCTGAGAAGCCTCAGATAACCCTTGACATGACAGGTAATAATATTAACTTCCTTCTAGAATGCTTACTCTGTTTTGACCCATTATAATGGGCCTCTGTCATCCCAAAACTCTATGGTCAAGGGGATAGACAGGCCCATAGATGCCATTTTACCTATCCTATAAGCTGCTCTTCAGGGACTTTGGTTTTCTCCTGAATGCCCCACCCTTGTTGGGAAGGGGTTTATTAACTCAGCTGCAAACAGTAGTATGTTTTGGAAATGACAAGGCAGACAGAAAATGCTTCTTCTCCTTTCCTGTGAATAAATACCAGGCTTTGTTGCTAGATGCTCCTGATACAACACTTAAAGTATGCCAGATTTTAATCCAGCTACCTACTTGCCTGAACCCACAGGCACCCCAGATCATTCTTGGATACAAGTTATGGAGCAAGTTTACTCTAGCCGTCCACATTTAAAAGATGAGCCTCTAGATAATCCCAAAGTAGAATGGTTTACAGATGGAAATAGCTTTGTGAAGGGGTGGGTTGCCCCTCCACACCTGTGGGTGTTTCTCATTAGCTGGAACGAGAGACTTGGAAAAGAAAAAGACACAGAGACAAAGTATAGAGAAAGAAATAAGGGGACCCAGGGAACCAGCGTTCAGCATATGGAGGATCCCGCCAGCCTCAGAGTTCCCTTAGTATTTATTGATCATTTTTGGGTGTTTCTCAGAGAGGGGGATGTGGCAGGGTCATAGGATAATAGTGGAGAGAAGGTCAGCAGATAAACACGTGAACAAAAGTCTCTGCATCATAGACAAGGTAAAGAATTAAGTGCTGTGCTTTAGATATGCATACACATAAACATCTCAATGCCTTACAGAGCAGTATTGTTGCCCGCATGTCCCACCTCCAGCCCTAAGGCGGTTTTCCCCTATCTCAGTAGATGGAGCATACAATCGGGTTTTATACGGAGACATTCCATTGCCCAGGGATGGGCAGGAGACAGATGCCTTCCTCTTGTCTCAACTGCAAAGAGGCATGCCTTCCTCTTATACTAATCCTCCTCAGCACAGACCCTTTACGGGTGTCGGGCTGGGGGACGGTCAGGTCTTTCCCTTCCCACGAGGCCATATTTCAGACTATCGCATGGGGAGAAACCTTGGACAATACCTGGCTTTCCTAGGCAGAGGTCCCTGCGGCCTTCTGCAGTGTTTGTGTCCCTGGGTACTTGAGATTAGGGAGTGGTGATGACTCTTAAGGAGCATGCTGCCTTCAAGCATCTGTTTAACAAAGCACATCTTGCACCGCCCTTAATCCATTCAACTCTGAGTTGACACAGCACATGTTTCAGAGAGCACGGGGTTGGGGGTAAGGTCACAGAATCTCAAGGCAGAAGAATTTTTCTTAGTACATAACAAAATGGAGTCTCCTATGTCTACTTCTTTCTACACAGACACAGTAACAATCTGATCTCTCTTGCTTTTCCCCACAATACTGATTCTAAGTATGCCTTTCTGGCACTTCATGCTCATGCTGCTATCTGGAAGGAACAGGGCCTTCCAACTGCTAAGGGATCCCTATAAAACATCACTTAGAAATTCGGAATCTATTGGATGCTGTTTTGCTGCCCAAGGAAGTAGCTCTAATCCATTGCAGAGGACATCAAAAAGGAGACTCTAGTGCGGCTAAGGGAAACTCCTTTGCAGATGCAGCTGCTAAGACAGCAGCATTAAAGGAGCTAGTTGGACCTGTCAGCATGTTAGTGCCCTCAGCCATGGTAATGACAGAACCTGGGTATACTGAAGAGGAACAAGAATGGGCTAAAGGTCAGGGTTTAATTCAAGATCCTTCTGGCTGGCTTATCAATGACAACAAGCTGTTACTACCAGGTGCTAATCAGTGGAAAATAGCTAAGTATTTGCATGACTCTCTCTACTCATCTGGAAAGAGATTCCCTGTTTTAATTAATGCCCAGGCTTTTTGTAGGAAAAGACTTACTTAAAATGGTAAAGCAGGTAACTCAGGCCTGTGACCTATGTGCCCGGAATAACCCAAATAACCAATCTTTACCTCCTCCCCTAATAAGTCCTGTTTAGCATAGGGGAATGTACCTTGTTGAAGACTGACAAATAGACTATACTCAGATGCCCCTATGTAAAGGGTTGAAATATTTATTGTTAGTCATTAACACCTTTACTTGTTGGTTCAGGCTTTTCCTACCTGGTCTGAAAAGGCAATTGAAGTTTCTAAACTCCTGTTAAAGGAAATAAGTCTTAGATTTGGTCCGCCTAAGAGTTTACAGAGCAATCATTGGCCATGTTTCACAGTGACAATTACCCAAAACGTATCTTCAGCCCTAGGAATTCAGTACCGCCTTCACTTGGCAAGGAGGCCACAGTCTTCAGGGAAAGTAGAAAGAGCTAATCAAGCTCTAAAAAGGACTCTTGCTAAACTATGCCAGGAGATATCAGAAACCTGGCTGTCTTTATTACCTATAGCCTTATTAAGTGTTTGAGTGGCTCCTAAGGGAAATCTATGGCTCACCAGTTTTGAAATTATGTATGGAAGGCCTTTCTTAACTACAGACCTCCTAATAGACATAGATACTTTCAAGCTACAGAATTATGTGATCAACTTAGAACAAATGCAAAATGCACTCCTTAAATATGGAAACCAAAGACTCCCTTCCCCCACTAAGAAAGAGACTCTTGTTACAACCCAGCCAGGAGATTGAGTCCTGTTAGAAACTTGGAACTATTCCCAGAAGATCAACTTTCCCCAAAATGGAAGGGACCCTATCAAGTTCTCCTCAGTATGCCAGCTATAGTTAAACTTCTGGGAATAAACAGCTGGGTCCACTTATCTCGAATGAAACCTGTCTCTTATGAAGTCCCGCAATCTGGTGGAACACAGACTGATCCCGTTTATCCCTGTGAGCCAAGCAGTGACCTCCGACTCCTGTTCAGAAGAAATGAAAGAGATGGGTAACCTAAAGATATGGATTGGGATTCTCCTTTTGGGTAGAAGTTGGAATCATGCAGAGATTAACTTATTTATTGAGTGGGCATAGGCTTTAGCCTCTCTACATAATCAGATAAACTGCTGGGTATGTGGACATTTTAACAGCAGCCCAAGGGGAAACATGTGCTTTGATCAAAATCGAATGTTGTGTGTATGTTTTTGACTATTCACATACTATTACCCAGGCTATGAAAGCTTTAGACACTCATATCTCTGCCATTGGCGTGCTGTCAATCGACCCTATATTGGCTTGGTTTCAACAACTGCCTAGTTCTTGGAAAGACTTCCTGTTTAGTTTACTTGGAATAATTTTACTTACTTTGCTTTGCTGCTGTGGAAAATATTGTGGTTGAGCTCTTTGTGTAGGAATGCAAGACAAGCTCACTCAATGCTTTTTTAAATTGGACACTTACTAATCTTCCAGATATCACCTTTCGTCAGAACTCAGAGTTATGAATGACATTTACCATATCAACGCTCTCTGAGCTTTTCTCTATCCCGAATGCAAGAGACTGTAATAGTTAGGCAGCAATATCATTGCCCCAATTCAGCCTGAAGAAGTTACACAAGACAGATCTTCATCTTGCTGCAACCCTTAGGATTAAGGGTCCTGTTGTAAAGGGAGTGGGGAGATATGTCCGAGGCATTTGAACCAAAGCGACTCCATTTTGAGGGAGGGCTAGGAAAATGAGGCTGGGACTTTCTGGGCTGGATTCTGAGAAAGTCAGGCATTCCTAGCCTCTAGATGTTTATGGCTAAGGGAACAAATTAATAATGTTTACTAAACAGACCCAAACGTGGCAATGTCCAGATATGTCGATATCTGGAGAACAAAGGCATTCCTAATTTTGCTTCAAAGATGATAATATCGGTTCTTGCAAAATACAGTAATTGAGAACATTAATCTTTTATCACAAACCCTTGTAGCAGAGCACATCTCCCCAAATATACAAGCATTGTACCTAGGATAGATGTGTTCCTCCTCTTACTTTTGGGAATGTCCTATTCTGTCTATGGAGTAGCTGTTTTTTCACCACTTTGCCTTCTTAAAAAACTTGCATTTACTTTGCACTGAGGGCTCATCCTGAATTCTTTCTTGTGTGAGATTCAAGAACCCTCTCTTGGGGTCTGGATTGGGGCCCCTTTCCTGTAACATGATTGCTGCATTCAAGTTTTCTGTGTGTACGTTACTATCTAGAGTCTGACTTCTTTTTGATTCACTTGGCTCACTCACATGCAGTATGAAGATTGCTGCCTTCAATGTCATGGCGTGTATGTCACTATTAGGAGTCTTACCACTTTTCAATTCACTTGGCTTAGTCAGATGCGGTATGAATATCACTGCATTCATATTCGTCACATGTACGTCACTATCCAGAGTCTAACTACATTTCAATTCACCTGGCTCAGTCAGAGGGGTATAAAGAGCCTGTCATTTAAATTTATGACATGTACTTTGCTCTCCAGAGTCTGACTAATTTTCGATTCACTTGACTCAGTTAGATGTGGTATGAAGATGATTGACTTCCAGTTACCGCATGAACATCACTCTGCTGAGTCTATTTTTTGATTCACGTGGCTCAGTAGATATGGTATGAAGATCACTGCATTCACGTTTACCACGTGTATATCACCAGAGTGTGACTTACTTTCCATTCACTTGGCTCAGTCAGTGTGGGCAGAAAGCCACCCAGGTGCCGAGGAAAGAGACTGAAGGCATAAGCTGCTCCAATATAATAAAGAAAATAGTTAGGATAAAAGAAAGTTATATTAGACATAGGATATAGAGATTATATATGGATATTATCAATTATTAGTTTTTAGTATTAATGTTTGTTATTTTAACTGAGGAAAAACCAGGCCATACAGAGTCAGGAGCTGAAGGGACACTGTGAGAGGTGACCAGAAGACAAGAGTATGAACCCTCTGTCACACCCAAATAAGGGCTCCTTGAGGGCTCCTTGGTTTAGTGGTAGTGCCAGTGCCTGGGAAGGCACCCGTTATTTAGCAGACCTTGGTCTAGCAGTAGTGCCAGTGCGTGGGAAGGCGGCACCCATTACTTAGCAGACCAGGAAAGGGAGTTTCCCTTTCCTTGGGGGAGTTAGAGAACACTCTGCTCCACCAGCTCTTGTGGGAGGTCGAACAGTAGCCAGGCCTGCCCGTAGTCATCTGGAGGCTTAAACGTCTCCCTGTGATGCTGTGCTTCAGTGGTCATGCTCCTTGTTCACTTTCACATTCCGCCTGTACACCTGGCTCCTCCTTTTAAGTTCTTAGAAGATAGCAGTAGCAGAATTAGTAAAAGTACTAACGTCTTTGATCTTTCTGATAAGTGCATAGAAAAAATGCTGACGTATGCTGTCCTCCCTCTCTGCTTTGGCTACCACAAAGGGAAAGGCTGCCTGTCACGTGGACAAGTGACTTGCTTGACCTTATCAATCACTTGGGATGACTCACTCTCCTTACCCTGCCCCTTTGCCTTGTATACAATAAATAGCAATGCATCCAGGCATTCTGGGCCACTACCGGACTCCACGCATTGGTGGTAGTGGCCCCCTGGGCCCAGCTGTCTTTCTTACTGTCTTTGTCTTGTGTCTTATTTTCCTATGATCTCTTGTCTCCACACATGAAGAGAAAACCCACAGGCCCTGTAGGGCTGGACCTTACGTCTGGCACCCAATGAGGTCTTCTCTCTCACTGTGTGAAGGTGCGCCTTGAGCGTGGAACTCAGCGAAGGACTACCAATGACAGATTCCTGAGGATTGCAGTCAATAAGCTTGGTGGTAAGCTTGGACACTCAGAGAATCCCGGGGACACCATGGGACAGGCCAGTACCAAGTGCTTGGCTTATTTGAACTTTATAAAAACTCTCCTTAAAGAAAGAGGTAGGCCGAGGCGGGCGGATCACGAGGTCAGGAGATCGAGACCATCTTGGCTAACACGGTGAAACCCCGTTTCTACTAAAAATACAAAAAATTAGCCGGGCGTGTTGGCGGGCGCCTGTAGTCCCAGCTACTTGGGAGGCTGAGGCAGGAGAATGGCGTGAACCCGGGAGGCGGAGCTTGCAGTGAGCTGAGATTGCGCCACCGCACTCCAACCTGGGAGACACAGCGAGACTCTGTCTCAAAAAAAAAAAAAAAAAAAAAAAAAAAAAAAAAAAAAAAAAAAAAAAAAAGAGGTGTAAAAGTCTCTACTGATAAGTTAATTGAACTGTTTGAGGTTGTAGAACTCCTTTACCCTTGGTTTCCTACTGAGGGAAATTTAGAACTCAAACTCTGGGACGAAATTGGCTGACAATTTAAAATTGTTCATAAAGGGGAACATATTATTCTGCCCACATTTGCTTAATCTGGGCTTTGGTTCACTCTGTCCTAGACTCCTTGCATCCTCATGAGGACAACATGGAGGCTGGTCCCTCTTTCCTCTCCTCCAAGGAGGTTGAGGAAGTCCTCAGTTCTCTTTCCCCTGAGGATACTGCACAGATTGAGGCCGTGATTCTGCAGACGGACCTCCATTCTGACATTCCTTTGGCCCCACCACCTACACCAGAGCCTACCATGCCTCCATTATCACTTTTTGATGACCTTTAAAAATGATCTTTCCCCAAACCAGCAAACTCCAACCGAAATATATCATCAACAGCTATCATGGCCAGACCCTCCTGTCTTTCCTCAGCCCTGCTGTAGGGCTCTCAACCTTCCGCCTGTTCAGCCCAGCAATGAGGCCCTCAACTCTGTCTCTGTTCAGCCCTGCTGTGGGGCTCTCAACCTTCTGCCTGTTTGGCCTGGTAATGAGGCTTCTGTGGGCAGCAAGCCACCCAAGTGCCGAGGCAAGAGACTGAGAGCACGAGCTATTCCAGTGTAATAAGATATATGTAATAACAAGAGTTATACTAGATATAAATCACAGATATGATTATATGTACATATCATTAATCATTAGTTTGTAGTAATTACTCTTTATCCCAATATTATAATAATCCTTGCACTACAATCATAACCTAGAAAAAACCAGGCCATACAGAGATAGGATCTGAGGGGACATGGTGAGAAGTGACCAGTAGACAAGAGTGTGAGCCTTCTGTTATGTCCGGACAGGGCCACCAGAGGGCTCCTTGGTCTAGCAGTAACACCAGCATCTGGGAAGACACCTGTTACCAAGTGGACCATGGTCTAGTAGTAGCATCAGTGCCAAGGAAAAGCACCCGCTACTGAGCAGACCAGGAAAGGGAGTCTCCTTTTCCCTGGGGGAGTTTAGAGAAGACTCTACTCCACCACCTCTTGTGGAGGGCCTGACATCAGTCAGGCCCACCTGCAGTTATCCAGAGGCCTAACCATCTCCCTGTGATGCTGTGCTTCAGTGGTCACACTCCTGGTCCACTTTAATGTTCCATCCTGTACACCTGGCTCTGCCTTCTAGATAGTAGGAGAATTACTGAAAGTATTAAAAGTCTCTGAAATGCAGAAATAATGGCGTAAGCTGTCTCTCCTCTCTCCACCTGGGCTGCCAAACAGGGAAGGGCCCCCTTTCCAGTGTACATGTGACCCACGTGACCTTACCTATCACTGGAGATGGCTCACACTCCTTACCCTTCCCCCTTGTCTTGTATCCAATAAATAACAGCACAGCCTGGCATTTGGAGCCATTACCGGTCTTTGTGTCTTGGTGGTAGTGGTCCCCTGGGCCCAGCTGTCTTTTCTTTTATCTCTTTGTCTTGTGTCTTTATTTCTATGATCTCTCGTCTCCGCACATGGGGAGAAAAACCCACAGACCCTGTAGGGCTGTCCCCTACATCTGGCGCCCAATGTGGGGCTCTCCCTCGCTGTGTGAAGTTGCACTTTGAGCATGGGACTCAGTGGAGGATTTTGACAAAAGATTCCTGAGGATTGCGGTTGACAAGCTTGGTGGTAAGCCTGAGCACTCAGAGTATCCTGGGGACACCATGGGACAGGCCAGTACTAAGTACTCAGCTTATTTAAATTTTATAAAAACTCTCCTTAAAGAAGGAAGGGTTAAAGTTTCTACTGATAAGTTAATTGAACTGTTTGAGGTTGTGGATCTTCTTTGCCCTTGGTTTCTGACTGAGGGAACTTTAGAACTTAAGGATTGGGATGAGATTGGCAGACAATTCAAAATTGCCCATAAAGGGGGACATTTTATTCCACCCACCATTTGGTCAATCTGGGCTTTGGTTTGCTGTCCTAGACTCCTTACAGACTCAGGAGGACAATACAGAGACTGATCCCTGTTTCCTCTCCTCTGATGAGGTTGAGGAAGTTCTCAGTTCTCTTTCCCCTGAGGATACTGCACAGATTGAGACCATAATTTTACAGGCAGACTTCCACTCTGACATTCCTTTGGTGCTACCACGTACGCCAGAGCCTACTGCACCCCAGTTATTACTTTATGATGAACTTTTAACTGACCTGAATGAACTTATTTCCCCCAACTAGCAAAACGCAGCTGAAATGTATCAGCAGCCATTGCAGCCAGACCCTCCTGCCTTTCCTCACCCTCTCAATGCTGCAGCCATGCAGATAGCAGATGAGATCAGGTGGCCTGAAAGCAGGGCTCTAAATTATGTTTCCATGCAGCTCGATAGCCCAGAGTACAGAGGCTCTGATATCTATACAGCCTGATGAGGAGGCTTTCAATTCTCGGCCCGGTAATGAGGCCCTCAGCCCTATCCCTCCACAGCCTAGTTTTCTTATGCCTGGTTCCTTTTCTGCTAATCGGATTCCCTTGGAGTCACAGGCTCCCTTGAAGCCTGGTTCTTTTTCTGCTAATCGGACTCCCTTGGAGTCACAGGCTCCCTTGAAGCCTGGTTCCTTTTCTACAAATCAGGCTCCCTTGAAGCCTCAGGCTCTCTTGAAGCGTGGTCCACAGTTGCCGTGGCAGCCTGGATTTCAGGCCCATGAAAGACCTGCTCAGCAGGTAATCTGGTCTCATCCTGGCCTTCGGGTTCTCAACTCTTCCTTCTTTCAAAATTCCAACCGTTTTTCTGCTCCTCGTCTGGTCGCTACTGCTGTTGCCAATACTACCATTGCCACTCATAAGCAACAAGTTACATACATCCCTGGAAATGACACTCCGCTTATGAGGGCTATAGTTCAGGCAAGGGAATATGGGGATCCTGGTGCCTGGTAATTTCTTGTAATTTTACACCCTCCAGTACCTGCCACCCCAGGGTCACAAAATCACCCACAGCCCATTCATCCTGCTCAGCAGGCGGCTGATCCTGCAGCTCATCAAGATCAACAGCCTGATAATCAAGCCCCTCAGCCGGACAATCAGGCTGCTCAGGGAAATAATCAGGCTCCACAACTGCCTTCCGCTGGGGCACAGCCAGTACCTGGTATTCCAGCAGTTCAGACAGTAGTTCAACCTGACCCCATACTTCTAGCTCAGGTTCAGCTACGCCCTGCTCCTTGGGAAAGTTTTTCTAAATTCCTCAAAGATTTCAAGGAATCAGTAAAACAATACAGCATCAACTCTCCTTTTGTCCGTTCCACATTAAAAGCCCTAGCAGAAGATAAATAAACGTTTGGTGCCCTATGACTGGGAGATTTTAGCAAAGTCAGTCTTATCTATTTTTTTTTATTTTTATAAGTTTTTATTTAAAAGATTCCCTTTTTAATCTGTTCCAAAGTGTTGGAAGCTGAACTATACAAGTTCCTGCCACCCATCCTTCCAGTACAGTTTTATGAGGACATACTTTTTAAATGGAAAAATAACAGGAGGACCCTCTAACTGAAACCAGGTAGGCCCAGAGTGAGCTCCTCAGGCCCCTGTGGCAGCCTGGCCAAAGCTGGCCTTTATGGAGCCAGTGCGTGGAGAAGTCTGGGGAACCGGGGCCCTCCCTCTTGTGAGGAAAGGGTTGAGCAAACTCATGTTCTCTTTAGTGAAATGGTCCAAATTCAGATCCAAAAACCTCCATTATGGCATTCCCTGGCACTCTTCTTATACTTTATACATTGAAGGCAGCTCCCTCTTTTATGGCCAGTATAAGCAGGCAAAGAAACAAAGGAATATAGATACATATATGTGTATATATATATATTTTATATAGGTAAAATATATACATATTTTATATATGTATATATACATATTTGGGGGTAGGGAAAGGAGAGGAGGGTCATGTAAACCTAAACAGTCATCACATTACCCCAAATGAGCCTGACTTTGACAAAAAGATAATAAATAACTCCTGGGGGTTAAGTGACAACATGGGTGCAGCAAGAAGGGAAAGGGCACAAATTTAACTATTAAATACACTTTGATATTTGTTTGGCAGAGTTCAGGCCAACCCCAGGCTTCTGCCCTTGCCAGACAAGTAAGCTGATGATATTCAAAGAAAAAAATAAAAATATTAAAAAAAAAAAAATTCAAGCAGAGCTCCATACCACAGTTTTCCTTCAAGTCAGTTGGCCGGCAGGCAGTTTCCCGACCACCAGGAACAGAAACTTTGGCTCCAAGGCAAATGAAACAAACAAACAAAAAAAAGTATTTCCACTTACAACATGAAAATACAGAAACTTCATCAAAGAAAGAAAACTATCAAAGAAGTCTACTTCCAGCAAAACTGAGGTAGCACTGCTTTCTCCGCATTCAATGCTTAAGTGGTTCTCAGTACAACGTGTTCTTAAAAAATGCTCACTTGACTGAAAGTCAGTCTTATCTAAATCCCAATATTTACAATTCAGGACTTGGTGGGTTGATGCTGTCCAGGAACACATTCATCTTAATCAGGGCTCCAATCCTCCTGTTAACGTTACAGCTGACCAGTTACTGGGAATGGGTCAGTGGGCTACAATTAGAAACCAAACTATAGTAAATGATGTGGTTATTGAACAACTGTGGAAATGTTGCTTAGATGCTTGGGAAAAGATTCAAGATGATGGCAAAGTATGCCCATCGTTTGCGGCAGTCAGACAGGGACAACATGAACCCTACCCAGACTTTATTGCCCATCTCCAAGACGCAGCAGAAAAAGCTATCCCTGAGCCACGGCCATTGACTTGTTGTAGAA
Source organism: Homo sapiens (assembly GCF_000001405.40). Lineage (NCBI taxonomy): Eukaryota > Metazoa > Chordata > Mammalia > Primates > Hominidae > Homo > Homo sapiens. Next base: position 43,345,397 of record NC_000017.11, on the reverse strand, counting down.
CTCATGGCTTATGAACAAGCAAATCCAGATTGTCAGGTGGCTATTCGCCCTGTTAAAGGTAAAATTCCATGGGTGTGTGTGTGTGTGTGTGTGATATACTCACCTCCTACATTAAAGCCTGTGAAGGTGTGGGAGGAACTCTGCACACAGCAATGATCATGGCACAAGCCATGGCCTCTATTCGAACGCCTGGACAATTCACTGGCCAATGCTTTATATGCGGCCAGACAGGACATGCTAAAAGAAATTGTCCCCAGTGTACATGTTGCCATTCTTTTCAACCCCACCACCACCAACAACAAAAAATTTTTCAACAACAGAAAGTCCCACCTTCTACTTTATGCCCACGATGCCAAAAGATAAATCACTGAGCTGCTCAATGCCATTCGAGATTTGATATTGATGGTAATCCTTTACAGTCGCTTAACAACCAGGGAAATGGAACGAGGGGCTGGCCCCAGGCCCCTCTAAACAATGGCGCATTCCTCAACTCCCAGCCCCTGGCATCCAGCCAGATGGGTGCCTTCCCAGTCCAATCGATTCAACCTCCACCCCAATTCCCACTTCAGCAATTTGTGCCACAGGATCTAATGGCCCAGCCCCAGCAGGAATCTCAGTACAGTGTTTGTCTCCTGCCACTGCAGGCTCAGCAGCAATAGATCTCTCTTGTACCAGAGACATTTCTCTGTTGCTTGGATAGCTGCCTATTGCTGTTCCTAGAGGTGTTTTTGGTCCCTTACTGACTGGCAGTGTCAGTTTGCTACTTGGTCATTCAAGTCTAAATTTAAAAGGTGCTCAAGTACATACTGGTGTAATTGATTCTGACTATTCAGGTGAAATTCATATTGTCATTAGCTCTGCAGTCCCTTGGAATGTGGCAGCTGGGGACGGCATTGCTCAACTTCTGATACTCCCTTACATTCCTTTAGGATCCAGTTCTTGTATGAGAAACAGAGATTTTGGTAGCACAGATTATCAAGGCAAAGTGGCTTATTGGGCCAGCAAAATTTCTGACACTCATCCTGTGTGCTCTGTGCATATTCAAGGGAGGAAGTTTGAGGGAATGATTGATACGGGTGCTGATGTTTCTATTATTGCTTTACATCAATGGCCCCAACACTGGCTAAAGGAGCATATGTCCACAGCATTAGTTGGTGTTGGTGACGCTTCAGAAGTATATGCAAGCTCCACAATTTTACATTGCATGGGCCCTGAAGGACAAATGGGAACTATCTGCCCCCTCATTACACCCATTCCTGTTAACCTGTGGGGAAAAGATCTTTTATATCAATGGGGGACATAGATTTCTTTTCCACAAGGCAGTTACAGCCAGCAAAGTAAAGACATTATGACAAAAATGGGATTTGTTCAAGATATGGGCTTGGGAAAATCAGCACAAGGCATCACCGAGCCTATTATACCTACCCATAAACCAGATTCTACAGGACTTGGTTATTCTTTTTAGAAGTGGTCACTATCAAGTCTCCAGATCCCATCCCTTTGACTTGGAAAACTCAGAAACTGGTTTGGGTAGATCAGTGGCTGCTCCCAAAAAATAAGCTGGAGGCACTTCATATTTTGGTTCTTGAACAGTTAAAATTGGGTCAAACCCTCTTTTTCTCCCTGGAATTCACCTGCCTTTGTTATCCAAAAGAGGTCTGGTAAGTGGAGAATGCTTACTGATCTTAGGGCAGCAAATGCTGTCCTTCAACCTATGGGGACATTACAGCCTGGTTTGCCCTCCCCCACTATGATTCCCAAGTATTGGCCACTTATCATCATTGACCTTAAAGATTGCTTGTTTTACATTCCTCTGGCCCCTCAGGACTTTGAAAAATTTGCTTTCACAGTTCCAACCCTTAACAACATCCCTCCTGCAGCACATTACCATTGGAAAGTCCTACCTCAAGGTATGCTTAATAACTCTACTATTTGTCAATATTATGTGGGGACCATACTAAAGCCAGTAAGAGATCAGTTTCCCCAATGTTATGTCATTCATTACATGGATGATATTCTTTGTGCAGCACCTTCACGCTCTGTATTAATATCTTGTTTCTCTGCAGTACAACAAGCAGTTGCAGCAGCTGGTTTGGTTATCGCTCCAGAAAAAATTCAGACTTCTTCCCCTTATCACTATTTAGGAATGCAGCTAGAGGACAAGGTTATTAAGCCCAAAAAAGTTCAATTCAGATGAGATTCTTTAAAAACTCTAAATGATTTCCAAAAATTACTTGGAGATATTAATTGGATTCATCCCTCCTTAGGCATTCCTACATATGCTATGTCTAATCTTTTTGCAACGTTACGGGGCAATCCTGATTTACACAGCAAAAGGTCTCTGACTCCTGAGGTGGATTCTGAATTACAACTTATAGAAAAACGCATTGAACAGTCTCAGGTTACCAGAGTGAATCCACATTTACTTTTTGAAATACTAATTTTTCCTACTGAACATTCACCAACAGGACTCATTATTCAGGGACATAATTTAATTGAATGGTGTTTTCTTCCACACAGCTCTTTACGGACACTTACTATTTACTTAGATCAAATTTCTATCTTAATTGGTCAGGCTCGTTCTCGTCTCCTTCATCTTTTGGGTACAGAGCCCAAAAAAATCATTGTTCCCCTCACCCGATTACAAGTCCAACAGGCTTTTGCAACCTGCATCTCTTGGCAAGTACATTTGGCAGGTTTCCCGGGTATAACTGATAATCACTATCCTAATGTAAAATTATTTCAGTTCCTTAAACTCCTTGGATTTTGCCTAACATTACTAGAAACACCCCATTAGCTGAAGCTGCCACTGTTTTTACTGATGCTTCCTGTAATGGCCGAGCAGCATATATGGGTCCAAGAGAACATGTTCTTAACACAGGAGCTATTTCAGCACAGTGAGCTGAGCTGTTTGGTATCATGGCTGTTCTTGAATATTTCCCTGAAGCAGTTAACATTGTTTCTGATTCGGCGTATGTAGTACATGTTGCTCACAACATTGAAACTGCCTGAATCAAATTTCTGCCTGATGACAACCTACTTTTTCTTTTCCAAAGGTTTCAGTCCATACTCAGATCAAGGTCTTCTCCTTCCTACATTACTCATATTCGGGGTCACACAACCCTCCCCAGACCTCTCTTGGCAGCAAATGCCAGAGCTGATACATTACTTGCTCCCGTTTTTACATATGCAGAAAATTTTCATACTTTAACTCATGTCAATGCTGTGGGACTCTGAAAAAAGTTCCCCCTCACATGGAAACAAGCTAAAACCATTGTATGTCACTGTCCTACTTGTCAAGTGTTAATTTTACATCCACTTTCTTCAGAAGTTAACACTAGAGGACTTTCACAGAATGCTCTCTGGCAAATGGATATGACTCATTATGCTGCTTTTGGCAAGCTGTCTTTTATACATGTAACTATTGATGCTTTTTCTCATTTTGTCTGGGCCACTTGTCAAACAGGGGGAAAGTATGGCTCATGTTAAATGACACATACTTTCATGTTTCTCGGTTATGGGCTGTCCCAAGAAACTAAAAACTGACAACAGCCCCAGCTACACTAGTGCTGCTTTTAAAAAGTTCACTCAGACATGGGCAATTACTCACACAACTGGCATCCCCTATAACTCTCAAGGACAGACCTTGGTGGAACGAGCCAATAAAACACTCAAAGAGCAACTTCGGAAACAGGACACTAAAACAGAGGGATGCTGCTACCCCTTATGCTCAGTTAGTTAAATCTGGCTGCTTTTATACTGAAATTTCTTAAACCTACTAAGAAATCAACTTTTTACAACAGCAGAACAACATTTCACTGGAAATAAATTTGATCCACAAAAAGGAATGCACGTATGGTGGAAGGATGCAAAAACTAACAAATGGGAATTAGGCACTGTCGTAACATGGGGTAGGGGTTTTGCTTGTGTTTCCCCAGGAAAAGGACAACAACCTGTGTGGGTTCCCTCCCGACAACTGAAATTGCACCATAACTCCCAAGAAGAAACACTCCCAGAAACAAAAGGCAAAGACCCCTCTGAAACCAAAGAGCAAGTATCACCGCCTGACACATAAACTTCATGACCTCGACATTGAGACAAAATCTCGCCGTGTGACCTACAACACCACTCATTTAACTCCACCAACTTGGGGTCAAATAAAGGTCTTATCCCATCAACAGAAAAATCATTAAGAGAAAAATGAATCCCCAAAACGACAGGTAATATAATTCTGGCTGCCTTTATGGTAGTCAGTGCAGTGGTGAGTATACCACCAGTTTGGGCAACTCAAAATTATACCTACTGGGCATGTGTTCTTTTCCCCCTTTAATTCAGTCTGTCTCCTGGATGGACTCCTCAGTAGAAGTTTACACTAATAATAGTGCATTCATGCCGGTCCCTAATGATGATAGGTTTCCAGCTCAACCAGAATAAGAAGGTATGCACTTTAATCTGTCAATTGGCTATAAATATCCACCACTATGCACTGGGATGTCGCCTGGCTGTTTAGTTTATTCTTACCAGAATTGGATGTGGACAGTACCGTCCTTTACAAATGATTCTTATCAAGTACATAATGTGTTCAGTAGCAATTCTTTTCAACTTCTGTTAAACTTAATCCACAAGAGGAATGGTGGGTTCTGGTCACTACTAACAGCAATAAAACAAAAGGACTGCCAGACTGCCCAAAGGAATCTACAAAGGGACCTTTTCTGGTGAATTCAATTTTATGGAATAATTGTAATGCCATTATTGGCGGGATTGCTCCAGCCAGAATACGACATGCTCAGAGTTCAATTATTTGTTACAATATTAGAGGACGGATGGCAGTCCTACAGGTTGAGAGAATGGGTGTCTCCTTACCCATTCAAATGGATGAACACAGGCATTGTTCCTTCTAGACCAAAAATGATTCATCCCATTGTTACCCCAGAACATCCTGAATTATGGAAATTAGCTGCAGCTATGACAGGAATAAGGATATGGAGTGCTACCTATCAACTCTCTCCCACTAATATCAAAACACCCACATTCAACATCACCTTGATGTCTGAACAGGTGATACGTATCAGGAGCTGTGTCAAACCCCCTTACATGCTGTTGGTTGGAAATATAATTATCATTCCCAATACACAAAATATAGAATGTGATAATTGTAAGCTGTTCATGTGCATTGATGCTACTTTTAATCCCACAACAAGTATTCTATTCGTAAGGGCTAGGGAGGGGGTATGGATACCAGTTTCTTTACATCATCCATGGGAGTCTTCCCCCTCTATACACATAGTCAATGAAGTTCTTAAAGGTATCCTGAAAAGAACAAAGTGATTTATTTTTACTGTTATTGTAGTCATTGCAGGTCTAATTGCGGTTTCTGCAACAGTGGCAACCGCTGGAGTTGAGATCCACAGTTCTGTTCAAACCACTCAATATGTTGAAGCATGGCAAAAAAACTCCTCCAGACTTTGGAATTCTCAGACTCAAATTGATCAAAAGTTAGCTAATCAAATTAATTATCTCCACCAAAGTGTAATATGGCTGGGAGATACAGTTATGAATTTGGAACACCGTATGCAATTACAATGTGATTGGAATACTTCTGATTACTGTATAACACCTTATGCTTATAATAAAGATCAGCATAGCTGGGAATCGGTCTCAAGACATTTAAAAACCTGGGATGATAACTTAACCTTGGATATTTCAAAACTTAAAGAACAAATTTTTGAGGCTTCACAGGCTCATTTATCCACTGTTCTGGGCTCAGACATTTTTGAAGGAATAGCTAAAGAATTATCTGATCTTAATCCCTTTAAATGGATCAAACCCCTCAGAGGATCATTGTTGTCACTGGCATTATTAATATTGGTATGCTTATGTTGTCTACTTTTAGTCTGCAGATCCCGCAAGGAATCCGAAGACAAGTCCAAAGTCAACGACAAGCAATGATGGCAATGGTGATCCTAGTTAATAAAAAGCGGGGAGATGTGGGTGGCAAGCCACCCAGGTGCCGAGGCAAGAGACCGAGAGCACGAGCTGTTCCAGTGTAATAAAATATATAAAATAACAAGAGTTATACTGATATAGCTCATAGATATGATTATATATAAATACCATTAATCATTAGTTTGTAGTAATTACTCTTTATTCAAATATTATAATAATCCTCACTCTACAATCATAACCTAGAAAAAGGCAGGCCATGCAGAGATAGGAGCTGAGGGGACATGGTGAGAAGTGACAAGAAGACAAGAGTGTGAGCCTTTTGTTATGCCCAGGCAGGGCCACCAGAGGGCTCCTTGGTCTAGCAGTAATGCCAGCGTCTGGGAAGATGCCCGTACCAAGCGGACCATGGTCTAGTGGTAGCGTCAGTGCCAAGGAAAAGCACCTGCTACTGAGCAGACCAGGAAAGGGAGTCTCCCTTTCCCCAGGGGAGTTTAGAGAAGACTCTACTCCACCATCTCTTATGGAGGGCCTGACATAAGTCAGGCCTGCCTGCAGTTATCCAGAGGCCTGACCGTCTCCCTGTGATGCTGTGCTTCAGTAGTCATGCTCCTGGTCTGCTTTCATGTTCCATCCTGTACACCTGGCTCTGCCTTCTAGATAGCAATAGCAGAATTACTGAAAGTATTAAAAGTCTCTGAAATGCAGAAATAATGGTGTAAGCTGTCTCTCCTCTCTCTCCGCCTCGGCTGCCAAACAGGGAAAGGCTCCCTTTCCAGTGGATGCATGACCCACGTGACCTTACCTATCATTGGAGATGGCTAACACTCCTTACCCTGCCCCCTTGTCTTGTATCCAATAAATAACAGCGCAGCCTGGAATTTGGGGCCACTACTGGTCTCCACGTCTTGGTGGTAGTGGTCCCCCAGCCCCAGCTGTCTTTTCTTTTATCTCTTTGTCTTTTGTCTTTGTTTCTATGATCTCTTGTCTCCGCACACGGGGAGAAAAACCCACAGACCCTGTAGGGCTGGCCCCTACAGGCTCTCAACTGTGTCTCTGTTCAGCCCTGCTGTAGGGCTCTCAACCTTCTGCCTGTTTGGCCTGGCAATGAGGCCCTCAACCCTATCCCTCCACAGCCTGGTTATCCATCTCTCACTTCTGCTTCTCCTTTGGTGCATCAGGCTCCCTCGAAGCCTGTCCTGCAGTTACTGCAGCAGCCTTGATTTCTCAACCCTAAAAGACCTGCCCAGCAGGTAATCGCACCTCATCCTGGCTTACAGGTTCTTGATTCTTCCTCTATTCAAAACTCGAATCTCTTTTTGGCTTCTGGTCCGGTTACCACTGCTGTTGCCACCACCATGGCTGCTCATAAGCAACAGGTTACATACATTCCTGAAAATGACACTCCTCTTATGAGAGCCATTTCTCAAGCCAGGGAGTATGGGCATCCTGAGGCCTAGCAACTTCCTCTTATTCTACATCCCCATATACCTGCCGCTCCTGTTGCTGTGGCACAGGATCAGCCACAGCCCGCTGATCCTGCTCAGCAGGTGGCTGATCACACGGCTCCCCAAGGTCCGCAGCCTGAAAATCAGGCTCCTCAGGCAAATAATCAGGCTCCTCAACCTATACCATAAATGCTTGCTGCTGTAGCGCAGCCAGCTCCAGGTATACCTGCAGTCCAGGCAGTAGTCCAACCAGATCCTTTTCATCCAGGCCAGGTCCAGTTACTCCCTGCTACACGGGAAAGTTTTTCTTTTAAATTCCTCAAAGATTTCAAAGAATCAGTGAAACAATACAGCACCATCTCCCCTTTTGTGCATTCCACATTAAAAGCTCTAGCAGAGGATAAACGTTTGGTGCCTTATGACTGGGGAATTCTAGCAAAATCAGTATTATCTGAATCCCAATATTTATAATTCAGGACTTGGTGGGTTGATGCTGTCCACGATCGAGTTCAGCTTAATCAAGGCTCTAATCCTCCTGTTAATATTACAGCTGACCAGTTATTGGGAATGGGACAATGGCCTGCAATTACAAATCAAACTATACTAAATGATGAGGTCATTCAACAGCTTCGCAAATGCTGCCTATATACTAATAGTAGTGCATTTATACCAGTCCCTAACGATGACAGGTTTCCTGCTCAACCAGAGGAAGAAGGTATGCAGTTTAATTTGTCAATTGGATATAAATACCCGCCATTGTGCATAGGAATGTCACCTGGCTGCTTAGCTTTCTCTAATCAAAATTGGATATGGACTGTACCGTCCTCTAATAATGATTCTTATCAAGTACATAATGAGTTTAGTAGTAATTCTTTTCAGATCATGACTGTTAAACTTAATCCTCATGAGGAATGGAGAGTTCCCGTCACTACCAAACATAATACAACAAAAGGACTGCTAGACTGTTCAAGTGAACCTACCAGGGAACCTTTTACAGTTGAAACTATTGTATGGAATGATTGTAATGCTCCAAAAGCAGTAGTGTTACAGGGCCTGATTACAGGTGGTTATTGACTGGGCTCCAAGAGGATATTATTGGCTAAATTTTTCCAGCCTAAATGCCAAATATTCTGAGTTCAACTATTTGATAGATTATGTAGAGGAGGGATGGCAGTCCTACAGGCTGAGGGAATGGGTGTCTCCTTACCCATTCAAATGGATGGACAAAGTGATCATTCCTCCTAGACCAAAAGTGATTCATCCTATTGTTACCCCAGAACATCCTGAATTGTGGAAATTGGCTGCTGCCATGACTGGAATTAGGATATGGAATGTAACCTATCAGATCATTCCCACTAATACCAAGACAGACGTATACAAAGTCACCTTGATGTCTGAACAGGTGATACCTAGCAGGAGCTGTGTAAAATCCCCTTATATGCTATTAGTCGGAAATATAATTATCACCCCCCAACAGCCAAACCATAGAATTTGATGATTGCAAATTGTTTACATGTATTCGTGTTACATTTCATCCCATAACAAGTATTCTCCTGGTAAGGGCTAGGGAGGGGGTAAGGATACCGTTTCTTTACACCACCCTTGGGAGTCTTCTCCCTCTATTCATATAGTCAATGAAATCCTTAAAGGAATCCTTAAGAGAACGAAGAGATTCATCTTTACTCTTATTGCAGTCATTGCAGGATTAATTGCTGTCACTGCCACAGCAATGGCAGCTGGAGTTGCTATCCACAACTCTGTTCAGACCACTCAATATGTGGAAGTGTGGCAAAAAAACAAACAAACAAACAAAAACTCCACCAGACTCTGGAATTCTCAGGCTCAAGTTGATCAAATTTGGCTAATCAAATTAATGATCTCCACCAGAGTGTGATATGGCTGGGAGATAGAGTTATGAATTTGCAACACCGTATGCAATTACAATGTGATTGGAATAATTCTGATTATTGCATAATGCCTTATGCTTATAAAAAAGATCAGCATAGCTGGGAAAAAGTCATGAGACATTCAAAGCCTGGGATGATAATCTAACTTAAGATATTTCAAAACTGAAAGAGCAAATTTTGGGGGCCTCACAGGCTCACTTAACTACCGTTCCTGGCTCTCATATTTTTGAGGAAATCACCAAAGTATTATCCGATCTTAATCTTTTTAAACGGATCAAACCCCTTAGAGGTTCACTATTGTCACTAGCATTACTGATATTGGTGTGTTTATGTTGTCTGCTTTTAGTATGCAGATGTCTTCAGGGAGTCCGATGAAAAGCCCAAAGTCAACAAGCAATGATGGCAATGATGATCCTAGTCAATAAAAAGAGGGGAGATTTGGGCAGCTGTGGACGAAGGATTACCCAGGTGCCAAGACAGGAGACTGAAGGCACAAACTGTAGCAGTATAATAAAGAAAATAGTTAGAATAAAGAATACTTACAATACAAATTAGATATAGAGATGATCATGGACAATTATCAATCAATAATGTATAAACATTATTAATCATTAGCTTTTAATATTAGTCTTTGTTGCATTACTAATATAACCTAGGAATAATTGATGGGTGTAGGATCATGTACTGAAGGGACATTGTGAGAAGTGACCTAGAAAGCAAGAGGTGAGCCCTCTGTCATGCCCACATAAGGGCCGGTTGAGGGCTCCTTGGCCAAGCAGTAATGCCAGTGCCTGGGAAGGCACCCGTTACTTAGCAGACCAAGAAAGGGAGTCTCCCTGTTCTTGGAGGAGTCAGGAAACACTCTGCTTCACCACCTCCTTGTGGGAGGCTTTATATTATCCAGGCCTGCCCTGCAGTCATCTGGAGGCCTAAACCCCTCCCCGTGGTGCTGTGCTTCAGTGGTCATGCTCCTTGTCCACTTTCATGTTCCTCCTGTACTCCTGGTTCCTCTTTGAAGTTCATAGTAGATAGTGGTAGAAGAAATAGTGAAAGTCTTAAAATCTTTGAACTTTCTTATAAGTGCCTAGAAGAAAACACTGATGTATGCTGCCTTTCCTCTCTGCTTCAGCTACCTAAAAGGGAAGGGCCCCCTGTCCCATGATCATGTGACTTGCTTGAGCTTATCAATCACTTGGACGTCTCACCCTCCTTACTCTTCCCCCTTTGTCTTGTATGTAATAAATATCAGCGAGCCCAGCCATTCCGGGCCCCTACTGGTCTCTGCGTCTTGGTGGTAATGGTCCCCTGGGCCCAGCTGTTTTCTCTTTATCTCTTTGTCTTGTGTCTTTATCTCTTATAATCTCTCATCTCCATACATGGGTAGAACACCCACTAAACCCTGTAGGGCTGGACCCTACAGGCGGCAAGCTACCCAGGTGCTGAGGCAAGAGACCGAAGGCACAAGATGTTCCAGTATAATAAAATATATAGAATAAGAATAGTTATACTAGAAATAGAATACAGATATGATCATATATGAATATTAATCATTAGTTTGTAGATTTACTCTTTATTCCAATATTATAATAATATCTGTTTTACAATTATAACCTAGAAAAAATTAGGCCATACAGAGATAGGAGCTGAAAGGACACGGTGAGAAGTGACCGGAAGACAAGAGTGTGAGCCCTCTGTCATGCCCGGACAGGGCCACTAGAGGGCTCCTTGGTCTAGCGGTAACGCCAGTGCCTGGGGAGGCACCCGTTACTTAGCAGACTGGTCTAGTGGTAGCGCCAGTGCCTGGGAAGGCACCCGTTACTTAGCAGACCAGGAAAGGGAGAGAGTTAGAGAAGACTCTGCTCCACCACCTCTTGTGGAAGATCTTTGTCAGGCCCACCCGCAGCCATGCCCACAGCCATCTGGAGGCCTAAACGTCTCCCTGTGATGCTGTGCTTCAGTGGTCACGCTCCTTGTTCATTTTCATGTTCCACTCTGTGCACCTAGCCTGGCCTTCTAGACAGCGGTAGCAGAATTAGTGAAAGTATTAAAGTCTTTGATCTTTCCGAGAAATGCATAGAAGAAATAATGACGTAAGCTGTCCCCTCTCTGTCTCCACCTCAGCTACCAAATAGGGAAGGGCCCCTGTCCAGTGGTCACGTGACTCACGTGACCTTACCTATCATTGGAGATGACCTGCACTCCTTACCCTGCCCCCTTGCCTTGTATACAATAAGTAACAGCACAGCCAGGCATTCGGGGCCACTACCGGTCTCCGCGTCTTGGTGGTAGTGTTCACCCGGGCCCAGCTGTCTTTTATTCTATCTCTTTGTTTTGTGTCTTTATTTCTATGATCTATCATCTCCACACACAAGAGAAAACCCCAAAGGCCCTGTAGGGTTGGACCCTACATCTGGCGCCCAACGAGAATTTCTCTCTCGCTGTGTGAAGTTGCACTTTGAGCGTGAAACACAGCAGAGGATTTCAATGACAGATTCCTGAGGATTGAGGTCAATAAGCTTGGTGGTAAGCTTGGGCACTCAGAGTATCCCGGGGACACCAAGGGACAGGCCTGTACTAAGTACTCAGCTTATTTAAATTTTATAAAAACTCTCCTTAAAGAAGGAGTGGTTAAAAGTATCTACTGATAAGTTAATTGAACTGTTTGATGTTGTAGATCTTCTTTGCCCTTGGTTTCCTACTGAGGGAACTTTAGAACTTAAGGATTGGGATGAGATTGGCAGACATTCAAAATTGCTCATAAAGGCGGGCATATTATTCCACCCCCAATTTGGTCAATCTGGGCTTCGGTTCGCTCTGTCCTAGACTCTTTACAGACTCAGGAGGACAACATGGAGACTGATCCCTCTTTCCTCTGAGGAGGCTGAGGAAGTGCTTAGTTCTTTTTCACCTGAGGATACTGCACAGATTGAGGCCATAGTTCTACAGATGGACCTCCACTCTGATATTCCTTTGGTGCCACCACCTACGCCAGAGCCTACCATGCCCCGGTTATCGCTTTATGATGAACTTTTAACTGATCTGAATGAATTTATTTCCCCCAACCAGCAAAATCCAGCTGAAAGATATTATCAACAGCCATCACAGCTGTACCCTCCTACCTTTCCTCAAACTCTCAACTCTCCAGCTATGCAGATAGAAAATGAGATGATGCAGCCTGAAAAAGAGGCTCTAAACTATGTTTTCATGCAGCCTGGTACAGAGGCTCCAATTTCTACACAGCCCGGTGAAGAGGCTCTCAATTCCCTGCCTGGTAATGAGGCCCTGAACCCTATCCCTGTTCAGCCCTGCTGTAGAGCTCTCAACTTCTTGCCTATTCAGCCTGGTAATGAGGCCCTCAACCCTATCTCTGTTCAGCCCCGCTGTGGGGCTCTCAACTTTCTACCAGTTCAGCCCAGTTATGAGGCCCTCAACCCTATCCATATTCAACCTATTTTTCCACCTCTCTCTTCTCGTTCTCTTTTGACAAGTCAGTCTCCCTTGAAGCCTGGACCTCTCTTGGTAAATCAGGCTCCCTTGAAGCCTGGGTCTCTTTCAGAAATCAGGCTCCTTTGAAGCCTGGGTATCTTTTGGCAAATCAGTCTCCCTCGAAGCCTGGGTCTCTTTCGGCAAATCACACTTCCTTGAAGCCTGGGTCTTTTCTGACAAATCAGGCTCCCTTGAAACCTCAGGCTCCCTTGAAGCCTGGTCCACAGTTACTGCGGCAGCCTCAGGCCCATGAAAGACCTGCCCAGCAGGTAATCTCGTCTCATCCTGGCCTACAGGTTCTCAACTCTTCCTCCATTCAAAATTCCAAACTTTTTCCTGCTTCTGGTCCAGTTGCTACTGTGGTGGCCAATACCACCATTGCCGCTCATAAGCAATGAGCTATATACATCCCTGAAAATGACACTCCTTTTATGAGGGCTATAGCTCAGACAAGAGAATATGGGGATCCCGAAGCCTGGCAATTTCCTGTAATTTTACAACCTCCAATACCCGCCGTCCCAGTGGCACAAAATCAGCCACAGCCTGCTGATCCTTCTCAGCAGGCAGCTGATCCCGCAACCCGTCAAGATCAACAGCCTGACAATCAGGCTGCTCAGGAAAATAATCAGGCTCCACAACTGCCTGCCGCTGAGACACAGCCAGTTCCTGATGTTCCAGTAGTTCAGGCAGTAGTTCAACCTGACCCTATACATCCAGGCCAGGTTCAGCTATGTCCCGCTACTTAGGAAAGTTTTTTTTTCTTTTTTTTTTTTTTTTTTTTTTGAGATGGAGTCTCGCTCTGTCTCCCAGGCATGCCCGGCTAATTTTTTTTTTTTTTTTGTATTTTTAGTAGAGACAGACTTTCACCCTGTTAGCCAGGATGGTCTCGATCTCCTGACCTTGTGATCCACCTGCCTGGGCCTCCCAAAGTGCTGGGATTACAGGAGTGAGCCACCGCACCTGGCCAAGTTTTTCTTTTAAATTCCTCAAAGATTTCAAAGAATCTGTGAAGCAGTATGGCACCAACTCCCCTTTTGTCCATTCCAAATTAAAAGCCCTAGCAGAAAATAAACACTTGGTGCCCTATGACTGGGAGATTTTAGCAGTCAGTCTTATCTAAATCTCAATATTTACAATTCAGGACTTGGTGGGTTGATGCTATCCAGGAATGCATTCGTCTTTGGGCTCTAATCCTCCTGTTAATGTTACAGCCGACCAATTACTGGGAATGGGCCAGTGGGCTGCAATTCGAAACCAAACTATACTAAATGATGAGGTTATTGAACAACTGTGGAAATGCTGCTTAGATGCTTGGGACAAGATTCAAGATGATGACAAACTATGCCCATGTTTTACAGCCGTCAGACGGGGACAACATGAACCGTATCCAGACTTTATTGTCCATCTTCAAGACGCAGCAGAAAAAGCTATCCCTGATAGCCAGGGCCAATGACTTGTTATAGAACTTATGGCTTATGAACAAGTAAATCCAGACTGTCAGGTGGCTATTTGCCCCATTAAAGGCAAAATTCCACCAGGGGGTGATGTACTCACCTCATACATTAAAGTCTGTGAAGGCGTGAGGGGAACTCTGCGTACAGCAATGGTCATGGCACAAGCCATGGTCTCTATTCGAATGCCTGGACAATTCCCTGGCAAATGCTTCCTATGCAGCCAATCGGGACATTCTAAAAGAAATTGTCCTTGGCATACAGACCGCTGTTCTTTTCAACACCAACAACCAAAATTTTTTCAACAACAAGCCCCACTTTCTACTATATGCCCACGATGCCAAAAAGGAAATCACTGGGTGGCTCAATGCCATTCAAAATTTGATATTGATGGCAATCCCTTACGGTCACTTCCAGGTAAACGGGAAGAGGGGCCAGCCCTAGGCCCCTCCAAACAATGGGGCATTCCTCAACTCCGAGCCCCTGGCGTCCAGCAAGATGAGCGCCTTGCCAGCCCAATCCATTCAACCTACATCCCAATTCCCACTTCAGCAATTTGTGCCACAGGATCTAATGGCTCTGCCCCAACACGAATCTCAGTACAATGCTTGTCCCCTGCCACCACAGGCTCAGCATCAGTAGATCTCTGTTGTACCAGAGATATTTCTCTGTTACCTGGAGAGCCACCTATTGCTGTTCCCACAGGTGTTTTTGGCCCCTTGCCGACTGGCAGTGTCGGTTTGCTATTTGATCTCTCAAGCCTAAATTTAAAAGGTGTTCAAGTACATACTGGTGTAATTGATTCTGACTATTCAGGTGAAATTCATATTGTCATTAGCTCTGCAGTCCCTTGATATACGGCAGCTGGAGACCGCATTGCTCAGCTTCTTATACTCCCTTACGTTCCTTTAGGATCCAGTTCTTGTACCAGAACTGGAGGTTTTGGTAGCACAGACTATCAGGACAAAGCAGCTTATTGAGCCAGCAAGATTTCTGACACTCGTCCTGTGTGCTCTGTGCATATTCAAGGAAGGAAGTTTGAGGGAATGATTGATACGGGCGCTGATGTCTCCATTATCGCTTTACATCAATGGCCCCGACACTGGCCAAAGGAACACGCGTCCACAGCATTAGTTGGTGTTGGTCAGGCTTCAGAAGTCTATGAAAGTTCTACAATTTTACACTGTACGGGCCCAGAAGAACAGATTGGTACTATTTGCCCCCTCATTACACCCATTCCTGTTAACCTGTGGGGAAGAGAACTTTTACAACAACGAGGGGCACAGATTTCTTTTCCACAAGGCAATTACAGCCAGCAAAGTAAAGACATTATGACAAAAATGGGATTTGTTCAAGTTATGGGCTTAGGGAAATCAGCACAAGGCATCACCGAGCCTATTATACCTACCCATAAATCAGATTTTACGGGACTTGGTTATTCTTTTTAGAAGTGGTCACTATCAAGCCTCCAAATCCCATCCCCTTGACTTGGAAAACTCAGAAACCGGTTTGGGTAAATCAGTGGCCGCTCCCTAAAAATAAGCTGGAGGCACTCCATATTTTGATCCTTGAACAGTTAAAATTGGGACACATCGAGCAATCTTTTTCTATCTGGAATTCACCTGTCTTTGTTATCCAAAAGAAATCCGGTAAGTGGAGAATGCTTACTGATCTTAGGGCAGTAAGTGCTGTCCTTCAGCCTATGGGGACATTACAACCCAGCTTGCCTTTCCCCGCTATGATTCCCAAGTATTGGCCTCTTATCATCATTGATCTTAAAGACTGCTTCTTCAACATTCCTCTGGCCCCTCAGGACTTTGAAAAATTTGCTTTCACAGTTCCAACCCTTAACAACATCGCTCCCACAGCACGTTACCATTGGAAAGTCCTACCTCAGGGAATGCTTAATAGCCTACCATTTGTCAATATTACGTGGGGAGCATATTAAAGCCAGTAAGAGATCAATTTCCCCAATTTTTTATCATTCATTACATGGATGATATTCTTTGTGCAGTGCCTTCACGTTCTGTATTAATATCTTGTTTCTCTGCAGTACGACAAGCAGTTGCAACAGCTGGTTTGGCTGTCGCTCCAGAAAAAATCCAAACTTCTTCTCCTTATCAATATTTAGGAATGCAGCTAGAAGACAAGGTTATTAAGCCCCAAAAGGTTCAACTCAGATGAGACTCTCTAAAAACGCTAAATGATTTCCAAAAAATGCTTGGAGATATTAATTGGATTTGCCCCTCCTTAGGCATTCTTACATATGCTATGTCTAATCTGTTTGCAACATTATGGGGCAATCCTGATTTATGCAACAAAAGGTCTTTGACCCCTGAGGCAGATTCTGAATTACAACTTATAGAAAAACGCATTCAACAGTCTCAGGTAACCAGGGCGAATCCATATTTACCTTTTGAAATACTAATCTTTCCTACTAAACATTCACCAACAGGACTCATTATCCAGGGACATAATTTAATTGAATAGTGCTTTCTTCCACACAGCTCTTTACGGACGCTTACCGTTTATCTAGATCAAATTTCTATCCTAATTGGTCAAGCTCTTTCTCACCTTCTTCATCTTTTGGGTACAGAGCCCCAAAAAATCATTGTTTCCCTCACCTGATTACAAGTCCAACAGGCTTTTGCAACCTGCATTGCTTGCCAAGTACATTTGGCAGGTTTCCTGGGTATAATTGACAATCATTATCCTAATGTAAAACTATTTCAGTTCCTTAAACTTACTTCTTGGATCTTACCTAACATTACTATGGATACTCCATTAGCTGAAGCTGTCACTGTTTTTACTGATGCTTCCTGTAATGACCAAGGAGCATATGCAGGGCCAAAAGAATGTGTCCTTAACTCAGGAGCTACTTCAGCACAACAAGCTGAGCTGACTGCTGTCATGGCTGTTCTTGAATATTTCCCTGAACCAGTTAACATAGTTTCTGATTTGGTGTACGCAGCAGGTGTTGCTTGCAACATTGAAACTGCCTTAAACACATTTCTGCCTGATGATAACCACTTTTTCTTTTCCAAAAGTTTCAGTCCCTACTCAGAGCAAGGTCTTCTCCCTTCTACATTACTCACGTTCGGGCTCACATGCCCTTCCCCGACCTCTCTCAGCAGCAAATGCCAGCGCTGATACATTAGTTGCTCCCATTTTTATGGACGTAGAAAATTTTCACGCTGTAACTCAAGTCAATGCTGCGGGACTCGGAAAAAAGTTCTGCTTCACATGGAAGCAAGCTAAAACCATTGTATGTCACTGTCCTACTTGCCAAGTGTTAATTTTACATCCACTTTCTTCAGGAGTTAACCCTAGAGGACTTTCACAAAATATTCTCTGGCAAATGGACGTGACTCATTATCCAGCTTTCAGCAAACTCTCTTTTATGCATGTAACTATTGACACTTTTTCTCATTTTATCTGGGCCACATGTCAAACGGGGGAAAGTACGGCTCATGTTAAACAGCACATGGTTTCATGTTTCTTGGTTATGGGATGTCCTGAGAAACTAAAAACTGACAATTTTCTGGTTACATTAGCAATGATTTTAAAAAGTTCACTCAGACATGGGGAATTACTCACACAACTGGCATTCCCTATAACTGTCAAGGACAGGCATTGGTAGAACGAGTTAATAAAATGCTGAAAGACCAACTTTGAAAACAGGACACTAAAGAGAAGAAGGATGCTCCTACCCCCATACTCAGTTAAATTTTGTTCTTTTTACACTCAATTTCTTAAACCTAGCAAGAAATCAACCTTTTACAGCAGCAGAACAACATTTCACTGGAAACAGATTTGATCCACAAAAAGGAAAGTGGGTATGGTGGAAGGATACAAAAACTGACAAATAGGAATTAGGCACTGTGGTAACATGGGGTAGGGGTTTCGCTTGTGTTTCCCCAGGAGAAGGACAACAACCCGTGTGGGTTCCCTCCCATCAACTGAGATTGCATTTTAACTCCAAGGATGAAGAACTCTCAGAAACAAAAGGCAAAGAAGCCTCAGAAATCAAAGAGCAAGTTTTGCCACCTGACACATAAATTCCATGACCTCGACATTACAACAAAATCTCACCGTGTGACCTCCAACACCAGTCATTCTACTCTACCAACATGGGGCCAGATAAAGGTCTTATCCCATCAAACAGAGAAATAACTACAAGAAAAAGGAATTCCAAAAGTGACGGGTAATATAATTCTGGCTGCCTTTATGGTGGTCAGTGCAGTGGTGAGTATACCAGGGGTTGGGGCAACTCAAAATTATACCTACTGGGCATACATTCCTTTTCCCCCTTTAATTCGGTCTGTCTCCTGGATGGACTCCTCAGTGGAAGTTTACACTAATAATAGTGTCTTCATGCCAGTCCCCAATGATGACAGGTTTCCAGCTCAACCAGAAGTAAAAGGTATGCACTTTAATTTGTCAATTGGCTACAAATATCCACCACTGTGTATTGGAATGTTGCCTGGCTGCTTAGCTTATTCTTATCAGAATTCGATGTGGACCATACAGTCCTCTAGTAATGATTCTTATCAAGTGCAGGAGCAATTCTTTTCAACTCATGAATGTTAAACTTAATCCACATGAGGAATGGAGAGTTCCTGTCACTACT
This sequence comes from Homo sapiens, assembly GCF_000001405.40. Classification (NCBI taxonomy): domain Eukaryota; kingdom Metazoa; phylum Chordata; class Mammalia; order Primates; family Hominidae; genus Homo; species Homo sapiens. The sequence goes on along the minus strand of NC_000017.11, from coordinate 43,326,532 downwards.
AAAAGCAATAAAACAAAAGGATTGCCAGACTGCTCAAAGGAACCTACAAAGGGACATTTTCTACTAAATTCAATTTTATGGAATGATTGTAATGCTCCAAAGGCCGTAGTGTTCCAAAATCTAGCTATGGGTGCTGTTATTGACTGGGCCCCAAGAGGGTATTATTGGAGAAATTGCTCTGGCTAAAATGCCAAATGCTTGGAGTTTAATTATTTGTTAGATTATGTAAAGGACTGATGGCAATTCTACAGGTTGAGGGAATGGGTGCCCCTTATCCATTCAAATGGAGGAACACAGGAATCGTTCCTCCTAGACCAAAAATGATTCATCAAATTGTTACCCCTGAACATCCTGAATTAGGGAAATTAGCTGCAGCCATGACAGGAATAAGGATATGGAACGCTACCTATCAAATCTCTCCTACTAATACCAAGACACTCATATTCAAGATCACCTTGATGTCAGGACAGGTGATACATATCAGGAGCTGTGTCAAATCCCCTTACATGCTGCTAGTTGGAATTATAATTATTACTCCCAATACACAAACTATAGAATGTAATGATTGTAAGCTGTTCACGTGTATCGATGCTACTTTTAATCCCAGAACAAGTATTCTTTTGATAAGGGCTAGGAAGGGGGTATGGATATAATTTCTTTACATCATCCATGGAAGTCTTCCCCCTCTATACACATAGTCAGTGAACTTCTTAAGGGTATCCTCAAAAGAACCAAGAGATTCATTTTTACTCTTATTGCAGTCATTGCAGGACTAATTGCCATTACTGCAACAGCGACAACCGTTGGAGTTGCTATCCACAACTCTGTTCAAACCGCTCAATATGTGGAAGCATGGCAAAAAAAACTCCACCAAACTCTGAAATTCTCATGCTCAAGTTGATCAAAAATTGGCTAATCAAATTAATTATCTCCACCAGAGTGTAATCTGACTGGGAGATAGAGTTATGAATCTGGAACACCATATGCAATTACAGTGCGATTGGAATACTTCTGATTATTGCATAAAACCTTATGTTTATAATAAAGATCAACATAGTGGGGAAGAAGTCTCAAGACATTTAAAAGCCTGGGATGATAACTTAACCTTAGATATTTCAAAACCTAAAGAACACGTTTTTGAGGCCTCACAGGCTCATTTAACTACTGCTCCTGCCTTGGGCAGTTTTGAAGGAATAACTAAAGGATTATCTGATCTTAATCCCTTTAAATGGATCAAACCCCTCGGAGGATCATCGTTGTCATTGGCATTATTAATACTGGTATGTTTATGTTGTCTACTTTTAGTCTGCAGATGTCTCCAAGGAGGCCGAGGACAAGTCCCAAGTCAACGACAAGCAATGATGGCAATGATGATCCTAGTCAATAAAAAGTGGGGAGATGTGGGTGGTAAGCCACCGACGTCCCAAGGCAAGAGACGGAGAGCACGAGCTGTTCCAGTATAATAAAGAAAATATTTAGAATAAGAATAGTCATACTAGAAATAGAATATAGATAGGATTATATGTGATTATATGTGAATATTATTAATCAGTTTGTAGCATTACTCTTTATTCCAATATAATAATCTCTGTTCTACAATTATAACCTAGGAAAATCTAGGCCATACAGAGATAGGAGCTGAAGGAACATGGTGAGAAGTGACCAGAAGACAAGAGTGTGAGCCCTCTGTCATGCCCGGGCAGGGCCACTAGGAGGGCTCCTTGGTGAAGCGGTAACGCCAGTGTCTGGGAAGGCACCCGTTACTTAGCAGACCAGGAAAGGGACTCTGCCTTTCCCTGCGGAGTAAGAGAAGACTCTGCTCCACCACCTCTTGTGGAAGGCCTGACATTAGTCAGACCCGCCTGCAACCATGCCTGCAGGCATCCGGAGACCTAAACGTCTCCCTGTGATGCTGTGCTTCAGTGGTCCTGGTCCACTTTCATTTTCCGCTCTGTGCACATGGCCCCGCCTTCTGGATAGCAGCAGCACAATTAGTGAAAGTATTAGAGTCTTTGATCTTCCCAAGAAATGCAAAGAAGAAATAATGACGTAAGCTCTCCCCTCTCTGTCTCTGCCTCGGCTACCAAACAGGGAAGGGCCCCCTGTACAGTGGATGCATGACTCGCGTGCCCTTACCTATCATTGGCCATGACTCGCACTCCTTACCATGCCCCCTTGCCTTGTATACAATAAATAACAGCGTAGCTAGGCCTTCAGGGCCACTACCGGTCTCCGAGTTTTCGTGGTAGTGTTCCCGTGGGCCCAGCTGTGTTTTCTACTATCTCTTTGTCCGGTGTTTTTATTTCCATGATCTATTGTCTCCGCACACATACAGAAAAACCCACAGGCCCTGTAGGGCTGCACCCTACAGAAAGCCATCCAGATGCCAAGGCAAGACACTGAACGCAGAAGCTGTTCCAATATAATAAAGAAAATAGGATAAAAGAAAGTTATATCAGACATAGGATACAGAGATGATTACATATGGATATTATCAATTATTAGTTTTTAGTATTAATCTTTGTTATTATAACCGAGGAAAAAACAGGCCATACAGAGTAAGAAGTAGAGGGGACAATGTGAGAGGTAACCAGAAGACAAGAGTATGAGCCCTCTGTCATGCCCGGATAACGGCTGCTTGAGGGCTCCATGGTCTTGTGGTAGTGCCTCTTCCTCGGAAGGCACCTGTTATTTAGAACACTTTGGTCTAGCGGTAATGCCAGTGCCTGGGAAGGCCCTGGTTACTTAGCAGGCCTTGGTCTAGCGGTGGCCCCAGTGCCTGGGAAGGCACCCGTTACTTAGCAGACCCGGAAAGGGAATCTCCCTCTCTCCAGGGGAGACAGAGAACGCTCCGCTCCACCACCTCTTGTGGGAGGTCTGACATTAGCCAGGCCGGCCCGCAGTCATCCGGAGGCTCCAACGTCTGTCTCCCTGTGATGCTGTGCTTCAGTGGTCACGCTCCTTGTTCACTTTCATGTTCAGCCTGTACACCTGGCTCCTCCTTTTAAGTTCTTAGAAGACAGCAGTAGCAGAACTAGTAGGAGTACCACAGTCTTCGATCTTTCTGATAAGTGCATAGAAGAAACGCTGACGTTTGCTGTCCTCCCTCTCCACCTCGGCTACCACAAAGGGAAAGGCCCCCTGTCCAGTGGACACGTGACTCGCGTGACCTATCGATCATTGGAGATGACTGGCACTCCTTACCCTGCCCCCTTGCCTTGACTACAATAAATAGCAGCGCCTCCAGGCACTCGGGGCCACTACCTGTCTGTCTCCGCGCTTTGGTGGCAGTGGTCCCCCGGGCCCAGCTGTCTTTCTTCCTATCTCTTTGTCTTCTGTCTTTATCTCTTCGATCTCTCGTCTCCGCACACACGCGAAGAGAAAACCCACAGACCCGGTAGGGGTGGACCCTACATTATCTCAGCTACAACATAATCAGGATATTCACGTGGACTACTGAGTCTTTCGGTGCCCCCTTGCTGTTTTAGTTTTGTCCTGCGGCCGAGTGTTTCCCTCGCTTCACGCCAACACAATCTCCGCCGCCCTGTCTTGTCATCCCCATTCTACAGCCCAGCACGGTGTAGTATGGCAGCCGCTAGCCACAGGTATCTAGGGAGCCCTGGAAATGTGGTCAGTTCTAATGGAGCTGCGCTGTTAAGTGTGAAATACACATGGGATTTTGACGGCAGTGGGAGCAAAATTCTCCCAATTTTTTTTTTTTTTTTTTTTTTTTTTCAGACGGAGGTTCCGCTCTTGTTACCCAGCCTGGAGTCCAATGGCGCGATCTAGGCTCTCTGCAACCTCCGCCTCCCGGGTTCAAGCAATTCCCCTGCCTCAGCCTCCCGAGCAGCTGGGACTACAGGCATGTGCCACCACGCCCGGCTAAGTTTGTATTTTTAGTACAGATGGGGTTTCTCCACGTTGGTCAGGCTGGTCTCCAACTCCCGACCTCCGGTGATCTGCCGAGCCGCCGCCTCCCAAAGTGTTGCTTGCGATTACAGGCTTAAGCCACCGCTCACCCTGGCTTTTTTTTTTTTTTTTTTTTTTTTTTTTTTTACAGACAAACTCTTGCTCTGTCGCCCAGGCTGGAGTGCAGTGGCGCGATCTCGGCTCACTGCAGCCTCTACCTCCCGGGTTCCAGCGATTCTCCTGCCTCAGCCTCCTGGGTAGCTGGGATTACAGGCGTAGGCCACCACGCCCAGCAAATTTTTCCTATTTTTAGTAGAGACGGCGGTCTCATCCTGTTAGCCAGGATGGTCTCCATCTCCTGACCTCGTCATCCGCCCCCCTCAGCCTCCCAAAGTTCTCGGATTACAGGCTTGAGTCACCGTGCCCTGCCTTCTGTGAGGCTTTTCTTTCCAACATCTCTCTCTCTTTTTCTTGTCTTTTTCTTTTCTTTTCTTTTTTTTTTTTTGTGTCGGAGTTTTGCTCTTGATTCGCGTGTTGGAGTCGAATGGCGCGATCTCGGCTCACTGCAACCTCCACCTCCCAGGTACAAGCGATTCTCCTGCCTCAGCCTCTGGAGCAGCTGGGATTACAGGGATGCGCCACCACGCCCAGCTAATTTTGTATTTTTAGTAGAGGTGGGGTTTCGCAATGTTGGGCAGGCTGGTCTCTAACTCAGGTGATCTGCCTGCCTCGTCCTCCCAAAGTGTTGGGATTACAGGTGTGAGCCACCGTGCCGGCGATTACAGAATTTCTTTTTTTCTTTCTTTCTTTTTTTTTTTCGTGATGGAGTTTCGCTCCTGTTGCCCAGGGGAGTGCAATGGCAGGATCTCAGCTCACCCCAACCTCCGCCTCCTGGGTTCAGGCGATTCTCCTGCCTCAGCCTCCTGAGCAGCTGGGATTACAGGCATGTGCCACCACACTTGGCTAATTTTGTATTTTTAGTAGAGACCAGGTTTCTCCATGTTGATCCGGCTGGTCTCAAACTCCTGACCTCAGGTGATCCTCCTGCCTCGGCCTCCCAACATGTTGGGATTATAGGCGTGAGCCACCACGCCTGGCGGTTACAGAATTTCTAAGCAGCAAACATTCAAGAGGTGACTTTGGTGCTGTTAAAAGCATCCAGGATTTGTTGTTGTTTTTGCTATTTTTGTTTTTTTGAGATAGTCTCTGTTGCCCAGGCTGGCATGCAGTGGCAAGATCTCGGCTCACTGCAACCTCTGCCCGCAGAGAATCAAGTGATTCTCGTGCCTCAGTCTCCTGAGTAGCTGTGATTACATGTGCCTGCCACCACACCCAGCCAATTTTTGTATTTTTATTAGAGATAGGGTTTCACCATGTTTGCCAGGCTGGTCTCAAACTCCTGATGTGAATTGATCTGCCCACCTCAGTCTCCCAAAGTGGTGGGATTACAGGCATGAGCCATTGTGCCCAGTAGCATTCTGTTCTTATTTTTTTTTTTTTTTTGAGACGGAGTCTCGCTCTGTCGCCCAGGCTGGACTGACTGCAGTGGCGTGATCTCGGCTCACTGCAACCTTCACATCCTGGGTTCAAACAATTCTCCTGCCTCAGCCTCCCGAGTAGCTGGGACCACAGGCGCCCACCACCACGCCAGGCTAATTTTTGTATTTTTAGTAGAGATGGGGTTTCACCATATTGGCAGGCTTGTCTCAAACTCTTGACCTCGTGATCTGCCTGCCTAGGCCTCCCAAAGTGCTGGGATTACAGGGATGAGCCACCACATCTGGCCAGCATTCAGTTGTAAAAGTGAAACAGACCAGGAGCAGTGGCTCATGCCTGTAGTCCCAGCCCTTTGGGAGGCTGAGTTGAGCAGATCACAAGGTCAGTAGTTCAAGACCAGCCTGGCCAATATAGTGAAACCCCATCTCTACTAAAAATACAAAAATTAGCAGGGTGTTGTGGTGGGCTCCTGTAATCCCCACTACTTGGGAGGCTGAGGCAGAGAACTGCTTAAACCCAGGAGGCAGAGGTTGCAATGAGCCAAGATCACGCCACTGCACTCTGGCCTGGGTGACAGAGCAAGACTCCATTAAAAAAAAAAAAAAAAGTTAAAATGAGCATACAATTTCAAAAAATTTGCAGCCTGACAATGCGGTAGAAAAGAAAAACCCAGGCCGGGTGCAGTGCCTGATGCCCGTAATCCTAGTACTTTGAGAGGCTGAAGTGGGCAGATCATGAAGTCAAGAGATTGAGACCATCCTGGCCAACCTGGTGAAACTCGGTCTCTACTGAAAATACAAAAATTAGCTGGGCATGGTGGCACACACCTGTAGTCCCAGCTACTCGGGAGGCTGAGGCAGGAGAATCGCTTGAACCCGGGAGGCGGAGGTTGCAATGAGCCGAGATTGTGCCAGTGCACTCCAGCCTGGCAACAGATCAAGACTCCATCTCAAAAAAAAAAAAAAAAAAAAAAAAATTCAGAGGAGAAATTCAAGCTGGCCTCAGAAATTTGCATAAGTAACGAGAAGCCAAATGTTAATCATGAAGACAGTGGGGGGAAATGTCTCCAGGGTATGTCAGAGACCTTCATGTGGCAGACCCTCCCATCACAGGCTTGGAGGCCTAGTAGGAAAAAATGGTTTCATGGGCTGTGCCCAGGGCCCCCCTGCTCTGTGCAGCCTGGGGACTTGGTGCCTTGTATCCCAGCTGCTCCAGCCACAGCTAAAAGGGGCCAAGGTGCAGCTCAGGCTGTGGCTTCAGAGGGTGCAAACCCTAGGCCTTGGCAGCTTTCATGTGGTGTTGTGCCTGCGAGTGCACAGAAGTCAAGAATTGAGGCTTGGGAACCTCTGCCAAGATTTCAGAGGATGTGTAGAAATGCCTGGATGTCCAGGTAGAGGTGGGCTGCAGGGGTGGAGCCCTCATGGAGAACCACTGCTAGGGCAGTGCAAAGGGAAATTGTGGGGTGCAAGCCCTCACACAGACTCCCAACTGGGGCAGTGCCTAGTGGAGCTGCAAGAAAAGAGTCACTGTCCTCCAGACCCCAGAATGGTAGCTCCACTGACAGCTTGCACCTTGCTCCTGGAAAAGCCACAGACACTCAAGGCCTGCCTGTGAAAGCAGCTGGGAGGGGGGGCTATACCCTGCAAAGCCACAGGGGCAGAGCTGCCAAGGCCATGGGAGCCCACCTCTTGCATCAGTGTGACCTGGACATGAGACATGGAGTCAAAGGAAATCATTTTGGGGCTTTAAGATTTGACTGCTGCCAGGCATGTCGGCTCACTCCTGTAATTCCAGCACTTTGGGAGGCCAAGGTGGGAGGATCGCTTGAGTTCAGGAGTTCAAGACCAGCCTGGCCAACATGGTGAAACTCCGTCTCTACTAAAAATACAAAAAAAATTAGCCAGGCATTGTGGCATGTGCCTGTAATCCCAGCTACTCAGGAGGCTGAGGCAGAAGAATTGCTTGAACCCGGGAGGTGGAGGTTGCAGTGAGCCAAGATCATGCCACTGCACTCCAGCCTGGGTGACAGAGCAAGACTCCATCTCAAAAAAAAAAAAAAAAAAAAAAAGATTTGACTGCTCCACTGGACTTCAGACTTGCATAGGAGATCTGTAACCCCTTTGTTTTGGCCAATTTCTCCCATTTTGAACAGCTGTATTTACTCAATGCCTGTACCCTCATTGTATCTAGGAATTAACAAACTTGCTTTTTTTTTTTTCTTTTTGAGACAGAGTCTCACTCTGTCACCCAGGCTGGAGTGCAGTGCCATGATCTTGGCTCACTGCAACCTCTGCCTCCTGGGTTCAAGCGATTCTCCTGCTTCGGCCTCTCGAGTAGCTGGGATTACAGGCATGTGCCACCACGCCCGGCTAATTTTTTTGTATTTTTAGTAGAGATGGGGTTTCACTATGTTGGCCAGACTGGTCTCAAACTCCCGAACTCAGATGATCTGCCTGCCTTGGCCTCCCAAAGTGCTGGGATCACAGGCATGAGCCACCATGCCCGACCCTAACTTGCTTTTGATTGTACAGGCTGGTAGGCGGAAGGGACTTGCCTTGTCTCAGATGAGACTTTGGACTGTAGACTTTTGAGTTAATGCTGAAATAAGACTTTGGGAGACTGTTGGGAAGGCATGATAGGTTTTGAAATGTGAGGACATGAGATTTGGGAGGGGCTACAGCAAAATGATATGGTTTGGCTGTGTCCCCACCCAAGTCTCATCTTGAATTGTAGCTCCCATAATTCCCACGTGTCATGGGAGGGACCCAGTGGGAGGTAATTGAATCATGGGGCCAGGACTTTTCCATATTGTTCTCATGATAGTGAATAAGTCTCACAAGATCTGATGGTTTTATAAAGGGGAGTTCCCTTGCACAAGTTCTCTCTCACCTTCCACCATGTAAGACATGCCTTTCACCTTCCACCATGATTGTGAGGCTTCCCCAGCCACGTGGAACTGTGAGTCCATTAAACCTCTTTTTCTTTATAAATTACCCAGTCTCCGGTATGTTTTTATTAGCAGCACGAGCACAGACTAATGCAGACTTATTGGGCCCCAGGTAGCAAATGTGGGATGTCTATTTTCCCCCAGCTTGCCCAGGGTTAAGGTGAGCCCAGTCAGCTTCCACCAGTTACACTCAGTGACACAGGTGCAGTTTGTTAGAGTTGGTGCAGTTAGATTAGTTGGAGGTGGGCCCAAGGACTTTGGGGATGCGGGTTGAGGGGGTGGGGAGTGGGGTGACAGGTACCAAAGGGTAGCAGAGGGAGGGATGGTAGAGGTGATTGGAGAGTGTGACCCTCGAAGTGGATGGGGTTATGGCAATCGACAATGACATGACCTAGGGTTAGACCAGGGAAGTGAGTGGCTGGGGTAGTCAAAGCTGAGGTCAAGGAATTGGGGAACCAGGGTGTCGATTGATGACAGGAGTTATGCTGGAGAAAGTCAGTGCTCCAGGAGCTAAAAACCTTCAAGGAATAAAGTAAGTGTTGGCATGGAGTGACCAGCAGCCAGGAGAGACAACAGCAACAAGGAGAGGTAGTGGGCAGCACAGGTGCAAGGCACAATGGAGTGAGAGGTGGGGAGAGCAAACAGAAAGAGGAAAGCAATGTCTTCAGCGGGAGGATAGAGCAAACGAAGAAAGGGGGGCCGGGCACAGTGGCTCACACCTGTAATCCCAGCACTTTGGGAGGCCAGTGCGGGTGGATCACCTGAGTTTGGCAGTTTGAGACCAGCCTGACCATCATGGAGAAACCCCATCTCTACTAAAAATACAAAAAAAATTTAGCCGGGCGTGGTGGCACATGCCTGTAATCCCAGCTACTCTGGAGGCTGAGGCAGGAGAATCGCTTGAACCCAGGAGGTGGAGGTTGCAGTGAGCCGAGATCGCACCATTGCACTCCAGCCTAGGCAACAAGAGTGAAACTCAGCCTCAAAAAAAAAAAAAAAAGAAGAAGAAGAAGAAGAAGAAGAAAGGAGGCTGGGAATAGGGAGGATGGTAGGAAAATTAGCAAGGTTTCAGGAATCAGACATGGGATAAGAGACCGGAGCTTCTTGTGACTGGCGGGCATAGGGCAGAAATGCAGAACTGTGGGATCGTTCTACAGTGAGTGGCAGATACCTGGAAGGCAGCTGCAGCCTTAGGTCTTGGCTCTCACTAATTGGGTGATGTCACCTCTGTCCAAGCAGTCGATCCCAGGAGCCTCCGAAGACCACCAGAGCAGTCCTTAGTGCCAGGTGAGTCTGCTAAAATAAAAACACAACGCTTTGCCGAGAAGCGGGGTAAAAAAAAGCTTTATCGCCGGCTGCAATCGAATTTCGGGGACAGGCCGGGTGCAGTAACTCAGGCCTGTAATCCCAGCACTTTGGGAGGCCCAAACGGGTGGATCACTTTGAGGCCAGGCGTTCGAGACCAACCTGGCCAACATGGCAAAACCCCGTCTCTACTAAAAATGCAAAAAATTAGCCAGTCATGGTGGGCACGTGCCTGTAATCCCAGCTACTCAGGAGGCTGAGGCACAAGAATCACCTGAACTTGGGAGGCAGAGGTTGCAGTAAGCCCAGATCTGGCCACTGCACTCCAGCCGGGGTTGGGGGTTGTGGGGGACAGAGTGAGACTATCTTAAAAAAAAAAAAAAAAAAAAAAAAAAAAAAAAGGAAGTGGAGACTAGCCACAGACCCAAAAGAAAACGAGCAAAAATGTAAAGCCTACTTTTGGCAATTGCTCATGTGGAGAGGAATGAATGCAGTGTTCTTGAAATTATTGAAATATTAGATCCGGAAGCTGAAGTGGGAGAACCATCTGAGTCCAGGAAGTCGAGATCATAGTGAACTCTCATCCCGCCACTGCACTCCAGCCTGGATGACAAAAGTGACACTCTATAAGACAAAAAAAAAAAAAAAAAAAGGCGGGGAGGGGGCTGGTCACACATACTCTCACCTAGACAAGGATATTGACGACCAATTCTGAAGCATGATATAACGCAATAAGAACGTGAATATAACAAAGTATAACCTTTAAAACACAACGCTCACTCACCTAAAAAATCGTTCACCTTTGTTTGAAGTACTACAACCTCCCAACCCCACCGTTTTCTCCAAAAACCCCCTCAACACAGCATTCTCAGAAACAAAAAGAAAGAACGCACACACTAAGCTAGGAAAAACACACATAATTACACCTCACCACAAACAGAGATCTGGAAAAATTTGTCGAATCCAGCATCTTTGCCTTCGCCATTACCACCCTCATATCACCATATTACACCCACGGTGAGCAACGATAGGGGCAATTGACAACTTCGTTTCTCAATAGGCCTGTTGAAAACAGCAAGCCTTTGGGCATGGTTTATAGTTGGCTACGTTTTCAAGTGAATTCTCAGCTCTGTTTTTGCCCCGTGGCTGAAGCGCCATTTCTAATTTGCATGTCTCGCCCTTTCCCGCGTGGGTAGGCGTGGCTACGGCGATCTGAGTCCCCGCTGCGGTCCAGCTCTGCTCGCAGCGGCCGGCCGAAGCTGGGCTGGGGCTCCCGGTCTGGACCATCCGGGGGTCAAGACAGTGGTCAGGGGGAAATGCGCGTGGGCGTCACTAGCGGTCTGTGGAAGGGAGTTGGAGGAGAGTGGTCCGAGCTCTTTTGAGGAAAGCCATCAGGTCATCACTGTAAAGACTGGAGCGTCCCGCGGCCTGGCTGGGTCCCAAGCGAAGGCGGAGCCGACGAGGCCCCGCCGCCCCCCACCCCCTTCCCGGGGCCACAGAGAGAAGTCGGGTCGCGAGACCGCGCCGAGGGGGCTGCCGCCCTGGGAGTCACAGCCCCGTCCGCGCGCCTTGCCCTGTCGGCGGGGCACTGGGGGCAAACCACTTAACCTCCGGACTCTGTTTCCCCAGCTGGAAAGCAGAAACACCAATGCCTACCTCGTGGGGTGGAGGGAGCAGAAACGGAGCCGAGGAAGGGACCGTGGCTCGGTAGTCTGCAATGTGAGTCAGAGTTTCCCACAAGCTTCCCCAGAAGGGGTCATGACTGTGAAATGACTGAGACAATAAAATAGGAAGCATTTACTGTTTGGCTTAGGCTCTGTGTTAAGTGCTCTCCTCATTACAAACTTGCAAAAGTTACATACAGATGCAGAAGCTGAGGCAGAGAGGTTAAGCAGCTTGCCCAAGACCACAGGGAGGTAGGATTTGAACCTAGGTGCACTGGCCACAGCATCTTCCCCATCACTCCATCCACCTGTGAAGCAGAGAGCCTAGAGCCAAAAATGGATACCTAGAGAAAGATAATTTGTTCTTGTGTGTCCAGCACTCTGTGAGACAAAGCACTGAGCCTGAGACACAAGTCTTCTGTCTGCAGAGAGGCAAGAACCAAGCTGTCTGCTGCAGCAGTTGAGAAGAGCCTCGGCCCTGGCACTGTGGCTCATGCCTGTAATCCCAACACTTTGGGAGGCCGAAATGGGAGGATCACTTGAGCCCAGGAGTTCGAGACCAGCCTTGACAACAAAGTGAGAGCCCCATCTCTACAAAAAAAAAAAAAAAAAAAAAACCAGAAAATCTACCGGGCGTGGTGGAGCAGGCTTGTAGTCCCAGTGACTGGGGAGACTGAGCTTGGGGGACTACTTGAGCCCTGGGAGGACCACTTGAGCCCTGGGAAAACAGCTTGAGCCCCAGGAGGCCAAAGTGGCAATGAGCTGTGATCAGGCCACTGCACTCCACTCCAACCTGGGGGACCGACTGAGACCCTATCTCAAAAAAAAAAAAAAAAAAAAAAAAAACAAATAGCCAGGCAGGGTGGCTCACACCTGTAATCCCAGTACTTTGGGAGGCCTAGGCGGGCAGATCATCTGAGGTCAGGAGTTCGAGACTGGCCTGGCCAACATGGTGAAACCTCCTCTCTACCAAAAATACAAAAAATTAGCCAGGCGTGGTGGTGGGCACCTGTAATCCCAGCTACTTGGGGGGCTGAGGTGGGAGAATCGCTTGAACCCAGAGGCGGAGGCTGTAGTCAGCCACAATGGCACCATTGCACTCCAGCCTGGGAGACAGAGCAAGACTCCGTCTCAAAAAAAAAAAAAAAAAAAAAAAAGTCGGGCATGGTTGGTGGGTGCCTGTAATCCCAGCTAATCGGGAGGCTGAAGCAGGAGAATTGCTTGAGCCTGGGAGGTGGAGATTGCAATGAGCCAAGACCATGCCACCCACTGCACTCCAGCCTGGGCAACTGAGCGAGACGCCGTATCAAAAAAAAAAAAAAAAAAAAAAAAAAGCAAGGGAAAACAGCTTAGGCAAGTCACTCCTCTGAGGCTTATTTTTTTTCCTGTATAAAACAGGAATCTTAAAATCTAGTCTGTAGTCCTGGCGTTCTCTACCCTCATCCACACAGGGTCTCTGTTCTCTTTTACCTGGCTTTATTCTACTCGGTGGCACCTGTCACCCCACATTTTATACAATGATACGTTTATTGCATTTTAGCATAGTAGAATGTAAGCTCCAGAGCAGGAATCTTTGTCGCTTGTTCACTTTTATATGACTGGCACCCTGAACAATGCCTGGCATATAGTAGCCACTCAGTATATATTTTTTGAATGAATGAATGAATATTAAATATATTAATATTTCCTACAATAGAAAGTGATTAGTAAATCTCCTGGCTTGTGGTAAGTATCATGACCCTGCAGGGCTCACTATTTTACTGCCTCTCTGCTCATTTTCGTGTTTATCAGGCCATCTTTTGCTTGCTAATTTGGTTTCCCAGGTACTGTTTTTTGTTTTTTTATTTTAGTAGAGATGGGTTCTCTCTATGTTGCCCAGGCTGATCTCAAACTCCTGAGCTCAAGCAATCATCCTTCCTCAGCCTCCCAAAGTCCTGGGGTTACAGGCATCAGCCATCATTCCCAGTCCCCGGTATTGTTTTTGAGTACTTAGGGGAGCCAAGGGGAAACTTCCGTCTTTGCCCTGTGAAGGTTCAGTGAAAAATCACTGGCACGAGGCAGATTAACAGGAGAAAAGGCATATAATTTTGTTTTTAATGGTATACATGAGAGTCTTCAGAGCAAAGACCCAAAGATACAGAGAAAATTGTCCGTTTTAATGCTTAGGGTCAATAAAGTATGGAAGGCCATGTAGAAATATGACTGGACAAGAGGACATGCTGTAAGGAGAATACAATGAGTGGGGAAATCCCTAAGGCTCCTGTCTGTCCAGGTTTTATTTTATTTTTTTTCCCAACACAGTCTCACTCTATTGCCCAAACCGGAGTGCAGTGGCGTGATCATAGCTCACGGTAACCTCAAACTCCTGGGCTCAAGAGATCCTCCCATCTCAACCTCCTAAGTAGCTAGGACTACAGGTGTGTGCCACCACACCCAGCTAAGTTTTTTAAGTTTTTAATTTTTTGTAGAAACAGTGTCTTGCTGGCCGGGCGCAGTGGCTCACGCCTGTAATCCCAGCACTTTGGGAGGCCAAGGTGGGCGGATTACAGGGTCAGGAGATCGAGACCATCCTGGCTAACATGGTGAAACCCTGTCTCTACTAAACATACAAAAAAATTAGCCGGGCGCGGTGGTGGGCACCTGTAGTCCCAGCTACTTGGGAGGCTGAGGCAGGACAATGGCGTGAACCCAGGAGGCGGAGGTTGCAGTGAGCCAAGATCGCGCCACTGCACTCCAGCCTGGGCGACAGAGCGAGACTCCGTCTCAAAAAAAAAAAAAAAAGAAAGGAACAGTGTCTTGCTATGTTGCCTTTTGAGACTCAAAGTGGAAATTTCTTGAAGCCTTTTTCATCTCTTTGTCTTCAGCCACACTTTCCATGACGAGCTGTTGCTGTCTGTCACTTTCTCCTTTAGACTTTTGCCAGATAGAGGATCTTGAACTCCTGGCCTCAAGCGATCCTCCTGCCTCAGCCTCCCACAGTGTGGGAATTACAGGCGTGGGCCACCATGCCTGGCCTGTCCAGATCCTTGTTGGCTTCTCTGAGCATGTATTCCTTCCTTCTGCGTGTCGGGCAGGATGCTCTGTGGAATGGGGGTCTTATGACCTACAGTCAAACAAAGTAGGTCAGGTAATTTCTTTGTGGCCAGTTTTTACAGATAGGACAGAGGGAAAACCAGAGTAATATTTTTACACTTGCAGGCTGGCTTTGGAGAAAAGGGCTTCTGGTTTCCATGACCTGCCTCAGGGAAGAGGGATTTTTGTGTCTATGGCTAGCTTCAGGGGAGAATGGGACTGGGGGAGTCAGAGAAAAACTTTTTACTTCTGAGGCTGCTGCTGAGGCCTTCATTTTAGGGTATTGTTTTCTGAGCCCACTGTATGCCACTGAGTATCTACATTTTCTTTTCGGTGTTTCAACAATCCCAAATGCAGCCAGGTGCGGTGGCTTACCCTTGTAATCCCAGCACTTTGGGAGGCCAAAGTAGGAGGATCACTTGAGCCTAGGAGTTTGAGACCAGGTTGGGCAACATAGTGAGACCTCATCTCTACAAATAATAATAATAAAAATAAGGCCAGGTACAGTGGTTCACACCTATAATCCTAGCACTTTGGGAGGCCAAGGCAGGAGGACCACTTAAGCTCAGGAGTTCAAGACCAGCCTGGGCAACATAGTGAGACCTCATCTCTATTAAAAATAGTAATAATAGGCCGGGCGCGGTGGCTCACGCCTGTAATCCCAGCACTTTGGGAGGCCGAGGTGGGCGGATCACGAGGTCAGGAGATCGAGACCATCCTGGCTAACATGGTGAAACCCCGTCTCTACTAAAAATACAAAAAATTAACTGGGCGTAGTGGCGGGCGCCTGTAGTCCCAGCTACTCCGGAGGCTGAGGCAGGAGAATGGCGTGAACCCGGGAGGCGGAGCTTGCAGTGAGCTGAGATTGCGCCACTGCACTCCAGCCTGGGCGACAGAGCCAGACTCTGTCTCAAAAAAAAAAATAGTAATAATAAATAAAATAAGATAAAATAAAAGTTAGCTGGGCATGGTAGTGCATGCCTGTGGTGCCAGCAACTTGGGAGGCTGAGGCAAGAGCATCACCTGAGCCCAGGAGGTCAAGGCTGCAGCAAGATGTGACTGGACCAGCACACTCCAGGCTGGGCGACAGAAAAAAAAAAATCCCAAATGCAACATGTTATTTATCCCATTTTATACTTGATGAAATTGAGGCTGCCTAGACTGACTTCCCAAAATCCTCAGCCTTCTGCTTCCTCCTCCCAGAGTATAAAAGGGACCCCCACTTTTGGCTGGCAATTTTATATCTTTATGATCAGTGGATCTTTATTCTCATCCACCTTAGAGGAAAGTGGGTCAGGGTTTATAATCTCCATTGAACAGATGAGAAGGCTGAGTTTCAGGAAGGAAATTCGAGCTAACCAAATTTTCCAAGAGACTGACTTACCTCTGTGATACATATTGAAGAAGGTGGAAACCTGAATGCTGAGGATGGAATGTGAAGAGCCTGGCACAATGATTAAGATCACAAGAGGGCCCATGTGGAGTGGCTCATGCCTGTAATCCCAGCAGCACTTTGGGAGGCCCAGGTGGGAGGATCACTTGAGCCCAGGAGTTTGAGACCAGCCTGGGCAACACAGTGAGACCCCATCTTTTTTTTTTTTTTTTTGAGACGGAGTCTTGCTCGGTCGCCCAGGCTGGACTGCAGTGGCGCAATCTCGGCTCACTGCAACCTCCACCTCCCGGGTTCACGCCATTCTCCTGCCTCAGCCTCCTGAGTAGCTGGGACTACAGGCGCCCACCACCACACCTGGCTAATTTTTTGTATTTTTAGTAGAGACGGGGTTTCACCATGTTAGCCAGGATGGTCTCGATCTCCTGACCTCGTGATCCGCCCACCTCAGCCTCCCAAAGAGCTGGGATTATAGGTGTGAGCCACCGCGCCCAGCCAGTGAGACCCCATCTCTACAAAAAACAAAAATATTAGCCAGGTGTAGTGGCACACACCTGTAGTCCTACCTACTCAGGAGGCTGAGATGGGAGAATCGCTTGAGTCCAGGCATTTGAGGTTACAGTGAGCTGTGATCACGTTACTGCTCTCCATCCTGGACAACAGAGCGAGACGCTGTCTCAAAAAAAAAAAAAAAATCACAAGGTTATTGGATATCAGGGATCAGCTTGCTGCACTTTACCACCTCTAGGAGCGCTGGGTCATCCCCAAGATCCGATTCTCTCCTTGCAGTAGCAGGGGGCAGCAGAGAGCAGCAAAGCAGCCCTTGCCTCTCAGTTTGTTATGACCTCCCAGCAGGCCAGAGGAAACATCCATTCTGTGCTTATTTGGTTTATGAGAAAATTCAGGCCCAGAGAGGGAAAGTTCAGGGTCTTCCAGGTGATGGATGACACCAAGGCTCAAGGCCCAGGCTTCCAAGTGACCACACTCCATGATGGTGCCTGCTTTCACTTTTTTTTTTTTTTTTTTGAGACAGGATCCTGCTCTGTCCCCAGGGATCAAGCAATCCTTCTACCTCAGCCTCCTGGGAAGTGAGAAGCTGAGACTACAGGTATGCGCCACCACACCTGACTACTTTTTAAATTTTTTGTCAAGACAGGGATTTCCCTATGTTGCCCAGGCTGGTCTTGAACTCCTGCCTCAAATGATCTACCACTTTGGTCTTCCAAAGTGCTGAGATTACAGGTGTGAGCTACCACGCCTGGATGATTTCATTCATTCAGAGGGCACATTTTTGTTCCATATTTTTAGACCTCAGAAACCAGGATGCATCTTACATCCAGTGCCAGGAAAAAGCACTACAGCTGTTTAAATGTCAGCATCTTTTTTTTTTTTCTCCTTTCTTCCTTTCTTTCTGAGGGGTACATAAAATAATGGTGCCTCTCACAATCCATGACATCCTAAACGTCATGAAATACTACAATAAAAGCCTCTGTTTATCTCTGTTTATTAAACCCTGTGCTTGACAATGGATTACTCTTTTTTTTTTTCTTTGAGACAAAGACTTGCTCTGTCGCCCAAGCTGGACTGTAGTGGCGCCATCTCCCTCGGCTCACTGCAACCTCCACTTCTGGGATTCAAGCAATTCTCCTACCTCAGCCTCCTGAGTAGCTGGGATTACAGGCAGCAGCCACCATACCCAGCTAATTTTTGTATTTTTAGTAGAGACGGGGTTTCGCCATATTGGCCAGGCTGGTCTTGAACTCCTGACCTCAGGTGATCTGCCTGCCTCGGCGTCTCAAAGTGCTGGGATTACAGGTGTTAGCTAATGTACCTGGCCGGATTACTTCTTTTAATATACCAATACCTCCAGGATGGAGGTATTATTACCCCATTTTGCTGGTGAGTGAACTGATAATAGAGGTAGAGCAATTGATCATATCTGTACAATTAATAATGGAGATGATTTTTTTTGTTTTTTGTTTTTGAGACAGAGTTTTGCTCTTGTTGCCCAGACTGGAGTGCAATGGCGCAATCTCAGCTCACCGCAACCTCCACCTCTTGGGTTCAAGCGATTCTCCTGCCTCAGCCTCTCGAGTAGCTGGGATTGCAGGCATGTGCCACCACGCCCGGCTAATTTTGTATTTTTAGTAGAGATGGGGTTTCTCCATATTGATCAGGCTGGTCTCGAACTCCCGACCTCAGGTGATCCGCCCGCCTCGGCCTCCCAAAGTGCTGGGATTACAGGCATGAGCCACTACGCCTGGCCTTATTTTTTTTTTTTTAAGACTGAGTCACACTCTATTGCTCAGGCTACAGTGCAGTGGCATGATCTCAGCTCACTGCAACCTCTGCCTCCTGGTTTCAAGCAATTCTCCTGCCTCAGCCTCCAGAGTAGCTGGGATTACAAGCGCCTGCCACCATGCCCAGCTAATTTTTTTTTGTAACTTTAGTAGACAGCATTTCACCATATTGGCCAGGATGGTCCCAAACTCCTGACCTTAAGTGATTCACCTGCCTCGGCCTCCCAAAGTGCTAGGATTACAGGCATGAGCCACCATGACCGGCTGATTTTTTCTTGTTTTTTTTTTTTGTTTTGTTTTGTTTTTTTCTGAGACAGAGTCTTGCTCTGTTGCCCAGGCTGGAGTGCAGCGTGCAATATCGGCTCACTGCAACATCTGCTTCCCAGGTTCAAGCGATTCTCCTGCCTCAGCCTCCTGAGTAGCTGGGATTACAGGCGCTGGCCACCATGCCAAGCTCATTTTTTAATTATTAGTAGAGATGGGGTTTCACCATGTTGGACAGGCTGGTCCCGAACTCCTGACCTCAAGTGATCTGCCCGCCTTGGCCTCCCAAAGTGCTGGGATTACAGGCGTAGGCTACCGTGCCCGGCCTTGCAGCTGATATTTCACAGGACTTATCTGCTTGTGCTTCTGTGTGTGTGTGTGTGTGTGTGTGTGTGTGTGTGTGTGTGTGTGTGTGTGTGTGTTTGAGATGGAGTTTTGCTCTTTCGCCCAGGCTGGAGTGCAGTGGCGCCATCTCGGCCGACCACAACCTCTGCCTCCCACATTCAAGCGATTCTCCTGCCTCAGCCTCTTGAGTAGCTGGGATTACAGGCGCCCGCCAGCACGCCCAGCTAATTTTTTTGTATTTTTAGTAGAGACGGGGGGTTTCAGTAGAGACGGGGTTTTTCAGTAGAGACGGGGGGTTTTTAGTAGAGACGGGGGGTTTAGTAGAGACGGGGTTTCACTATGTTGGCCTGGCTGGTCTTGATCTCTTGACCTTAGGTGATCCACCTGCCTTGGCCTCCCAAAGTGCTGGAATTACAGGCGTGAGCCACCATGCCCGGCCCTGCTTGTGCTTCTAACCACACTTTGCTTCTTCCAAAACAGAAGATTCTGGGTCTTGAATAACAACAAACTTGCTTTATTTTTTGTAGAGATGGGGGTTGGGAAATGGTGGGGTGGGCATGCCAGTTGATATGTCGTGTCTATGTTGCCCAGGCTAGTCTGGAACTCCTGGGCTCCAACAATCTTCCCACCTTCACCTCCAAAAGTGCTGGGATTACACGCATGAGCCAATGTCCCAGCCTACAGGCTTTATTTGTTTGTTTGTTTGTTTGTTTGACAGAGTCTTGCTCTGTCACCCAGGTTGGAGTACAGTGGTGCAATCTTGGCTCACAGCAACCTCCACCTCCTGGGTTCAAGCGATTCTCCTGCCTCAGCCTCCCAAGTAGCTGGGATTACAGGCGGCCGCCACCATGCCCGGCTAATTTTTTTTTTTTTTTTTTTCTGAGATGGAGTCTTGCTCTGTCACCTAGGCTGGAGTGCAGTGGCGCTATCTCGGCTCACTGCAACCTCCGCCTCCCAGGTTCAAGCAATTCTTCTGCTTCAGCCTCCTGAGTAGCTGGGACTACAGGCATGTGCCACCACACTCGGCTAATTTTTTGTATTTTTAGCAGAAACGGGGTTTCACCATGTTAGCCAGGATGGTCTTGATCTCCTGACCTCATGATCTGCCCACCTTGGCCTCCCAGTGTGCTGGGATTACCACCTCGCCCAGCCACTTTGGGTGATCTTAAATGCACAGTCCCAGGCCAGGCGTGGTGGCTCGCGCCTGTAATCCCAGCACTTTGGGAGGCCGAGGCGGGCGGATCACTTGCAGGACTTGCTTGAACCAGGGTGGCGGAGGTTGCGGTGAGCCAAGATCATGCCATTGCACTCCAGCCTGGGCAACAAGAGTGAAACTCCGTCTCAAAAAACAAAAAATACAATAAAAATAAAATTTAAAAATTAAAAAATTAAATGCACAGTCTCTATCCCCAAAAGCCTTCCTGGGCTTCAGAGAATAATCCTCTCACCTGTTCACTCCACCTACTGAGGACACAGTCCTTGGAAGGGTCAGGTAGGATAATAATACCAACCTGTAGCTAAACAATTTTATACTTTATCTTTTATTTCCCATCCATTATTCTATTTGATCCTTATACCAGCTATGTGAAAGAAGGTAACAAGTTATCACTTATTCTTCAGGCAAGGAAACTGAGGTCCAGACAGATTAGGGAGGGTCTCCAGGATTATAGGAAGAGGTGGGGTGAGGCCCCAGGTGGGGGTGGGGACAGACAGAGCCCACTGCTCCCACCACCTCTGTCTCTTCCCACTCAGACCCCTCTGCCTATAACTGGAACCACCTCACAATGTGGTTACTGCCAGGGCAACTGGGCAGGCCCCGCCTGCTTTGTTGAGGGAGGGAGGCATTTTTCCCAAGGCTCCCAGGGAACATCTGCAAAGTACCTTTCTCTCCTGGGTCCTGATCAGATAGAAGACCTTCCCACCTTAGCTTT
The DNA here is from genome assembly GCF_000001405.40 of Homo sapiens. Taxonomy (NCBI): domain Eukaryota; kingdom Metazoa; phylum Chordata; class Mammalia; order Primates; family Hominidae; genus Homo; species Homo sapiens. The sequence goes on along the minus strand of NC_000017.11, from coordinate 43,305,908 downwards.
GAGTCTCAGTGGGCCCCATGGACAATTCAGCAGTAAAGTCTTTTCTCTCTGGCTTCTTTCCCCCACTCTTCCTCAGAGGCTTTTTAGTACAGATGGGGTTTCTCCATGTTGGTCAGGCTGGTCTCCAACTCCCAACCTCTGGTGATCCGCCTGCCTGCCGCCTCCCAAAGTGCTGGGATTACAGGTGTGAGCCACTGGCCCAAGCTTTTTTTTTTTTTTTTTTTTTTGAGACGGAGTCTCACTCTGTCGCTGAGGCTGGAGTGCAGTGGCGCATCTCGGCTCACTGCAAGCTCCACCTCCTGGGTTCGCGCCATTCTTCTGCCTCAGCCTCCCAAGTAGCTGAGACGACAGGCACCTGCCACCACGTCTGGCTAATTTTTTTGTACTTTTAGTAGAGACGGGGATTCACCGTGTTAGCCAGGATGGTCTCGATCTCCTGACCTCATGATCTGCCCGCCTCAGCCTCCCAAAGTGCTGGGATTACAGGCATGAGCCACCGCGCCCATGCTTTTTTTTTTTTTTTTTTTTCAGAGACAAAGTCTTGCTCTGTCACCCAGGCTGGAGTGCAGTGGCGCGATCTCGGCTCACTGCAGCCTCTGCCTCCCGGGTTCCAGTGATTCTCCTGCCTCAGCCTCCTTGGGTAGCTGGGATTACAGGTGTTCGCCACCACGCCCAGCTAATTTTTGTATTTTTAAGGAGGTCTCGCCAAGTTGGCCAGGCTGGTCTCGAACTCCTGACTTCAGGTGATCTGCCCGCCTCGGCCTCCCAAAGCGCTGGGATTACAGGCGTGAGCCACTGCGCTGGGCACTTTAATTCTGTCTTTACTTTCTGAGATAGTCTCGCTCGGACGCTCAGGTTGGACTGCAATGGCGTGATCTCAGCTCGCTGAAACTTCCACCTCCCGGATTCAAGCGATTCTCCCGTCTCAGCCTCCCGAGTAGCTGGGATTATTGACGCGCAGCACCACGCCCGGCTAATTTTTGTGGTTTTTGTATCTTCTGTCTTCTGCTCTTTAGTACCGCATAGAGCCACAGAAGACTAGTGAGTCGAACAAACGGCCCCTCTTGCAGCAGTTGTTGATCACAGGGCTGCCCCCGGTACTCATCCTGTGTCTCTCGTCCAAATCCCCGCTCCTCCCCAGCTATCACCTCTGCCGATGCTGGTGGTTTCCCTGGGTACCGGGAACCAAACTCTCATTCCCCAGGAACCTAAGTCAGGGTTCCTGCACATTCACAGTTATGGGTGGCCCTGGGAGTAACACCTGGCACCCAAACAGATCACCAGAGTCCACACATAGTCCACCTGCCCTCCCTGCATAAGATCAGCTCTTCTTCCTCCCGATGATAGATCAGGGTCAATGATCCCTGCCAAGATGGCGACTGCTCCAGCCTGCTGGTCCAACCTGTCCAGCCACAGCTGTAGCTTGAAGGCTTGAAGTTCAATGGGACCCTCTCCTGCTTTCTACAAACTGGTTCCTTTATTTTTATTTATTTGGGACGGGGTCTGGCTCTGTCACCCAGGCTGGAGTGCAGTGGTGCAATCACTGCTCACTGCAGCATCCACCTCCCAGCATCCATCCACCCTCCTGCCTCAGCCTCTGGAATAGCTGGGGTACAGATAGGCCGCAGCCCGAACAGGGTTTCACTAGGTTGCCTAGGCTCTTTCTTTTTGTTTGCTTGAACCCAGGAGGCAGAGGCCACTGTGCCCAGCCACTTGGGGTGATCTTAAATGCACAGTCCCAGGCTGGGCGTGGTGGCTCACACCTGTAATCCCAGCACTTTGGGAGGCTGAGGCGGGCGGATCACCTGAGGTCTGGAGTTTGAGATCAGCCTGACCAACGTGGAGAAACCCTGTCTCTACTAAAAATACAAAAATTATCCGGGCATGGTGGTGCATGCCTGTAATCCTAGCTACTTGGGAGGCTGAGGTAGGAGAATCTCTTGAACCTGGGAGGCGGAGGTTGCAGTGAGCCGAGATTGCGCCATTGCACTCCAGCCTGGGCAACAAGAGTGAAACTCCATCTCAAAAAATAAAAAATAAAATGAAAATAAAATTAAGAGGTAGACGCTAGGCTTGAGTCCAGAATTAGAAATCTCCAGAGCTAGGGTGTTTTCTAAGAAGCCCCTTTGCGTTCTGGGGGCTCAGACCTCAGTGAGGCTTAGTAGGATTTTGTATTTTCTTTCATTCTGACTCAGCACAGACATTTATGGGGGAGATGGAGAGAGGAGAGATTAAGGAGAAAAAGGTAATTCCGGAGACCTAAGTGGGGAGAGATGAGCAGAGGAAGGGTCAGATGATGATGCTGGAACCCTCTGAGGAAGAATGGGGGAAAGAAGCCAGAGAGAAAAGACTTTACTGCTGAATTGTCCATGGGGCCCATTGAGACTCAAAGCTAAGGTGGGAAGGTCTTCTATCTGATCAGGACCCAGGAGAGAAAGGTACTTTGCAGATGTTCCCTGGGAGCCTTGGGAAAAATGCCTCCCTCTCTCAACAAAGCAGGCGGGGCCTGCCCAGTTGCCCTGGCAGTAACCACATTGTGAGGTGGTTCCAGTTATAGGCAGAGGGGTCTGAGTGGGAAGAGACAGAGGTGGTGGGAGCAGTGGGCTCTGCCTGTCCCCACCCCCACCTGGGGCCTCATACCATCCCACTATCATGGGTAGTGCCTACCACTGGGAGGCCCGGCGCCGGCAGATGGCTTTGGACCGAAGGAGATGGCTGATGGCCCAGCAGCAGCAGGAGCTGCAGCAGAAAGAACAGGTGCATGGGATAGGCTGGGTTCTTCAGGGTCCTCTCTGGAGCAGGAAGGGAATGGAGAATGGAGAGAGATCCCTAGGAAGCTGCCTACTATTTGGTGAATGCTGTTTGCTGGGGGTAGGAGGAAAGCAAGGTCATTTGGCGTTCTCTCAGATAGACTGTGTCTGTGTTGGGGGGACCACTATCAGCTGACTCAATTTCCCTCTTGTAATAGTCTAGGGGAAGGCAAGGGTACTAGGCCTGGGAGGTTTAAAGATGTTCTGTCCAATAGGGTAACCCCCAGCCTGTATGCTATATTGAGCCTTGGAGTGTGACTGAGGAACCAAATTTTTTTTTTTTTTTTTGAGATGGAGTTTTGCTCTTGTTGCCCAGGCTGGAGTGCAATGGTGCAATCTTGGCTCACCACAACCTCTGCCTCCCGGGTTCAAGTGATTCTCCTGCCTCAGCCTCCCGAGTAGCTGGTATTACAGGCATGCGCCACCACGCCCAGATAATTTTGTATTTTTAGTAGAGACACGGTTTCTCCATGTTGGTGAGGCTGGTCTCAAACTCCCGACCTCAGGTGATCCACCCAACTCAGCCTCCCAAAGTGCTGGGATTGCAGGCATGAGCCATGATGCCCGGTCAGTGTTATATAAATTTAATTTAGTTTTTAAAAATGTTATTTTGGCCGGGCATGGTGGCTCACACCTGTAATCCAGCACTTTGGGAGGCCAAGGTGGGTGGATCAGTTGAGGTCAGGAGTTCAAGACCAGCCTGGCCAACATGGCGAAACCTGGTCTCTACTAAAAGTACAAAAAGTAGCTAGGCATGGTGGCGCTTGCCTGGAATTCCAGCTACCTGGGGAGACTGAGGCATGAGAATCACTTGAATCAGTGAGGTGGAGGTTGCAGTGAGCCAAGATAGTGCCACTGCACTCTGACCTGAGTGATAGAGTGAGACTCTTGTCTCAAAAAAAAATTAAAAACTTTATTTGATTTTATTATTGTAATACAGACAGGGTCTCACTATGTTGCCCTGGCTGGTCTGGAACTCCTGGACTCAAGCAATCCTCCCACCTAAGTCTCCCAAAATGTTGACAAGTGTGAACCACCATGCCTGGCCTTTAATTAATTAATTCACTTATTTATTTTATTTTATTTTTTTGAGATGGAGTCTTGCTCCAGTCTTGCTCCCAGCCGGGCACAGTGGCTCACACTCTGTCTCTCCTGGAGAGAGGGAGATTCCCTTTCCGGGTCTGCTAAGTAACGGGTGCCTTCCCAGGCACTGGGGCCACCGCTAGACCAAGGCCTGCTAAGTAACCAGGGCCTTCCCAGGCACTGGCATTACCGCTAGGCCAAGGAGCCCTCCAGCGGCCCTTCTCTGGGCGTGAATGAGGGCTCACACTCTCGTCTTCTGGTCACCTCTCACTGTGGCCCTTCAGCTCCTAACTCTGTGTGGCCTGGTTTCCCCCAAGGTAATCATAATAGAACAGAGATCATTATGGTAATAGAACAAAGAGTGATGCTACAAACTAATGATTAATAATAGTCAGATATAATAAAATAAAGGTTTTCCCAGGTAATGCGCAGTAGAGCCCTCAGCCCTCCGCTGAAGTAGCGTAGGAGAGGAAGGGAGAGGTAAATGCTGAGCCCGCAGGCGGCAGTCTGTGCCTCGGAGAGAAACTTTATCCCAACCTTGCTGGGGGCCTTGACGCCCACCTTGCCCCAAGAGCACCCCGGCAGCCACCCCTGCCCTCTGGGGTCCTGCCACCCCGAGCCCGACCTTCCCCCTTTTCCCCCGCGCCGGGCCAATAGCCTCCTAACTGCGTCGTGCTCATCACCTTTGCGTCGTTTCTTCGCTCCACAAACGTTTACTGAGCGCCTTCCACACGCCAGGCGCCAGACTCGCGCGGGGAAACAGGGATAAGCACTGAGGAGGGGTCCCAGCCCTCAGCGATGGGATTTCAGAGCGGGAGATAAAGGGTTGCCCAGAAGGGTGGTGAGTGGAATGGCTGATATAAACAACGGGGGCGCGATGAAATACACAGGAGGGCTGCTAGTCACATATGGGGCGGGTGCCGAGGGCCCTTGACTAAGGGAGGCTTCCTGCACGGGTGACACCCAAGCGGAGTCCTGACGACCTGCGTCAGAAGTAGCCGGGCGAGGAGGAGGGGAAAGGAATCCACGTCCCGAGCAGAGAGGCAGCGTTCCCTACACAGCACAGGACACGGTCCGCGCACAGAAGCCGCAGGAGACGCAGGCACAGGGGCTGGGGAGAATCCTTGCTGGGCCCTCGCCGCCTCCCTCTGCCGGGTGTCTGGTGCCAGCCTCCTGCCTGGCAGAGGAACTCCAGCCCCTGCTCCCGGAAGCCCCTCCAGGCCTTCGGCTTCCCTGACTGGGCATGGGCCCCTCGTCCCCTCGTCCCCTCGGGTACGGGGCCGGTCTCCCCGCCCGCGGGCGGCGAAGTAAAGGCCCAGCGCAGCCCGCGCTCCTGCCCTGGGGCCTCGTCTTTCTCCAGGAAAACGTGGACCGCTCTCCGCCGACAGGTCTCTTCCACAGACCCCTGTCGCCTTCGCCCCCGGTCTCTTCCGGTTCTGTCTTTTCGCTGGCTCGATACGAACAAGGAAGTCGCCCCCAGCGGAGCCCCGGCTCCCCCAGGCAGAGGCGGCCCCGGGGGCGGAGTCAACGGCGGAGGCCACGCCCTCTGTGAAAGGGCGGGGCATGCAAATTCGAAATGAAAGCCCGGGAACGCCGGAAGAAGCACGGGTGTAAGATTTCCCTTTTCAAAGGCGGAGAATAAGAAATCAGCCCGAGAGTGTAAGGGCGTCAATAGCGCTGTGGACGAGACAGAGGGAATGGGGCAAGGAGCGAGGCTGGGGCTCTCACCGCGACTTGAATGTGGATGAGAGTGGGACGGTGACGGCGGGCGCGAAGGCGAGCGCATCGCTTCTCGGCCTTTTGGCTAAGATCAAGTGTAGTATCTGTTCTTATCAGTTTAATATCTGATACGTCCTCTATCCGAGGACAATATATTAAATGGATTTTTGGAGCAGGGAGATGGAATAGGAGCTTGCTCCGTCCACTCCACGCATCGACCTGGTATTGCAGTACCTCCAGGAACGGTGCACCCCCTCCGGGGATACAACGTGTTTCCTAAAAGTAGAGGGAGGTAAGAGACGGTAGCACCTGCGGGGCGGCTTGCACGCCGAGTGCCTGTGACGCGCCGGCTTGACTTAACTGCTTCCCTGAAGTACCTTGAGGTTCCTGATGTGCGGGCGGTAGACGGTAGGCTTATGCGGCACGCTTTCGTTTCCACCGTGGCTACTGCGCTTTGGGAAGGCCACGACCTCCTCCTTTGGGGAGGTCCTTAGGATCTCAGCTTGGCAGTCGAGTGGGTGGCGACCTTTTAAAGGAATGGGACCCACCCGGAGTTCTTCTTTCTCCTGTCTCTCTCTCTCTCTCTCTCTCTCTCTCTCTCTTTCTCTCTCTCTCTCTCTGTCTCTCCGTCTCTCTGTGTCTGTCTCTGTCTCTCTGTCTCTCTCTCTGTCTCTCTCTCTCTCTCTCTCTCTCTCTCTCTCTCCTCTCTCTGTCTCTCTCTCTCTTTCCCTCTCTCTCTCTCTTCCCCCCCCCCCGCCTCTCCCTCGCTCTTTTGGTTTCCCCCACCCCCTCCCAAGTTCTGGGGTACATGTGCAGGACGTGCAGGTTTGGAACATAGGTACACGTGTGCCACGGTGCTTTGCTGCACCTATCCACCAGTCGTCTAGGTTTGAAGCCCCGCATGCGTTGGCTATTTGTCCTAATGCTCTCTCTCCCCTTGCCCCCCACGCCCCCGTCAGGGCCCGGCGTGTGATGTTCCCCTCCCCGTGTCCCATGTGTTCTCGCTGTTCAACTCCCACTTCGGAGCGAGAACATGCGGTGTTTGGTTTTCGCTTCCTGTGTGGTTCTGCTGGGAATGAGGCCTTCCAGCTTCATCCACGTCCCGCAGAGCTGAGCGTCCGACGAAGACTATCTCAGAAAATAAAGACAGAATGAAAGAGCCCGGCGCGTGGCTTACGCCTGTAATCCCAGCGCTTTGGGAGGCCGAGGCGGGCGGATCGCCTGAGGTCAGGAGCTCGAGACCAGCCTGGCCGACATGGCGAAACCCCCTAAAAATACAAAAATTAGCCGGGCGTGGTGGCCTGCGCCTGTAATCCCAGCTACCCAGGAGGCTGAGGCAGGAGAATCGCTGGAACCCGGGAGGTAGAGGCTGCAGTGAGCCGAGATCGCGCCACTGCACTCCAGCCTGGGCGACAGAGCGAGAGTTTGTCTGGAAAAAAAAAAAAAAAAGCCAGGGTGAGCGGTGGCTCAAGCCTGTAATCGCAAGCAACACTTTGGGAGGCGGCAGCTGGGCAGATCACCGGAGGTCGGGAGTTGGAGACCAGCCTGAGCAACGTGGAGAAACCCCATCTGTACTAAAAATACAAAGTTAGCCGGGCGTGGTGGCACATGCCTGTAGTCCCAGCTGCTCGGGAGGCTGAGGCAGGGGAATCGCTTGAACCCGGGAGGCGGAGGTTGCAGAGAGCCTAGATCGCGCCATTGGACTCCAGGCTGGGTAACAAGAGCGGAACCTCCGTCTGAAAAAAAAAAAAAAAAAAAAAAATTGGGAGAATTTTGCTCCCACTGCCGTCAAAATCCCACGTGTATTTCACACTTACAGCACAGCTCCATTAGAACTGACCACATTTCCAGGGCTCCCTAGATACCTGTGGCTAGCGGCTGCCATACTACACCGTGCTGGGCTGTAGAATGGGGATGACAAGACAGGGCGGCGGAGATTGTGTTGGCGTGAAGCGAGGGAAACACTCGGCCGCAGGACAAAACTAAAACAGCAAGGGGGCACCGAAAGACTCAGTAGTCCACGTGAATATCCTGATTATGTTGTAGCTGAGATAATGTAGGGTCCACCCCTACCGGGTCTGTGGGTTTTCTCTTCGCGTGTGTGCGGAGACGAGAGATCGAAGAGATAAAGACAGAAGACAAAGAGATAGGAAGAAAGACAGCTGGGCCCGGGGGACCACTGCCACCAAAGCGCGGAGACAGACAGGTAGTGGCCCCGAGTGCCTGGAGGCGCTGCTATTTATTGTAGTCAAGGCAAGGGGGCAGGGTAAGGAGTGCCAGTCATCTCCAATGATCGATAGGTCACGCGAGTCACGTGTGCACTGGACAGGGGGCCTTTCCCTTTGTGGTAGCCGAGGTGGAGAGGGAGGTAAGGAAGGAGAAAGGGAAAGGTAAATGCTGAGCCCGCAGGCGGCAGTCTGTGCCTCGGAAAGGAACTTTATCCCAACCTTGCTGGGGGCCTTGACGCCCACCTTGCCCCAAGAGCACCCCGGCAGCCACCCCTGCCCTCTGGGGTCCTGCCACCCCGAGCCCGACCTTCCCCCTTTTCCCCCGCGCCGGGCCAATAGCCTCCTAACTGCGTCGTGCTCATCACCTTTGCGTCGTTTCTTCGCTCCACAAACGTTTACTGAGCGCCTTCCACACGCCAGGCGCCAGACTCGCGCGGGGAAACAGGGATAAGCACTGAGGAGGGGTCCCAGCCCTCAGCGATGGGATTTCAGAGCGGGAGATAAAGGGTTGCCCAGAAGGGTGGTGAGTGGAATGGCTGATATAAACAACGGGGGCGCGATGAAATACACAGGAGGGCTGCTAGTCACATATGGGGCGGGTGCCGAGGGCCCTTGACTAAGGGAGGCTTCCTGCACGGGTGACACCCAAGCGGAGTCCTGACGACCTGCGTCAGAAGTAGCCGGGCGAGGAGGAGGGGAAAGGAATCCACGTCCCGAGCAGAGAGGCAGCGTTCCCTACACAGCACAGGACACGGTCCGCGCACAGAAGCCGCAGGAGACGCAGGCACAGGGGCTGGGGAGAATCCTTGCTGGCCCTCGCCGCCTCCCTCTGCCGGGTGTCTGGTGCCAGCCTCCTGCCTGGCAGAGGAACTCCAGCCCCTGCTCCCGGAAGCCCCTCCACGTGCGGCTTCCCTGACTGGGCATGGGCCCCTCGTCCCTCGTCCCTCGGGTACGGGGCCGGGTCTGCCGCGGGCGGCGAAGTAAAGGCCCCAGCAGCCCGCGCTCCTCGCCTGGGGCCTCGTCTTTCTCCAGGAAAACGTGGACCGCTCTCCGCCGACAGGTCTCTTCCACAGACCCCTGTCGCCTTCGCCCCCGGTCTCTTCCGGTTCTGTCTTTTCGCTGGCTCGATACGAACAAGGAAGTCGCCCCCAGCGAGCCCCGGCTCCCCCAGGCAGAGGCGCGCCCGGGGGCGGAGTCAACGCGGAGCCACGCCCTCTGTGAAAGGGCGGGGCATGCAAATTCGAAATGAAAGCCCGGGAACGCCGGAAGAAGCACGGGTGTAAGATTTCCCTTTTCAAAGGCGGAGAATAAGAAATCAGCCCGAGAGTGTAAGGGCGTCAATAGCGCTGTGGACGAGACAGAGGGAATGGGGCAAGGAGCGAGGCTGGGGCTCTCACCGCGACTTGAATGTGGATGAGAGTGGGACGGTGACGGCGGGCGCGAAGGCGAGCGCATCGCTTCTCGGCCTTTTGGCTAAGATCAAGTGTAGTATCTGTTCTTATCAGTTTAATATCTGATACGTCCTCTATCCGAGGACAATATATTAAATGGATTTTTGGAGCAGGGAGATGGAATAGGAGCTTGCTCCGTCCACTCCACGCATCGACCTGGTATTGCAGTACCTCCAGGAACGGTGCACCCCCTCCGGGGATACAACGTGTTTCCTAAAAGTAGAGGGAGGTAAGAGACGGTAGCACCTGCGGGGCGGCTTGCACGCCGAGTGCCTGTGACGCGCCGGCTTGACTTAACTGCTTCCCTGAAGTACCTTGAGGTTCCTGATGTGCGGGCGGTAGACGGTAGGCTTATGCGGCACGCTTTCGTTTCCACCGTGGCTACTGCGCTTTGGGAAGGCCACGACCTCCTCCTTTGGGGAGGTCCTTAGGATCTCAGCTTGGCAGTCGAGTGGGTGGCGACCTTTTAAAGGAATGGGACCCACCCGGAGTTCTTCTTTCTCCTGTCTCTCTCTCTCTCTCTCTCTTTCTCTCTCTCTCTCTCTCTGTCTCTCCGTCTCTTGTGTCTGTCTCTGTCTCTCTGTCTCTCTCTCTGTCTCTCTCTCTCTCTCTCCTCTCTCTGTCTCTCTCTCTCTTTCCCTCTCTCTCTCTCTTTCCCCCCCCCGCCTCTCCCTCGCTCTTTTGGTTTCCCCCACCCCCTCCCAAGTTCTGGGGTACATGTGCAGGACGTGCAGGTTTGGAACATAGGTACACGTGTGCCACGGTGCTTTGCTGCACCTATCCACCAGTCGTCTAGGTTTGAAGCCCCGCATGCGTTGGCTATTTGTCCTAATGCTCTCTCTCCCCTTGCCCCCCACGCCCCGTCAGGGCCCGGCGTGTGATGTTCCCCTCCCTGTGTCCCATGTGTTCTCGCTGTTCAACTCCCACTTAGGAGCGAGAACATGCGGTGTTTGGTTTTCGCTTCCTGTGTCAGTTTGCTGAGAATGAGGCCTTCCAGCTTCATCCACGTTCCCGCAGAGGTCATGAACTCATCCTTTTTTATGGCTGCGTAGTAATTCCATGCTGTATACGTGCCACACTTTCTTTATCCAGCCTATCATTCATGGGCATTCGAGTTGGTTCCAAGTCTTTGCTATTGTAAATAGTGCTGCAGTAAACATACGTGTCCACGTGTCTTCCTAGTAGGAACTTCTTCCTCTTCAGCCCGCTGAGTAGCTGGCACTTTAAGGCAGGTGCCAACGCACCGGCAGCAAGCTTCCTTTTTTGCCCGGGAAAAACTGAGGTGCAGGTAGTATAAGCCATTGATCACGGAACGCACAGGAGCAGAGCTCGAGTCCAAGCATCGTGGCTCCACCCGTCATGCTGGATGCATCTTTAGGCTCCGCTCTAGGTATGTGTATCCTTTACGGGATCAGCCACCGGCAGTTGCCTTGCGAGCACGATGACAAACCTCTGCCGGCTCTTTTGGGTCTCATCCCTGTACCTATACGTTGCATCCCAACATAAAGACCGGAATGTTCCTTTCGCTGACCCAGTCTCTCACCCTTTCCAAACTCCAGAAATCTTGTCTGTCCTCGGAAGAACTCCCCCTGCTTCTTTCTCTAAAGGCTGTCTTCAGGCCGGGCACAGTGGGAGGATCGCTTGAGCCCAGAAGGCCGCAGTGAGGTGAGATCGCGCCATTGCACTGCAGCCCCCGGCGGCAGAGCCGGAGCCCCGTCTCGAAACAAACAAACAAAAACCAACCAACCAACCAACCAACCAACAAACAAACACAGACAAAGAAAGAAAGAGCCCAGGCAACCTAGTGAAAACCTGTTCGGGCTGGGGCGTACCTGTACCCCAGCTGTTCCGGAGGCTGAGGCAGGAGGATGGGTGGACGCTGGGAGGTGGATGCTGCAGTGAGCAGTGATTGCACCACTGCACTCCAGCCTGGGTGACAGAGCCAGACCCCGTCCCAAATAAATAAACATAAAAATAAAGGAACCAGTTTGTAGAAAGCGGGAGAGGGTCCCATTGAACTTCAAGCCTTCGAGCAACAGCTGTGGCTGGACAGGTTGGACCAGCAGGCTGGAGCAGTCGCCATCTTGGCAGGGATCATTGACCCTGATCTATCGTCGGGAGGAGGAAGAGCTGATCTTACGCAGGGAGGGCAGGTGGACTATGTGTGGACTCTGGTGACCTGTTTGGGTGCCAGGTGTTACTCCCAGGGCCACCCGTAACTGTGAATGTGCAGGAACCCTGACTTGAGAAGGGCCTGGCACGGGGGGCTTAGGCTCGGGGAATGAGAGTTTGGTTCCGGTACCCAGGGAAACCACCAGCATCGGCAGAGGTGATAGCTGAGGAGGAGCGGGGATTTGGACGAGAGACACAGGATGAGTACCCGGGGGGCAGCCCCGTGATCAACAACTGCTGCAAGAGGGGCCGTTTGTTCGACTCGCTAGTCTTCTGCGGCTCTATGCGGTACTAAAGAGCAGAAGACAGAAGATACAAAAACCACAAAAAGTAGCCCGGGCGTGGTGCTGCCCGTCAATAATCCCAGCTACTCGGGAGGCTGAGACAGGAGAATCGCTTGAACCCGGGAGGCGGAAGTTTCAGCGAGCCGAGATCACGCCGTTGCAGTCCAACCTGAGCGTCCGAGCGAGACTCTATCTCAGAAAATAAAGACAGAATGAAAGAGCCCGGCGCGGTGGCTTACGCCTGTAATCCCAGCGCTTTGGGAGGCCGAGGCGGGCGGATCGCCTGAGGTCAGGAGCTCGAGACCAGCCTGGCCGACATGGCGAAACCCCCTAAAAATACAAAAATTAGCCGGGCGTGGTGGCCTGCGCCTGTAATCCCAGCTACCCAGGAGGCTGAGGCAGGAGAATCGCTGGAACCCGGGAGGTAGAGGCTGCAGTGAGCCGAGATCGCGCCACTGCACTCCAGCCTGGGCGACAGAGCGAGAGTTTGTCTGGAAAAAAAAAAAAAAAAAGCCAGGGTGAGCGGTGGCTCAAGCCTGTAATCGCAAGCAACACTTTGGGAGGCGGCAGCTGGGCAGATCACCGGAGGTCGGGAGTTGGAGACCAGCCTGAGCAACGTGGAGAAACCCCATCTGTACTAAAAATACAAAGTTAGCCGGGCGTGGTGGCACATGCCTGTAGTCCCAGCTGCTCGGGAGGCTGAGGCAGGGGAATCGCTTGAACCCGGGAGGCGGAGGTTGCAGAGAGCCTAGATCGCGCCATTGGACTCCAGGCTGGGTAACAAGAGCGGAACCTCCGTCTGAAAAAAAAAAAAAAAAAAAAAAATTGGGAGAATTTTGCTCCCACTGCCGTCAAAATCCCACGTGTATTTCACACTTACAGCACAGCTCCATTAGAACTGACCACATTTCCAGGGCTCCCTAGATACCTGTGGCTAGCGGCTGCCATACTACACCGTGCTGGGCTGTAGAATGGGGATGACAAGACAGGGCGGCGGAGATTGTGTTGGCGTGAAGCGAGGGAAACACTCGGCCGCAGGACAAAACTAAAACAGCAAGGGGGCACCGAAAGACTCAGTAGTCCACGTGAATATCCTGATTATGTTGTAGCTGAGATAATGTAGGGTCCACCCCTACCGGGTCTGTGGGTTTTCTCTTCGCGTGTGTGCGGAGACGAGAGATCGAAGAGATAAAGACAGAAGACAAAGAGATAGGAAGAAAGGCAGCTGGGCCCGGGGGACCACTGCCACCAAAGCGCGGAGACAGACAGGTAGTGGCCCCGAGTGCCTGGAGGCGCTGCTATTTATTGTAGTCAAGGCAAGGGGGCAGGGTAAGGAGTGCCAGTCATCTCCAATGATCGATAGGTCACGCGAGTCACGTGTCCACTGGACAGGGGGCCTTTCCCTTTGTGGTAGCCGAGGTGGAGAGGGAGGACAGCAAACGTCAGCGTTTCTTCTATGCACTTATCAGAAAGATCGAAGACTGTGGTACTCCTACTAGTTCTGCTACTGCTGTCTTCTAAGAACTTAAAAGGAGGAGCCAGGTGTACAGGCTGAACATGAAAGTGAACAAGGAGCGTGACCACTGAAGCACAGCATCACAGGGAGACAGACGTTGGAGCCTCCGGATGACTGCGGGCCGGCCTGGCTAATGTCAGACCTCCCACAAGAGGTGGTGGAGCGGAGCGTTCTCTGTCTCCCCTGGAGAGAGGGAGATTCCCTTTCCGGGTCTGCTAAGTAACGGGTGCCTTCCCAGGCACTGGGGCCACCGCTAGACCAAGGCCTGCTAAGTAACCAGGGCCTTCCCAGGCACTGGCATTACCGCTAGGCCAAGGAGCCCTCCAGCGGCCCTTCTCTGGGCGTGAATGAGGGCTCACACTCTCGTCTTCTGGTCACCTCTCACTGTGGCCCTTCAGCTCCTAACTCTGTGTGGCCTGGTTTCCCCCAAGGTAATCATAATAGAACAGAGATCATTATGGTAATAGAACAAAGAGTGATGCTACAAACTAATGATTAATAATAGTCAGATATAATCCTATCCGTTTCCTATCTCTAGTAAAACTTTTCTTATTCTAATTATTTTCTTCGCTGTACTGGAACAGCTTGTGCCTTCAGGCTCTTGCCTGGGCACCTGGGTGGCTTGCGGCCCACAAGATAAGATACATTGCGTTGAACTATAATTTATGTTGATTGCTGAATGATTTAGGGCGGGGGGGTGGGCACCCCCTGAAATTCTGCCCTGGAGGAGTGGCCTCACCCTAACCCTGGCCATGGCTAATAATAAGGCCCACCTCTTAGGGCCGTGGAGTGAAATAAGTTTTCCAGGTAATGCGCAGTAGAGCCCTCAGCCCTCCGCTGAAGTTGCGTTAGGAAGGAGGAAGGGAGAGGTAAATGCTGAGCCCGCAGCGGCAGTCTGTGCCTCGGAGAGAAACTTTATCCCAACCTTGCTGGGGGCCTTGACGCCCACCTTGCCCCAAGAGCACCCGGCAGCCACCCCTGCCTCTGGGGTCCTGCCACCCCGAGCCCGACCTTCCCCTTTTCCCCGCGCCGGCCAATAGCCTCCTAACTGGCGTCGTGCTCATCACCTTTGCGTCGTTTCTTCGCTCCACAAACGTTTACTGAGCGCCTTCCACACGCCAGGCGCCAGACTCGCGCGGGGAAACAGGGATAAGCACTGAGGAGGGGTCCAGCCCTCAGCGATGGGATTTCAGAGCGGGAGATAAAGGGTTGCCCAGAAGGTGGTGAGTGGAATGGCTGATATAAACAACGGGGGCGCGATGAAATACACAGGAGGGCTGCTAGTCACATATGGGGCGGGTGCGAGGGCCCTTGACTAAGGGAGGCTTCCCTGCACGGGTGACACAAAGCGGAGTCCTGACGACCTGCGTCAGAAGTAGCCGGGCGAGGAGGAGGGGAAAGGAATCCACGTCCCGAGCAGAGAGGCAGCGTTCCCTACACAGCACAGGACACGGTCCGAGCACAGAAACCGCAGGAGACGCAAGCACAGGGGCTGGGGAGAATTCCTTATGAGCCCTCGCCGCCTCCCTCTGCCGGGTGTCTGGTGCCAGCATCCTGCCTGGCAGAGGAACTCCAGCCCCTGCTCCCGGAAGCCCCTCCAGACCTTAGGCTTCCCTGACTGGGCATGGGCCCCTCGTCCCCTCGTCCCCTCGGGTACGGGGCCGGTCTCCCCGCCCGCGGGCGGCGAAGTAAAGGCCCAGCGCAGCCCGCGCTCCTGCCCTGGGCCTCGTCTTTCTCCAGGAAAACGTGGACCGCTCTCCGCCGACAGGTCTCTTCCACAGACCCCTGTCGCCTTCGCCCCCGGTCTCTTCCGGTTCTGTCTTTTCGCTGGCTCGATACGAACAAGGAAGTCGCCCCCAGCGGAGCCCCGGCTCCCCCAGGCAGAGGCGGCCCCGGGGGCGGAGTCAACGGCGGAGGCCACGCCCTCTGTGAAAGGGCGGGGCATGCAAATTCGAAATGAAAGCCCGGGAACGCCGGAAGAAGCACGGGTGTAAGATTTCCCTTTTCAAAGGCGGAGAATAAGAAATCAGCCCGAGAGTGTAAGGGCGTCAATAGCGCTGTGGACGAGACAGAGGGAATGGGGCAAGGAGCGAGGCTGGGGCTCTCACCGCGACTTGAATGTGGATGAGAGTGGGACGGTGACGGCGGGCGCGAAGGCGAGCGCATCGCTTCTCGGCCTTTTGGCTAAGATCAAGTGTAGTATCTGTTCTTATCAGTTTAATATCTGATACGTCCTCTATCCGAGGACAATATATTAAATGGATTTTTGGAGCAGGGAGATGGAATAGGAGCTTGCTCCGTCCACTCCACGCATCGACCTGGTATTGCAGTACTTCCAGGAACGGTGCACCCCCTCCGGGGATACAACGTGTTTCCTAAAAGTAGAGGGAGGTAAGAGACGGTAGCACCTGCGGGGCGGCTTGCACGCCGAGTGCCTGTGACGCGCCGGCTTGACTTAACTGCTTCCCTGAAGTACCTTGAGGTTCCTGATGTGCGGGCGGTAGACGGTAGGCTTATGCGGCACGCTTTCGTTTCCACCGTGGCTACTGCGCTTTGGGAAGGCCACGACCTCCTCCTTTGGGGAGGTCCTTAGGATCTCAGCTTGGCAGTCGAGTGGGTGGCGACCTTTTAAAGGAATGGGACCCACCCGGAGTTCTTCTTTCTCCTGTCTCTCTCTCTCTCTCTCTCTTTCTCTCTCTCTCTCTCTCTGTCTCTCCGTCTCTCTGTGTCTGTCTCTGTCTCTCTGTCTCTCTCTCTGTCTCTCTCTCTCTCTCTCCTCTCTCTGTCTCTCTCTCTCTTTCCCTCTCTCTCTCTCTTCCCCCCCCCCGCCTCTCCCTCGCTCTTTTGGTTTCCCCCACCCCCTCCCAAGTTCTGGGGTACATGTGCAGGACGTGCAGGTTTGGAACATAGGTACACGTGTGCCACGGTGCTTTGCTGCACCTATCCACCAGTCGTCTAGGTTTGAAGCCCCGCATGCGTTGGCTATTTGTCCTAATGCTCTCTCTCCCCTTGCCCCCCACGCCCCGTCAGGGCCCGGCGTGTGATGTTCCCCTCCCTGTGTCCCATGTGTTCTCGCTGTTCAACTCCCACTTAGGAGCGAGAACATGCGGTGTTTGGTTTTCGCTTCCTGTGTCAGTTTGCTGAGAATGAGGCCTTCCAGCTTCATCCACGTTCCCGCAGAGGTCATGAACTCATCCTTTTTTATGGCTGCGTAGTAATTCCATGCTGTATACGTGCCACACTTTCTTTATCCAGCCTATCATTCATGGGCATTCGAGTTGGTTCCAAGTCTTTGCTATTGTAAATAGTGCTGCAGTAAACATACGTGTCCACGTGTCTTCCTAGTAGGAACTTCTTCCTCTTCAGCCCGCTGAGTAGCTGGCACTTTAAGGCAGGTGCCAACGCACCGGCAGCAAGCTTCCTTTTTTGCCCGGGAAAAACTGAGGTGCAGGTAGTATAAGCCATTGATCACGGAACGCACAGGAGCAGAGCTCGAGTCCAAGCATCGTGGCTCCACCCGTCATGCTGGATGCATCTTTAGGCTCCGCTCTAGGTATGTGTATCCTTTACGGGATCAGCCACCGGCAGTTGCCTTGCGAGCACGATGACAAACCTCTGCCGGCTCTTTTGGGTCTCATCCCTGTATCTATACGTTGCATCCCAACATAAAGACCGGAATGTTCCTTTCGCTGACCCAGTCTCTCACCCTTTCCAAACTCCAGAAATCTTGTCTGTCCTCGGAAGAACTCCCCCTGCTTCTTTCTCTAAAGGCTGTCTTCAGGCCGGGCACAGTGGGAGGATCGCTTGAGCCCAGAAGGCCGCAGTGAGGTGAGATCGCGCCATTGCACTGCAGCCCCCGGCGGCAGAGCCGGAGCCCCGTCTCGAAACAAACAAACAAAAACCAACCAACCAACCAACCAACCAACAAACAAACACAGACAAAGAAAGAAAGAGCCCAGGCAACCTAGTGAAAACCTGTTCGGGCTGGGGCGTACCTGTACCCCAGCTGTTCCGGAGGCTGAGGCCAGGAGGATGGGTGGACGCTGGGAGGTGGATGCTGCAGTGAGCAGTGATTGCACCACTGCACTCCAGCCTGGGTGACAGAGCCAGACCCCGTCCCAAATAAATAAACATAAAAATAAAGGAACCAGTTTGTAGAAAGCGGGAGAGGGTCCCATTGAACTTCAAGCCTTCGAGCAACAGCTGTGGCTGGACAGGTTGGACCAGCAGGCTGGAGCAGTCGCCATCTTGGCAGGGATCATTGACCCTGATCTATCGTCGGGAGGAGGAAGAGCTGATCTTACGCAGGGAGGGCAGGTGGACTATGTGTGGACTCTGGTGACCTGTTTGGGTGCCAGGTGTTACTCCCAGGGCCACCCGTAACTGTGAATGTGCAGGAACCCTGACTTGAGAAGGGCCTGGCCACGGGGGGCTTAGGCCCCTGGGGAATGAGAGTTTGGTTCCCGGTACCCAGGGAAACCACCAGCATCGGCAGAGGTGATAGCTGAGGAGGAGCGGGGATTTGGACGAGAGACACAGGATGAGTACCGGGGGGCAGCCCCGTGATCAACAACTGCTGCAAGAGGGGCCGTTTGTTCGACTCGCTAGTCTTCTGCGGCTCTATGCGGTACTAAAGAGCAGAAGACAGAAGATACAAAAACCACAAAAAGTAGCCGGGGCGTGGTGCTGCCCGTCAATAATCCCAGCTACTCGGGAGGCTGAGACAGGAGAATCGCTTGAACCCGGGAGGGCGGAAGTTTCAGCGAGCCGAGATCACGCCGTTGCAGTCCAACCTGAGCGTCCGAGCGAGACTCTATCTCAGAAAATAAAGACAGAATGAAAGAGCCCGGCGCGGTGGCTTACGCCTGTAATCCCAGCGCTTTGGGAGGCCGAGGCGGGCGGATCGCCTGAGGTCAGGAGCTCGAGACCAGCCTGGCCGACATGGCGAAACCCCCTAAAAATACAAAAATTAGCCGGGCGTGGTGGCCTGCGCCTGTAATCCCAGCTACCCAGGAGGCTGAGGCAGGAGAATCGCTGGAACCCGGGAGGTAGAGGCTGCAGTGAGCCGAGATCGCGCCACTGCACTCCAGCCTGGGCGACAGAGCGAGAGTTTGTCTGGAAAAAAAAAAAAAAAAGCCAGGGTGAGCGGTGGCTCAAGCCTGTAATCGCAAGCAACACTTTGGGAGGCGGCAGCTGGGCAGATCACCGGAGGTCGGGAGTTGGAGACCAGCCTGAGCAACGTGGAGAAACCCCATCTGTACTAAAAATACAAAGTTAGCCGGGCGTGGTGGCACATGCCTGTAGTCCCAGCTGCTCGGGAGGCTGAGGCAGGGGAATCGCTTGAACCCGGGAGGCGGAGGTTGCAGAGAGCCTAGATCGCGCCATTGGACTCCAGGCTGGGTAACAAGAGCGGAACCTCCGTCTGAAAAAAAAAAAAAAAAAAAAAAAAAATTGGGAGAATTTTGCTCCCACTGCCGTCAAAATCCCATGTGTATTTCACACTTAACAGCGCAGCTCCATTAGAACTGACCACATTTCCAGGGCTCCCTAGATACCTGTGGCTAGCGGCTGCCATACTACACCGTGCTGGGCTGTAGAATGGGGATGACAAGACAGGGCGGCGGAGATTGTGTTGGCGTGAAGCGAGGGAAACACTCGGCCGCAGGACAAAACTAAAACAGCAAGGGGGCACCGAAAGACTCAGTAGTCCACGTGAATATCCTGATTATGTTGTAGCTGAGATAATGTAGGGTCCACCCCTACCGGGTCTGTGGGTTTTCTCTTCGCGTGTGTGCGGAGACGAGAGATCGAAGAGATAAAGACAGAAGACAAAGAGATAGGAAGAAAGACAGCTGGGCCCGGGGGACCACTGCCACCAAAGCGCGGAGACAGACAGGTAGTGGCCCCGAGTGCCTGGAGGCGCTGCTATTTATTGTAGTCAAGGCAAGGGGGCAGGGTAAGGAGTGCCAGTCATCTCCAATGATCGATAGGTCACGCGAGTCACGTGTCCACTGGACAGGGGGCCTTTCCCTTTGTGGTAGCCGAGGTGGAGAGGGAGGACAGCAAACGTCAGCGTTTCTTCTATGCACTTATCAGAAAGATCGAAGACTGTGGTACTCCTACTAGTTCTGCTACTGCTGTCTTCTAAGAACTTAAAAGGAGGAGCCAGGTGTACAGGCTGAACATGAAAGTGAACAAGGAGCGTGACCACTGAAGCACAGCATCACAGGGAGACAGACGTTGGAGCCTCCGGATGACTGCGGGCCGGCCTGGCTAATGTCAGACCTCCCACAAGAGGTGGTGGAGCGGAGCGTTCTCTGTCTCCCCTGGAGAGAGGGAGATTCCCTTTCCGGGTCTGCTAAGTAACGGGTGCCTTCCCAGGCACTGGGGCCACCGCTAGACCAAGGCCTGCTAAGTAACCAGGGCCTTCCCAGGCACTGGCATTACCGCTAGGCCAAGGAGCCCTCCAGCGGCCCTTCTCTGGGCGTGAATGAGGGCTCACACTCTCGTCTTCTGGTCACCTCTCACTGTGGCCCTTCAGCTCCTAACTCTGTGTGGCCTGGTTTCCCCCAAGGTAATCATAATAGAACAGAGATCATTATGGTAATAGAACAAAGAGTGATGCTACAAACTAATGATTAATAATAGTCAGATATAATCCTATCCGTTTCCTATCTCTAGTAAAACTTTTCTTATTCTAATTATTTTCTTCGCTGTACTGGAACAGCTTGTGCCTTCAGGCTCTTGCCTGGGCACCTGGGTGGCTTGCGGCCCACAAGATAAGATACATTGCGTTGAACTATAATTTATGTTGATTGCTGAATGATTTAGGGCGGGGGGGTGGGCACCCCCTGAAATTCTGCCCTGGAGGAGTGGCCTCACCCTAACCCTGGCCGTGGCTAATAATAAGGCCCACCTCTTAGGGCCGTGGAGTGAAATAAGTTTTCCAGGTAATGCGCAGTAGAGCCCTCAGCCCTCCGCTGAAGTTGCGTTAGGAAGGAGGAAGGGAGAGGTAAATGCTGAGCCCGCAGGCGGCAGTCTGTGCCTCGGAGAGAAACTTTATCCCAACCTTGCTGGGGGCCTTGACGCCCACCTTGCCCCAAGAGCACCCCGGCAGCCACCCCTGCCCTCTGGGGTCCTGCCACCCCGAGCCCGACCTTCCCCCTTTTCCCCCGCGCCGGGCCAATAGCCTCCTAACTGCGTCGTGCTCATCACCTTTGCGTCGTTTCTTCGCTCCACAAACGTTTACTGAGCGCCTTCCACACGCCAGGCGCCAGACTCGCGCGGGGAAACAGGGATAAGCACTGAGGAGGGGTCCCAGCCCTCAGCGATGGGATTTCAGAGCGGGAGATAAAGGGTTGCCCAGAAGGGTGGTGAGTGGAATGGCTGATATAAACAACGGGGGCGCGATGAAATACACAGGAGGGCTGCTAGTCACATATGGGGCAGGTGCCGAGGGCCCTTGACTAAGGGAGGCTTCCTGCACGGGTGACACCCAAGCGGAGTCCTGACGACCTGCGTCAGAAGTAGCCGGGCGAGGAGGAGGGGAAAGGAATCCACGTCCCGAGCAGAGAGGCAGCGTTCCCTACACAGCACAGGACACGGTCCGCGCACAGAAGCCGCAGGAGACGCAGGCACAGGGGCTGGGGAGAATCCTTGCTGGGCCCTCGCCGCCTCCCTCTGCCGGGTGTCTGGTGCCAGCCTCCTGCCTGGCAGAGGAACTCCAGCCCCTGCTCCCGGAAGCCCCTCCAGGCCTTCGGCTTCCCTGACTGGGCATGGGCCCCTCGTCCCCTCGTCCCCTCGGGTACGGGGCCGGTCTCCCCGCCCGCGGGCGGCGAAGTAAAGGCCCAGCGCAGCCCGCGCTCCTGCCCTGGGGCCTCGTCTTTCTCCAGGAAAACGTGGACCGCTCTCCGCCGACAGGTCTCTTCCACAGACCCCTGTCGCCTTCGCCCCCGGTCTCTTCCGGTTCTGTCTTTTCGCTGGCTCGATACGAACAAGGAAGTCGCCCCCAGCGGAGCCCCGGCTCCCCCAGGCAGAGGCGGCCCCGGGGGCGGAGTCAACGGCGGAGGCCACGCCCTCTGTGAAAGGGCGGGGCATGCAAATTCGAAATGAAAGCCCGGGAACGCCGGAAGAAGCACGGGTGTAAGATTTCCCTTTTCAAAGGCGGAGAATAAGAAATCAGCCCGAGAGTGTAAGGGCGTCAATAGCGCTGTGGACGAGACAGAGGGAATGGGGCAAGGAGCGAGGCTGGGGCTCTCACCGCGACTTGAATGTGGATGAGAGTGGGACGGTGACGGCGGGCGCGAAGGCGAGCGCATCGCTTCTCGGCCTTTTGGCTAAGATCAAGTGTAGTATCTGTTCTTATCAGTTTAATATCTGATACGTCCTCTATCCGAGGACAATATATTAAATGGATTTTTGGAGCAGGGAGATGGAATAGGAGCTTGCTCCGTCCACTCCACGCATCGACCTGGTATTGCAGTACCTCCAGGAACGGTGCACCCCCTCCGGGGATACAACGTGTTTCCTAAAAGTAGAGGGAGGTAAGAGACGGTAGCACCTGCGGGGCGGCTTGCACGCCGAGTGCCTGTGACGCGCCGGCTTGACTTAACTGCTTCCCTGAAGTACCTTGAGGTTCCTGATGTGCGGGCGGTAGACGGTAGGCTTATGCGGCACGCTTTCGTTTCCACCGTGGCTACTGCGCTTTGGGAAGGCCACGACCTCCTCCTTTGGGGAGGTCCTTAGGATCTCAGCTTGGCAGTCGAGTGGGTGGCGACCTTTTAAAGGAATGGGACCCACCCGGAGTTCTTCTTTCTCCTGTCTCTCTCTCTCTCTCTCTCTCTTTCTCTCTCTCTCTCTCTGTCTCTCCGTCTCTCTGTGTCTGTCTCTGTCTCTCTGTCTCTCTCTCTGTCTCTCTCTCTCTCTCTCTCTCTCTCTCTCCTCTCTCTGTCTCTCTCTCTCTTTCCCTCTCTCTCTCTCTTCCCCCCCCCCGCCTCTCCCTCGCTCTTTTGGTTTCCCCCACCCCCTCCCAAGTTCTGGGGTACATGTGCAGGACGTGCAGGTTTGGAACATAGGTACACGTGTGCCACGGTGCTTTGCTGCACCTATCCACCAGTCGTCTAGGTTTGAAGCCCCGCATGCGTTGGCTATTTGTCCTAATGCTCTCTCTCCCCTTGCCCCCCACGCCCCGTCAGGGCCCGGCGTGTGATGTTCCCCTCCCTGTGTCCCATGTGTTCTCGCTGTTCAACTCCCACTTAGGAGCGAGAACATGCGGTGTTTGGTTTTCGCTTCCTGTGTCAGTTTGCTGAGAATGAGGCCTTCCAGCTTCATCCACGTTCCCGCAGAGGTCATGAACTCATCCTTTTTTATGGCTGCGTAGTAATTCCATGCTGTATACGTGCCACACTTTCTTTATCCAGCCTATCATTCATGGGCATTCGAGTTGGTTCCAAGTCTTTGCTATTGTAAATAGTGCTGCAGTAAACATACGTGTCCACGTGTCTTCCTAGTAGGAACTTCTTCCTCTTCAGCCCGCTGAGTAGCTGGCACTTTAAGGCAGGTGCCAACGCACCGGCAGCAAGCTTCCTTTTTTGCCCGGGAAAAACTGAGGTGCAGGTAGTATAAGCCATTGATCACGGAACGCACAGGAGCAGAGCTCGAGTCCAAGCATCGTGGCTCCACCCGTCATGCTGGATGCATCTTTAGGCTCCGCTCTAGGTATGTGTATCCTTTACGGGATCAGCCACCGGCAGTTGCCTTGCGAGCACGATGACAAACCTCTGCCGGCTCTTTTGGGTCTCATCCCTGTATCTATACGTTGCATCCCAACATAAAGACCGGAATGTTCCTTTCGCTGACCCAGTCTCTCACCCTTTCCAAACTCCAGAAATCTTGTCTGTCCTCGGAAGAACTCCCCCTGCTTCTTTCTCTAAAGGCTGTCTTCAGGCCGGGCACAGTGGGAGGATCGCTTGAGCCCAGAAGGCCGCAGTGAGGTGAGATCGCGCCATTGCACTGCAGCCCCCGGCGGCAGAGCCGGAGCCCCGTCTCGAAACAAACAAACAAAAACCAACCAACCAACCAACCAACCAACAAACAAACACAGACAAAGAAAGAAAGAGCCCAGGCAACCTAGTGAAAACCTGTTCGGGCTGGGGCATACCTGTACCCCAGCTGTTCCGGAGGCTGAGGCCAGGAGGATGGGTGGACGCTGGGAGGTGGATGCTGCAGTGAGCAGTGATTGCACCACTGCACTCCAGCCTGGGTGACAGAGCCAGACCCCGTCCCAAATAAATAAACATAAAAATAAAGGAACCAGTTTGTAGAAAGCGGGAGAGGGTCCCATTGAACTTCAAGCCTTCGAGCAACAGCTGTGGCTGGACAGGTTGGACCAGCAGGCTGGAGCAGTCGCCATCTTGGCAGGGATCATTGACCCTGATCTATCGTCGGGAGGAGGAAGAGCTGATCTTACGCAGGGAGGGCAGGTGGACTATGTGTGGACTCTGGTGACCTGTTTGGGTGCCAGGTGTTACTCCCAGGGCCACCCGTAACTGTGAATGTGCAGGAACCCTGACTTGAGAAGGGCCTGGCCACGGGGGGCTTAGGCCCCTGGGGAATGAGAGTTTGGTTCCCGGTACCCAGGGAAACCACCAGCATCGGCAGAGGTGATAGCTGAGGAGGAGCGGGGATTTGGACGAGAGACACAGGATGAGTACCGGGGGGCAGCCCCGTGATCAACAACTGCTGCAAGAGGGGCCGTTTGTTCGACTCGCTAGTCTTCTGCGGCTCTATGCGGTACTAAAGAGCAGAAGACAGAAGATACAAAAACCACAAAAAGTAGCCGGGCGTGGTGCTGCCCGTCAATAATCCCAGCTACTCGGGAGGCTGAGACAGGAGAATCGCTTGAACCCGGGAGGCGGAAGTTTCAGCGAGCCGAGATCACGCCGTTGCAGTCCAACCTGAGCGTCCGAGCGAGACTCTATCTCAGAAAATAAAGACAGAATGAAAGAGCCCGGCGCGGTGGCTTACGCCTGTAATCCCAGCGCTTTGGGAGGCCGAGGCGGGCGGATCGCCTGAGGTCAGGAGCTCGAGACCAGCCTGGCCGACATGGCGAAACCCCCTAAAAATACAAAAATTAGCCGGGCGTGGTGGCCTGCGCCTGTAATCCCAGCTACCCAGGAGGCTGAGGCAGGAGAATCGCTGGAACCCGGGAGGTAGAGGCTGCAGTGAGCCGAGATCGCGCCACTGCACTCCAGCCTGGGCGACAGAGCGAGAGTTTGTCTGGAAAAAAAAAAAAAAAAAGCCAGGGTGAGCGGTGGCTCAAGCCTGTAATCGCAAGCAACACTTTGGGAGGCGGCAGCTGGGCAGATCACCGGAGGTCGGGAGTTGGAGACCAGCCTGAGCAACGTGGAGAAACCCCATCTGTACTAAAAATACAAAGTTAGCCGGGCGTGGTGGCACATGCCTGTAGTCCCAGCTGCTCGGGAGGCTGAGGCAGGGGAATCGCTTGAACCCGGGAGGCGGAGGTTGCAGAGAGCCTAGATCGCGCCATTGGACTCCAGGCTGGGTAACAAGAGCGGAACCTCCGTCTGAAAAAAAAAAAAAAAAAAAAAAAATTGGGAGAATTTTGCTCCCACTGCCGTCAAAATCCCACGTGTATTTCACACTTACAGCACAGCTCCATTAGAACTGACCACATTTCCAGGGCTCCCTAGATACCTGTGGCTAGCGGCTGCCATACTACACCGTGCTGGGCTGTAGAATGGGGATGACAAGACAGGGCGGCGGAGATTGTGTTGGCGTGAAGCGAGGGAAACACTCGGCCGCAGGACAAAACTAAAACAGCAAGGGGGCACCGAAAGACTCAGTAGTCCACGTGAATATCCTGATTATGTTGTAGCTGAGATAATGTAGGGTCCACCCCTACCGGGTCTGTGGGTTTTCTCTTCGCGTGTGTGCGGAGACGAGAGATCGAAGAGATAAAGACAGAAGACAAAGAGATAGGAAGAAAGACAGCTGGGCCCGGGGGACCACTGCCACCAAAGCGCGGAGACAGACAGGTAGTGGCCCCGAGTGCCTGGAGGCGCTGCTATTTATTGTAGTCAAGGCAAGGGGGCAGGGTAAGGAGTGCCAGTCATCTCCAATGATCGATAGGTCACGCGAGTCACGTGTCCACTGGACAGGGGGCCTTTCCCTTTGTGGTAGCCGAGGTGGAGAGGGAGGACAGCAAACGTCAGCGTTTCTTCTATGCACTTATCAGAAAGATCGAAAGACTGTGGTACTCCTACTAGTTCTGCTACTGCTGTCTTCTAAGAACTTAAAAGGAGGAGCCAGGTGTACAGGCTGAACATGAAAGTGAACAAGGAGCGTGACCACTGAAGCACAGCATCACAGGGAGACAGACGTTGGAGCCTCCGGATGACTGCGGGCCGGCCTGGCTAATGTCAGACCTCCCACAAGAGGTGGTGGAGCGGAGCGTTCTCTGTCTCCCCTGGAGAGAGGGAGATTCCCTTTCCGGGTCTGCTAAGTAACGGGTGCCTTCCCAGGCACTGGGGCCACCGCTAGACCAAGGCCTGCTAAGTAACCAGGGCCTTCCCAGGCACTGGCATTACCGCTAGGCCAAGGAGCCCTCCAGCGGCCCTTCTCTGGGCGTGAATGAGGGCTCACACTCTCGTCTTCTGGTCACCTCTCACTGTGGCCCTTCAGCTCCTAACTCTGTGTGGCCTGGTTTCCCCCAAGGTAATCATAATAGAACAGAGATCATTATGGTAATAGAACAAAGAGTGATGCTACAAACTAATGATTAATAATAGTCAGATATAATCCTATCCGTTTCCTATCTCTAGTAAAACTTTTCTTATTCTAATTATTTTCTTCGCTGTACTGGAACAGCTTGTGCCTTCAGGCTCTTGCCTGGGCACCTGGGTGGCTTGCGGCCCACAAGATAAGATACATTGCGTTGAACTATAATTTATGTTGATTGCTGAATGATTTAGGGCGGGGGGTTGGGCACCCCCTGAAATTCTGCCCTGGAGGAGTGGCCTCACCCTAACCCTGGCCGTGGCTAATAATAAGGCCCACCTCTTAGGGCCGTGGAGTGAAATAAGTTTTCCAGGTAATGCGCAGTAGAGCCCTCAGCCCTCCGCTGAAGTTGCGTTAGGAAGGAGGAAGGGAGAGGTAAATGCTGAGCCCGCAGGCGGCAGTCTGTGCCTCGGAGAGAAACTTTATCCCAACCTTGCTGGGGGCCTTGACGCCCACCTTGCCCCAAGAGCACCCCGGCAGCCACCCCTGCCCTCTGGGGTCCTGCCACCCCGAGCCCGACCTTCCCCCTTTTCCCCCGCGCCGGGCCAATAGCCTCCTAACTGCGTCGTGCTCATCACCTTTGCGTCGTTTCTTCGCTCCACAAACGTTTACTGAGCGCCTTCCACACGCCAGGCGCCAGACTCGCGCGGGGAAACAGGGATAAGCACTGAGGAGGGGTCCCAGCCCTCAGCGATGGGATTTCAGAGCGGGAGATAAAGGGTTGCCCAGAAGGGTGGTGAGTGGAATGGCTGATATAAACAACGGGGGCGCGATGAAATACACAGGAGGGCTGCTAGTCACATATGGGGCGGGTGCCGAGGGCCCTTGACTAAGGGAGGCTTCCTGCACGGGTGACACCCAAGCGGAGTCCTGACGACCTGCGTCAGAAGTAGCCGGGCGAGGAGGAGGGGAAAGGAATCCACGTCCCGAGCAGAGAGGCAGCGTTCCCTACACAGCACAGGACACGGTCCGCGCACAGAAGCCGCAGGAGACGCAGGCACAGGGGCTGGGGAGAATCCTTGCTGGGCCCTCGCCGCCTCCCTCTGCCGGGTGTCTGGTGCCAGCCTCCTGCCTGGCAGAGGAACTCCAGCCCCTGCTCCCGGAAGCCCCTCCAGGCCTTCGGCTTCCCTGACTGGGCATGGGCCCCTCGTCCCCTCGTCCCCTCGGGTACGGGGCCGGTCTCCCCGCCCGCGGGCGGCGAAGTAAAGGCCCAGCGCAGCCCGCGCTCCTGCCCTGGGGCCTCGTCTTTCTCCAGGAAAACGTGGACCGCTCTCCGCCGACAGGTCTCTTCCACAGACCCCTGTCGCCTTCGCCCCCGGTCTCTTCCGGTTCTGTCTTTTCGCTGGCTCGATACGAACAAGGAAGTCGCCCCCAGCGGAGCCCCGGCTCCCCCAGGCAGAGGCGGCCCCGGGGGCGGAGTCAACGGCGGAGGCCACGCCCTCTGTGAAAGGGCGGGGCATGCAAATTCGAAATGAAAGCCCGGGAACGCCGGAAGAAGCACGGGTGTAAGATTTCCCTTTTCAAAGGCGGAGAATAAGAAATCAGCCCGAGAGTGTAAGGGCGTCAATAGCGCTGTGGACGAGACAGAGGGAATGGGGCAAGGAGCGAGGCTGGGGCTCTCACCGCGACTTGAATGTGGATGAGAGTGGGACGGTGACGGCGGGCGCGAAGGCGAGCGCATCGCTTCTCGGCCTTTTGGCTAAGATCAAGTGTAGTATCTGTTCTTATCAGTTTAATATCTGATACGTCCTCTATCCGAGGACAATATATTAAATGGATTTTTGGAGCAGGGAGATGGAATAGGAGCTTGCTCCGTCCACTCCACGCATCGACCTGGTATTGCAGTACCTCCAGGAACGGTGCACCCCCTCCGGGGATACAACGTGTTTCCTAAAAGTAGAGGGAGGTAAGAGACGGTAGCACCTGCGGGGCGGCTTGCACGCCGAGTGCCTGTGACGCGCCGGCTTGACTTAACTGCTTCCCTGAAGTACCTTGAGGTTCCTGATGTGCGGGCGGTAGACGGTAGGCTTATGCGGCACGCTTTCGTTTCCACCGTGGCTACTGCGCTTTGGGAAGGCCACGACCTCCTCCTTTGGGGAGGTCCTTAGGATCTCAGCTTGGCAGTCGAGTGGGTGGCGACCTTTTAAAGGAATGGGACCCACCCGGAGTTCTTCTTTCTCCTGTCTCTCTCTCTCTCTCTCTCTCTCTCTGTCTCTCCGTCTCTCTGTGTCTGTCTCTGTCTCTCTGTCTCTCTCTCTGTCTCTCTCTCTCTCTCTCTCTCTCTCTCTCTCTCTCCTCTCTCCTGTCTCTCTCTCTCTTTCCCTCTCTCCCTCTCTTTCCCCCCCCCCCGCCTCTCCCTCGCTCTTTTGGTTTCCCCCACCCCCTCCCAAGTTCTGGGGTACATGTGCAGGACGTGCAGGTTTGGAACATAGGTACACGTGTGCCACGGTGCTTTGCTGCACCTATCCACCAGTCGTCTAGGTTTGAAGCCCCGCATGCGTTGGCTATTTGTCCTAATGCTCTCTCTCCCCTTGCCCCCCACGCCCCGTCAGGGCCCGGCGTGTGATGTTCCCCTCCCTGTGTCCCATGTGTTCTCGCTGTTCAACTCCCACTTAGGAGCGAGAACATGCGGTGTTTGGTTTTCGCTTCCTGTGTCAGTTTGCTGAGAATGAGGCCTTTTCAGCGAGCCGAGATCACGCCGTTGCAGTCCAACCTGAGCGGCCGAGCGAGACTCGATCTCAGAAAATAAAGACAGAATGAAAGAGCCCGGCGCGGTGGCTTACGCCTGTAATCCCAGCGCTTTGGGAGGCCGAGGCGGGCGGATCGCCTGAGGTCAGGAGCTCGAGACCAGCCTGGCCGACATGGCGAAACCCCCTAAAAATACAAAAATTAGCCGGGCGTGGTGGCCTGCGCCTGTAATCCCAGCTACCCAGGAGGCTGAGGCAGGAGAATCGCTGGAACCCGGGAGGTAGAGGCTGCAGTGAGCCGAGATCGCGCCACTGCACTCCCAGCCTGGGCGACAGAGCGAGAGTTTGTTTGGAAAAAAAAAAAAAAAAAAGCCAGGGTGAGCGGTGGCTCAAGCCTGTAATCGCAAGCAACACTTTGGGAGGCGGCAGCTGGGCAGATCACCGGAGGTCGGGAGTTGGAGACCAGCCTGAGCAACGTGGAGAAACCCCATCTGTACTAAAAATACAAAGTTAGCCGGGCGTGGTGGCACATGCCTGTAGTCCCAGCTGCTCGGGAGGCTGAGGCAGGGGAATCGCTTGAACCCGGGAGGCGGAGGTTGCAGAGAGCCTAGATCGCGCCATTGGACTCCAGGCTGGGTAACAAGAGCGGAACCTCCGTCTGAAAAAAAAAAAAAAAAAAAAAAAAATTGGGAGAATTTTGCTCCCACTGCCGTCAAAATCCCATGTGTATTTCACACTTAACAGCGCAGCTCCATTAGAACTGACCACATTTCCAGGGCTCCCTAGATACCTGTGGCTAGCGGCTGCCATACTACACCGTGCTGGGCTGTAGAATGGGGATGACAAGACAGGGCGGCGGAGATTGTGTTGGCGTGAAGCGAGGGAAACACTCGGCCGCAGGACAAAACTAAAACAGCAAGGGGGCACCGAAAGACTCAGTAGTCCACGTGAATATCCTGATTATGTTGTAGCTGAGATAATGTAGGGTCCACCCCTACCGGGTCTGTGGGTTTTCTCTTCGCGTGTGTGCGGAGACGAGAGATCGAAGAGATAAAGACAGAAGACAAAGAGATAGGAAGAAAGACAGCTGGGCCCGGGGGACCACTGCCACCAAAGCGCGGAGACAGACAGGTAGTGGCCCCGAGTGCCTGGAGGCGCTGCTATTTATTGTAGTCAAGGCAAGGGGGCAGGGTAAGGAGTGCCAGTCATCTCCAATGATCGATAGGTCACGCGAGTCACGTGTCCACTGGACAGGGGGCCTTTCCCTTTGTGGTAGCCGAGGTGGAGAGGGAGGACAGCAAACGTCATTATATAATTTAATTTAGTTTTTACAATGTTATTTTGGCCGGGCATGGTGGTTAAAGTTAATCCAGCACTTTGGGAGGCCAAGGTGGGTGGATCAGAGGAGGTCAGGAGTTCAAGACCAGCCTGGCCAACATGGCGAAACCTGGTCTCTACTAAAAGTACAAAAAGTAGCTAGGCATGGTGGCGCTTGCCTGGAATTCCAGCTACCTGGGGAGACTGAGGCATGAGAATCACTTGAATCAGTGAGGTGGAGGTTGCAGTGAGCCAAGATAGTGCCACTGCACTCTGACCTGAGTGATAGAGTGAGACTCTTGTCTCAAAAAAAAATTAAAAACTTTATTTGATTTTATTATTGTAATACAGACAGGGTCTCACTATGTTGCCCTGGCTGGTCTGGAACTCCTGGACTCAAGCAATCCTCCCACCTAAGTCTCCCAAAATGTTGACAAGTGTGAACCACCATGCCTGGCCTTTAATTAATTAATTCACTTATTTATTTTATTTTATTTTTTTGAGATGGAGTCTTGCTCCAGTCTTGCTCCCAGCCGGGCACAGTGGCTCACACTCTGTCTCTCCTGGAGAGAGGGAGATTCCCTTTCCGGGTCTGCTAAGTAACGGGTGCCTTCCCAGGCACTGGGGCCACCGCTAGACCAAGGCCTGCTAAGTAACCAGGGCCTTCCCAGGCACTGGCATTACCGCTAGGCCAAGGAGCCCTCCAGCGGCCCTTCTCTGGGCGTGAATGAGGGCTCACACTCTCGTCTTCTGGTCACCTCTCACTGTGGCCCTTCAGCTCCTAACTCTGTGTGGCCTGGTTTCCCCCAAGGTAATCATAATAGAACAGAGATCATTATGGTAATAGAACAAAGAGTGATGCTACAAACTAATGATTAATAATAGTCAGATATAATCCTATCCGTTTCCTATCTCTAGTAAAACTTTTCTTATTCTAATTATTTTCTTCGCTGTACTGGAACAGCTTGTGCCTTCAGGCTCTTGCCTGGGCACCTGGGTGGCTTGCGGCCCACAAGATAAGATACATTGCGTTGAACTATAATTTATGTTGATTGCTGAATGATTTAGGGCGGGGGGGTGGGCACCCCCTGAAATTCTGCCCTGGAGGAGTGGCCTCACCCTAACCCTGGCCATGGCTAATAATAAGGCCCACCTCTTAGGGCCGTGGAGTGAAATAAGTTTTCCAGGTAATGCGCAGTAGAGCCCTCAGCCCTCCGCTGAAGTTGCGTTAGGAAGGAGGAAGGGAGAGGTAAATGCTGAGCCCGCAGGCGGCAGTCTGTGCCTCGGAGAGAAACTTTATCCCAACCTTGCTGGGGGCCTTGACGCCCACCTTGCCCCAAGAGCACCCCGGCAGCCACCCCTGCCCTCTGGGGTCCTGCCACCCCGAGCCCGACCTTCCCCCTTTTCCCCCGCGCCGGGCCAATAGCCTCCTAACTGCGTCGTGCTCATCACCTTTGCGTCGTTTCTTCGCTCCACAAACGTTTACTGAGCGCCTTCCACACGCCAGGCGCCAGACTCGCGCGGGGAAACAGGGATAAGCACTGAGGAGGGGTCCCAGCCCTCAGCGATGGGATTTCAGAGCGGGAGATAAAGGGTTGCCCAGAAGGGTGGTGAGTGGAATGGCTGATATAAACAACGGGGGCGCGATGAAATACACAGGAGGGCTGCTAGTCACATATGGGGCGGGTGCCGAGGGCCCTTGACTAAGGGAGGCTTCCTGCACGGGTGACACCCAAGCGGAGTCCTGACGACCTGCGTCAGAAGTAGCCGGGCGAGGAGGAGGGGAAAGGAATCCACGTCCCGAGCAGAGAGGCAGCGTTCCCTACACAGCACAGGACACGGTCCGCGCACAGAAGCCGCAGGAGACGCAGGCACAGGGGCTGGGGAGAATCCTTGCTGGGCCCTCGCCGCCTCCCTCTGCCGGGTGTCTGGTGCCAGCCTCCTGCCTGGCAGAGGAACTCCAGCCCCTGCTCCCGGAAGCCCCTCCAGGCCTTCGGCTTCCCTGACTGGGCATGGGCCCCTCGTCCCCTCGTCCCCTCGGGTACGGGGCCGGTCTCCCCGCCCGCGGGCGGCGAAGTAAAGGCCCAGCGCAGCCCGCGCTCCTGCCCTGGGGCCTCGTCTTTCTCCAGGAAAACGTGGACCGCTCTCCGCCGACAGGTCTCTTCCACAGACCCCTGTCGCCTTCGCCCCCGGTCTCTTCCGGTTCTGTCTTTTCGCTGGCTCGATACGAACAAGGAAGTCGCCCCCAGCGGAGCCCCGGCTCCCCCAGGCAGAGGCGGCCCCGGGGGCGGAGTCAACGGCGGAGGCCACGCCCTCTGTGAAAGGGCGGGGCATGCAAATTCGAAATGAAAGCCCGGGAACGCCGGAAGAAGCACGGGTGTAGATTTCCCTTTTCAAGGCGGAGAATAAGAAATCAGCCCGAGAGTGTAAGGGCGTCAATAGCGCTGTGGACGAGACAGAGGGAATGGGGCAAGGAGCGAGGCTGGGGCTCTCACCGCGACTTGAATGTGGATGAGAGTGGGACGGTGACGGCGGGCGCGAAGGCGAGCGCATCGCTTTCTCGGCCTTTTGGCTAAGATCAAGTGTAGTATCTGTTCTTATCAGTTTAATATCTGATACGTCCTCTATCCGAGGACAATATATTAAATGGATTTTTGGAGCAGGGAGATGGAATAGGAGCTTGCTCCGTCCACTCCACGCATCGACCTGGTATTGCAGTACCTCCAGGAACGGTGCACCCCCTCCGGGGATACAACGTGTTTCCTAAAAGTAGAGGGAGGTAAGAGACGGTAGCACCTGCGGGGCGGCTTGCACGCCGAGTGCCTGTGACGCGCCGGCTTGACTTAACTGCTTCCCTGAAGTACCTTGAGGTTCCTGATGTGCGGGCGGTAGACGGTAGGCTTATGCGGCACGCTTTCGTTTCCACCGTGGCTACTGCGCTTTGGGAAGGCCACGACCTCCTCCTTTGGGGAGGTCCTTAGGATCTCAGCTTGGCAGTCGAGTGGGTGGCGACCTTTTAAAGGAATGGGACCCACCCGGAGTTCTTCTTTCTCCTGTCTCTCTCTCTCTCTCTCTCTCTCTCTGTCTCTCCGTCTCTCTGTGTCTGTCTCTGTCTCTCTGTCTCTCTCTCTCTCTCTCTCTCTCCTCTCTCCTGTCTCTCTCTCTCTTTCCCTCTCTCCCTCTCTTTCCCCCCCCCCGCCTCTCCCTCGCTCTTTTGGTTTCCCCCACCCCCTCCCAAGTTCTGGGGTACATGTGCAGGACGTGCAGGTTTGGAACATAGGTACACGTGTGCCACGGTGCTTTGCTGCACCTATCCACCAGTCGTCTAGGTTTGAAGCCCCGCATGCGTTGGCTATTTGTCCTAATGCTCTCTCTCCCCTTGCCCCCCACGCCCCGTCAGGGCCCGGCGTGTGATGTTCCCCTCCCTGTGTCCCATGTGTTCTCGCTGTTCAACTCCCACTTAGGAGCGAGAACATGCGGTGTTTGGTTTTCGCTTCCTGTGTCAGTTTGCTGAGAATGAGGCCTTCCAGCTTCATCCACGTTCCCGCAGAGGTCATGAACTCATCCTTTTTTATGGCTGCGTAGTAATTCCATGCTGTATACGTGCCACACTTTCTTTATCCAGCCTATCATTCATGGGCATTCGAGTTGGTTCCAAGTCTTTGCTATTGTAAATAGTGCTGCAGTAAACATACGTGTCCACGTGTCTTCCTAGTAGGAACTTCTTCCTCTTCAGCCCGCTGAGTAGCTGGCACTTTAAGGCAGGTGCCAACGCACCGGCAGCAAGCTTCCTTTTTTTGCCCGGGAAAAACTGAGGTGCAGGTAGTATAAGCCATTGATCACGGAACGCACAGGAGCCAAAGCTCGAGTCCCAAGCATCGTGGGCTCCACCCCGTCATGCTGGATGCATCTTTAGGCTCCGCTCAAGGCATGTGTATCCTTTACGGGGATCAGCCACCGGCAGTTGCACTTGCGAGCACGATGACAAAACCCTCTGCCGGGCTCTTTGGGGGCGGAGTCAACGGCGGAGGCCCACCGCCCTCTGTGAAAGGGCGGGGGCATGCAAATTCGAAAATGAAAGCCCCGGGAACGCCGGAAGAAGCACGGGTGTAAGATTTCCCTTTTCAAAAGGCGGAGAATAAGAAATCAGCCCGAGAGTGTAAGGGCGTCAATAGCGCTGTGGACGAGACAGAGGGAATGGGGCAAGGAGCGAGGCTGGGGCTCTCACCGCGACTTGAATGTGGATGAGAGTGGGACGGTGACGGCGGGCGCGAAGGCGAGCGCATCGCTTCTCGGCCTTTTGGCTAAGATCAAGTGTAGTATCTGTTCTTATCAGTTTAATATCTGATACGTCCTCTATCCGAGGACAATATATTAAATGGATTTTTGGAGCAGGGAGATGGAATAGGAGCTTGCTCCGTCCACTCCACGCATCGACCTGGTATTGCAGTACCTCCAGGAACGGTGCACCCCCTCCGGGGATACAACGTGTTTCCTAAAAGTAGAGGGAGGTAAGAGACGGTAGCACCTGCGGGGCGGCTTGCACGCCGAGTGCCTGTGACGCGCCGGCTTGACTTAACTGCTTCCCTGAAGTACCTTGAGGTTCCTGATGTGCGGGCGGTAGACGGTAGGCTTATGCGGCACGCTTTCGTTTCCACCGTGGCTACTGCGCTTTGGGAAGGCCATGACCTCCTCCTTTGGGGAGGTCCTTAGGATCTCAGCTTGGCAGTCGAGTGGGTGGCGACCTTTTAAAGGAATGGGACCCACCCGGAGTTCTTCTTTCTCCTGTCTCTCTCTCTCTCTCTCTCTCTCTCTCTCTCTTTCTCTCTCTCTCTCTCTGTCTCTCCGTCTCTCTGTGTCTGTCTCTGTCTCTCTGTCTCTCTCTCTGTCTCTCTCTCTCTCTCTCTCTCTCTCTCTCTCTCCTCTCTCTGTCTCTCTCTCTCTTTCCCTCTCTCTCTCTCTTCCCCCCCCCCCGCCTCTCCCTCGCTCTTTTGGTTTCCCCCACCCCCTCCCAAGTTCTGGGGTACATGTGCAGGACGTGCAGGTTTGGAACATAGGTACACGTGTGCCACGGTGCTTTGCTGCACCTATCCACCAGTCGTCTAGGTTTGAAGCCCCGCATGCGTTGGCTATTTGTCCTAATGCTCTCTCTCCCCTTGCCCCCCACGCCCCGTCAGGGCCCGGCGTGTGATGTTCCCCTCCCTGTGTCCCATGTGTTCTCGCTGTTCAACTCCCACTAAGAGCGAGAACATGCGGTGTTTGGTTTTTCCCTTCCTGTGTCAGTTTGCTGAGAATGAGGCCTTCCAGCCTTCATCCACGTTCCCGCAGAGGTCATGAACTCATCCCTTTTTTTATGGGCTGCTTAGTTTTTCCATGATGTATACCTGCCACTCTTTCTTTATCCAGCCTATCATTCATGGGCATTCCAGTGGGGACCCAGACTTTGCTATTGAAAATAATGCTGCAGTGACAAACCTGTCCACGTGTCTTCCTAAGAGGAACTACTTCCTCTTCAGCCCGCTGAGTAGCTGGCACTTTAAGGCAGGTGCCAACGCACCGGCAGCAAGCTTCCTTTTTTGCCCGGGAAAAACTGAGGTGCAGGTAGTATAAGCCATTGATCACGGAACGCACAGGAGCAGAGCTCGAGTCCAAGCATCGTGGCTCCACCCGTCATGCTGGATGCATTTTTAGGCTCCGCTCTAGGTATGTGTATCCTTTACGGGATCAGCCACCGGTAGTTGCCTTGCGCGCACGATGACAAACCTCTGTCGGCTCTTTTGGGTATAATACCTGTATCTATACGCTGTATACTAACATAAGAAAAAAAAAAAAAAAAGCCAGGGTGAGCGGTGGCTCAAGCCTGTAATCGAAAGCAACACTTTGGGAGGCGGCAGCTGGGCAGATCACCGGAGGTCGGGAGTTGGAGACCAGCCTGAGCAACGTGGAGAAACCCCATCTGTACTAAAAAATACAAAGTTAGCCGGGCGTGGTGGCACATGCCTGTAGTCCCAGCTGCTCGGGAGGCTGAGGCAGGGGAATCGCTTGAACCCGGGAGGCGGAGGTTGCAGAGAGCCTAGATCGCGCCCATTGGACTCCAGGCTGGGTAACAAGAGCGGAACCTCCGTCTGAAAAAAAAAAAAAAAAAAAAAAAATTGGGAGAATTTTGCTCCCACTGCCGTCAAAATCCCACGTGTATTTCACACTTACAGCACAGCTCCATTAGAACTGACCACATTTCCAGGGCTCCCTAGATACCTGTGGCTAGCGGCTGCCATACTACACCGTGCTGGGCTGTAGAATGGGGATGACAAGACAGGGCGGCGGAGATTGTGTTGGCGTGAAGCGAGGGAAACACTCGGCCGCAGGACAAAACTAAAACAGCAAGGGGGCACCGAAAGACTCAGTAGTCCACGTGAATATCCTGATTATGTTGTAGCTGAGATAATGTAGGGTCCACCCCTACCGGGTCTGTGGGTTTTCTCTTCGCGTGTGTGCGGAGACGAGAGATCGAAGAGATAAAGACAGAAGACAAAGAGATAGGAAGAAAGACAGCTGGGCCCGGGGGACCACTGCCACCAAAGCGCGGAGACAGACAGGTAGTGGCCCCGAGTGCCTGGAGGCGCTGCTATTTATTGTAGTCAAGGCAAGGGGGCAGGGTAAGGAGTGCCAGTCATCTCCAATGATCGATAGGTCACGCGAGTCACGTGTCCACTGGACAGGGGGCCTTTCCCTTTGTGGTAGCCGAGGTGGAGAGGGAGGACAGCAAACGTCAGCGTTTCTTCTATGCACTTATCAGAAAGATCGAAGACTGTGGTACTCCTACTAGTTCTGCTACTGCTGTCTTCTAAGAACTTAAAAGGAGGAGCCAGGTGTACAGGCTGAACATGAAAGTGAACAAGGAGCGTGACCACTGAAGCACAGCATCACACTGAACCTTAAATTGGAGCCTCCGGATGACTGCGGGCCGGCCTGGCTAATGTCAGACCTCCCCACAAGAGTGTTGAGCCGAGCGTTCTTCTGTCTCCCCTGGAGAGAGGGGAGATTTCCTTTCCCGGGTCTGCTAAGTAACGGGTGCCTTCCCAGGCACTGGGGCCACCGCTAGACCAAGGCCTGCTAAGTAAACCAGGGCCCTTCCCAGGCACTGGCATTACCGCTAGGCCAAGGAGCCCTCCAGCGGCCCTTCTCTGGGCGTGAATGAGGGCTCACACTCTCGTCTTCTGGTCACCTCTCACTGTGGCCCTTCAGCTCCTAACTCTGTGTGGCCTGGTTTCCCCCAAGGTAATCATAATAGAACAGAGATCATTATGGTAATAGAACAAAGAGTGATGCTACAAACTAATGATTAATAATAGTCAGATATAATCCTATCCGTTTCCTATCTCTAGTAAAACTTTTCTTATTCTAATTATTTTCTTCGCTGTACTGGAACAGCTTGTGCCTTCAGGCTCTTGCCTGGGCACCTGGGTGGCTTGCGGCCCACAAGATAAGATACATTGCGTTGAACTATAATTTATGTTGATTGCTGAATGATTTAGGGCGGGGGGGTGGGCACCCCCTGAAATTCTGCCCTGGAGGAGTGGCCTCACCCTAACCCTGGCCGTGGCTAATAATAAGGCCCACCTCTTAGGGCCGTGGAGTGAAATAAGTTTTCCAGGTAATGCGCAGTAGAGCCCTCAGCCCTCCGCTGAAGTTGCGTTAGGAAGGAGGAAGGGAGAGGTAAATGCTGAGCCCGCAGGCGGCAGTCTGTGCCTCGGAGAGAAACTTTATCCCAACCTTGCTGGGGGCCTTGACGCCCACCTTGCCCCAAGAGCACCCCGGCAGCCACCCCTGCCCTCTGGGGTCCTGCCACCCCGAGCCCGACCTTCCCCCTTTTCCCCCGCGCCGGGCCAATAGCCTCCTAACTGCGTCGTGCTCATCACCTTTGCGTCGTTTCTTCGCTCCACAAACGTTTACTGAGCGCCTTCCACACGCCAGGCGCCAGACTCGCGCGGGGAAACAGGGATAAGCACTGAGGAGGGGTCCCAGCCCTCAGCGATGGGATTTCAGAGCGGGAGATAAAGGGTTGCCCAGAAGGGTGGTGAGTGGAATGGCTGATATAAACAACGGGGGCGCGATGAAATACACAGGAGGGCTGCTAGTCACATATGGGGCGGGTGCCGAGGGCCCTTGACTAAGGGAGGCTTCCTGCACGGGTGACACCCAAGCGGAGTCCTGACGACCTGCGTCAGAAGTAGCCGGGCGAGGAGGAGGGGAAAGGAATCCACGTCCCGAGCAGAGAGGCAGCGTTCCCTACACAGCACAGGACACGGTCCGCGCACAGAAGCCGCAGGAGACGCAGGCACAGGGGCTGGGGAGAATCCTTGCTGGGCCCTCGCCGCCTCCCTCTGCCGGGTGTCTGGTGCCAGCCTCCTGCCTGGCAGAGGAACTCCAGCCCCTGCTCCCGGAAGCCCCTCCAGGCCTTCGGCTTCCCTGACTGGGCATGGGCCCCTCGTCCCCTCGTCCCCTCGGGTACGGGGCCGGTCTCTCCGACAGCGGGTGGCGATGTAAAGGTCCAGCGCAGCCCGCGCTCCTGCATTGGGGCTTGGTCTTTCTTCAGGAAAACGGGGTCCGCTCTCTGTCGACAGTTATCTTCCACAGAACCCGGTCGCATTCGCGCCCGGTCTCTTCCGGGTCTGTTTTTTCGGGGGCTCGATTCGAACAAGGAAGTCGCCCCCAGCGGAGCCCCGGCTCCCCCAGGCAGAGGCGGCCCCGGGGGCGGAGTCAACGGCGGAGGCCACGCCCTCTGTGAAAGGGCGGGGCATGCAAATTCGAAATGAAAGCCCGGGAACGCCGGAAGAAGCACGGGTGTAAGATTTCCCTTTTCAAAGGCGGAGAATAAGAAATCAGCCCGAGAGTGTAAGGGCGTCAATAGCGCTGTGGACGAGACAGAGGGAATGGGGCAAGGAGCGAGGCTGGGGCTCTCACCGCGACTTGAATGTGGATGAGAGTGGGACGGTGACGGCGGGCGCGAAGGCGAGCGCATCGCTTCTCGGCCTTTTGGCTAAGATCAAGTGTAGTATCTGTTCTTATCAGTTTAATATCTGATACGTCCTCTATCCGAGGACAATATATTAAATGGATTTTTGGAGCAGGGAGATGGAATAGGAGCTTGCTCCGTCCACTCCACGCATCGACCTGGTATTGCAGTACCTCCAGGAACGGTGCACCCCCTCCGGGGATACAACGTGTTTCCTAAAAGTAGAGGGAGGTAAGAGACGGTAGCACCTGCGGGGCGGCTTGCACGCCGAGTGCCTGTGACGCGCCGGCTTGACTTAACTGCTTCCCTGAAGTACCTTGAGGTTCCTGATGTGTGGGCGGTAGACGGTAGGCTTATGCGGCACGCTTTCGTTTCCACCGTGGCTACTGCGCTTTGGGAAGGCCATGACCTCCTCCTTTGGGGAGGTCCTTAGGATCTCAGCTTGGCAGTCGAGTGGGTGGCGACCTTTTAAAGGAATGGGACCCACCCGGAGTTCTTCTTTCTCCTGTCTCTCTCTCTCTCTCTCTCTCTCTCTCTCTCTTTCTCTCTCTCTCTCTCTGTCTCTCCGTCTCTCTGTGTCTGTCTCTGTCTCTCTGTCTCTCTCTCTGTCTCTCTCTCTCTCTCTCTCTCTCTCTCTCTCTCCTCTCTCTGTCTCTCTCTCTCTTTCCCTCTCTCTCTCTCTTCCCCCCCCCCGCCTCTCCCTCGCTCTTTTGGTTTCCCCCACCCCCTCCCAAGTTCTGGGGTACATGTGCAGGACGTGCAGGTTTGGAACATAGGTACACGTGTGCCACGGTGCTTTGCTGCACCTATCCACCAGTCGTCTAGGTTTGAAGCCCCGCATGCGTTGGCTATTTGTCCTAATGCTCTCTCTCCCCTTGCCCCCCACGCCCCGTCAGGGCCCGGCGTGTGATGTTCCCCTCCCTGTGTCCCATGTGTTCTCGCTGTTCAACTCCCACTTAGGAGCGAGAACATGCGGTGTTTGGTTTTCGCTTCCTGTGTCAGTTTGCTGAGAATGAGGCCTTCCAGCTTCATCCACGTTCCCGCAGAGGTCATGAACTCATCCTTTTTTATGGCTGCGTAGTAATTCCATGCTGTATACGTGCCACACTTTCTTTATCCAGCCTATCATTCATGGGCATTCGAGTTGGTTCCAAGTCTTTGCTATTGTAAATAGTGCTGCAGTAAACATACGTGTCCACGTGTCTTCCTAGTAGGAACTTCTTCCTCTTCAGCCCGCTGAGTAGCTGGCACTTTAAGGCAGGTGCCAACGCACCGGCAGCAAGCTTCCTTTTTTGCCCGGGAAAAACTGAGGTGCAGGTAGTATAAGCCATTGATCACGGAACGCACAGGAGCAGAGCTCGAGTCCAAGCATCGTGGCTCCACCCGTCATGCTGGATGCATCTTTAGGCTCCGCTCTAGGTATGTGTATCCTTTACGGGATCAGCCACCGGCAGTTGCCTTGCGAGCACGATGACAAACCTCTGCCGGCTCTTTTGGGTCTCATCCCTGTATCTATACGTTGCATCCCAACATAAAGACCGGAATGTTCCTTTCGCTGACCCAGTCTCTCACCCTTTCCAAACTCCAGAAATCTTGTCTGTCCTCGGAAGAACTCCCCCTGCTTCTTTCTCTAAAGGCTGTCTTCAGGCCGGGCACAGTGGGAGGATCGCTTGAGCCCAGAAGGCCGCAGTGAGGTGAGATCGCGCCATTGCACTGCAGCCCCCGGCGGCAGAGCCGGAGCCCCGTCTCGAAACAAACAAACAAAAACCAACCAACCAACCAACCAACCAACAAACAAACACAGACAAAGAAAGAAAGAGCCCAGGCAACCTAGTGAAAACCTGTTCGGGCTGGGGCGTACCTGTACCCCAGCTGTTCCGGAGGCTGAGGCCAGGAGGATGGGTGGACGCTGGGAGGTGGATGCTGCAGTGAGCAGTGATTGCACCACTGCACTCCAGCCTGGGTGACAGAGCCAGACCCCGTCCCAAATAAATAAACATAAAAATAAAGGAACCAGTTTGTAGAAAGCGGGGAGAGGGTCCCATTGAACTTCAAGCCTTCGAGCAACAGCTGTGGCTGGACAGGTTTGGACCAGCAGGCTGGAGCAGTCGCCATCTTGGCAGGGATCATTGACCCTGATCTATCGTCGGGAGGAGGAAGAGCTGATCTTACGCAGGGAGGGCAGGTGGACTATGTGTGGACTCTGGTGACCTGTTTGGGTGCCAGGTGTTACTCCCAGGGCCACCCGTAACTGTGAATGTGCAGGAACCCTGACTTGAGAAGGGCCTGGCCACGGGGGGCTTAGGCCCCTGGGGAATGAGAGTTTGGTTCCCGGTACCCAGGGAAACCACCAGCATCGGCAGAGGTGATAGCTGAGGAGGAGCGGGGATTTGGACGAGAGACACAGGATGAGTACCGGGGGGCAGCCCCGTGATCAACAACTGCTGCAAGAGGGGCCGTTTGTTCGACTCGCTAGTCTTCTGCGGCTCTATGCGGTACTAAAGAGCAGAAGACAGAAGATACAAAAACCACAAAAAGTAGCCGGGCGTGGTGCTGCCCGTCAATAATCCCAGCTACTCGGGAGGCTGAGACAGGAGAATCGCTTGAACCCGGGAGGCGGAAGTTTCAGCGAGCCGAGATCACGCCGTTGCAGTCCAACCTGAGCGTCCGAGCGAGACTCTATCTCAGAAAATAAAGACAGAATGAAAGAGCCCGGCGCGGCTGTACGCCTGTAATCCCAGCGCTTTGGGAGGCCGAGGCGGCGGATCGCCTGAGGTCAGGAGCTCGAGACCAGCCTGGCCGACATGGCGAAACCCCCTAAAAATACAAAAATTAGCCGGGCGTGGTGCGCTGCGCCTGTAATCCCAGCTACCCAGGAGGCTGAGGCAGGAGAATCGCTGGAACCCGGGAGGTAGAGGCTGCAGTGAGCCGAGAATGCGCCACTGCACTCCAGCCTGGGCGACAGAGCGAGAGTTTGTCTGGAAAAAAAAAAAAAAAAAGCCAGGGTGAGCGGTGCTCAAGCCTGTAATCGCAAGCAACACTTTGGGAGGCGGCAGCTGGGCAGATCTCTCCCAAGAAGGGAGTTGGAGACCAGCCTGAGCAACGGGGGGGGAGGGGAGGGAGGTACTAAAAATACAAAAATTAGCCGGGCGTGGTGGCCTGCGCCTGTAATCCCAGCTACCCAGGAGGCTGAGGCAGGAGAATCGCTGGAACCCGGGAGGTAGAGGCTGCAGTGAGCCGAGATCGCGCCACTGCACTCCAGCCTGGGCGACAGAGCGAGAGTTTGTCTGGAAAAAAAAAAAAAAAAGCCAGGGTGAGCGGTGGCTCAAGCCTGTAATCGCAAGCAACACTTTGGGAGGCGGCAGCTGGGCAGATCACCGGAGGTCGGGAGTTGGAGACCAGCCTGAGCAACGTGGAGAAACCCCATCTGTACTAAAAATACAAAGTTAGCCGGGCGTGGTGGCACATGCCTGTAGTCCCAGCTGCTCGGGAGGCTGAGGCAGGGGAATCGCTTGAACCCGGGAGGCGGAGGTTGCAGAGAGCCTAGATCGCGCCATTGGACTCCAGGCTGGGTAACAAGAGCGGAACCTCCGTCTGAAAAAAAAAAAAAAAAAAAAAAATTGGGAGAATTTTGCTCCCACTGCCGTCAAAATCCCACGTGTATTTCACACTTACAGCACAGCTCCATTAGAACTGACCACATTTCCAGG
Organism: Homo sapiens; assembly: GCF_000001405.40. Classification (NCBI taxonomy): domain Eukaryota; kingdom Metazoa; phylum Chordata; class Mammalia; order Primates; family Hominidae; genus Homo; species Homo sapiens. Next base: position 43,263,117 of record NC_000017.11, on the reverse strand, counting down.
GCTCCCTAGATACCTGTGGCTAGCGGCTGCCATACTACACCGTGCTGGGCTGTAGAATGGGGATGACAAGACAGGGCGGCGGAGATTGTGTTGGCGTGAAGCGAGGGAAACACTCGGCCGCAGGACAAAACTAAAACAGCAAGGGGGCACCGAAAGACTCAGTAGTCCACGTGAATATCCTGATTATGTTGTAGCTGAGATAATGTAGGGTCCACCCCTACCGGGTCTGTGGGTTTTCTCTTCGCGTGTGTGCGGAGACGAGAGATCGAAGAGATAAAGACAGAAGACAAAGAGATAGGAAGAAAGACAGCTGGGCCCGGGGGACCACTGCCACCAAAGCGCGGAGACAGACAGGTAGTGGCCCCGAGTGCCTGGAGGCGCTGCTATTTATTGTAGTCAAGGCAAGGGGGCAGGGTAAGGAGTGCCAGTCATCTCCAATGATCGATAGGTCACGCGAGTCACGTGTCCACTGGACAGGGGGCCTTTCCCTTTGTGGTAGCCGAGGTGGAGAGGGAGGACAGCAAACGTCAGCGTTTCTTCTATGCACTTATCAGAAAGATCGAAGACTGTGTACTCCTACTAGTTCTGCTACTGCTGTCTTCTAAGAACTTAAAAGGAGGAGCCAGGTGTACAGGCTGAACATGAAAGTGAACAAGGAGCGTGACCACTGAAGCACAGCATCACAGGGAGACAGACGTTGGAGCCTCCGGATGACTGCGGGCCGGCCTGGCTAATGTCAGACCTCCCACAAGAGGTGGTGGAGCGGAGCGTTCTCTGTCTCCCCTGGAGAGAGGGAGATTCCCTTTCCGGGTCTGCTAAGTAACGGTGCTTCCCAGCACTGGGGCCACCGCTAGACCAAGGCCTGCTAAGTAACCAGGCGCTTCCCAGGCACTGGCATTACCGCTAGGCCAAGGAGCCCTCCAGCGGCCCTTCTCTGGGCGTGAATGAGGGCTCACACTCTCGTCTTCTGGTCACCTCTCACTGTGGCCCTTCAGCTCCTAACTCTGTGTGGCCTGGTTTCCCCCAAGGTAATCATAATAGAACAGAGATCATTATGGTAATAGAACAAAGAGTGATGCTACAAACTAATGATTAATAATAGTCAGATATAATCCTATCCGTTTCCTATCTCTAGTAAAACTTTTCTTATTCTAATTATTTTCTTCGCTGTACTGGAACAGCTTGTCCTTCAGCTCTTGCCTGGGCACCTGGGTGGCTTGCGGCCCACAAGATAAGATACATTGCGTTGAACTATAATTTATGTTGATTGCTGAATGATTTAGGGCGCGGGTTGGCACCCCCTGAAATTCTGCCCTGGAGGAGTGCCTCACCCTAACCCTGGCATGGCTAATAATAAGGCCCACCTCTTAGGGCCGTGGAGTGAAATAAGTTTTCCAGGTAATGCGCAGTAGAGCCCTCAGCCCTCCGCTGAAGTTGCGTTAGGAAGGAGGAAGGGAGAGGTAAATGCTGAGCCCAGGCGGCAGTCTGTGCCTCGGAGAGAAACTTTATCCCAACCTTGCTGGGGCCTTGACGCCCACCTTGCCCCAAGAGCACCCCTGCAGCCACCCCATGCCTCTGGGGTCCTGCCACCCCGAGCCCGACCTTCCCCTTTTTCCCCCGCGCCGGGCCAATAGCCTCCTAACTGCGTCGTGCTCATCACCTTTGCGTCGTTTCTTCGCTCCACAAACGTTTACTGAGCGCCTTCCACAGGGGGCCTGGCCACGGGGGGGCTTTAGGCCCCTGGGGAATGAGAGTTTTGGTTCCCGGTACCCAGGGAAACCACCAGCATCGGCAGAGGTGATAGCTGAGGAGGAGCGGGGATTTGGACGAGAGACACAGGATGAGTACCGGGGGGCAGCCCCGTGATCAACAACTGCTGCAAGAGGGGCCGTTTGTTCGACTCGCTAGTCTTCTGCGGCTCTATGCGGTACTAAAGAGCAGAAGACAGAAGATACAAAAACCACAAAAAGTAGCCGGGCGTGGTGCTGCCCGTCAATAATCCCAGCTACTCGGGAGGCTGAGACAGGAGAATCGCTTGAACCCGGGAGGCGGAAGTTTCAGCGAGCCGAGATCACGCCGTTGCAGTCCAACCTGAGCGTCCGAGCGAGACTCTATCTCAGAAAATAAAGACAGAATGAAAGAGCCCGGCGCGGTGGCTTACGCCTGTAATCCCAGCGCTTTGGGAGGCCGAGGCGGGCGGATCGCCTGAGGTCAGGAGCTCGAGACCAGCCTGGCCGACATGGCGAAACCCCCTAAAAATACAAAAATTAGCCGGGCGTGGTGGCCTGCGCCTGTAATCCCAGCTACCCAGGAGGCTGAGGCAGGAGAATCGCTGGAACCCGGGAGGTAGAGGCTGCAGTGAGCCGAGATCGCGCCACTGCACTCCAGCCTGGGCGACAGAGCGAGAGTTTGTCTGGAAAAAAAAAAAAAAAAAGCCAGGGTGAGCGGTGGCTCAAGCCTGTAATCGAAAGCAACACTTTGGGAGGCGGCAGCTGGGCAGATCACCGGAGGTCGGGAGTTGGAGACCAGCCTGAGCAACGTGGAGAAACCCCATCTGTACTAAAAATACAAAGTTAGCCGGGCGTGGTGGCACATGCCTGTAGTCCCAGCTGCTCGGGAGGCTGAGGCAGGGGAATCGCTTGAACCCGGGAGGCGGAGGTTGCAGAGAGCCTAGATCGCGCCATTGGACTCCAGGCTGGGTAACAAGAGCGGAACCTCCGTCTGAAAAAAAAAAAAAAAAAAAAAAAATTGGGAGAATTTTGCTCCCACTGCCGTCAAAATCCCACGTGTATTTCACACTTACAGCACAGCTCCATTAGAACTGACCACATTTCCAGGGCTCCCTAGATACCTGTGGCTAGCGGCTGCCATACTACACCGTGCTGGGCTGTAGAATGGGGATGACAAGACAGGGCGGCGGAGATTGTGTTGGCGTGAAGCGAGGGAAACACTCGGCCGCAGGACAAAACTAAAACAGCAAGGGGGCACCGAAAGACTCAGTAGTCCACGTGAATATCCTGATTATGTTGTAGCTGAGATAATGTAGGGTCCACCCTACCGGGTCTGTGGGTTTTCTCTTCGCGTGTGTGCGGAGACGAGAGATCGAAGAGATAAAGACAGAAGACAAAGAGATAGGAAGAAAGACAGCTGGGCCCGGGGGACCACTGCCACCAAAGCGCGGAGACAGACAGGTAGTGCCCCGAGTGCCTGGAGGGCTGCTATTTATTGTAGTCAAGGCAAGGGGGCAGGTAAGGTATGCCAGTCATCTCCAATGATCGTGCTGCCCGTCAATAATCCCAGCTACTCGGGAGGCTGAGACAGGAGAATCGCTTGAACCCGGGAGGCGGAAGTTTCAGCGAGCCGAGATCACGCCGTTGCAGTCCAACCTGAGCGTCCGAGCGAGACTCTATCTCAGAAAATAAAGACAGAATGAAAGAGCCCGGCGCGGTGGCTTACGCCTGTAATCCCAGCGCTTTGGGAGGCCGAGGCGGGCGGATCGCCTGAGGTCAGGAGCTCGAGACCAGCCTGGCCGACATGGCGAAACCCCCTAAAAATACAAAAATTAGCCGGGCGTGGTGGCCTGCGCCTGTAATCCCAGCTACCCAGGAGGCTGAGGCAGGAGAATCGCTGGAACCCGGGAGGTAGAGGCTGCAGTGAGCCGAGATCGCGCCACTGCACTCCAGCCTGGGCGACAGAGCGAGAGTTTGTCTGGAAAAAAAAAAAAAAAAAGCCAGGGTGAGCGGTGGCTCAAGCCTGTAATCGCAAGCAACACTTTGGGAGGCGGCAGCTGGGCAGATCACCGGAGGTCGGGAGTTGGAGACCAGCCTGAGCAACGTGGAGAAACCCCATCTGTACTAAAAATACAAAGTTAGCCGGGCGTGGTGGCACATGCCTGTAGTCCCAGCTGCTCGGGAGGCTGAGGCAGGGGAATCGCTTGAACCCGGGAGGCGGAGGTTGCAGAGAGCCTAGATCGCGCCACTGGACTCCAGGCTGGGTAACAAGAGCGGAACCTCCGTCTGGAAAAAAAAAAAAAAAAGCCAGGGTGAGCGGTGGCTCAAGCCTGTAATCGCAAGCAACACTTTGGGAGGCGGCAGCTGGGCAGATCACCGGAGGTCGGGAGTTGGAGACCAGCCTGAGCAACGTGGAGAAACCCCATCTGTACTAAAAATACAAAGTTAGCCGGGCGTGGTGGCACATGCCTGTAGTCCCAGCTGCTCGGGAGGCTGAGGCAGGGGAATCGCTTGAACCCGGGAGGCGGAGGTTGCAGAGAGCCTAGATCGCGCCATTGGACTCCAGGCTGGGTAACAAGAGCGGAACCTCCGTCTGAAAAAAAAAAAAAAAAAAAAAAATTGGGAGAATTTTGCTCCCACTGCCGTCAAAATCCCACGTGTATTTCACACTTACAGCACAGCTCCATTAGAACTGACCACATTTCCAGGGCTCCCTAGATACCTGTGGCTAGCGGCTGCCATACTACACCGTGCTGGGCTGTAGAATGGGGATGACAAGACAGGGCGGCGGAGATTGTGTTGGCGTGAAGCGAGGGAAACACTCGGCCGCAGGACAAAACTAAAACAGCAAGGGGGCACCGAAAGACTCAGTAGTCCACGTGAATATCCTGATTATGTTGTAGCTGAGATAATGTAGGGTCCACCCCTACCGGGTCTGTGGGTTTTCTCTTCGCGTGTGTGCGGAGACGAGAGATCGAAGAGATAAAGACAGAAGACAAAGAGATAGGAAGAAAGACAGCTGGGCCCGGGGGACCACTGCCACCAAAGCGCGGAGACAGACAGGTAGTGGCCCCGAGTGCCTGGAGGCGCTGCTATTTATTGTAGTCAAGGCAAGGGGGCAGGGTAAGGAGTGCCAGTCATCTCCAATGATCGATAGGTCACGCGAGTCACGTGTCCACTGGACAGGGGGCCTTTCCCTTTGTGGTAGCCGAGGTGGAGAGGGAGGACAGCAAACGTCAGCGTTTCTTCTATGCACTTATCAGAAAGATCGAAGACTGTGGTACTCCTACTAGTTCTGCTACTGCTGTCTTCTAAGAACTTAAAAGGAGGAGCCAGGTGTACAGGCTGAACATGAAAGTGAACAAGGAGCGTGACCACTGAAGCACAGCATCACAGGGAGACAGACGTTGGAGCCTCCGGATGACTGCGGGCCGGCCTGGCTAATGTCAGACCTCCCACAAGAGGTGGTGGAGCGGAGCGTTCTCTGTCTCCCCTGGAGAGAGGGAGATTCCCTTTCCGGGTCTGCTAAGTAACGGGTGCCTTCCCAGGCACTGGGGCCACGCTAGACCAAGGCCTGCTAAGTAACCAGGGCCTTCCCAGGCACTGGCATTACCGCTAGGCCAAGGAGCCCTCCAGCGGCCCTTCTCTGGGCGTGAATGAGGGCTCACACTCTCGTCTTCTGGTCACCTCTCACTGTGGCCCTTCAGCTCCTAACTCTGTGTGGCCTGGTTTCCCCCAAGGTAATCATAATAGAACAGAGATCATTATGGTAATAGAACAAAGAGTGATGCTACAAACTAATGATTAATAATAGTCAGATATAATCCTATCCGTTTTCCTATCTCTAGTAAAACTTTTCTTATTCTAATTATTTTCTTCGCTGTACTGGAACAGCTTGTGCCTTCAGGTCTTGCTGGGCACCTGGGTGGCTTGCGGCCACAAGATAAGATACATTGCGTTGAACTATAATTTATGTTGATTGCTGAATGATTTAGGGCGGGGGGGTGGCACCCCTGAAATTCTGCCCTGGAGGAGTGGCCTCACCCTAACCCTGGCCGTGGTAATAATAAGGCCACCTCTTAGGGCGTGGAGTGAAATAAGTTTTCCAGGTAATGCGCAGTAGAGCCCTCAGCCCTCCGCTGAAGTTGCGTTGGAAGGAGGAAGGGAGAGGTAAATGCTGAGCCCGCAGGGCCAGATCTGTGCCTCGGAGAAAACTTTATCCCACCTTGCTGGGGGGTCTTATGCGGCTCTATGCGGTAGTAAAGAGCAGAAGACAGAAGATACAAAAACCACAAAAAGTAGCCGGGCGTGGTGCTGCCCGTCAATAATCCCAGCTACTCGGGAGGCTGAGACAGGAGAATCGCTTGAACCCGGGAGGCGGAAGTTTCAGCGAGCCGAGATCACGCCGTTGCAGTCCAACCTGAGCGTCCGAGCGAGACTCTATCTCAGAAAATAAAGACAGAATGAAAGAGCCCGGCGCGGTGGCTTACGCCTGTAATCCCAGCGCTTTGGGAGGCCGAGGCGGGCGGATCGCCTGAGGTCAGGAGCTCGAGACCAGCCTGGCCGACATGGCGAAACCCCCTAAAAATACAAAAATTAGCCGGGCGTGGTGGCCTGCGCCTGTAATCCCAGCTACCCAGGAGGCTGAGGCAGGAGAATCGCTGGAACCCGGGAGGTAGAGGCTGCAGTGAGCCGAGATCGCGCCACTGCACTCCAGCCTGGGCGACAGAGCGAGAGTTTGTCTGGAAAAAAAAAAAAAAAAAGCCAGGGTGAGCGGTGGCTCAAGCCTGTAATCGCAAGCAACACTTTGGGAGGCGGCAGCTGGGCAGATCACCGGAGGTCGGGAGTTGGAGACCAGCCTGAGCAACGTGGAGAAACCCCATCTGTACTAAAAATACAAAGTTAGCCGGGCGTGGTGGCACATGCCTGTAGTCCCAGCTGCTCGGGAGGCTGAGGCAGGGGAATCGCTTGAACCCGGGAGGCGGAGGTTGCAGAGAGCCTAGATCGCGCCACTGGACTCCAGGCTGGGTAACAAGAGCGGAACCTCCGTCTGAAAAAAAAAAAAAAAAAAAAAAATTGGGAGAATTTTGCTCCCACTGCCGTCAAAATCCCACGTGTATTTCACACTTACAGCACAGCTCCATTAGAACTGACCACATTTCCAGGGCTCCCTAGATACCTGTGGCTAGCGGCTGCCATACTACACCGTGCTGGGCTGTAGAATGGGGATGACAAGACAGGGCGGCGGAGATTGTGTTGGCGTGAAGCGAGGGAAACACTCGGCCGCAGGACAAAACTAAAACAGCAAGGGGGCACCGAAAGACTCAGTAGTCCACGTGAATATCCTGATTATGTTGTAGCTGAGATAATGTAGGGTCCACCCCTACCGGGTCTGTGGGTTTTCTCTTCGCGTGTGTGCGGAGACGAGAGATCGAAGAGATAAAGACAGAAGACAAAGAGATAGGAAGAAAGACAGCTGGGCCCGGGGGACCACTGCCACCAAAGCGCGGAGACAGACAGGTAGTGGCCCCGAGTGCCTGGAGGCGCTGCTATTTATTGTAGTCAAGGCAAGGGGGCAGGGTAAGGAGTGCCAGTCATCTCCAATGATCGATAGGTCACGCGAGTCACGTGTGCACTGGACAGGGGGCCTTTCCCTTTGTGGTAGCCGAGGTGGAGAGGGAGGACAGCAAACGTCAGCGCAAGCTGAAACAACTTATCAGAAAGATCGAAGACTGTGGTACTCCTACTAGTATGCTACTCGTACCTGTACCCCAGCTGTTCCGGAGCTGAGGCCAGGAGGATGGGTGGACGCTGGGAGGTGGATGCTGCTGTGAGCAGTGATTGCACCACTGCACTCCAGCCTGGGTGACAGAGCCAGACCCCGTCCCAAATAAATAAACATAAAAATAAAGGAACCAGTTTGTAGAAAGCGGGAGAGGGTCCCATTGAACTTCAAGCCTTCGAGCAACAGCTGTGGCTGGACAGGTTGGACCAGCAGGCTGGAGCAGTCGCCATCTTGGCAGGGATCATTGACCCTGATCTATCGTCGGGAGGAGGAAGAGCTGATCTTACGCAGGGAGGGCAGGTGGACTATGTGTGGACTCTGGTGACCTGTTTGGGTGCCAGGTGTTACTCCCAGGGCCACCCGTAACTGTGAATGTGCAGGAACCCTGACTTGAGAAGGGCCTGGCCACGGGGGGGCTTAGGGCCCCTGGGGAATGAGAGTTTGGTTCCCGGTACCCAGGGAAACCACCAGCATCGGCAGAGGTGATAGCTGAGGAGGAGCGGGGATTTGGACGAGAGACACAGGATGAGTACCGGGGGGCAGCCCCGTGATCAACAACTGCTGCAAGAGGGGCCGTTTGTTCGACTCGCTAGTCTTCTGCGGCTCTATGCGGTACTAAAGAGCAGAAGACAGAAGATACAAAAACCACAAAAAGTAGCCGGGCGTGGTGCTGCCCGTCAATAATCCCAGCTACTCGGGAGGCTGAGACAGGAGAATCGCTTGAACCCGGGAGGCGGAAGTTTCAGCGAGCCGAGATCACGCCGTTGCAGTCCAACCTGAGCGTCCGAGCGAGACTCTATCTCAGAAAATAAAGACAGAATGAAAGAGCCCGGCGCGGTGGCTTACGCCTGTAATCCCAGCGCTTTGGGAGGCCGAGGCGGGCGGATCGCCTGAGGTCAGGAGCTCGAGACCAGCCTGGCCGACATGGCGAAACCCCCTAAAAATACAAAAATTAGCCGGGCGTGGTGGCCTGCGCCTGTAATCCCAGCTACCCAGGAGGCTGAGGCAGGAGAATCGCTGGAACCCGGGAGGTAGAGGCTGCAGTGAGCCGAGATCGCGCCACTGCACTCCAGCCTGGGCGACAGAGCGAGAGTTTGTCTGGAAAAAAAAAAAAAAAAGCCAGGGTGAGCGGTGGCTCAAGCCTGTAATCGCAAGCAACACTTTGGGAGGCGGCAGCTGGGCAGATCACCGGAGGTCGGGAGTTGGAGACCAGCCTGAGCAACGTGGAGAAACCCCATCTGTACTAAAAATACAAAGTTAGCCGGGCGTGGTGGCACATGCCTGTAGTCCCAGCTGCTCGGGAGGCTGAGGCAGGGGAATCGCTTGAACCCGGGAGGCGGAGGTTGCAGAGAGCCTAGATCGCGCCATTGGACTCCAGGCTGGGTAACAAGAGCGGAACCTCCGTCTGAAAAAAAAAAAAAAAAAAAAAAAAAATTGGGAGAATTTTGCTCCCACTGCCGTCAAAATCCCACGTGTATTTCACACTTACAGCACAGCTCCATTAGAACTGACCACATTTCCAGGGCTCCCTAGATACCTGTGGCTAGCGGCTGCCATACTACACCGTGCTGGGCTGTAGAATGGGGATGACAAGACAGGGCGGCGGAGATTGTGTTGGCGTGAAGCGAGGGAAACACTCGGCCGCAGGACAAAACTAAAACAGCAAGGGGGCACCGAAAGACTCAGTAGTCCACGTGAATATCCTGATTATGTTGTAGCTGAGATAATGTAGGGTCCACCCCTACCGGGTCTGTGGGTTTTCTCTTCGCGTGTGTGCGGAGACGAGAGATCGAAGAGATAAAGACAGAAGACAAAGAGATAGGAAGAAAGACAGCTGGGCCCGGGGGACCACTGCCACCAAAGCGCGGAGACAGACAGGTAGTGGCCCCGAGTGCCTGGAGGCGCTGCTATTTATTGTAGTCAAGGCAAGGGGGCAGGGTAAGGAGTGCCAGTCATCTCCAATGATCGATAGGTCACGCGAGTCACGTGTGCACTGGACAGGGGGCCTTTCCCTTTGTGGTAGCCGAGGTGGAGAGGGAGGACAGCAAACGTCAGCGTTTCTTCTATGCACTTATCAGAAAGATCGAAGACTGTGGTACTCCTACTAGTTCTGCTACTGCTGTCTTCTAAGAACTTAAAAGGAGGAGCCAGGTGTACAGGCTGAACATGAAAGTGAACAAGGAGCGTGACCACTGAAGCACAGCATCACAGGGAGACAGACGTTGGAGCCTCCGGATGACTGCGGGCCGGCCTGGCTAATGTCAGACCTCCCACAAGAGGTGGTGGAGCGGAGCGTTCTCTGTCTCCCCTGGAGAGAGGGAGATTCCCTTTCCGGGTCTGCTAAGTAACGGGTGCCTTCCCAGGCACTGGGGCCACCGCTAGACCAAGGCCTGCTAAGTAACCAGGGCCTTCCCAGGCACTGGCATTACCGCTAGGCCAAGGAGCCCTCCAGCGGCCCTTCTCTGGGCGTGAATGAGGGCTCACACTCTCGTCTTCTGGTCACCTCTCACTGTGGCCCTTCAGCTCCTAACTCTGTGTGGCCTGGTTTCCCCCAAGGTAATCATAATAGAACAGAGATCATTATGGTAATAGAACAAAGAGTGATGCTACAAACTAATGATTAATAATAGTCAGATATAATCCTATCCGTTTCCTATCTCTAGTAAAACTTTTCTTATTCTAATTATTTTCTTCGCTGTACTGGAACAGCTTGTGCCTTCAGGCTCTTGCCTGGGCACCTGGGTGGCTTGCGGCCCACAAGATAAGATACATTGCGTTGAACTATAATTTATGTTGATTGCTGAATGATTTAGGGCGGGGGGGTGGGCACCCCCTGAAATTCTGCCCTGGAGGAGTGGCCTCACCCTAACCCTGGCCGTGGCTAATAATAAGGCCCACCTCTTAGGGCCGTGGAGTGAAATAAGTTTTCCAGGTAATGCGCAGTAGAGCCCCTCAGCCCTCCGCTGAAGTTGCGTTAGGGAAGGACGGGAGAGGTAAATGCTGAGCCCGCAGGCGCCAGTCTGTGCTCGGAAAGAACTTTATCCAGCTTGCTGGGGGTTCCCCCGTCCCCTCGGGTACGGGGCCCGGTTACTTACCCGGGCGGCGAAGTAAAAGGCCCACGCAGCCCGCGCTCCTGCCTGGGGCCTCGTCTTTCTCCAGGAAAACGTGGACCGCTCTCCGCCGACAGGTCTCTTCCACAGACCCCTGTCGCCTTCGCCCCCGGTCTCTTCCGGTTCTGTCTTTTCGCTGGCTCGATACGAACAAGGAAGTCGCCCCCAGCGGAGCCCCGGCTCCCCCAGGCAGAGGCGGCCCCGGGGGCGGAGTCAACGGCGGAGGCCACGCCCTCTGTGAAAGGGCGGGGCATGCAAATTCGAAATGAAAGCCCGGGAACGCCGGAAGAAGCACGGGTGTAAGATTTCCCTTTTCAAAGGCGGAGAATAAGAAATCAGCCCGAGAGTGTAAGGGCGTCAATAGCGCTGTGGACGAGACAGAGGGAATGGGGCAAGGAGCGAGGCTGGGGCTCTCACCGCGACTTGAATGTGGATGAGAGTGGGACGGTGACGGCGGGCGCGAAGGCGAGCGCATCGCTTCTCGGCCTTTTGGCTAAGATCAAGTGTAGTATCTGTTCTTATCAGTTTAATATCTGATACGTCCTCTATCCGAGGACAATATATTAAATGGATTTTTGGAGCAGGGAGATGGAATAGGAGCTTGCTCCGTCCACTCCACGCATCGACCTGGTATTGCAGTACCTCCAGGAACGGTGCACCCCCTCCGGGGATACAACGTGTTTCCTAAAAGTAGAGGGAGGTAAGAGACGGTAGCACCTGCGGGGCGGCTTGCACGCCGAGTGCCTGTGACGCGCCGGCTTGACTTAACTGCTTCCCTGAAGTACCGTGAGGTTCCTGATGTGCGGGCGGTAGACGGTAGGCTTATGTGGCACGCTTTCGTTTCCACCGTGGCTACTGCGCTTTGGGAAGGCCACGACCTCCTCCTTTGGGGAGGTCCTTAGGATCTCAGCTTGGCAGTCGAGTGGGTGGCGACCTTTTAAAGGAATGGGACCCACCCGGAGTTCTTCTTTCTCCTGTCTCTCTCTCTCTCTCTCTCTTTCTCTCTCTCTCTCTCTGTCTCTCCGTCTCTCTGTGTCTGTCTCTGTCTCTCTGTCTCTCTCTCTGTCTCTCTCTCTCTCTCTCTCTCTCTCACTCTCTCTCTCCTCTCTCTGTCTCTCTCTCTCTTTCCCTCTCTCTCTCTCTTTCCCCCCCCCGCCTCTCCCTCGCTCTTTTGGTTTCCCCCACCCCCTCCCAAGTTCTGGGGTACATGTGCAGGACGTGCAGGTTTGGAACATAGGTACACGTGTGCCACGGTGCTTTGCTGCACCTATCCACCAGTCGTCTAGGTTTGAAGCCCCGCATGCGTTGGCTATTTGTCCTAATGCTCTCTCTCCCCTTGCCCCCCACGCCCCGTCAGGGCCCGGCGTGTGATGTTCCCCTCCCTGTGTCCCATGTGTTCTCGCTGTTCAACTCCCACTTAGGAGCGAGAACATGCGGTGTTTGGTTTTCGCTTCCTGTGTCAGTTTGCTGAGAATGAGGCCTTCCAGCTTCATCCACGTTCCCGCAGAGGTCATGAACTCATCCTTTTTTATGGCTGCGTAGTAATTCCATGCTGTATACGTGCCACACTTTCTTTATCCAGCCTATCATTCATGGGCATTCGAGTTGGTTCCAAGTCTTTGCTATTGTAAATAGTGCTGCAGTAAACATACGTGTCCACGTGTCTTCCTAGTAGGAACTTCTTCCTCTTCAGCCCGCTGAGTAGCTGGCACTTTAAGGCAGGTGCCAACGCACCGGCAGCAAGCTTCCTTTTTTGCCCGGGAAAAACTGAGGTGCAGGTAGTATAAGCCATTGATCACGGAACGCACAGGAGCAGAGTCGAGTCCAAGCATCGTGGCTCCACCCGTCATGCTGGATGCATCTTTAGGCTCCGCTCTAGGTATGTGTATCCTTTACGGGATCAGCCACCGGCAGTTGCCTTGCGAGCACGATGACAAACCTCTGCCGGCTCTTTTGGGTCTCATCCCTGTATCTATACGTTGCATCCCAACATAAAGACCGGAATGTTCCTTTCGCTGACCCAGTCTCTCACCCTTTCCAAACTCCAGAAATCTTGTCTGTCCTCGGAAGAACTCCCCCTGCTTCTTTCTCTAAAGGCTGTCTTCAGGCCGGGCACAGTGGGAGGATCGCTTGAGCCCAGAAGGCCGCAGTGAGGTGAGATCGCGCCATTGCACTGCAGCCCCCGGCGGCAGAGCCGGAGCCCCGTCTCGAAACAAACAAACAAAAACCAACCAACCAACCAACCAACCAACAAACAAACACAGACAAAGAAAGAAAGAGCCCAGGCAACCTAGTGAAAACCTGTTCGGGCTGGGGCGTACCTGTACCCCAGCTGTTCCGGAGGCTGAGGCCAGGAGGATGGGTGGACGCTGGGAGGTGGATGCTGCAGTGAGCAGTGATTGCACCACTGCACTCCAGCCTTGGGTGACAGAGCCAGACCCCGTCCCAAATAAATAAACATAAAAATAAAGGAACCAGTTTGTAGAAAGCGGGAGAGGGTCCCATTGAACTTCAAGCCTTCGAGCAACAGCTGTGGCTGGACAGGTTGGACCAGCAGGCTGGAGCAGTCGCCATCTTGGCAGGGATCATTGACCCTGATCTATCGTCGGGAGGAGGAAGAGCTGATCTTACGCAGGGAGGGCAGGTGGACTATGTGTGGACTCTGGTGACCTGTTTGGGTGCCAGGTGTTACTCCCAGGGCCACCGTAACTGTGAATGTGCAGGAACCCTGACTTGAGAAGGGCCTGGCACGGGGGGCTTAGCGCTGGGGAATGAGAGTTTGGTTCCCGGTACCCAGGGAAACCACCAGCATCGGCAGAGGTGATAGCTGAGGAGGAGCGGGGATTTGGACGAGAGACACAGGATGAGTACCGGGGGGCAGCCCGTGATCAACAACTGCTGCAAGAGGGGCCGTTTGTTCGACTCGCTAGTCTTCTGCGGCTCTATGCGGTACTAAAGAGCAGAAGACAGAAGATACAAAAACCACAAAAAGTAGCCGGGCGTGGTGCTGCCGTCAATAATCCCAGCTACTCGGGAGGCTGAGACAGGAGAATCGCTTGAACCCGGGAGGCGGAAGTTTCAGCGAGCCGAGATCACGCCGTTGCAGTCCAACCTGAGCGTCCGAGCAGGACTCTATCTCAGAAAATAAAGACAGAATGAAAGAGCCCGGCGCGGTGGCTTACGCCTGTAATCCCAGCGCTTTGGGAGGCCGAGGCGGGCGGATCGCCTGAGGTCAGGAGCTCGAGACCAGCCTGGCCGACATGGCGAAACCCCCTAAAAATACAAAAATTAGCCGGGCGTGGTGGCCTGCGCCTGTAATCCCAGCTACCCAGGAGGCTGAGGCAGGAGAATCGCTGGAACCCGGGAGGTAGAGGCTGCAGTGAGCCGAGATCGCGCCACTGCACTCCAGCCTGGGCGACAGAGCGAGAGTTTGTCTGGAAAAAAAAAAAAAAAAGCCAGGGTGAGCGGTGGCTCAAGCCTGTAATCGCAAGCAACACTTTGGGAGGCGGCAGCTGGGCAGATCACCGGAGGTCGGGAGTTGGAGACCAGCCTGAGCAACGTGGAGAAACCCCATCTGTACTAAAAATACAAAGTTAGCCGGGCGTGGTGGCACATGCCTGTAGTCCCAGCTGCTCGGGAGGCTGAGGCAGGGGAATCGCTTGAACCCGGGAGGCGGAGGTTGCAGAGAGCCTAGATCGCGCCATTGGACTCCAGGCTGGGTAACAAGAGCGGAACCTCCGTCTGAAAAAAAAAAAAAAAAAAAAAAAAATTGGGAGAATTTTGCTCCCACTGCCGTCAAAATCCCACGTGTATTTCACACTTAACAGCGCAGCTCCATTAGAACTGACCACATTTCCAGGGCTCCCTAGATACCTGTGGCTAGCGGCTGCCATACTACACCGTGCTGGGCTGTAGAATGGGGATGACAAGACAGGGCGGCGGAGATTGTGTTGGCGTGAAGCGAGGGAAACACTCGGCCGCAGGACAAAACTAAAACAGCAAGGGGGCACCGAAAGACTCAGTAGTCCACGTGAATATCCTGATTATGTTGTAGCTGAGATAATGTAGGGTCCACCCCTACCGGGTCTGTGGGTTTTCTCTTCGCGTGTGTGCGGAGACGAGAGATCGAAGAGATAAAGACAGAAGACAAAGAGATAGGAAGAAAGACAGCTGGGCCCGGGGGACCACTGCCACCAAAGCGCGGAGACAGACAGGTAGTGGCCCCGAGTGCCTGGAGGCGCTGCTATTTATTGTAGTCAAGGCAAGGGGGCAGGGTAAGGAGTGCCAGTCATCTCCAATGATCGATAGGTCACGCGAGTCACGTGTGCACTGGACAGGGGGCCTTTCCCTTTGTGGTAGCCGAGGTGGAGAGGGAGGACAGCAAACGTCAGCGTTTCTTCTATGCACTTATCAGAAAGATCGAAGACTGTGGTACTCCTACTAGTTCTGCTACTGCTGTCTTCTAAGAACTTAAAAGGAGGAGCCAGGTGTACAGGCTGAACATGAAAGTGAACAAGGAGCGTGACCACTGAAGCACAGCATCACAGGGAGACAGACGTTGGAGCCTCCGGATGACTGCGGGCCGGCCTGGCTAATGTCAGACCTCCCACAAGAGGTGGTGGAGCGTCTGACTCTGTCTCCCCTGGAGAGAGGGAGATTCCCTTTCCGGGTCTGCTAAGTAACGGGTGCCTTCCCAGGCACTGGGCCACCGCTAGACCAAGGCCTGCTAAGTAACCAGGGCCTTCCCAGGCACTGGCATTACCGCTAGCCAAGGAGCCTCCAGCGGCCCTTCTCTGGGCGTGAATGAGGGCTCACACTCTCGTCTTCTGGTCACCTCTCACTGTGGCCCTTCAGCTCCTAACTCTGTGTGGCCTGGTTTCCCCAAGGTAATCATAATAGAACAGAGATCATTATGGTAATAGAACAAAGAGTGATGCTACAAACTAATGATTAATAATAGTCAGATATAATCCTATCCGTTTCCTATCTCTAGTAAAACTTTTCTTATTCTAATTATTTTCTTCGCTGTACTGGAACAGCTTGTGCCTTCAGGCTCTTGCCTGGGCACCTGGGTGGCTTGCGGCCCACAAGATAAGATACATTGCGTTGAACTATAATTTATGTTGATTGCTGAATGATTTAGGGCGGGGGGTTGGGCACCCCCTGAAATTCTGCCCTGGAGGAGTGGCCTCACCCTAACCCTGGCCGTGGCTAATAATAAGGCCCACCTCTTAGGGCCGTGGAGTGAAATAAGTTTTCCAGGTAATGCGCAGTAGAGCCCTCAGCCCTCCGCTGAAGTTGCGTTAGGAAGGAGGAAGGGAGAGGTAAATGCTGAGCCCGCAGGCGGCAGTCTGTGCCTCGGAGAGAAACTTTATCCCAACCTTGCTGGGGGCCTTGACGCCCACCTTGCCCCAAGAGCACCCCGGCAGCCACCCCTGCCCTCTGGGGTCCTGCCACCCCGAGCCCGACCTTCCCCTTTTTCCCCCGCGCCGGGCCAATAGCCTCCTAACTGCGTCGTGCTCATCACCTTTGCGTCGTTTCTTCGCTCCACAAACGTTTACTGAGCGCCTTCCACACGCCAGGCGCCAGACTCGCGCGGGGAAACAGGGATAAGCACTGAGGAGGGGTCCCAGCCCTCAGCGATGGGATTTCAGAGCGGGAGATAAAGGGTTGCCCAGAAGGGTGGTGAGTGGAATGGCTGATATAAACAACGGGGGCGCGATGAAATACACAGGAGGGCTGCTAGTCACATATGGGGCGGGTGCCGAGGGCCCTTGACTAAGGGAGGCTTCCTGCACGGGTGACACCCAAGCGGAGTCCTGACGACCTGCGTCAGAAGTAGCCAGGCGAGGAGGAGGGGAAAGGAATCCACGTCCCGAGCAGAGAGGCAGCGTTCCCTACACAGCACAGGACACGGTCCGCGCACAGAAGCCGCAGGAGACGCAGGCACAGGGGCTGGGGAGAATCCTTGCTGGGCCCTCGCCGCCTCCCTCTGCCGGGTGTCTGGTGCCAGCCTCCTGCCTGGCAGAGGAACTCCAGCCCCTGCTCCCGGAAGCCCCTCCAGGCCTTCGGCTTCCCTGACTGGGCATGGGCCCCTCGTCCCCTCGTCCCCTCGGGTACGGGGCCGGTCTCCCCGCCCGCGGGCGGCGAAGTAAAGGCCCAGCGCAGCCCGCGCTCCTGCCCTGGGGCCTCGTCTTTCTCCAGGAAAACGTGGACCGCTCTCCGCCGACAGGTCTCTTCCACAGACCCCTGTCGCCTTCGCCCCCGGTCTCTTCCGGTTCTGTCTTTTCGCTGGCTCGATACGAACAAGGAAGTCGCCCCCAGCGGAGCCCCGGCTCCCCCAGGCAGAGGCGGCCCCGGGGGCGGAGTCAACGGCGGAGGCCACGCCCTCTGTGAAAGGGCGGGGCATGCAAATTCGAAATGAAAGCCCGGGAACGCCGGAAGAAGCACGGGTGTAAGATTTCCCTTTTCAAAGGCGGAGAATAAGAAATCAGCCCGAGAGTGTAAGGGCGTCAATAGCGCTGTGGACGAGACAGAGGGAATGGGGCAAGGAGCGAGGCTGGGGCTCTCACCGCGACTTGAATGTGGATGAGAGTGGGACGGTGACGGCGGGCGCGAAGGCGAGCGCATCGCTTCTCGGCCTTTTGGCTAAGATCAAGTGTAGTATCTGTTCTTATCAGTTTAATATCTGATACGTCCTCTATCCGAGGACAATATATTAAATGGATTTTTGGAGCAGGGAGATGGAATAGGAGCTTGCTCCGTCCACTCCACGCATCGACCTGGTATTGCAGTACCTCCAGGAACGGTGCACCCCCTCCGGGGATACAACGTGTTTCCTAAAAGTAGAGGGAGGTAAGAGACGGTAGCACCTGCGGGGCGGCTTGCACGCCGAGTGCCTGTGACGCGCCGGCTTGACTTAACTGCTTCCCTGAAGTACCTTGAGGTTCCTGATGTGCGGGCGGTAGACGGTAGGCTTATGCGGCACGCTGTCGTTTCCACCGTGGCTACTGCGCTTTGGGAAGGCCACGACCTCCTCCTTTGGGGAGGTCCTTAGGATCTCAGCTTGGCAGTCGAGTGGGTGGCGACCTTTTAAAGGAATGGGACCCACCCGGAGTTCTTCTTTCTCCTGTCTCTCTCTCTCTCTCTCTCTCTCTCTCTCTCTTTCTCTCTCTCTCTCTCTGTCTCTCCGTCTCTCTGTGTCTGTCTCTGTCTCTCTGTCTCTCTCTCTGTCTCTCTCTCTCTCTCTCTCTCTCTCTCCTCTCTCTGTCTCTCTCTCTCTTTCCCTCTCTCTCTCTCTTCCCCCCCCCCCGCCTCTCCCTCGCTCTTTTGGTTTCCCCCACCCCCTCCCAAGTTCTGGGGTACATGTGCAGGACGTGCAGGTTTGGAACATAGGTACACGTGTGCCACGGTGCTTTGCTGCACCTATCCACCAGTCGTCTAGGTTTGAAGCCCCGCATGCGTTGGCTATTTGTCCTAATGCTCTCTCTCCCCTTGCCCCCCACGCCCCGTCAGGGCCCGGCGTGTGATGTTCCCCTCCCTGTGTCCCATGTGTTCTCGCTGTTCAACTCCCACTTAGGAGCGAGAACATGCGGTGTTTGGTTTTCGCTTCCTGTGTCAGTTTGCTGAGAATGAGGCCTTCCAGCTTCATCCACGTTCCCGCAGAGGTCATGAACTCATCCTTTTTTATGGCTGCGTAGTAATTCCATGCTGTATACGTGCCACACTTTCTTTATCCAGCCTATCATTCATGGGCATTCGAGTTGGTTCCAAGTCTTTGCTATTGTAAATAGTGCTGCAGTAAACATACGTGTCCACGTGTCTTCCTAGTAGGAACTTCTTCCTCTTCAGCCCGCTGAGTAGCTGGCACTTTAAGGCAGGTGCCAACGCACCGGCAGCAAGCTTCCTTTTTTGCCCGGGAAAAACTGAGGTGCAGGTAGTATAAGCCATTGATCACGGAACGCACAGGAGCAGAGCTCGAGTCCAAGCATCGTGGCTCCACCCGTCATGCTGGATGCATCTTTAGGCTCCGCTCTAGGTATGTGTATCCTTTACGGGATCAGCCACCGGGCAGTTGCCCTTGCGAGCACGATGAAAAACCTCTGCCGGCTCTTTTGGGTCTCATCCCTGTATCTAAGGGGAATCGCTTGAACCCGGGAGGCGGAGGTTGCAGAGAGCCTAGATCGCGCCACTGGACTCCAGGCTGGGTAACAAGAGCGGAACCTCCGTCTGAAAAAAAAAAAAAAAAAAAAAAATTGGGAGAATTTTGCTCCCACTGCCGTCAAAATCCCACGTGTATTTCACACTTACAGCACAGCTCCATTAGAACTGACCACATTTCCAGGGCTCCCTAGATACCTGTGGCTAGCGGCTGCCATACTACACCGTGCTGGGCTGTAGAATGGGGATGACAAGACAGGGCGGCGGAGATTGTGTTGGCGTGAAGCGAGGGAAACACTCGGCCGCAGGACAAAACTAAAACAGCAAGGGGGCACCGAAAGACTCAGTAGTCCACGTGAATATCCTGATTATGTTGTAGCTGAGATAATGTAGGGTCCACCCCTACCGGGTCTGTGGGTTTTCTCTTCGCGTGTGTGCGGAGACGAGAGATCGAAGAGATAAAGACAGAAGACAAAGAGATAGGAAGAAAGACAGCTGGGCCCGGGGGACCACTGCCACCAAAGCGCGGAGACAGACAGGTAGTGCCCCGAGTGCCTGGAGCGCTGCTATTTATTGTAGTCAAGGCAAGGGGGCAGGGTAAGGAGTGCCAGTCATCTCCAATGATCGATAGGTCACGCGAGTCACGTGTGCACTGGACAGGGGGCCTTTCCCTTTGTGGTAGCCGAGGTGGAGAGGGAGGACAGCAAACGTCAGCGTTTCTTCTATGCACTTATCAGAAAGATCGAAGACTGTGGTACTCCTACTAGTTCTGCTACTGCTGTCTTCTAAGAACTTAAAAGGAGGAGCCAGGTGTACAGGCTGAACATGAAAGTGAACAAGGAGCGTGACCACTGAAGCACAGCATCACAGGGAGACAGACGTTGGAGCCTCCGGATGACTGCGGGCCGGCCTGGCTAATGTCAGACCTCCCACAAGAGGTGGTGGAGCGGAGCGTTCTCTGTCTCCCCTGGAGAGAGGGAGATTCCCTTTCCGGGTCTGCTAAGTAACGGGTGCCTTCCCAGGCACTGGGGCCACCGCTAGACCAAGGCCTGCTAAGTAACCAGGGCCTTCCCAGGCACTGGCATTACCGCTAGGCCAAGGAGCCCTCCAGCGGCCCTTCTCTGGGCGTGAATGAGGGCTCACACTCTCGTCTTCTGGTCACCTCTCACTGTGGCCCTTCAGCTCCTAACTCTGTGTGGCCTGGTTTCCCCCAAGGTAATCATAATAGAACAGAGATCATTATGGTAATAGAACAAAGAGTGATGCTACAAACTAATGATTAATAATAGTCAGATATAATCCTATCCGTTTCCTATCTCTAGTAAAACTTTTCTTATTCTAATTATTTTCTTCGCTGTACTGGAACAGCTTGTGCCTTCAGGCTCTTGCCTGGGCACCTGGGTGGCTTGCGGCCCACAAGATAAGATACATTGCGTTGAACTATAATTTATGTTGATTGCTGAATGATTTAGGGCGGGGGGGTGGGCACCCCCTGAAATTCTGCCCTGGAGGAGTGGCCTCACCCTAACCCTGGCCGTGGCTAATAATAAGGCCCACCTCTTAGGGCCGTGGAGTGAAATAAGTTTTCCAGGTAATGCGCAGTAGAGCCCTCAGCCCTCCGCTGAAGTTGCGTTAGGAAGGAGGAAGGGAGAGGTAAATGCTGAGCCCGCAGGCGGCAGTCTGTGCCTCGGAGAGGAACTTTATCCCAACCTTGCTGGGGGCCTTGACGCCCACCTTGCCCCAAGAGCACCCCGGCAGCCACCCCTGCCCTCTGGGGTCCTGCCACCCCGAGCCCGACCTTCCCCCTTTTCCCCCGCGCCGGGCCAATAGCCTCCTAACTGCGTCGTGCTCATCACCTTTGCGTCGTTTCTTCGCTCCACAAACGTTTACTGAGCGCCTTCCACACGCCAGGCGCCAGACTCGCGCGGGGAAACAGGGATAAGCACTGAGGAGGGGTCCCAGCCCTCAGCGATGGGATTTCAGAGCGGGAGATAAAGGGTTGCCCAGAAGGGTGGTGAGTGGAATGGCTGATATAAACAACGGGGGCGCGATGAAATACACAGGAGGGCTGCTAGTCACATATGGGGCGGGTGCCGAGGGCCCTTGACTAAGGGAGGCTTCCTGCACGGGTGACACCCAAGCGGAGTCCTGACGACCTGCGTCAGAAGTAGCCGGGCGAGGAGGAGGGGAAAGGAATCCACGTCCCGAGCAGAGAGGCAGCGTTCCCTACACAGCACAGGACACGGTCCGCGCACAGAAGCCGCAGGAGACGCAGGCACAGGGGCTGGGGAGAATCCTTGCTGGGCCCTCGCCGCCTCCCTCTGCCGGGTGTCTGGTGCCAGCCTCCTGCCTGGCAGAGGAACTCCAGCCCCTGCTCCCGGAAGCCCCTCCAGGCCTTCGGCTTCCCTGACTGGGCATGGGCCCCTCGTCCCCTCGTCCCCTCGGGTACGGGGCCGGTCTCCCCGCCCGCGGGCGGCGAAGTAAAGGCCCAGCGCAGCCCGCGCTCCTGCCCTGGGGCCTCGTCTTTCTCCAGGAAAACGTGGACCGCTCTCCGCCGACAGGTCTCTTCCACAGACCCCTGTCGCCTTCGCCCCCGGTCTCTTCCGGTTCTGTCTTTTCGCTGGGCTCGATACGAACAAGGAAGTCGCCCCCAGCGGAGCCCCGGCTCCCCCAGGCAGAAGGCGGCCCCGGGGGGCGGAGTCAACGGCGGAGGCCACGCCCTCTGTGAAAGGGGCGGGGGCATGCAAATTGGAAATGAAAGCCCGGGAACGCCGGAAGAAGCACGGGTGTAAGATTTCCCTTTTCAAAGGCGGAGAATAAGAAATCAGCCCGAGAGTGTAAGGGCGTCAATAGCGCTGTGGACGAGACAGAGGGAATGGGGCAAGGAGCGAGGCTGGGGCTCTCACCGCGACTTGAATGTGGATGAGAGTGGGACGGTGACGGCGGGCGCGAAGGCGAGCGCATCGCTTCTCGGCCTTTTGGCTAAGATCAAGTGTAGTATCTGTTCTTATCAGTTTAATATCTGATACGTCCTCTATCCGAGGACAATATATTAAATGGATTTTTGGAGCAGGGAGATGGAATAGGAGCTTGCTCCGTCCACTCCACGCATCGACCTGGTATTGCAGTACCTCCAGGAACGGTGCACCCCCTCCGGGGATACAACGTGTTTCCTAAAAGTAGAGGGAGGTAAGAGACGGTAGCACCTGCGGGGCGGCTTGCACGCCGAGTGCCTGTGACGCGCCGGCTTGACTTAACTGCTTCCCTGAAGTACCTTGAGGTTCCTGATGTGCGGGCGGTAGACGGTAGGCTTATGCGGCACGCTTTCGTTTCCACCGTGGCTACTGCGCTTTGGGAAGGCCACGACCTCCTCCTTTGGGGAGGTCCTTAGGATCTCAGCTTGGCAGTCGAGTGGGTGGCGACCTTTTAAAGGAATGGGACCCACCCGGAGTTCTTCTTTCTCCTGTCTCTCTCTCTCTCTCTTTCTCTCTCTCTCTCTCTCTGTCTCTCCGTCTCTCTGTGTCTGTCTCTGTCTCTCTGTCTCTCTCTCTGTCTCTCTCTCTCTCTCTCCTCTCTCTGTCTCTCTCTCTCTTTCCCTCTCTCTCTCTCTTCCCCCCCCCCGCCTCTCCCTCGCTCTTTTGGTTTCCCCCACCCCCTCCCAAGTTCTGGGGTACATGTGCAGGACGTGCAGGTTTGGAACATAGGTACACGTGTGCCACGGTGCTTTGCTGCACCTATCCACCAGTCGTCTAGGTTTGAAGCCCCGCATGCGTTGGCTATTTGTCCTAATGCTCTCTCTCCCCTTGCCCCCCACGCCCCGTCAGGGCCCGGCGTGTGATGTTCCCCTCCCTGTGTCCCATGTGTTCTCGCTGTTCAACTCCCACTTAGGAGCGAGAACATGCGGTGTTTGGTTTTCGCTTCCTTTCAGTTTGCTGAGAATGAGGCCTTCCAGCATCATCCACGTCCCGCAGAGCGCCCTCTGTGAAAGGGCGGGGCATGCAAATTGGAAATGAAAGCCCGGGAACGCCGGAAGAAGCGCGGGTGTAAGATTTCCCTTTTCAAAAGGCGGAAGAATAAGGAAATCAGCCCGAGAGTGTAAGGGCGTCAATAGCGCTGTGGACGAGACAGAGGGAATGGGGCAAAGGAGCGAGGCTGGGGCTCTCACCGCGACTTGAATGTGGATGAGAGTGGGACGGTGACGGCGGGCGCGAAGGCGAGCGCATCGCTTCTCGGCCTTTTGGCTAAGATCAAGTGTAGTATCTGTTCTTATCAGTTTAATATCTGATACGTCCTCTATCCGAGGACAATATATTAAATGGATTTTTGGAGCAGGGAGATGGAATAGGAGCTTGCTCCGTCCACTCCACGCATCGACCTGGTATTGCAGTACCTCCAGGAACGGTGCACCCCCTCCGGGGATACAACGTGTTTCCTAAAAGTAGAGGGAGGTAAGAGACGGTAGCACCTGCGGGGCGGCTTGCACGCCGAGTGCCTGTGACGCGCCGGCTTGACTTAACTGCTTCCCTGAAGTACCTTGAGGTTCCTGATGTGCGGGCGGTAGACGGTAGGCTTATGCGGCACGCTTTCGTTTCCACCGTGGCTACTGCGCTTTGGGAAGGCCACGACCTCCTCCTTTGGGGAGGTCCTTAGGATCTCAGCTTGGCAGTCGAGTGGGTGGCGACCTTTTAAAGGAATGGGACCCACCCGGAGTTCTTCTTTCTCCTGTCTCTCTCTCTCTCTCTCTCTCTCTCTCTGTCTCTCCGTCTCTCTGTGTCTGTCTCTGTCTCTCTGTCTCTCTCTCTGTCTCTCTCTCTCTCTCTCTCTCTCTCTCTCCTCTCTCCTGTCTCTCTCTCTCTTTCCCTCTCTCCCTCTCTTTCCCCCCCCCCGCCTCTCCCTCGCTCTTTTGGTTTCCCCCACCCCCTCCCAAGTTCTGGGGTACATGTGCAGGACGTGCAGGTTTGGAACATAGGTACACGTGTGCCACGGTGCTTTGCTGCACCTATCCACCAGTCGTCTAGGTTTGAAGCCCCGCATGCGTTGGCTATTTGTCCTAATGCTCTCTCTCCCCTTGCCCCCCACGCCCCGTCAGGGCCCGGCGTGTGATGTTCCCCTCCCTGTGTCCCATGTGTTCTCGCTGTTCAACTCCCACTTAGGAGCGAGAACATGCGGTGTTTGGTTTTCGCTTCCTGTGTCAGTTTGCTGAGAATGAGGCCTTCCAGCTTCATCCACGTTCCCGCAGAGGTCATGAACTCATCCTTTTTTATGGCTGCGTAGTAATTCCATGCTGTATACGTGCCACACTTTCTTTATCCAGCCTATCATTCATGGGCATTCGAGTTGGTTCCAAGTCTTTGCTATTGTAAATAGTGCTGCAGTAAACATACGTGTCCACGTGTCTTCCTAGTAGGAACTTCTTCCTCTTCAGCCCGCTGAGTAGCTGGCACTTTAAGGCAGGTGCCAACGCACCGGCAGCAAGCTTCCTTTTTTGCCCGGGAAAAACTGAGGTGCAGGTAGTATAAGCCATTGATCACGGAACGCACAGGAGCAGAGCTCGAGTCCAAGCATCGTGCTCCACCCGTCATGCTGGATGCATCTTTACGTGCCGCTCTAGGTATGTGTATCCTTTACGGGATCAGCCATACGCAGTTGCCTTGCGAGCACGATGACAAACCTCTGCCGGCTCTTTTGGGTCTCATCCCTGTATCTATACGTTGCATCCCAACATAAAGACCGGAATGTTCCTTTCGCTGACCCAGTCTCTCACCCTTTCCAAACTCCAGAAATCTTGTCTGTCCTCGGAAGAACTCCCCCTGCTTCTTTCTCTAAAGGCTGTCTTCAGGCCGGGCACAGTGGGAGGATCGCTTGAGCCCAGAAGGCCGCAGTGAGGTGAGATCGCGCCATTGCACTGCAGCCCCCGGCGGCAGAGCCGGAGCCCCGTCTCGAAACAAACAAACAAAAACCAACCAACCAACCAACCAACCAACAAACAAACACAGACAAAGAAAGAAAGAGCCCAGGCAACCTAGTGAAAACCTGTTCGGGCTGGGGCGTACCTGTACCCCAGCTGTTCCGGAGGCTGAGGCCAGGAGGATGGGTGGACGCTGGGAGGTGGATGCTGCAGTGAGCAGTGATTGCACCACTGCACTCCAGCCTGGGTGACAGAGCCAGACCCCGTCCCAAATAAATAAACATAAAAATAAAGGAACCAGTTTGTAGAAAGCGGGAGAGGGTCCCATTGAACTTCAAGCCTTCGAGCAACAGCTGTGGCTGGACAGGTTGGACAGCAGGCTGGAGCAGTCGCCATCTTGGCAGGGATCATTGACCCTGATCTATCGTCGGGAGGAGGAAGAGCTGATCTTACGCAGGAGGGCAGGTGACTATGTGTGACTCTGGTGACCTGTTTGGTGCCAGGTGTTACTCCCAGGCCACCCGTAACTGTGAATGTGCAGAACCCTGACTTGAGAAGGCCTGGCCACGAGGCTTAGGCCCCTGGGGAATGAGAGTTTGTTCCCGTACCCAGGAAACCACCAGCATCGGCAGAGGTGATAGCTGAGGAGGAGCGGGGATTTGGACGAGAGACACAGGATGAGTACCCGGGGGGCAGCCCCGTGATCAACAACTGCTGCAAGAGGGGCCGTTTGTTCGACTCGCTAGTCTTCTGCGGCTCTATGCGGTACTAAAGAGCAGAAGACAGAAGATACAAAAACCACAAAAAGTAGCCGGGCGTGGTGCTGCCCGTCAATAATCCCAGCTACTCGGGAGGCTGAGACAGGAGAATCGCTTGAACCCGGGAGGCGGAAGTTTCAGCGAGCCGAGATCACGCCGTTGCAGTCCAACCTGAGCGTCCGAGCGAGACTCTATCTCAGAAAATAAAGACAGAATGAAAGAGCCCGGCGCGGTGGCTTACGCCTGTAATCCCAGCGCTTTGGGAGGCCGAGGCGGGCGGATCGCCTGAGGTCAGGAGCTCGAGACCAGCCTGGCCGACATGGCGAAACCCCCTAAAAATACAAAAATTAGCCGGGCGTGGTGGCCTGCGCCTGTAATCCCAGCTACCCAGGAGGCTGAGGCAGGAGAATCGCTGGAACCCGGGAGGTAGAGGCTGCAGTGAGCCGAGATCGCGCCACTGCACTCCAGCCTGGGCGACAGAGCGAGAGTTTGTCTGGAAAAAAAAAAAAAAAAAGCCAGGGTGAGCGGTGGCTCAAGCCTGTAATCGCAAGCAACACTTTGGGGAGGCGGCAGCTGGGCAGATCACCGGAGGTCGGGAGTTGGAGAACAGCAAGCCAACGTGGCCCCCCCCCATACTTTTAAAAATACAAACTTAGCCGAGCGTGGTGGCACATACCTGTAGTCCCAATGCTTGGGAGGATGAGGCAGGGGAATTGCTTGAACCCGGGGGGCGGAGGTTGCAGAGAGCCTAGATCGCGCCATTGGACTCCAGGCTGGGTAACAAGAGCGGAACCTCCGTCTGAAAAAAAAAAAAAAAAAAAAAAAATTGGGAGAATTTTGCTCCCACTGCCGTCAAAATCCCACGTGTATTTCACACTTACAGCACAGCTCCATTAGAACTGACCACATTTCCAGGGCTCCCTAGATACCTGTGGCTAGCGGCTGCCATACTACACCGTGCTGGGCTGTAGAATGGGGATGACAAGACAGGGCGGCGGAGATTGTGTTGGCGTGAAGCGAGGGAAACACTCGGCCGCAGGACAAAACTAAAACAGCAAGGGGGCACCGAAAGACTCAGTAGTCCACGTGAATATCCTGATTATGTTGTAGCTGAGATAATGTAGGGTCCACCCCTACCGGGTCTGTGGGTTTTCTCTTCGCGTGTGTGCGGAGACGAGAGATCGAAGAGATAAAGACAGAAGACAAAGAGATAGGAAGAAAGACAGCTGGGCCCGGGGGACCACTGCCACCAAAGCGCGGAGACAGACAGGTAGTGGCCCCGAGTGCCTGGAGGCGCTGCTATTTATTGTAGTCAAGGCAAGGGGGCAGGGTAAGGAGTGCCAGTCATCTCCAATGATCGATAGGTCACGCGAGTCACGTGTCCACTGGACAGGGGGCCTTTCCCTTTGTGGTAGCCGAGGTGGAGAGGGAGGACAGCAAACGTCAGCGTTTCTTCTATGCACTTATCAGAAAGATCGAAGACTGTGGTACTCCTACTAGTTCTGCTACTGCTGTCTTCTAAGAACTTAAAAGGAGGAGCCAGGTGTACAGGCTGAACATGAAAGTGAACAAGGAGCGTGACCACTGAAGCACAGCATCACAGGGAGACAGACGTTGGAGCCTCCGGATGACTGCGGGCCGGCCTGGCTAATGTCAGACCTCCCACAAGAGGTGGTGGAGCGGAGCGTTCTCTGTCTCCCCTGGAGAGAGGGAGATTCCCTTTCCGGGTCTGCTAAGTAACGGGTGCCTTCCCAGGCACTGGGGCCACCGCTAGACCAAGGCCTGCTAAGTAACCAGGGCCTTCCCAGGCACTGGCATTACCGCTAGGCCAAGGAGCCCTCCAGCGGCCCTTCTCTGGGCGTGAATGAGGGCTCACACTCTCGTCTTCTGGTCACCTCTCACTGTGGCCCTTCAGCTCCTAACTCTGTGTGGCCTGGTTTCCCCCAAGGTAATCATAATAGAACAGAGATCATTATGGTAATAGAACAAAGAGTGATGCTACAAACTAATGATTAATAATAGTCAGATATAATCCTATCCGTTTCCTATCTCTAGTAAAACTTTTCTTATTCTAATTATTTTCTTCGCTGTACTGGAACAGCTTGTGCCTTCAGGCTCTTGCCTGGGCACCTGGGTGGCTTGCGGCCCACAAGATAAGATACATTGCGTTGAACTATAATTTATGTTGATTGCTGAATGATTTAGGGCGGGGGGGTGGCACCCCCTGAAATTCTGCCCTGGAGGAGTGGCCTCACCCTAACCCTGGCCGTGGCTAATAATAAGGCCCACCTCTTAGGGCCGTGGAGTGAAATAAGTTTTCCAGGTAATGCGCAGTAGAGCCCTCAGCCCTCCGCTGAAGTTGCGTTAGGAAGGAGGAAGGGAGAGGTAAATGCTGAGCCCGCAGGCGGCAGTCTGTGCCTCGGAGAGAAACTTTATCCCAACCTTGCTGGGGGCCTTGACGCCCACCTTGCCCCAAGAGCACCCCGGCAGCCACCCCTGCCCTCTGGGGTCCTGCCACCCCGAGCCCGACCTTCCCCCTTTTCCCCCGCGCCGGGCCAATAGCCTCCTAACTGCGTCGTGCTCATCACCTTTGCGTCGTTTCTTCGCTCCACAAACGTTTACTGAGCGCCTTCCACACGCCAGGCGCCAGACTCGCGCGGGGAAACAGGGATAAGCACTGAGGAGGGGTCCCAGCCCTCAGCGATGGGATTTCAGAGCGGGAGATAAAGGGTTGCCCAGAAGGGTGGTGAGTGGAATGGCTGATATAAACAACGGGGGCGCGATGAAATACACAGGAGGGCTGCTAGTCACATATGGGGCGGGTGCCGAGGGCCCTTGACTAAGGGAGGCTTCCTGCACGGGTGACACCCAAGCGGAGTCCTGACGACCTGCGTCAGAAGTAGCCGGGCGAGGAGGAGGGGAAAGGAATCCACGTCCCGAGCAGAGAGGCAGCGTTCCCTACACAGCACAGGACACGGTCCGCGCACAGAAGCCGCAGGAGACGCAGGCACAGGGGCTGGGGAGAATCCTTGCTGGGCCCTCGCCGCCTCCCTCTGCCGGGTGTCTGGTGCCAGCCTCCTGCCTGGCAGAGGAACTCCAGCCCCTGCTCCCGGAAGCCCCTCCAGGCCTTCGGCTTCCCTGACTGGGCATGGGCCCCTCGTCCCCTCGTCCCCTCGGGTACGGGGCCGGTCTCCCCGCCCGCGGGCGGCGAAGTAAAGGCCCAGCGCAGCCCGCGCTCCTGCCCTGGAGCCTCGTCTTTCTCCAGGAAAACGTGGACCGCTCTCCGCCGACAGGTCTCTTCCACAGACCCCTGTCGCCTTCGCCCCCGGTCTCTTCCGGTTCTGTCTTTTCGCTGGCTCGATACGAACAAGGAAGTCGCCCCCAGCGGAGCCCCGGCTCCCCCAGGCAGAGGCGGCCCCGGGGGCGGAGTCAACGGCGGAGGCCACGCCCTCTGTGAAAGGGCGGGGCATGCAAATTCGAAATGAAAGCCCGGGAACGCCGGAAGAAGCACGGGTGTAAGATTTCCCTTTTCAAAGGCAGAGAATAAGAAATCAGCCCGAGAGTGTAAGGGCGTCAATAGCGCTGTGGACGAGACAGAGGGAATGGGGCAAGGAGCGAGGCTGGGGCTCTCACCGCGACTTGAATGTGGATGAGAGTGGGACGGTGACGGCGGGCGCGAAGGCGAGCGCATCGCTTCTCGGCCTTTTGGCTAAGATCAAGTGTAGTATCTGTTCTTATCAGTTTAATATCTGATACGTCCTCTATCCGAGGACAATATATTAAATGGATTTTTGGAGCAGGGAGATGGAATAGGAGCTTGCTCCGTCCACTCCACGCATCGACCTGGTATTGCAGTACCTCCAGGAACGGTGCACCCCCTCCGGGGATACAACGTGTTTCCTAAAAGTAGAGGGAGGTAAGAGACGGTAGCACCTGCGGGGCGGCTTGCACGCCGAGTGCCTGTGACGCGCCGGCTTAACTTAACTGCTTCCCTGAAGTACCTTGAGGTTCCTGATGTGCGGGCGGTAGACGGTAGGCTTATGCGGCACGCTGTCGTTTCCACCGTGGCTACTGCGCTTTGGGAAGGCCACGACCTCCTCCTTTGGGGAGGTCCTTAGGATCTCAGCTTGGCAGTCGAGTGGGTGGCGACCTTTTAAAGGAATGGGACCCACCCGGAGTTCTTCTTTCTCCTGTCTCTCTCTCTCTCTCTCTCTCTCTCTCTCTCTCTTTCTCTCTCTCTCTCTCTGTCTCTCCGTCTCTCTGTCTCTCTCTCTGTCTCTCTCTCTCTCTCTCTGTCTCTCTCTCTCTCTCTCTCTCCTCTCTCTGTCTCTCTCTCTCTTTCCCTCTCTCTCTCTCTTCCCCCCCCCCGCCTCTCCCTCGCTCTTTTGGTTTCCCCCACCCCCTCCCAAGTTCTGGGGTACATGTGCAGGACGTGCAGGTTTGGAACATAGGTACACGTGTGCCACGGTGCTTTGCTGCACCTATCCACCAGTCGTCTAGGTTTGAAGCCCCGCATGCGTTGGCTATTTGTCCTAATGCTCTCTCTCCCCTTGCCCCCCACGCCCCGTCAGGGCCCGGCGTGTGATGTTCCCCTCCCTGTGTCCCATGTGTTCTCGCTGTTCAACTCCCACTTAGGAGCGAGAACATGCGGTGTTTGTTTTCGCTTCCTGTGTCAGTTTGCTGAGAATGAGGCCTTTTCCTCCCTCCACGTTCCCGCAGAGGTCATGAACTCATCCTTTTTTATGGCTGCGTAGTAATTCTGCTAAGTAACGGGTGCCTTCCCAGGCACTGGGGCCACCGCTAGACCAAGGCCTGCTAAGTAACCAGGGCCTTCCCAGGCACTGGCATTACCGCTAGGCCAAGGAGCCCTCCAGCGGCCCTTCTCTGGGCGTGAATGAGGGCTCACACTCTTGTCTTCTGGTCACCTCTCACTGTGGCCCTTCAGCTCCTAACTCTGTGTGGCCTGGTTTCCCCCAAGGTAATCATAATAGAACAGAGATCATTATGGTAATAGAACAAAGAGTGATGCTACAAACTAATGATTAATAATAGTCAGATATAATCCTATCCGTTTCCTATCTCTAGTAAAACTTTTCTTATTCTAATTATTTTCTTTGCTGTACTGGAACAGCTTGTGCCTTCAGGCTCTTGCCTGGGCACCTGGGTGGCTTGCGGCCCACAAGATAAGATATATTGCGTTGAACTATAATTTATGTTGATTGCTGAATGATTTAGGGCGGGGGGGTGGGCACCCCCTGAAATTCTGCCCTGGAGGAGTGGCCTCACCCTAACCCTGGCCGTGGCTAATAATAAGGCCCACCTCTTAGGGCCGTGGAGTGAAATAAGTTTTCCAGGTAATGCGCAGTAGAGCCCTCAGCCCTCCGCTGAAGTTGCGTTAGGAAGGAGGAAGGGAGAGGTAAATGCTGAGCCCGCAGGCGGCAGTCTGTGCCTCGGAGAGAAACTTTATCCCAACCTTGCTGGGGGCCTTGACGCCCACCTTGCCCCAAGAGCACCCCGGCAGTCACCCCTGCCCTCTGGGGTCCTGCCACCCCGAGCCCGACCTTCCCCCTTTTCCCCCGCGCCGGGCCAATAGCCTCCTAACTGCGTCGTGCTCATCACCTTTGCGTCGTTTCTTCGCTCCACAAACGTTTACTGAGCGCCTTCCACACGCCAGGCGCCAGACTCGCGCGGGGAAACAGGGATAAGCACTGAGGAGGGGTCCCAGCCCTCAGCGATGGGATTTCAGAGCGGGAGATAAAGGGTTGCCCAGAAGGGTGGTGAGTGGAATAGCTGATATAAACAACGGGGACGCGATGAAATACACAGGAGGGCTGCTAGTCACATATGGGGCGGGTGCCGAGGGCCCTTGACTAAGGGAGGCTTCCTGCACGGGTGACACCCAAGCGGAGTCCTGACGACCTGCGTCAGAAGTAGCCAGGCGAGGAGGAGGGGAAAGGAATCCACGTCCCGAGCAGAGAGGCAGCATTCCCTACACAGCACAGGACACGGTCCGCGCACAGAAGCCGCAGGAGACGCAGGCACAGGGGCTGGGGAGAATCCTTGCTGGGCCCTCGCCGCCTCCCTCTGCCGGGTGTCTGGTGCCAGCCTCCTGCCTGGCAGAGGAACTCCAGCCCCTGCTCCCGGAAGCCCCTCCAGGCCTTCGGCTTCCCTGACTGGGCATGGGCCCCTCGTCCCCTCGGGTACGGGGCCGGTCTCCCCGCCCTCGGGCGGCGAAGTAAAGGCTGAGCCCACTGCTCCCACCACCTCTGTCTCTTCCCACTCAGACCCCTCTGCCTATAACTGGAACCACCTCACAATGTGGTTACTGCCAGGGCAACTGGGCAGGCCCCGCCTGCTTTGTTGAGGGAGGGAGGCATTTTTCCCAAGGCTCCCAGGAAACATCTGCAAAGTATCTTTCTCTCCTGGGTCCTGATCAGATAGAAGACCTTCCCACCTTAGCTTTGAGTCTCAGTGGGCCCCATGGACAATTCAGCAGTAAAGTCTTTTCTCTGTGGCATCTTTCCCCCACTCTTCCTCAGAGGCTTTTTAGTACAGATTGGGGTTTCTCCATGTTGGTCAGGCTGGTCTCCAACTCCCAGCCTCTGGTGATCCGCCTGCCTGCCGCCTCCCAAAGTGCTGGGATTACAGGTGTGAGCCACTGGCCCAAGCTTTTTTTTTTTTTTTTTTGAGACGGAGTCTCACTCTGTCGCTGAGGCTGGAGTGCAGTGGCGCATCTCGGCTCACTGCAAGCTCCACCTCCTGGGTTCGCGCCATTCTTCTGCCTCAGCCTCCCAAGTAGCGGGGACGACAGGCACCTGCCACTACGTCTGGCTAATTTTTTTGTACTTTTAGTAGAGACGGGGATTCACCGTGTTAGCCAGGATGGTCTCGATCTCCTGACCTCATGATCTGCCCGCCTCAGCCTCCCAAAGTGCTGGGATTACAGGCATGAGCCACCGCGCCCATGCTTTTTTTTTTTTTTTTTTTTCAGAGACAAAGTCTTGCTCTGTCACCCAGGCTGGAGTGCAGTGGCGCGATCTCGGCTCACTGCAGCCTCTGCCTCCCGGGTTCCAGTGATTCTCCTGCCTCAGCCTCCTTGGGTAGCTGGGATTACAGGTGTTTGCCACCACGCCCAGCTAATTTTTGTATTTTTAAGGAGGTCTCGCCAAGTTGGCCAGGCTGGTCTCGAACTCCTGACTTCAGGTGATCTGCCCGCCTCGGCCTCCCAAAGCGCTGGGATTACAGGCGTGAGCCACTGCGCTGGGCACTTTAATTCTGTCTTTACTTTCTGAGATAGTCTCGCTCGGACGCTCAGGTTGGACTGCAATGGCGTGATCTCAGCTCGCTGAAACTTCCACCTCCCGGATTCAAGCGATTCTCCCATCTCAGCCTCCCGAGTAGCTGGGATTATTGACGCGCAGCACCACGCCCGGCTAATTTTTGTGGTTTTTGTATCTTCTGTCTTCTGCTCTTTAGTACCGCATAGAGCCACAGAAGACTAGTGAGTCGAACAAACGGCCCCTCTTGCAGCAGTTGTTGATCACAGGGCTGCCCCCGGTACTCATCCTGTGTCTCTCGTCCAAATCCCCGCTCCTCCCCAGCTATCACCTCTGCCGATGCTGGTGGTTTCCCTGGGTACCGGGAACCAAACTCTCATTCCCCAGGAACCTAAGTCAGGGTTCCTGCACATTCACAGTTATGGGTGGCCCTGGGAGTAACACCTGGCACCCAAACAGATCACCAGAGTCCACACATAGTCCACCTGCCCTCCCTGCATAAGATCAGCTCTTCTTCCTCCCGATGATAGATCAGGGTCAATGATCCCTGCCAAGATGGCGACTGCTCCAGCCTGCTGGTCCAACCTGTCCAGCCACAGCTGTAGCTTGAAGGCTTGAAGTTCAATGGGACCCTCTCCTGCTTTCTACAAACTGGTTCCTTTATTTTTATTTATTTGGGACGGGGTCTGGCTCTGTCACCCAGGCTGGAGTGCAGTGGTGCAATCACTGCTCACTGCAGCATCCACCTCCCAGCATCCATCCACCCTCCTGCCTCAGCCTCTGGAATAGCTGGGGTACAGATAGGCCGCAGCCCGAACAGGGTTTCACTAGGTTGCCTAGGCTCTTTCTTTTTGTTTGCTTGAACCCAGGAGGCAGAGGCCACTGTGCCCAGCCACTTGGGGTGATCTTAAATGCACAGTCCCAGGCTGGGCGTGGTGGCTCACACCTGTAATCCCAGCACTTTGGGAGGCTGAGGCGGGCGGATCACCTGAGGTCTGGAGTTTGAGATCAGCCTGACCAACGTGGAGAAACCCTGTCTCTACTAAAAATACAAAAATTATCCGGGCATGGTGGTGCATGCCTGTAATCCTAGCTACTTGGGAGGCTGAGGTAGGAGAATCTCTTGAACCTGGGAGGCGGAGGTTGCAGTGAGCCGAGATTGCGCCATTGCACTCCAGCCTGGGCAACAAGAGTGAAACTCCATCTCAAAAAATAAAAAATAAAATGAAAATAAAATTAAGAGGTAGACGCTAGGCTTGAGTCCAGAATTAGAAATCTCCAGAGCTAGGGTGTTTTCTAAGAAGCCCCTTTGCGTTCTGGGGGCTCAGACCTCAGTGAGGCTTAGTAGGATTTTGTATTTTCTTTCATTCTGACTCAGCACAGACATTTATGGGGGAGATGGAGAGAGGAGAGATTAAGGAGAAAAAGGTAATTCCGGAGACCTAAGTGGGGAGAGATGAGCAGAGGAAGGGTCAGATGATGATGCTGGAACCCTCTGAGGAAGAATGGGGGAAAGAAGCCAGAGAGAAAAGACTTTACTGCTGAATTGTCCATGGGGCCCATTGAGACTCAAAGCTAAGGTGGGAAGGTCTTCTATCTGATCAGGACCCAGGAGAGAAAGGTACTTTGCAGATGTTCCCTGGGAGCCTTGGGAAAAATGCCTCCCTCTCTCAACAAAGCAGGCGGGGCCTGCCCAGTTGCCCTGGCAGTAACCACATTGTGAGGTGGTTCCAGTTATAGGCAGAGGGGTCTGAGTGGGAAGAGACAGAGGTGGTGGGAGCAGTGGGCTCTGCCTGTCCCCACCCCCACCTGGGGCCTCATACCATCCCACTATCATGGGTAGTGCCTACCACTGGGAGGCCCGGCGCCGGCAGATGGCTTTGGACCGAAGGAGATGGCTGATGGCCCAGCAGCAGCAGGAGCTGCAGCAGAAAGAACAGGTGCATGGGATAGGCTGGGTTCTTCAGGGTCCTCTCTGGAGCAGGAAGGGAATGGAGAATGGAGAGAGATCCCTAGGAAGCTGCCTACTATTTGGTGAATGCTGTTTGCTGGGGGTAGGAGGAAAGCAAGGTCATTTGGCGTTCTCTCAGATAGACTGTGTCTGTGTTGGGGGGACCACTATCAGCTGACTCAATTTCCCTCTTGTAATAGTCTAGGGGAAGGCAAGGGTACTAGGCCTGGGAGGTTTAAAGATGTTCTGTCCAATAGGGTAACCCCCAGCCTGTATGCTATATTGAGCCTTGGAGTGTGACTGAGGAACCAAATTTTTTTTTTTTTTTTTGAGATGGAGTTTTGCTCTTGTTGCCCAGGCTGGAGTGCAATGGTGCAATCTTGGCTCACCACAACCTCTGCCTCCCGGGTTCAAGTGATTCTCCTGCCTCAGCCTCCCGAGTAGCTGGTATTACAGGCATGCGCCACCACGCCCAGATAATTTTGTATTTTTAGTAGAGACACGGTTTCTCCATGTTGGTGAGGCTGGTCTCAAACTCCCGACCTCAGGTGATCCACCCACCTCAGCCTCCCAAAGTGCTGGGATTGCAGGCATGAGCCATGATGCCCGGTCAGTGTTATATAAATTTAATTTAGTTTTTAAAAATGTTATTTTGGCCGGGCATGGTGGCTCACACCTGTAATCCAGCACTTTGGGAGGCCAAGGTGGGTGGATCAGTTGAGGTCAGGAGTTCAAGACCAGCCTGGCCAACATGGCGAAACCTGGTCTCTACTAAAAGTACAAAAAGTAGCTAGGCATGGTGGCGCTTGCCTGGAATTCCAGCTACCTGGGGAGACTGAGGCATGAGAATCACTTGAATCAGTGAGGTGGAGGTTGCAGTGAGCCAAGATAGTGCCACTGCACTCTGACCTGAGTGACAGAGTGAGACTCTGTCTCAAAAAAAAAATTAAAAACTTTATTTGATTTTATTATTGTAATACAGACAGGGTCTCACTATGTTGCCCTGGCTGGTCTGGAACTCCTGGACTCAAGCAATCCTCCCACCTCAGCCTCCCAAAATGTTGACAAGTGTGAACCACCATGCCTGGCCTTTAATTAATTAATTCACTTATTTATTTTATTTTTTTTTTGAGATGGAGTCTTGCTCCAGTCTTGCTCCCAGCCGGGCACAGTGGCTCACACCTGTAATCCCAGCACTTTGGGAGGCCAAGGCAGGTGGATCACCTGTGGTCAGGAGTTCGAGACCAGCCTGACCAACATGGTGAAACCCCATCTCTACTAAAAATACAAAAATCAGCCGGGCGTGGTGGCGCGCACCTGTAATCCCAGCTACTCGGGAGGCTGAGGTAGGGGAATCGCCTGAACCTGGGAGGTGGAGGTTGCAGTGAGCCAAGATCGCGCCGTTGCACTCCAGCCTGGGTGACAAGAGCAAAAATCCATCTTAAAAAACAACAACAACAACAACAAAAATATAAATATTTTAAAACAACATACATACTGGAAAAATTTTAAGCATGTTTGGGACAATTTGGATATGTACATCTACTTTTTCAACTGTAAATTTATGAAATCTAAATCAATGAAATATTTTTGATGAAAATTTAGTGTCCAAATTAAGATGTGCTGTTGTTTCAAATTCAAGCTAGGTTTTGAAGACTTAGTATGAAAACAAAGAATATAAAATACTTCACTGATATGTTCATATTGATGTTTTGGATGCATGGGGTTAAGTAAAATATATTATTAGGCTGGGTGCAGTGGCTCACGCCTGTAATCCCAGCTCTTTGGGAGCCAAGGCGGGCTGATCCTTTGAGCCCAGGAGTTTCAGACCAGCCTGGTATCATGGTGAAATCCGTCTCTAAAACAAATAGAAAAATTAGCCAGGCATGGTAGTGTGCACCCATAGTCCCAGCTACTCGGGAGGCTGCAGTGGGAGAATCACTTGAGCCTGGGAGGTCAAGGGCTACGGTAAGCCTTGTGATCACGCCACTATATTCCAGCCTGCGAGACAAAGTGAGACCCTGTTGCACACAAAAAAATAAATAAATACAAGTAATTAAAATTAGTTTCACTTGTTTTTTCTTCTTCTTCTTTTTTTGAGACAAGGTCTTCCTCTGTCACCAAACCTGGAGTGTGACGGCCCATTCATAGCTCACTGCAGCCTTGATCTCCTGGGCTCAAGCCATCCTCCAGCCTCAGCCTCCTGAGTAGCTGGGACTACAGGCATGCACCACCATGCCTAGCTAATTTTTTGTAAAGACCAGGTCTCACTATGTTGCCCAGGCTGGCCTCAAACTCCTAGCTTCAAACAATCCTCCTGTCTCAGTGCCACAAAGCGTGGATTACAGGCATGTGCCACTGTGCCTGGCCCTATTTCTTCTTCTATGTGGCTATTAGAAAATTTAGTGGCTGGATGCAGTGGCTCACGCCTGTCATCCCAGCACTTTGGGAGGCCGAGGCGGGTGGATCACAAGGTCAGGAGTTCGAGACCATCCTGGCCAACATGGTGAAACCCCGCCTCTACTAAAAATACAAAAATTAGCTTGGCGTGGTGGCACATGCCTATAATCCCAGCTACTCAGGAGGCTGAGGCAGGAGAATCGCTTGAACTCAGGAAGCAGAGGTTGCAATGAGCCAAGATCAGGCCATTGCACTCCAGCCTGGGGGACAGAACGAGACTCTGTCTCAAACAAAAAAAAAAAAGAAAAAAAGAAAGAGAATTTAAAATTACACATGTAGCATGCAATATATATATATACTTTTTTTTTTTTTTTTTTAGACGGAGTCTCATTCTGTCGCCCAGGCTGGAGTGCAGTGGCATGATCCTGGCTCACTGCAACCTCCGCCTCCTGGGTTTAAGCAATTCTCCTGCCTCAGCCTCCTGAGTAGCTGGGATTACAGGTGCCTGCCACCAAGCCCAACTAATTTTTGTATTTTTAGTAGAGACGGGGTTTCACCATGTTGGTCAGGCTGGTCTCGAACTCCTGACCTCGTGATCCGCCCGCCTCGGCTTCCCAAAGTGCTGGGATGACAGGCGTGAGCCACCGCGTCCGGCCCAGCATGAATTATATTTTTATTTGACACTGCTATTTCAAAGCACTTGTAAGGTTTAGAAGCACCCTTGGGCTATTAAAAAAATCACTTTGGGAGGCTGAGGTGGGAGGATCGCTTGAGGCTAGGAGTTCCAAACCAACCTAGGCAACATAGGGGGACCCTGTCTCTACAGAAAATTTAAAAATTAGCAAGGCATGGTGGCACATGCATTTAGTCCAAGCTGCTCAGGAGGCTGAGGTGGAAGGATCGCTTGAGCCTGGGAGGTTGGGGCAGCAGTGAGCCAAGATTGCACCACTTACTGCACTCCAGCCTGGGCAACATAATGAGTCCCTGTCTCTATTAAAAAAAAAAAATTAACCGGGCATGGTGGTGTGCACCTGTAGTCCTAGCTACTTGCGAAGCTGAGGCAGGAGAATCACTTGAGCCCAGTAGTTCCAGATTACAGTGAGTCATAAAAGTGCTACTGCACTCCAGCCTGGGTGACAGAGTGGGAACCTATCTCTAAAAAACAAAACACAAGACATTTGCAGGGAATTACTCTTTATCCTCCAGCACTAAAAACTGCTTTCAGTGCTGAGCTCTCAAGTGAGGAAGCAGGTGCTCAGAGAGAGTGCTATTTCCTGGGCTGGGGCTGTGCCACCCAGAAATCGTTCTTGGGTGTCACAGTGGGTGAGGCAGACAGCGTAGGCCCAATTTCAGCCTCCAGCTCTAGGGAACAGAGACCACTGCCACCTATACTTCTCTACTCACTTGCCTTGTTCCCTGAAGTTTCTCTGGCAGATGGGTGATTGGGTGGGGAGAGGATGATGCCACTTGCCCGGGGGCTTCTTGCCAGGAACTGAAGAATCACCAGGAGGAAGAACAACAATCGGAGGAAAAACTCCAGCCACATAAGAAGTTAAATGTGCCGCAACCACCAGTGGCGAAATTGTGGACATCACAGGAGCAACCACAGCCATCACAGCAGCAGCCATCAGTGCAGCCACCATCACAGCCACCACCACAGCCATCAACATTGCCACAGGCACAGGTGTGGCCAGGGCCACAGCCACCACAACCACAGCCACCACCTCAGCCAACACAACCAAGTGCTCAAGCCCGTTGTACTCAGCACACCTCCAAATGCAATCTCCAGGATTCCCAAAGGCCAGGTCACCAGCCTACTTCAGCGGGGATCTACTAAGCTGGAGGGCAATCTCTGTATCAACAACAGATTCCAGGGTGGGCAGAAAATCCTTACAGACTCTGGACTGGAGCCTGGGAGTGGGAGGTGGTAAGGAGAGGAGCCCTTTGCTTCCATCCCGGCCCTGTAGTGTAGAATCCATATCTACCACCCTACCCTCTCTGACTCTCCCAAGTACCCTCGGCCTTTAATGCCTTGCTGGTCAACTCCCCCTGGGTGGGTTAATGCCAACCTACGGCTGCAAAGGAGCCTTCCAACTTCTGCAGAGAGTGGTTGAGAAGCTGTCGGCCCTTCTTCCAGAGTAAGCGTGACAGAGGAGGTGGGGGTGATCAGAGGGTGGGACATGAGTTGTAGGCTTATTAACAGATATACTGAGCCCCGTGAGGTCTGGAACAGGGAACCACAGCACAGCTTCCTAGTTGAGAATCTTCAGGAAGGGCTCAGTCTGTGCCCTGTCCCAGGTAGGAGCCTGTCCTCACTGCACCCCCATCACCCCCTGGGTCACCAGACACAAGCACTCCAGGCTTGCAGTATTCCATCCTTGGAAAACTGCTGGATGAGTAACCTGTACTTTGTTTCATCATCAGGTCTCATGAACCCATGCCAATCTAGCCCCATCAGAAACACTGGGTATTCACAACTCAAGGTAAGATAGGGACACAGACTGTGAAAGACAGACTCTGGGTGACAGAAAGAAAGAGAGAGAGAGAGAGAGAGTGTGAGTGTGTGTGTGTGTGTGTGTAGTCCAGAGAAACCTCCTTAGCAGGAGTAAGGGGAGGAGACTAGAATTATTTCAAATTACTTCTGGATGGTCTATTCCTCTATTCTTTGCCACCATTAAAAATGTTTGGGTAGGAAGCTGGGTGCAGTAGTCTTGGCTACTTGGGAAGCTGAGGCAGGAGTATTGCTTGAGCCCAGGAGTTCAGGTTCAGACATCTCCAAAAAAAAAAAAAAATTGAAAAAAATTGAAAAAAATTGAAAAAAAGCCAAGTGTGTGGGGCTCATGCCTATAATCCCAGCACTTTGGGAGATCAAGGTGAGAGGATCGCTTGAGCCCAGAAGTTTGAGACCAGCCTGGGCAACAGAGTGAGACTCCATCTCAACAACAACAAAAAATTTTAAAAACTAGCTGGGTAGCCAGGCACGGTGGCTCACACCTGTAATCCCAGCACTTTGAGGGGCTGAGGCAGGCAGATCATGAGGTCAAGAGATCAAGACCATCCTGGCCAACATGGCGAAACCCCATCTCTACTAAAAATACAAAAATTAGCTGGGTGGGTGGCATGTGCCTGTAGTCCCAGCTGCTCGGGAGGCTGAGGCAGGAGAATCACTTGAACCCAGGAGGAAAAGGTTGCAGTGAGCCAAGATCGTGCCACTTCACTCCAACCTGGTGACAGAGCGAGACTTCGTTTAAAAAAAAAAAAAAAACGAAAAAAAAAAACAAAACTAGCTGGGCATGGTGGCACATACCTGGAGTCCAAGCTACTTGGGAGGCTAAGGTGAAGATCGCTTGA
Organism: Homo sapiens; assembly: GCF_000001405.40. NCBI lineage: Eukaryota > Metazoa > Chordata > Mammalia > Primates > Hominidae > Homo > Homo sapiens. Next base: position 43,222,687 of record NC_000017.11, on the reverse strand, counting down.
GCACCAGAGGTTGAGGCTGCCGTAAGTGGTGATCACACCACTGCACTCCAGCCTGTGCAACAGAGTGAGACCCTCCCTGAAAGAAAAAAAAAAAAAAAGGAAAAAATGCCTGGGTATGGATGGCCTATTGCTCAGCGCTATCCATAAAATGATAGATGATACAACTTCCTCAACAGAGGTGGCATGAGGACTGAATATGGCAATTATTAATAAAGGAAAGGGGCCAGGCGCAGGGGCCCATGCCTGAAATCCCAGCACTTTGGGAGGCCGAGGTGAGCAGATTGCCTGAGCTCAGGAATTTGAGAACAGCCTGGGCAACATGCTGAGATGCCATCTCTACTAAAAATACAAAAAATTAGCCAGGTGTGGTAGGGCGCATCTGTAGTCCCAGCTATTCGGGAGACTGAGGCAGGAGAATCACTTGACCCCTGGAGGTGGAGGTTGCAGTGAGCCAGGATGACACCACTGCACTCCAGCCTGGGTAAAAGAGTGAGATAGACAGACAGACAGACAGAGGAAAGAGCATTAAAAGCACTTAGCTTGGAGTCCAGCTCATTGTAGGCTATCAAACTCAGGATGGCAACCTTTTTCTTTTTTTTTGAGACACAGTCTCACTCTGTTACCCAGGCTGGATCTCAGCTGCACTCCACCTGCAACCTCCACTTCCCGGGTTCAAATGATTCTCCTGCCTCAGCCTCCCGAGTAGCTGGGATTACAGGCATGTACCACCACGCCCAGCTAATTTTTATATTATTAGTAGAGATGGGGTTTTGCTATGTTGGCCAGGCTGGTCTCAAAAGATCTACCCGTCTTGGCCTCCCAAAGTGCTGGGATTACAGGTGTGAGCCACCACGCCTGGCCTGGATGGCAACTCTTAACAAGAATATATAATTGTGCAATTGTGCAAGGCATTGGAAAGGTGTCTCTGACAGAGGTGCAACAGATGAAAGAAACTGATGCTAGCACTTCTAGGATGAAGAGTGGGCTGCTACATTTCACTTTGATTCCTCTGGACTCAAGGGATTTCACACAATGTTCTGAAACCAGAAGCTGCTAACTTGTTTTGTTTCCTGTCTCTCCCTCTTCTCAGTCTACCAATTACATACAGCAGTGGTGATCCAGAGATTGAACCCAGGACCCCATGGCCATCCCCAAAATGCAGATGAGCAACCACATCTTCTCAGCATCCAGCAATATCTCCACTCCAAAAGCCACCCACTCTAGAAGAGGAGGCTGCCAGGAATAAAATGTAATTTTTTTCCTGGGAAGAATCACGGGACCGGACAGCTTTATGAGACAGGGATGAGAGGAAGAGGGCAGGAGGACTCACGAAGGGGATGGAGAGGGTGGAAAGAGAGTGGAAGGCAAGTTTATGCTTCTCTAGGCAAAGCCAATGGGAGAACTGGGTCTTGGGTCCCCCCCAAGTATGCAACTCCTACTACTATCACTACCTGCCCTCATTCAGCAGTGATAAGTCTGTGGGGGGCTTCAGTTTATGACTGTCACTGGAGCCATCACCCATTCCCCCAAGCCCATGCTTACTGAGATATAGCCTGGGGAAGGAGGGGTCGCATCACATCAGAGCAGGCCTGCAGCAGCAGAAAGTGGTGGCAGGCAGTGATGCTCCCCACCTCCAAGCCCAGTGCAATGGCTGGCCTACAGTGGGCACTCAGCTGTCAAATGGACAATGGAGGCAGGGATGGAGCGAAAGAGCTTGGAGGAAACGGAGGCTATAGCCTCAGGAACATGACACCTGACCCTGGGAAGGGGAGGGAGTCTTGCCTTCTAAAACCCACAGCCCTCTCCCTTCCTGGCTCTCAGCCTCTCCATCTAGCAGAGACAACCCAGAGGTTCACCAGCCCAAGGTGAAGGAGTGGGTAGGGCTGGGGGCCCTGGGTGTTAGACTTCAGGAAGGTGCAAGCCCTGGGAAAGCCTTTCTTCCTCCATGCTGAGAAAGGCTGCCTCAGTCACCTCAATCACAAGCCCCGTCCGAGGCATCAGCTGCGTATTTCATTTTAGCCTACATAGCATTGCCTTTGGTCTGAAGGGGCCGTTTCAGTGCAACCCACGAAATTTCCTGATGAGAGCAGCTGGGGAAGATAACGGGATGGTGGTGGCACAGAACAGGAATAGTAAAATTGGAAGAGACTTTAGAGATACACAATGGGAGCAAGAGGGAGAGTGAGGTCCTGTGAGCAATCTCACGGAAAACAGAAGGGCAGGATATGTCATCAGTGGCTCAGAGGCCTGGGGAAGAAACCTTGCTGCCCGTTAGAACATTAAGGAAACAGTTTCTGCCAGGTGCAGTGGCTCATGCCTGTAATCCCAGCACTCTGGGAGGCCGAGGCGGGCAGATCGCTTGAGGCCAGGAGTTTGAGACCAGCCTGGCTAACATGATAAAACACTGTCTCTACTAAAAATACAAAAATTAATTTGGTGTGGTGGTGCATGTCTGTAACCCCAACTACTCAGGGAGTCTGAGGCACGAGAATCACTTGAACACAGGAGGCAGAGGTTGCACTGTGCCAAGATCATGCCATTGCACTCTAGCCTGGGTAACAGAGCGAAACTGTCTCAAAAAAAAAAAAAAAGAAAAGTTTGTGAAATAGGGAGTATCCACTAGCTCCCTTCCCACTCCCAGGAGACTTTTTTGAACACTCTTAAGTATAGTTTATTGAATACAATATAAATACTTCACATTTGGCAGTCTATACACAGCAGCTCCAGCCTGGCTTCCCTGGACTTTTGCGCTCTTGCCAACACCACCCTGACCTCAGCTTGGAGACAGCAGTCTCCTTCCTTCCCCTCGTTCCCCCAGCCAGCTAGTTACCAAGTTCTGTCACCACTTCTCCCTCTCCATGCATCCTACTTCAAAATTAGCTTTCCCTGCTCACCTGTGTTCATCGTTCTGTCTGAATGATAAAGAGACAGCCATCTTTTTTTTTTTTTTTTTTTGAGACAGAGTCTCGCCCTTGTTGCCCAGGCTGGAGTGCAGTGGTGCGATCTTGGCTCACTGCAACCTCTGCCTCCCAGGTTCAAGTGATTCTCCTGCCTCAGCCTCCTGAGTAGGTGGGATTACAGGTGTGCGCCATTACGCCCAGCTCTTTTTTTTTTTTTAAACGGGGTCTTGCTAATGTTGCTGCTCATGTTAAACTTGAATTCCTGGGCTCTAGAGATCCTCTCACCTCAGCTTCCTGAGTAGCTGGGACTACAGGTATATACCACTGCACCCAGCTGTAAGACCAAGCCACCTTTAATGAACAAATATCCTTCCTGTTCTGCTAAAGTACAGAAACTATTTCTACTAGGAGCCAGTGGGAACCTAGGGGTTATCTGGAGCTTAGCTCCAGCTAAGTGACAGGAAAGGGAGGGTCTAGACCAGTCCCTGCTGATGTGCTGCTCCACATTGTCAAAGCCCAAGGAGAGATGAGGCCTCTGGGACCAGAGAGGGCCCTGGTGCTAAGGTGGTGGTGGAACAGAACCCAGCAGCCTTCAGCTGGATACTGATAGCTTCATCTCCTGAAGGCTTTCAGATGACAGCAGCTGGACCCACCGTTTTACCTACCTGTGTCCACTCACATGGGCTCAGGATGTGGACTTAGAGGCTCTCCTTTAATAAATATCTTATACAATGATTCTGTCTTTGGCTCTGTTTTTCCTGTGCAGGCCCGCAGAGTGCCAGGTGCCTCTCTCCCCTCCTCTACTATTTTGGCTCCTGCTATGAAAAGAATAGTAAAACTACTTTATAGAGAGGAGACGCTTTAGCTGGAGAACAACTCTGTCTTCCTAGGAACCAGGGACAGTCAATAACCAGAAAGGACAGAGGGCTAAAGGGCCTTGGCTAATCTTACTATCAGATGGGTGGCAGACAAGTTACCAGAGAGAAGCAGACTATCACTTTTTCACATGGTCAAAGCAGATAGGCACAGAAAAGCATCTATGATCCCCTGAAAGTCCTTGGAGATGGCACTGGATATCCCCAAATTTTCTTATCAGAGGGTAGAAAACTTGAAAAGAGTCTTTTTTTGAGACAAAGTTTTGCTCTTTTGCCCAGGCTGGAGTGCAGTTGCACGATCTTGGCTCACTGCAACCTCTGCCTTCCGGTTTCAAGTGATTCTGCTGCCTCAGCCTCCCGAGTAGCTGGGATTACAGGCGCATGCCACCACACCCAGCTAATTTTTGTATTTTTAGTAGAGACAAGGTTTCACCATGTTGACCAGGCTGGTCACGAACTCCTGCCCTCAAGTGATCCACCCACTTCGGCCTCCCAAAGTACTGGGATTACAGGTGTAAGCCACTGCGCCCAGCCGGCAGGTCCATGTTTTAAAAGCCAGATAAAACTACAGCTCTCTCCACATTCAGACGGGACAGCCAGCCCTGATGGAGCTGGGGTGAAATGCCCCCTTCAGACTGACCAGGTGCTCAGTACAGAAAGGCCAGGTGCCACTCCAGGGAATCTAAGGTGCCTCAAGAAAATGCCAGGTCAGATTTTCCTCAAGAAAGACCAGCCAGGCACAGGCTCACATCTGTAATCCAAGTGCTTTGGGAGGCCAAGAAGGGAGGATCGCTTGAGCCCAGGAGTTCAAAACCAACCTGGACCAACAGTGAGACTCTGTCTCTACCAAAAAAAAAACAAAAAACTAACCAAGGGCAGAATCTGATGGCAGCCCCTGAAAGAATCTGGGGGAAACTGGAGGATATGAGTGTGTGTGTATGAAGTTAACTTCAAAGCAAGCTTCCTGTGCTGAGGGGGTGGGAGGTAAGGGTGTGATGAGGCAGGGCTTCTCCTTTGGCAAAGCCTCTGTAGTCCTTCCTTAGTCACCAGGGAGTTGTGGGAGATATAGACCAGGGTTGCAGGTGCCTGGAGTACAGGGACAGCAGACAGGTCATGGTGGGTGAGGGGTCAGCTGGTGGGGCACAGATGCGTTTCCTCGGCAGTCCACATATTCATAGCTCTGAAAGACCAGCTGCTCTGAATGGCTCAGGTATGAACAGGTCAGGGTGCCCCTGGAGAGGAAGCAGGCCTTGTTGCCATGGCTGGGAGGAAAAGGAAAGCTCTGGCCCCATTATACTGTCTGGGGGTGGGGAGCGGGGAGCTCCCTCATTTGCCCTTCCCTCTGGCTCCCCACTCTGCCAAGGTACCTGGGACAGCTGCCCCACCTGTTTTCCAGCAGCTTCCAGACAGCCCTATGCCTGTTGCCCCTAATAACTTATAGGCAAGGTGAGACTCAGAAAAGGGGCTAGACTTGCTATTCCCAAGAGCCAACAAAGATTCATGGGGTCAGCTTGGAAGACTCTCTGCCCATGAGGTGTAGCTGAGTGAGAATGAAGTCAGAAGTGAGAGCAGGGATACCAGAGCTCCAAGCTCTACTTACTGGATGTGCAAAAGCACATGGTGGACTTTGATTTCCAGCCAGGTACAGATTTTGCTGAGAGAGAAGAAAAGAGAACGTGGGACCACGTGTCACATGGAGCAGCCTGTCAGCTCAGAAGATGCCTGCAGGTCCCAGTTTCCTTACCCCACAGAACTCTTTCCTTCCATCAGGTGCCCCCAAAATGTCACTCCCACCCCTTCCCACCCTTCAGGTGAGTGTAGCAGCATGGCTGCACTATCACTCTGACCTCCACTCACTTGGCCCAGGCACATGCTGGACCCCCATTCAGGAGACAGACAAAACATTCTTCTTCCTCAGCAATGCAGGCTGAAGAGCCCAAGGTCACATATTGTAAAGATTAACCAAATTCCAGCCTGTTTTTCATTCTAATCAAGGTCCAAACAAGCAGAGGCTGGGGACCCTGAACCCTTGCTTATTACATTCTCGGCCATGGGAGGGCAGGCCAGATGCTGGCTGAAGAATTTGCTAAGCAATCAGGAAAGCTGGTGGGTATTAATTGGGTCCCTAAGCCAGGCAAGTGGCTAGGGGAGAAGAGATCAAGGGGTACTCACTATGTGTTTTCATCCCGTATCTTGGTAGCTACTGCGTAAAACATCTGTCAACCAAATGGGCACAGGGTTAGCCCCAACTCCAGCTGCCCCTTTCCCACTACCACACATCCACACACCAGTGGGCAGGGCTGGCCAGGGAGAGGGGAGTCACCTGTTCACTGGCCAAAGGGCCAATGTGTAGGAGAAGGTTGTTGGAAACCTGCCCCACCACGAGGGACAGGTGCAGAACCTCGAGGGTCAGCTGTGTCACCATAATGGGGTAGTAGTTGCCATTGGAGATGTTTAAGATATTCTGGGGATGAAGACAAGGGAAGGGAGGAGTGAAGATGGCCCATCCTTAGGAAAAGCCAAACAGTTGCAAAAGCCTGGCTGTCTGGCCTGAGCCCCATCTACCATGACAAGCTTCAGGTGCAGAGGATGAAAACTGGGAGCCCCTTGGAGGGGCATTGAATGGTGAGGGGTCAACTTTACGAAGTTAAGCTGCCTCAGGATCCAGGTCCATCCTGTACAGCTTCTTTCCATTCAGTCCTGTCCATCCAGAGAGTCTCAGGCACTGTCACCCCACTCCACCCCTGTGGTTTACTTATCTGGCCCGGATTCTGACCCCTTACTGTGTAGAGTCCCAATCCTTACCATCTGTCATGGAGCTCATGGTTGCTCCTACTTCTCTTCAGGCTCCCAACACCCTCTGGGTGCCATAAGATCTCTGGCTTCCCATGCCCAGGGTCATAACACTGGACAAAGGTTACAGCGAAGTATTGCTAGGAAGGGGGGTTTGGAGCCAAGGGCACCCACCCACCGTTATGTTGAGGTAGATATCAGCCTCATCAAAGGCCACTGTGGAGGAGTTGAGGCCTGCAGGCTGCACAATGACGGACCGGGGAAACAGGAAAAAGACGATGAAGGAGGAGGTCACCAGGCAGATGAGCACGGCCAGGAACACAAAGAGCTTCCTGTGGGAAAGCAGGACCCAGGATGGAGGAATGGAAAAGTCTGAACACCAAGGAAACTCGGAGAGGGGGTTCAGACACTCCTCTCCATATACAAAGCTTTCCCCTGCACACTACCCCAACAACATTTAGCTCCCCAGATGTGGCCCGGAATGAGTAGGAGCACAGGATTGGCAGGCAGGCAGCCTGGTTTCCACTCCCAGATCTCTGTTCCCATTGACCCAATAACATGGAGCAGCCCACTTAGCCTCCTTAAGTCTCAGTTTCCTTGTTGGTAAAAGGCAGATAATTGTACTGACCTCACAGAATTTGTTATCGGCTAATATATGAAAAAATACTAATCACAGGTCCCTGCACATGGCAAAAGCACAATGAATGCTAGTTATTATCACTAGAAGAAATAAGTCCATATTTGGAAGTTCTGAATTTTAACATTCAGAACAGGACACCATCCATCCAATTCAAAATTCAGATATGCATTAAAGAGATAGTACTTTGTTAGTATCTTATGATGTGCACTGCTAATTTCTTTTTTTTTTCTTTTTTTTGAGATGGAGTCTTGCTGTGTCGCCCAAGCTGGAGTGCAGTGGCACGATCTCGGCTCACTGCAACCTCCACCTCCCGGGTTCACGCCATTCTCCTGCCTCAGCCTCCTGAGTAGCTGGGATTACAGGTGCCTGCCACTATGCCCGGCTAATTTTTGTATTTTTAGTAGAGGCGGTTTTGCCATGTTGGTCAGGCTGGTCTCAAACTCCTGACCTCGTGATCTGCCCGCCTTGGCCTCCCAAAGTGCTGGGATTACAGGGTTTTTTTTTGTTTTTTTTTTTTTTTCAGATGAGGCCTCGCTCTGTTGCTCAGGCTGGAGTGCAGTGGCATGATCTTGGCTCACTGAAGCCTCCACCTCCTGGGTTCAAACAATTCTCCTGCCTCAGCCTCCCAAGTAGCTAGGATTACTGGTGTCTGCCACCACGCCCAGATAATTTTTCTATTTTTAGTAGAGACAGGGTTTCGCCATGTTGGCCAGGCTGGTCTTGAACTCCTAACCTCAGGTGATCCGCCTGTCTTGGCCTCCCCAAAGTGCTGGGATTACAGGCATAAACCACCACGCCCAGCCTGATTTCTAATTCTGGTATAGTGGGGTGGCGGAGAGGGTTCGGCTTGGTGGTGACTCCCAGGTTGACACCAGGACCTTGGGAGGAGGTTGAGGGAGCTCCATGTCAGATGGACTCAGATCACAAACACAGTAGGCCCCAGGTCTGCCTGAGGTTCTGAAGTATCCCAGAACAGCGGACAATAGGTTTTTCATCTCTACTAGAAGAAAAACAAGCAAATCTGAACTGCCTCAGCAAGGGAGGTGCTTAAGAAAAATAACATTTTCAAATCAATTGCAGCCAGGGCCACATGCTTGTTCCCTCCTTCCTGGGAGGACTTGCAGAGCTACCAGATCCTTCCTGTCTTGGAGAGGGGGCCATGCTTTCTGGAAGCAGTGATGCTTAAGGAAGCCCACCAGGTGGCCTCAAGTGACATCTGCTGTGCCCACAGCTGCTGCTTTTTTCTTTCTTTCTTTCTTTTCTTTTTTTTTTTCTTTTTTTTTTTTTTTTTGATAGAGATGGGGTTTCACCATGTTGCCCAGGCTGGTCTTGAACTCCTGAGCTCAAGTAATCTGCCTGCCTTGGCCTCCCAAAGTGCTGGGATTACAGGCATGAGCCACCACACCCGGTCCAGGAGCTTCTAAATCAGGAAAAAATCCTTGGACGTAAGGAGCTGGTACCTCTGAGGCTCAGGCTTTCTATGGAAGAACTAATAGGAAGAAATTAAGGGAGATCAAAACAGGGGAGACAAAGGGAGCAGCCCCCAGGGGCAATGGCTTGTGAAGCTAGGGGAGGAAGGGGGGCTTACGTGTGCTTGGGCTTCAGCCTCTGGTCCCCATAGGGAATGAGAGCCACCAACTGCTTCTCCAGCTCTAGAGAGAGAGAAGGTGAGAGGGAGGGCCAAGATGCAACTGTGACAAATATTTACTGTGCCAGCTTCCCAGAAGCACGCCTCCACCCACACCATAGAGCAATGTTAGAAACATGCCACATCTGCCCCAGAGCAGGACTGGAAGCACTGGACTCTGCTACCAAAGTTGGCAGCTCAGCTTTGCCATCTCTAGAATGGAAGTGAGATTTCCACTAATAGGTATGAAGAATCTCTGAAAGTCACCAGCAAATCAGAGATGCCCAGCATCTTTGGAAAGTTCATTTGTAACTTCCTGAACTGAATGAATCCTAGGACACACAGTGTTGCTCAGAAGCACAGTGGCTAGAATCCTTCTTTCCCACAAGGGGCTGGAGAATACAACCAGGGAAGGAGGGCAGGTTTTTGCAGGGAACCCAAGGATAGTTAAGTATCTCCCTGGCCAGCCTGAGACTGGGAGGTCAAGAGCTGGGAGCAGATCTAACCCCATCCAAGGAGACTCAGAGGGGCTGCCCCAGGCCAACAGGCTAAGAACTTTCCCTGGATTCCAGGCTATTTCCAGAGCCTTGGGCCACTCACCTTGGGGAATCTTGCCACTGCCCTGGCAGGTGGGACAAGTCACGAAGCTGGCATCAGCAGTTCCTTCACAAGGCACACAGGAACAAAAAGACTTGCTGCTACCGGTGCTGGAGTAGTTGACAGCCTTGCTGCCAATGGCTGGTTTGGAGGACAGGATTGACTTGTTCTCATCCTCCCGCCAAGAGCCCAGCTGGGAAAACGTCTTACCCATTCTTCAGGGGCGGGGGTTTCACTAATGAGAAAAGACCAAAGTTCAGTGCTAAGCTTGTTAGCACTGACGCCAGATGTAATTTTGGTTTGAAGTTCTCAAGACTGGCAAGGAGCTTCACCACAGTTTAAGCAAGCTCAAGCCTAAGGAAGATAGGATGTGAAAAACTGGGTGGTCACATGGGACTCTCAGAAGTCTCAATGCATTTCGACTCCTTTCATTATTTTAAAAGAGACCAATCTGCCTACAAAAGGGAAAACAAAAGAAAAGCAGAAGTTACTTCACTTTAAGGAACTTCCATAAGTGATTGTCAGAGCATTTAATTTTTCTCTGGAAAAGTTGCTGAGCTGTCATTCAGTTTAAGGGAAGGAAGTTGGATAGGGCAGAAAAGAGATTCTTTGAATCAAGGAGAGAGGAGGCCAGACTGGTCACAGGTGTGGTTAAGACCCCTATCTAAAGAAGCCCTGGGAGAAAGCAGACACCTCACTGCTTTCTGAGGCGGGGTAAGAAAGCCTGAGGAGGGTCATAGTGATACCAGGGTCTGTCTTTCACTAGGAAAACTCAAGGCTAAATCTGGACTCTGTGTGACAGAACGAGGCCGGCAAGTGAGCCACACAGATCTTTCTGGGCTAAAATATAGGGATGCTCACCTTGTTCAGGTCTGGGATCCCAGGCTCCTCAGCCGCACGAGGGCGAGACTTCTGGAGTGCGTCTTTGGGGAGAAGGGCCTCTAAGGGCAGAGTGGGCTGGGCTGGGCTGAGCTGAGCTGGGCGGTGGTGGGGAGAAGCACCGCCTGGGGCCGGCAACCGGCCGGAGTCCTAGGGGAACGAATGTGCCGCACTGGAGAGTGGGGATAGTAAGGACGCTGACCTCCCCGAAGGGCCAAGCCGATTCCTGGGCTACATGGGGGCTCTGCCATGGGCCGACCGGGTGGAAGCGGACGGAGAAGGTGTGACTTCATTAAGGGAGGATTTCAAGTCCCACCACACACCCCTAGAGGCCGTTAGTCAAGCTTGGTACCCGTGCGGGGGGCGCCTGTGTGTTGGGCGAGGAGGCGGCAACAGGAGGTGTCTTGACCTCCGAAAGGTAAAGTAGGTATAAAGGGTCTAGGGAGGGCCTTACCCGCGGACGACTGCAGCGACAGAAACGGAAGAGAGTGGAATCGAAAATGCGGGAGCGAACACTCCCCTCAAGCTTTGACTCAGTGCCCAGGGAAGTCCCGCCCCAGCCCCTAAGGGCCCACCCCCCCGTCCCCCGGTCCGCCCCTTCGCCACGCAGCAGCCTGAGACGCTGCCAGCTCTTCAAACGTTACCCGAGGGCCCGGACGCTGCTTCCGCAAGGACTAGCCAGTCCGGGTAGGAATTTCCAAGAACATTTATTTCACCATTCTTTAGGTGGTTATGTACAAGTACATACATAACCAGGAGAGCAACCCGGGCCCTCCTGGCCCTCGATTATAAAACTCCGATGGTCAAGACAGGTCCCACCCATCAACCCAATTACACCCTGCCGCTCCACCTTCTACCCGGAAGCCCCGATTAAAACGTTTTAAATAATGAACGGCCTGGCTGGCTTGCAGTTTGAATCCTGGTTTATTTAAGTAGCATTCAGGAGTTATACTGTAAATAAACATCATTATGGCTAATGACTAATTAAAATCACCATTCATTACAAATACCAACCAGGTTAGATAATACTATTAACTATCTTTTCCCCTTCGGTCTGGGGTTCATATTCTTCCTTTTCTGGAAGTCATTTTCATGGATAAAATATTTAGCATTTTTTGTTACCTCTTCCTTCACCAACTGTACTCAACACACTTCTGTAAACAGAGTGAGAACCTGGGTTCATGGACAAGCTCTTTTCCACTTATCTTCGGGTTAAACCAAAACTTTTTCAGCAACTTTGCCCCTGTCCAAGTTTTGCAGAACACCAGCTGCCTCTTCCTGTTCTAGGCATTCTAGGGCTAGATACCTGTGAACGGACTTCAAGCATTAAAGAAGTCATCAGCATTTCCTATACCTCACACACACTCATTTGCCCACCCTGAACTTCACTGACATTAATTTAGGAGCCTGCCTTTTGCCTTTCACATGTTTCTATTTCCCCCACTGTACTGTAAAATAAGATCTGCCCTGACATTAAGAAAAAAGGCAACTGTTAAATTTACTTTTCCCTTTAAATAACGGGATTTTTTCCTTTTCTATAAGATTAGCAAAATATTTCACAATACCTATATTTTTTCCCTTAAATAAAAATGTATGCAAAATTACTATAATAGACATTGCTCAATAGGTGCTGGTAGGTTTATCAGCACACTCTTCCTCCTTTCATTGAAATGCGGAGATTCCCTTGAAGTTGGATACTCTTGAATGCACCATGGAGTCTTTAGAAAGCAACGGTGCCAATTATTAAGTATTGCAGGAAAATTACTTTCTCCTTGAGAGAGGAAGAGTAACAACATTTCTATCATGCTCTGGGTGTTATTTCAATGCCAAATAACTATGAAGCTTGAGGTGGATTACAGAAATTATGAGAATAAGAATTATGAGAATAATTCTTAAAAACAACTTCCGAGGTTAATGTCTTTCAAAACCTGAAAATTAACAGATATCCCCATAAAAAATCCACATTAGCCAAAGAAAAATACTCAGTTTCAATAAAAGCAGAAAGAAAAATGGTTCTATATGAAGTTGAAGTTACACTTGTCAATGCACTAAAATAGTTTTATCCAAATCAACTGAAAAACTGTCTTCATACTATTCATCCAATGTCTAAAGTGAAAATTTAAGTTCTGGTCTTTAGTTTGCTCCCCAAAATACTGTAGCAGGTATTGTCTTGGTAACTCAACGATGGGCTCTATACAGATTCATCAGATTAAAAATAAGCAAGGGCTTCTATCCCATACCCCAATGACAGAATAAAGATCATCTCTGAGCAGCAGGCAGTTATTTAATACAAGGTCACTCCTCAATAGCGTTGGCTGTACCAGTCGTTGTTGTTTAACTGAAGAAGTTCTGTCACAACCTGCAGGATATTGTAATTGTGTTTCTTCAGCAGCCGTAGGTTCAGCTGCCTGTCACAGAATCCCATTTCAAAGAGATGGGCCATCAGGGCTGCTGTCTGATCTTCAGAAATTATTGGCTGTGTAGAGACAAGCAAAGCAAAAAAAAAAAAAAAAATTCTGTATAATTTAAATGTTTATTTTATACATTTGTATCATCTTGCAAGCATACTAGTCTTTCCAGATTTATTCAAAGTACTAGGTAATTAGATTCAAGGCTATGGCACTCCTGTGTACTTGATACCAACGGTTCGGACTGGGAAGGCCCTATTTTAGATTAGTTATCTGTGTACTTGAAGGAGGAGAAAAGGGAAACCGGGGAGCTAATGAACTGTACTTAGAACCAGGAGAATGCTTCACTCGGGGCTTTCAGGAAGAAGCATTTTTTGGCCAGATGAAGGAATGACAGCAAGCCCCAGAGACCCTGTGAACATAAGTGTAATTGTGATGATGGGGGAAGTATGAGCAAGATAAAAGTGTTACTGAAAGATGCTATGGGAAATTTTGTCAGATATGCAGAGGAGCTGGACAAAAAAAACAGCTTGGGAAATTACAACCTGGGAAGGCTTCTTGATTTTTTCTCCTCCAAAAGAATAGGTAAGAGGGGCTGGGTGCGGTGGCTCACACCTGTAATCCCAGCACTTTGGGAGGCTGAGGCGGGCGGATCATGAGGTCAGGAGATTGAGACCATCCTGGCTAACACAGTGAAACCCCATCTCTACTAAAAATACAAAAAATTAGCCAGGCGTGGTGGCAGGCGCCTGTAGTCCCAGCTACTCGGGAGGCTGAGGCAGGACAACGGCGTGAACCCAGGAGGTGGAGCTTGCAGTGAGCCGAGATCGCGCCATTGCACTCCAGCCTGGGTGACAGAGCGAGACTCCATCTCAAAAAAAAAAAAACAAGAATAGGTAAGAGGAAGTTAACATTCATTCATTCAAGCCCTGTGGTGGAAGCATTACCTTCCTAAATCCTTAAACGCTTGTTTTGTTGTTGTTGTTGTTTTGTTTGTTTTTTGAGACAGGGTGTCACTCTGTTCCCCAGGCTGGTGTGCAGTGGTGTGAACACAGCTCATTGCAGCCTCAACCTCCTGGGCTCAAGTGATCCTCCTGCCTCAGCCTTCCAAATAGCTGGGACCACTGGTCTGCGCTACCACGCCCGGCAAATTTTTAAATTTTTTACTAGAGATGAGGTTTCCCTATGTTGCCCAGGCTGGTCTTGAACTTCTGGGCCCAAGTGATCCTTGAACTTTGGTCTCCCAAAATGCTGGGATTATAGATGTGAGCCACCTCGCCTGGCCTCTGGTTCTGTTATTATCCCAATTTCACAGACTGGGGATACTGAAACTGTGCAGCAGAAAGATTATTAACTTGGGAGGCAGATAGGCTTAGACTCAAACCCTAATCTTCCATTTACTTACCAACTGTGCTATCAATTCCTTTATGAACTGAAGATATATCATACCTCCTACTTTGCAGGGTTGTTGAAAAAGTATGTAAAGATGAGAACAGTATGCAAACATGTTAAGCATTTCCCTCCAAACCTGATTCCACTGTTCCATTCTACCTTCTTATTTCAGAATAGATTATCCATCCTCCTTTGCAGGTTAATGGAATGTACCTTGCATTGTATCTTATTACCTCTCACCACTTCAGAAATCTTTCTCCATCTCCAATCTGTCTTCTCATCTTTATCATTAACCTCTTTCACTGCTGGCTTGCCCATCTCTAAAGTCTCACCCAACTTTAAAAATGCTTCCTCTTGTCTTATGTATCCTAGCTTCTGCCTGTTGTAGCCTGTCTATTTGAAAGTGTGGCATACTTCTACTCTCAAATTCCTCACCACCAGTTCATATCTCTCTGTAGCATCTAACACCGTTGACCATGTCCCCCTTATTAAAACACCCTTCCTTAAGTTCCAGCATAGAACTCTCTCTCTTCATTTTCCTCCTAGTTCCCAGCTTTCTTTCAGAGTATTCCTTTCCCTGATCCTTAAAGGTTGCTTCTTGCTTTCCCCATTATTCCTGGATCATCTCATTCCATCAGATGGCTTCTGCTATAATCTGTAGGCAAGTGACTCTCAAGCATGTATCACCAGGCCAAATCCCTCCCCTGTGATCTGGATGGATACCGTTGGCTTGCCATTATCTGTGGGTTCCTCATCTATGGATCAGTCACCAAAGGACTGAAAATATTTGGGGAGAAAAAAAGGAACACGTACAAACTTTTTTGTCATTATTCCCGAATACCGTATAACAACTATTCAGATAGCATTTACATTGTATTGGGTATTGTAAGTAATGTAGAGATGAAGTATATGAGATGGGCTGGGTGCAGCGGCTCAAGTTTCTCATCCCAGCAATTTGGGAGGCTGAAGTGGGAGGATTGTTTTGAGGCCAGGAGTTAGTTGCCCTAGGCAACACAGTGAAACCCCATCTCTTCAAAAAGATTTTTAAAAAACTAGCTAGGCATGGTGGTGCCCACCTGTAGTCCCTGCTACTCAAGAGGCTGAGGTGAGAGGATTGCTTGAATCCAAGAGTTCTAGGCTGCAGTGAGCTACAATCTAGTTATTGCACTCCAGCCTGGATGACAGAGCAAGACCCTGTATCTAAAAAACTAAAACTAAACAAGCAAGCAAGAAGATGTGCCTAGGTTATATATAAATACTACACTATTTTATATAAGGGACTTAAGCATCTATGGATTTCAGTATCCCACAGGGGGTCCTGGAGCCAACCGTCATAGATACTGAGGGACAACTATATATCCAGCTGCACTCTGGATATCTTTACCTTTACCTGGATATGCCACAAACTCAACACTGTCCAGCAAAACTGACCTAGTTCTCTTCTTCTGCTCTTAATGAATGGTACTAAGCCAGAAACTTGGGATTTATCCTTGACTTTTTCCCCTCCACCCCAAGATAGTGTCTGGCTTTGTTGCCCAGGCTGGAGTGCAGTGGCATGACCTCAGCTCACTGCAGCCTCTGCCTCTGGGGCTCAAGCTATTCTCCCACCTAAGCCCCCCAAGTAGCTGGGACTACAGGTGTGCGCCACCAAGTCCGGCTAATTTCTTTGTATTTTTTGTAGAGATAAGGTTTCACTATGTTGCCCAGGCTGGTCTCAAACTCCTGAACTCAAGTGATCTGCCCACCTTGGCCTCCCAAAGTGCTGAAATTACAGATGTGAGCCACCGTGCCCAGCCTATCCTTCTTTTTAGCCACTTAATCATCATCTCAAAGTTATGCCATTTCCATCTCTTAATTATCTTTTCTACCCTTCCTTTCCACCAATACATGGATTCTCTTAGGGATTTCCTTTTTTTTTTTTTGAGACGGAGTCTCGCTCTGTCACCCAGGCTGGAGTGCAGTGGCATGATTTCAGCTCACTGCAACCTCTGCTTCCCAGGTTCAAGCAATTCTTCTGCCTCAGACTCCCGAGTAGCTAGGACTACAGGCACGTGCCACCACGCCCGGCAATTTTTGTATTTTTAGTAGAGATGTGGTTTCACCATATTGGCCAGGCTGGTCTTGAACTCCTGACCTCGTGATCTGCCCGCCTCGGCCTCCCAAAGTGCTGGGATTACAGGCATGAGCCACCACGCCCAACTGGATTTCTTTACTGGCTCTACCAGCCTCTACAATGTAGCCGGTAATCTTACTAAAAACAGATCTCATCATGTCAATCACTTCCTTAAAACCCTTCAATTGCTCCTCCTATTAATTAGCCTTAAAATAAAATCCAAACCTCATAACACAGCATCCTGCCTACATATTTGGTCTGTTTTTCTTTTTCTTTTTTTTTTTTTTTGAGACAGAGTCTCGCTCTGTCACCCAGGCTGAAGTGCAGTGGCGCAATCTCGGCTCACTGCAACATCCGCCTCCCAGGTTAAAGCGATTCTCCTGCCTCGGCCTCCTGAGTAGCTGGGATTACAGGCACGTCACCACGCCTAGCTAATTTTTGTATTTTTAGTAGAGATGGGGTTTCACCATGTGGGTCAGGCTGGTCTCGAACTCCTGACCTCATGATCCACCCGCCTCAGCCTCCCAAAGTGTTGAGATTACAGGCGTGAGCCACCACACCCAGCCTTTTTTTTTTTTTTTTTTTTGAGACATGGTCTCACTCTGTCACCCACATTGGAGTTCAGTGGTGTGATCTCAGCTCACTGCAACCTCTGCCTCCCGGGCTGAAGTGATCTTCCCACCTCGGCCTCTTGAGTATCTGGGACCACAGGCGTATACCACCATGCCCAGCTAATTTTTTATGTTTTTAGTAGAGACAGGGTTTTGCCCTGTTGCCCAAACTGGTCTTGAACTCCTGGACGCAAATAATCGACCAGCCTTGGCCTCCCAACCTGTTGGGATTACAGGTGTGAGCCACCAAGCCCAGCCAGTCTTTTTTCGTCTTACTCCTCTTCTTAGACCGGATTCACACTCCATGCTCACATTTCCAAGTCTTTTTTACTGGCTACACTGTCTACAATACCCTTTCCCTCCCTCTTTCCTGATGAACATTTACTCCGTCCTTTAGGACTCAGTTCAGGCATCATCTACCAGAAAGCCTTACTTGGGCACACCAGGCTGAAGTGTTTCATCTGTCTGATAGCACTGGCATAGTATCTTTCTTTTTTTTGAGATGGAGTCTCACTCTGTTGCCCAGGCTGGAGTGCAGTAGCACAATCTCAGCTCACTGCAACCTCCACCTCCCAGGTTCAAGTGATTCTCCTGCCTCAGCCTCCCAAGTAGCTGGGATTACAGGCACACATCACCATGCCTGGCTAATTTTTGTATTTTTAGTAGAGACGGGGTTTCATCATGTTGGCCAGGATGGTCTCGAACTCCTGACCTCACGATCCGCCCGCCTCAGCCTTCCAAAGTGCTGGGATTACAGGCATGAGCCACCACACCCGGCCAGCATAGTATCTTACTATGTACTTTAAGTATCCATGCACCTCACTTGTTTCCCATAGTTTCTGGGCAAGACTCAGTGTCTTTTTTGTTGTTGTTTTTTGAGACAGGGTCTCGCTCAGTCACCCAAGCTGGAGTGCAGTGGCTCCATTGTGGCTCACTACGGCAGCCTCAACCTCCGGTGCTCAAGTGATCCTCCCACCTTAGTTTCCCAAGTAACTGGGACTGTAGGTGCATGCCATCATACTTTTTTTTTTTTTTTTTTAAGATGGAGTCTTGTTCTGTCGCCAGGCTGGAGTGCTGTGGTGCCATCTCGGCTCACTGCAAGCTCTGACTCCCTGGATCAAGCAATTCTCCTGCCTCAGCCTCCCGAGTAGCTGGGACTACAGGTGCCTGCCACCACGCCCAGCTAATTTTTGTATTTTTAGTAGAGACAGGGTTTCACCATGTTGGCCAGGATGGTCTCGATCTCCTGACCTTGTGATCCGGCCTGCCTCGGCCTCCCAAAGTGCTGGGATTACAGGTGTGAGCCACTGTACCGGCCATACTTATCTAATTTTTAAATTTTTTTGTAGAGATGGGGGTCTCACTATGTTGCCCAGGCTGGTCTCAAACTCCTGGGCTCAAGCAATCCTCCCACCTTGGCCTCCCAAAGTACTAGGATTACAGGTAAGAGCCACCATACCCGGCCAAGAACTGGTGTTTTATTCATGCCATAGTGCCAACACCTGGAATAGCTTCTCTCTATAGAAAATATTAATAGATCATCAATAATACATTCTTCTCTTTTCTTCCCTTAAGTAACTTGGCTAAAGTCATATAGTTAGAAAGTGGCAGAGTTGGCCAGGTGCGGTGGCTCACACCTGTAATCCCAGCACTTTGGGAGGCTGAAGCGGGAAGATCATGAAGTCACGAGATTGAGACCATCCTGGCTAACACGGTGAAACATCGTCTCTACTAAAAAATACAAAAAATTAGCCGGGTGTAGTGGCAGGCGCCTGTAGTCCCAGCTACTCGGGAGGCTGAGTCAGGAGAATGGTGTGAACCCAGGAGGTGGAGCTTGCAGTGAGCCGAGATCGCGCCACTGCACCCCAGCCTGGGCAACAGAGCGAGACTTCGTCTCAAAAAAAAAAAAAAAAAGTGGCAGAGTTGTGTTGTGTGTTAACTAAAGACTAAATCTAAAGCCTATGCCCTTTCCACAATGCCATGTTACTCTTCAACCCAGACAGATGCCATCACTTTCACTGGTGACATGGAGTTGAGATTCAGGAAAATAAAACACACACACTGACCTGTGCAGTGACTGGTGGCCCAGCAAACAGGGCCTTGTATGCAGAGGCAGCAACAGACAAAGCCCCCTTCACCAGTCCTCCAGCAATGCTGCTCCCATGATGGTGCCTGCAGAGGAAAACCAAATTATCTCCCCAAACAAACACAAATCATTACCTTTTTACAAGATAATCTGGGCTCTAATCCTTGGAATAAGATTTCCTTAAGAGAAAAAATTAGATGGAAAAAGAGAACACAATTGCTTTCATTATCAGCTTTATAGCTACAGATCATGGTTTGATGGAGGGCCCAGCTCTACTGGTGCAAGCAAGATAGGGGCACTGCAGGAAACACACCACTCTGGTAACCATGATGGCTCTCACTCCTAGCTGAAAATTAATGTGATCGAGGACACACAAGGATATCAACAGTTTGTCTGCTCAATTATTCTCTCAGAGAAAACACCTTGCAAAGGAAATGTGATTTTCTGGACACTGGCCTAATATGAGTGGAAGCAGAGAACCAGGTATGTCCAAGAAAAAATTATTTAAATGTATACTGGGCTTAACCTTTCTACCTTTTCCCCAGTGCTAAGAGTGAGGTAATTTGTGGACACTATTTCCTTGTCTGAAACATAAAACACTCTTTTTTTTTTTTGATGTTGTTTCACTTGTCAGCCAGGCTGGAGTGCAATGGTGCAATCTCAGCTCACTGCAACCTCCGCCTCCTGGGTTCAAGCAATTCTCCCACCTCAGCCTCCTGAGTAGCTGGGATTACAGGTGCCCGCCACCATGCCTGGCTAATTTTTGTATTTTTAGTAGACATGGGGTTTCGCTATGTTGGCCAGGCTGATCTTGAACTCCTGACCTCATGATCCACCCGCCTCGGCCTCCCAAACAGAACACTCTTAAACATCAGCTTTAGCCGTTTGTTCAGTGTTGCTCAAAGCCTTTAGAAGAAACAAGAATAAGACGGAACAAAGGCTCCCCTTCTCTGCTCTCTGAAGATGGGTACATACTGTGAGAGGCTCTTTTAAGCAGAAGGAATACAAGAATATCCACCTGCTTCTGAAAAAAGAGACTGCACAAGGTTGTTACCTTGAGTGGTCATAGCTCTTCTGTCTGCTGTTTACAAGTCCTGATGAGCCTCTGGGCTCTAAAAGCAAAAGAGCTGTTGGTTAGATGCAGCATCCATAAGCACCTACTGTTTCCTAACTCACAGCAAGGCTATTATTGAGGCAGGTGGCAATCTGATCACAGTGTTTGAAGTCTTTTTTTTTTTTTTTTAAAGTATTTGGGAAGTTTTAAGGGTAGTTTAAGTGATAAGGAGAAACTGTCCAGAAATGCAATGCAAGATGATTGTTTATTGAATCAGAAAAATCAACTCTATAATCCTAACACACTGATATATTTTGTAGTAAGAAAACAGACTCACAGCCATTAGAAACCTGCTGAACTGCTAGTCAGGAAAGGGGGAGATGGAGCTGGAACCTAGATTGTTTGGCTCCAAAGCCTGTGTTCTTTCCACTACCTCTATGAGGTCTAACAATATATTCAGCCAGAGAATAGAAATTAGAGTATGCAGGAGGAGCATGGAGAGAGTGAAGGGCAAGTTTTTTTTTTTTTTTTTTCAGACGGAGTCTCGCACTGTTGCCCGGGCTGGAGAGCAATGGTGCGATCTCGGCTCACTCCAACCTCCGCCTCCCAGGTTCATGTGATTCTCCTGCCTCAGCCTCCCAAGTAGCTGGGATTACAGGTGCCCGCCACCATGCCTGGTTAATTTTTGCTATTTTTTAGTAGAGACAGGGTTTCACTATGTTGGCCAGGCTGGTCTCGAACTCCTGACCCTATGATCCGCCTGCCTTGGCCTCCCAAAGTGTTGGGATTACAGGTGTGAGCCACCACGCCTGGCCTGTGAAGGGCAAGTTTCAAAAAACCACCAAGAATCACGAAGAGAGAGAGGCTATTTATACCTGGTTTCCATTAGACAGGAGCAGAGAAAAAGAGAAAAAGCTTAGGCTGATCATTACCTCCTCTGATCTGATCAGGGACTGAAGAAACTTCTGGTATGGTAACTGGTAAATCCACTCCTGGGGAACCATGATGATGTACACAAGGAGAGCTCCTTTCAGAAAGACACAATATGGAAAGTAAATTGAAAAGGCACTTATGGCAACAGTGGAGAAATAGTAAACACAGCACAGCAGTGCCAAATTCTCTACAGAGGCTTCACATTTCTGATCCAGATCACATGTCTGGATTTAGGGTTCCATCATAAGGGCTACATTCTACCCCATTTTCCTCTTTAGCCACAGGCAAGCTAGAAATGTTGGCTTCAGTCTGGTCATGTCCCCACCTATATCAAGTGGTGTCAATAAACGGAAATGTCTAGCTTTTGGGGAGAATGGTTTACATTATAGTCAAGGCTCCAGCATTTTCCCTACTATTAGGAGACAAGAATGATTCAGATAGATTCACCAGAGAATTAAAAATAATTAGTTTGGTTTTATAGTGTTTTTTCCCATAATGGATTTAACTTCCTAATTATGACTGTTTGGGTTGAGTTTTTGCTGCCTTTACTGAAGAGTCAATAAAACAAGGAGGGAAGGTCCAGGGATGTTTGTGTTTAAAAACTGGCTCTCAGCCAGGCATAGTGGCTCACACCTGTAATTCCAGCATTTTGGGAGACCCAGGCAGTTGGATCGCTTAAGGCCAGGAGTTCAAGACCAGCCTGGACAACGTGGCAAAACCCCGCTTCTACAATAAATACAAAAATTAGCTAGGTGTGGTGGCCCATGCCTATAGTCCCAGCTACTCAGGGGGCTGAGGTGGGAAGATTGCTTGAGCCTCAGAGGCAGAGGTGGCAGTGAGCCAAGATTGTGCCACTGCACTCCAGCCTGGGCAACAGACTGAGACCCTGTCTCAAAAAAAAAAAAAAAAAAACACAACCAGCTCTCAATAATCAAAATATAAGCAGACAGACTATACTCAGATAATTTAAGGCCAACTAAAACAAATATTTCTTTAAATCCAGAATCCACAAATACTGGGAAATACAACTTTTATTCATCTAAATTCAGACTTTGCTATGGAAAATAGTCTCTTTCCATACTGAGGAAAAAACAGGTTTTGAGATCAGGTCGATTCCTCTCTTTATTTCACCTCTGAAGAACACCCCAGCTGAGGGGGCTGTGAGTGGTACCTGGGCAGTGACGGTGGAAGCTCCACTACCTCTGGGATTAGGGGCACTGTTTCCAGAGTCTGTGAGGTCGTGAGGATGTCACTTATGCTGTGCTCCTGTGGCTGGTTCTCCCCTCCAGGGAGTCTTTCCCCAGCCTCAGCTGGTTCCTGCCCAGCCTCAACCCCAGGCTTGCCTTCAGCACCTCGCTCCAGGCCTGGCTGTGAGAGCGCAGAGCTGTACATAGAATCCCCCAGGGGGCGGCTGGTATCAAAGCACTCAGGCAGGATGATGATGTAATCCTCTGAGGAAGCAGAGGACTGACTTTGAACTTCATCTTTGAGCTCATCCTCCTCCTCCTCATCCTCCTCATCCTCCTCCTCCTCCATGACAGCTTCTTCCTCAGCGATATGGATAATCTCCTCCTTCTCATTTCCAAGTGGTCCTTCAGGCAAGGCAAATGTCACTAAAGGATGAAAGCAACCAATTTTAAGGTGGAAGCTAAAAGCAGGCCTAAGTACTATCCTTACTTGGTAAAGCCTTGTGGATCATAAGCTAGAATTATGAAAGCCAGAGGAGAGGGAAGAACTAAAGGGAAGGGCTGGTTCTGGAACTATGACCATATTCTAAGTTTGAAGACTATGCAAAACAAAATAGAATCAAAGCTCACAGAAACAAGGTAGGCAGAAACACTCAGGTTTCCAAGAAGCTCTATGAATCATAAAAGGAGGCAGCTCCATCCCTTTTTTCCTTTTTATGTGATGGTTAATATACTGAGTAGAGTTTAAACCAAAACTGATACACTAACAGTGCTATAAAAAGAGAAAAAGTTAGGAGATGAGTATTGCAGGATTATATGTCTATCTCCTCCTCTTCTTTACAAAGATGATGCAGTCATGGGAGAAAACTGGCCAATCATGTTTGAGAGGGTAAAAAAGGATAGAAAAAAGCTACCCAGGGCCAGGCACGGTGGCTCACGCTTGTAATCCCAGCACTTTGGGAGGCCAACGTGGGCAGATCATGAGGTCAGGATATCAAGGCCATCCTGGCTAACACGGTGAAACCCCATCTCTACTAAAAATACAAAAAAATTACCCGGGCATGGTGGCGGGCGCCTGTAGTGCCAGCTACTCGGGAGGCTGAGGCAGGAGAATGGTGTGAACCTGGGAAGGCGGAGGTTGCAGTCAGCCGAGACCGCGCTGCTGCACTCCAGCCTGGGTGACAGAGACTGTGTCCCAAAAAAAAAAAAAGCTACCCAGGCCAGGTGTGGTGGCTTACGCCTAAAATCCCAGCACGTTGGGAGGCCAAGGCAGGCAGACTGCTTGAGCTCAGAAGTTTGGGACCAGCCTGGGCAACGTGGCGAAATCCCATCTCTACAAAAAAAAAAAAATTTAGCTCATTGTGGTAGCATGTGGCTGTGGTCCCAGTTGCTTGGGAAACAGAGGTAGGGGGACCCCAGGATGTTGTGGCTGCAATGAGCCATAAACTTGCTACTCGCACTTTAGCCTGGGCGAGTGAGACCTTATCTCAAAAAAAAAAAAAAAATTACCCATAAATCCTATCAGAATAACAGCTGTGAACATTTTGGTACTGTCTTTCCAGACCTTTTTGTTATGTATTTGTACACACATGTGGAAAAAAATATAAAGATATACATGACTGATTGATTTGAGATGGAGTCTCACTCTGTTGCCCAGGCTGAAGTGCAGTAGCATGATCTCAGCTCACTGCAAGCTGCACCTCCCAGGTTCACGCCATTCTCCTGCCTCAGCCTCCCGAGTAGCTGGGATTACAGGTGCGCCCGCCACCACACCCAGCTTATTTTTTGTATTTTTAGTAGAGATGGGGTTTCACCGTGTTAGCCAGGATAGTCTTCATCTCCTGACCTCATGATCCGCCCACCTCGGCCTCCCAACGTGCTGGGATTACAGGTATGAGCCACCGCACCTGGCCACATGTACACTTTATTATTTTTTTTTTTTAGACGGAGTCTCGCTCTGTCACCCAGGCTGGAGTGCAGTGGTGCGATCTCAGCTCACTGCAACCTTGGCTTCCCGGGTTCAAGCAGTTCTCCTGCCTCAGCGTCTTGAGTAGCTGGATCACAGGCACACGCTACCACGCCCAGCTAATTTTTGTATTTTTAGTAGAAATGGGGTTTCTCCATGTTGGTCAGGCTGGTCTCAAACTCCTGAGCTTGTGATCTGTCCGCCTCGGCCTCACAAAGTGCTGGGATTACAGGCGTGAGCCACTGCGCCTGGCCTTACATGTATACTTTAAACAAAAGTAAGATAAATAATATTTAAAGATATAGGTCAAATTTGATTATAATAAAGAGATTCTCCAATATTATTTTGACATAGTATATTTGAATTTTTGGATACTTCTTAAAATATATGCTATTGGTTCTATCTATCTGATACCTAGAAGTTTCTGTTATAAAGGTATTTATTCCTTTTTTTTTTTTTGAGACGGAGTTTCACTCTTGTTGCCAGGCTGGAGTGCAATGGCGCCATCTCGGCTAACCACAGCCTTCGCCTCCCGGGTTAAAGTGATTCTCCTGCCTCAGCCTCCCAAGTACCTGGGATTACAGGCATGTAATCCTTGGCATGTAGCCACCACACCTGGCTAATTTTTAGTATTTTTAGTAGAGATGGGGTTTCTCCATGTCGGTCAGGCTGGTCTCGAACTCCCAACCTCAGGTGATCCACCCGCCTCAGCCTCATAAAGTGCTAGGATTACAAGGGTGAGCCACTGTGCCCGGCCTATAAAGGTATTTATTACAGCAGAATTTAACCTTGAGAAACTTTGTTGGTACTCCTGCTTCTATCCACTGTTTCTGGGACTGCTGCCCTTGGAGAAAGCAGACAACTCAGCTACCCATAGGGGTCTCTGCTAAGGAGCTCTGTCAAATTACAGGAAGATTCCTTACTGCAGAATCCAGGCAGCACAACTGGCTGCTATTCCACTGTGGAATGCAGCTGTAATTCTGCCCCTGAGAAGATGGAGAAATGAGTATGATGGCTTCTTTACTCCTGATGCTCTAATTAGAACAGTCAGGTAGCATACGTAGAGTCTAAAGACACAAACAAGATCAGAATTTCTTTTTTTTTTTTTGAGATGGAGTCTCGCTTTGTCGCCCAGGCTAGAGTGCAGTGGCGCAATCTTGGCTCACTGCAAGCTCCGCCTCCCGGGTTCATGCCATTCTCCTGCCTCAGCCTCCCGAGTAGCTGGGACTACAGGCACCCGCCACGTCGCCAGGCTAATTTTTTGTATTTTTAGTAGAGATGGGATTTCACCATGTTAGCCAGGATGGACTTGATCTCCTGACCTTGTGATCCGCCTGCCTTGGCCTCCCAAAGTGCTGGGATTACAGGCTTGAGCCACCACGCCCCGCCAAGATCAGAACTTCTAACTAAGATCACTCTCCCTTCAGTCTCAGTGAAGAAGAGCACATCTAACTAGTCAAGTCTGGCAGTCACAATTCAGGTGCCACCCTGCTAGGTAGGGGAAATGCAAGGACACTCACTCTGCAAGGACTTCTGTCTGCAAGGAGGGTTGTGGTCTGGGGCAGCATCCAAGGTAAGGGATCGGATTACTGTCTCACACACAAACTGGGTCCCACTCAGGTCTTCTTCTGCTTCCTCCACAGAAGCAATGTTCTCAGCCTTCCTCTTTACTGACACCATAGAATCTGAAAGACACACGAACCTTATCTGCACTGGGTGTTTAAAGTGCTGAGGAACATTCACCAGTCATTACCCATGCTAAAACTAAACCAAGGAATAGCTGCTATCTAAACTTTGTCTGCACTTGGTGTTTAAAGTGCTGAAGAACATTCACCAGTCATTACCCATGCTAAAACTAAACCAAGGAATAGCTGCTATCTGTGCCATGTGAAGGTGAGGAGACTTCAAAACATGAGATGCTACAGAAAGCAAGCCCATTTACATGCTAAGGTAGGGTCAGTAGGGGATAGCTGTAAAATAGGGTATGATATGGAAAGGGAGGATGCAAATACTTTACAAATGTTTAATCCCTTACCAGGAAGTGCTTTAAATCCTGCCCCTTCATTCTCTTCCTCTATCTGCCCCAAGCCTGGCTTCTCTATTAAAGGACTGTCATGTGGCAGAGGAGACATGCAGGGAGTCACATCTGGAGAATGAAGACAGGAGAACCATCAATCAAGAGAAAGCATCATATCATCAACAGTCAGTGTCCAGAAGTAGCAGTTTGTAGGCTTCTTGCCTCCCGCAGGGCTAAAATAAACCAAGATATGCTTTGAGGTCTGTTACAAAAAATTTCTCCAGACCAATAAGTAAGCAAAATATCTCAGATCAATCAATGCAGGAAGAATCACAGTTATTTAGCCTGGAAAGCTGTGGCCAAGACACAAAACCATGAACATAAAGGAACAAAAGGACACAAGTATCTAGAGGGAAAAAAGAGAAGAGGATTCCTTTATAGTGGAAAAGCCTTGCACGAACTTGTTTTATTGCTTTTTTTTTTTTTTTTGAGATGCAGTCTTGCTCTGTCACCCAGGCTAGAATGCAGTGGCACAATCTCGGCTCACTGCAACCTCCGCCTCCCAGGTTCAAGCAACTCTCTGCCTCAGCCTCCCGAGTAGCTGGGATTACAGGCACCTGCCACCATGCCTGGCTAATTTTTGTATTTTTAGTAGAGATGGGGTTTCACCATCTTGGCCAGGCTGGTCTTGAACTTCTGACCTTGTGATCCACCAGCCTTGGCCTCCCAAAGTGCTGGGATTACAGGCGTGAGCTACCGTGCCCAGCCTCTTTTTTTTGTTTGTTTTTTGAGATTGGGTTTCACTCTGTCATCCAGGCTGGAGAGCAATGGCACAATCCTGGCTCACTGCAGCCTCTGCCTCCTGGGATCAGGAGATTCTCCCACTTCAGTCTCCCTGGTAGCTGGGACCACAGGTGCAGGCCACCATGCCAAGCTAATTTTTTTTTTTTTTTTTTTTGAGACGGAGTTTTGCTCTTGTTGTCCTGGCTGGAGTGCAATGGTGCAATCTCAGCTCACCACAACCTCCGCCTTCTGGGTTCAAGCAATTCTCCCGCCTCAGCCTCCCGAGTAGTTCGGATTACAGGCATGTGCCACCATGCCCAGCTAATTTTGTATTTTTAGTAGAGAAGGGGTTTCTCCATGTTGGTCAGGCTGGTCTCAAACTCCCGACCTCAGGTGATCTGCCCGTCTCAGCCTCCCAAAGTGCTGGGATTACAGGCGTGAGCCACCGTGCCTGGCCACACCCAGCTAATTTTTAAAAGTAATTTTTGTAGAGATGGGGGTTTCACCATGTTGCCCAGGCTGGTCTCAAACCCTGGCCTCAAGTGATCCTCCTGCCTTGGCCTCCCAAAGAGCTGGGATTATAGACACGAGCCACCATGCCCAGCATGTTGTTACTTTTGACAAAGGACAGGAAAGAAGAAAAACGGATCCATGATTGCTGCTTTACTATCCTACTGTGGGAGAAATCCTTGCCATTTCCTCAGAATAAAACACTACCAGTGTCTAGGCTGTGGTACTTTTGTGCCTATTAGTAAGACGAACAAGATGAAATGAGTGACATTCTTACCCACAGGGGTGTTGTGGGGCACTCTCTCCAACTCTTGAACAATGTTTATATCCAACAGCTCAAAGGACAGCAGGTCCTATAAAAAAAGACAATGTTAGGCTGTTTGGAGTGCATGCTGGAGCCATGTCTTGATGGGACCTGTAGACCATTTCCACATCATTTCGTATTCAACTCTGTTCAAATTCATGCCTGTCCCCAGACAAGTGAAAACAAGAAGAGTTAAATGGGAATTAGATGTTGAAATAACCCAATAGCAGGAAAGAGAAAATGCAGCAGGTATGAAGGAGAATTAGCTAGGCCAAGGTGAAGAGGCAACTAAAGGGAGTTTGTGGGGAAGTACAGGATTGAGTTCCCAATTCAAAGAGGAAACATCTAGTTTACAAACTTGCTTCCATGGGTGATCTCCTTCCCATTAAATATACCTGACTAGATCAAAGTGGGCATATCTCTGATTTCCTGATTACTGCCTATGGCTCTACCACCTTCTCTCCTGTGCTCTCTCCCTCTGTCCCTTGCCCTTCAAAGTGCTGAATCTTCCACCTGGGCAGTCAGAAGATCCACAGATGGGATGTAGAGCTCCCTCTCACTGGCAACATTTTTTGCCTTCTGTGGGATGCAGGCTGCTGTCCCTTCTGTCTGCTCAGTCACTTCACCAAGCTGTCTTTCTTCTTTAGCCAGAAGAAAAGTTTCCTATAGAGACAAACCATTGAGACAAATTTTAGGCCTTCAACAGAACTGAAGAGGCAGGCTGACAATGCCCCCAAAAATAAAAACGCTGCTGTACCTCCATATTTTAAAAAACAATGTTTTTGATATATTTTTACAGTTATAGAAAAAGTTGTAAAAACAGCAGAGAGAATTCACATTCCCCAGCTTCCCCTAATGACGATAACTTATATTAACTATAATAGTCAAAACCAGAAAATTAACATTGGATAACTTTAAGCAGTAAACACTCTGCCCCACTAATACAGAGAAATTGCATTAAAAAACTGTTCACTAAGTAGCAACCAGGGCAAGACTTCATTAGTATTTAGGGAACATACACAGGGTATTTCAGGAGAGATGGATGTTAAGGAGTAAAGCTATCAGTTCAGCAGTTCCACAGGCCAGCCCAGGCCAGGAGTCCCTTTTTCCCTTGTGCAGCCAACAGGCTGACCATGCAACATCACAAAGAGGTACAAAAGTATTCAGTATGCAGCAAGACCCTAAAGACGCTAAAACAAACACCCTAAGGAAGAGGCCAAATATCAGCATAGAGATGTGTTGGGGCGGGGGGAGATGCTAACCTTTCAAGGTTTCTGGAAAACAACCAGCTATGAGTGGGTTCTTTTAGTTTTAGCCATCTCCTCTCTAACTAAGATTTGGATACTAGGCCAAAGCCTGTCAGTCAATGCTCACCTCTTGCTGGCAGGTGAGATCATCAGTTTTGCTTGAGCTGATCATGCCCTTTTCAATGTTATCAGGGCTCTCTTCGGAGGGGAAAGGATCTACTATGATACTGCACCAGACCCGAGGCCCAAATTGCTGGCCTTTGTGAGAAAGACGCCAATGGGAAGTATACGTTCCCTCCAAGGCTGGGGCAATGAACTCCACAGATACAACTCCCACATGGCCGGCCTTGAGGCAGGGAACCAAAACATCCTTCTTTTCTGTGGAAGCCAAAGTCAGGTTTCCCCACATGAACTTGAGCTGAAAAGAACAGTAAGAAGAGAAAGCAAGCTTGTCAGCTGAGCACTCTGCCACTTCAAATCACCTCATCTTTGCATTTTGTGGGAAAAATTACCTTTGTGTCTGCACTCCACTTTACATTTCCTGTATTTTTCATCCTCCAGTGTTTGATAAACTTGGTTCCTGGCTGAAGGTGAGTCCCATCAGGCAAATTCTCATCCACAAATGCTGCACTGAGCATTGGCATAACGGAGGTACAGGGCTGCAAAGGGAGCCTGAACAGAAATTCAGATGCTTAGTCACTTGCTGTTGGGTGTGAAGGCTTCTGAATACCTCACACTAGCTTGAGAGTCTGACTGTGACTCTTGAAAATGTGCTAACCCATTTGCCTTAAAAATAATACTGATATTACTAGTATAGGACCACATATTAGAAACAATAAATTTTCTGACAAACTTAAAACAATAAAACAAAACAGAGGATAGGTCTCACTCCTGAGCTAAAAAAGTCATGGTAAGAGTAATTAAAAGGGCCTATAAATACAACACCTAGAGAGTCAGGCTTTTAACACATTTGTTCCTTTTGCTTCAATTCCAGATTGCCTCCAATGAAGAGAGGGACCCCGCCATTTTGAACTTTAGTGGTTTCTATCTTTCTGAAGAAGGAAACAAAACAAGTGTCAAAAATAACTACGAAACTTGGCCAGGCGCGGTGGCTCACGCCTGTCATCCCAGCACTTTGGGAGGCCAAGGCAGATAGATCACGAGGTCAGGAGATCGAGACCATCCTGGCTAACACGGTGAAACCCTGTTTCTACTAAAAAATACAAAAAATTAGCTGGGTGTGGTGGCGGGCACCTGTAGTCCCAGTTACTCGGGAGGCTGAGGCAGGAGAATGGCGTGAACCCAGGAGGTGGAGCTTGCAGTGAGCCGAGATCGCGCCACTGCACTCCAGCCTGGGCAACAGGCGAGACTCCAAGACTCCGTCTCAAAAACAAAACAAACAAAAAACTACCAAACCACCCTTTAATAATACTAAGACCACGCCAGGCAGGCGCAGTGGCTCACACCTGTTATCTCACCATTTTGGGAGGCCAAGGCGGGCGGATTCATGAGGTCAGGAGTTCGAGACCAGCCTGACCAACAGGATGAAACCCCATCTCTACTGAAAAAATACAAAAATTAGCCGGGCATGGTGGCATGCACCTGTAATCCTAGCTACTCAGGAGGCTGAGGCAGGAGAATCACTTGAACCCGGGAGGCAGAGGTTGCAGTGAGCCTAGATCATGCCACTGCACTCCAGCCTGGGCGACAGAGCGAGACTCCATCTCAAAAAAAAAAAAAAAAAAGCCGGGTGCTGTGTGGCTCATGCCTGTAATCCCAACACTTTGGGAGTCCAAGGCGGGCGGATCACGAGGTCAAGAGATCGAGACCATCCTGGCTAACACGGTGAAACCCCATCTCTACTAAAAATACAAAAAATTAGCCAGGCGTGGTGGCGGGTGCTTGTAGTCCCAGCTACTCAGGAGGCTGAGGCAGGAGAATGGCGTGAACCCGAAAGCAGAGCTGGCAGTGAGCCGAGATCGCACCACTGCACTACCGCCTGGGTGACAGAGCAAGACTCTGTCTCAAAAAACAAACAAACAAAAAATACTAAGACCAGATAATGGAAAGTTTTAAAGATTTAGGTGTTAAGGGCTACCAATAAATAAGACGGAAATTGGTTGAAGTTCCAGTTTCAGAGAGCTGGGCCTAAAGTTTTGGCTCCCACCCCAGTCCTGGGCTTACATCAGGGTATTAGACTGGAGCAAGCTCTCAGGTCGGCCTAAAGGAGACTTGGGGCTCTGGAGTCCATGGATTGAATTCCACAGGTGAATTTTCCTATGGAGTTTAAGCTGCTTTTTAAGTTCCTTGACCTCTGCTTTACGTTGTTTCTTCTCAGCTCGCAACCTTTGCTTTTCTGCTTTAAGAAAGTTCTTATCAACCTGTTTCTGGAGCCTGTGAGATAATAAAAGCAAGTCTTAAAAGAAAGTCACAAATAAATTCTGAAGCTATGTGGAGCCAATTGCAATTTCCATCAGTGTCAGCTTCCAGTTTAATTTCTTTTTTTGTTTTAGAATTAGGGTCTCACTCTGTCATGTAGGCTGGAGTACAGTGGTCTAATCATGGCTCCCTTCCACCTCATATTCCTGGGCTCAAGCAATCTGCTCACCTCAGACTCCCAAGTAGCTGAAACTATAGGTACGCACCACCACGCCTGGCTAATTTTTAAATTTTTTTTGTAGAGGCGGGATCTTGCTATGTTGCCCAGGCTGGTCTCAAATATTTGGCTTCAAGCACTCCTCCCACCTTAGCCCCTCAAGTTGCTGAGATAACAGTTATGGGCCATTGTGCCCAGCCTACTTTAGTTTCTTAATTTCTTTTTATAGCTATTATTTCTATTTCACTAACTTTGGATAACTGTCTTCATTATTGCACATCAATTGAAAATGAGCAGAACTAAGGAGACTATCTGTAGTTTTGTGATTCATACCCTGTCACCAGAACCAAGAAGTCAATCAGAGAATAAGCATCTCCATGTAGAGGGTTTTACCTGACTTGTTCCAGAGCAGCAGGAAGACGAGGAGTAGAGTACTTTGAGTGACAGAACGGTTCAGAGGAGCCCACAACAGGTCTCCGCAACTTCAGCAGGACGTGGTTAGTGTCATGGCCATATGGCCCTGCTTCACAATCTTCACAGATATTGTAGGATGGGCATAGGCTGTGGGGAAAGAATGGCACAATACACAATGGCAGAATAGGAAGTACCTGGGGTAGGGAGATATAAGACCATACTTCTATGTTTGCTCCAGTACCAACTAGCAGGTAACCTGAGCATGCCATCTGACTATGCCATGCCTCAATTTTCCTCATTAATAAAATGAGGATAATAACACTTAACCCATATCCATTTTAAATGAAAATCTATGGGAGGAAGGTAAGATGTGAAAGTACATGGGGCCAGGCACAGTGGCTCATGTCTGTAATCCCAGCACTTTGGGAGGCCATGGAGAAGAGGATCATTTGAGTCCAGTAGTTTGAGACTAGCCTGGGCAATATAGGGAGACCCCATCTCCAAAAAAATAATTAAAAGGCAGTCTGTGATCCCAGCTACTTGGCAGGCTGAAGTGGGAGGATTGTCTGAGCCTGGGAGGGTGAGGCTGCAGTGAACCATGATTGCACCCTGCACTCCAGCCTGGGTGACAGAGACCCTGTCACCAAAAAAAAAAAAAAAAAGGCATTTGGAACAACCGAGGAACTACCCTTAGTGATCTAATTTTGTCCGTTCAGGGGAACATAATTTTGCCTGGCTTTGCTAATCCAAATGCACATTTGAACACAACAATCTGAATAGTTACAACATACAAAGCATGTGGGTGAAGAGTAGCTTGTGCTTCCAACTCACAGCTACAACATCTAATGCTCAGAAACAGGGTACAATTAATTTCCCTTTACCTACACAGAAAGCCAGGGAGGTAAAAGCTGTAAGGTCTATCACTAGCTAGCTACTCCCAAGCAACTGCTTACCTACACTGGTAGCGGACACCAACAATCCTTCTTTGGCAGTTGTTGCAAGCAATATGCCAGCTGAACTGGTTTTCTGGCAAAAACAATGTTTCTTCTGAAGTAGGCATTGAGACTTCTGAGGGACAAGAACCCAAGGATGGGTTCTGGAGGACAAGCTTTTCATGTAATTTCTGTTCAAGCTTCTCAACCGTTTCGTTAACCACTTGTTCTCTGAACTAGAATATGGAGCAGAAGGTAGGGAAAAAACTCAGTTCCAATATCAGAAAAAAATGTGAAGATATCAATAGATCTGAAACCTAACTGTCTCTGGTATAATACAAAAACACAATAAACAACTGCTACTGAATAGACAGAAACATAGCAAAAGGTCTATTCCTTCCACAGCTAAACTGGTTCGAAGAAAATATCAAAACATCCTTTTGATAAGTAAATTTCTAACTTTTTCTCAAGCAGAGAGTTGTCCCTCTCCCTTACATGCTTAGAATTAGACTCCCTCTTTTTCTGACACTTCACTGCAAAGGTTAGAGCTTTCTCGACTGGAACTGTTCTAAGTTTGGAAATTATAAGCTACCACTCTTCACCGGTACTAGAGGCAGCAGCCACCTGGGTTCAGTTTTCTATTTCTTCCACATTCCACCTGTGCCAACACCGCAGTTAAAACCCAAGCGAGACAGAACACTCACCGTCTCCAGGTAGCTTGTGAACCAGTCTGGGGGCTTGTCTTGAGGCTGGTCTGTGTCACATGGAACAAGTGGAAACGACTGGGAGAAAACACAAGCCGAGATGTTAGAGGTTACTTTTTCTATTTAAAATACTTTTCCTGGAGTGTATTATTTTGAGGTTTCTTTTGTGAAATCATACAAGTATATAATTTTTTAAAAAGTCACAGTATGAAGGCGTACTAAAGGAAAACAAAGTCTCTAGCCTGCTCCCCTTCTACAGAAGTAAACTATTACCAGTTTCAAAAGTCAGAGAGAGGAGCACACTAATTCCCAAATCTCTGATAAATGTGCAAATCTTACAACAAAGACAATGAGAAATAAATCTAGAAATTGGATAGACTGAAACAGGCAATGGGGAAAGGATTCCCTATTTAATAAACGGTGCTGGGAAAACTGGCTAGCCATATGTAGAAAACTGAAACTGGACCCCTTCCTTACACCTTATACAAAAATTAACTCAAGGTGGATTAAAGACTTAAACATAAGATCTAAAACCATAAAAACCCTAGAAGAAAACCTAGGCAATACCATTTAGGACATAGGCAGGGGCAAAGACTTCATGACTAAAACACCAAAAGCAGTGGCAACAAAAGCCAAAATTGACAATGGGATCTAATTAAACTAAAGAGCTTCTGCACAGCAAAAGAAACTATCATCAGAGTGAACGGGCAACCTACACAATGAGAGAAAACTTTTGCAATCCATCCATCTGACAAAGGGCTAATATCCAGAATCTATAAGGAACTTAAACAAATTTACAAGAAAAAAACAACCCCATCAAAAAGTGGGTAAAGGATATGAACAGACAATTCTCAAAAGAAGACATTTATTCGGCCAACAAACCTATGAAAAAAAGCTCATCATCACTGGTCATTAGAGAAATGCAAATCAGGCCGGGCGCAGTGGCTCACGCCTGTAATCCCAGCACTTTGGGAGGCTGAGGCGGGTGGACCACGAGGTCAGGAGATCAAGACCATTCTGGCTAACATGTTGAAACCCCATCTCTACTAAAAATACAAAAAAATAGCTAGGCGTGGTAGTGGGCGCCTGTAATCCCAGCTACTCGAGAGGCTGAGGCAGGAGAATGGCGTGAACCCGGGAGACAGAGCTTGCAGTGAGCCCGGATTGCACCACTGCACTCCAGCCTGGGCGACAGAGTGAGACTCCATCTCAAAAAAAAAAAAAAAAAAAAAAGAGAAATGCAAATCAAAACCGCAATGAGATACCATCTCACACCAGTTAGAATGGCAATCATTAAAAAGTCAGGAAACAGGGCTGGGCATGGTGGCTCACACCTGTACTCCCAGCACTTTGGGAGGCCGAGGTGGGCGGATCACAAGGTCAGGAGTTCCAGACCAGTCTCACCAACATACTGAAACCCTGTCACTGCTAAAAATACAAAAAATTAGCCAGGTGTGGTGGTGTGTGCCTGTAATCCCAGCTACTCGGGAGGCTGAGGCAGGAGAATCACGTGAACCTGGGAGGCAGAGGTTGCAGTGAGCCAAGATCACGCCACTGTACTCCAGCCAGGGCGAAGGTGCAAGACTCTGTCTCAAAAAAAAAAAAAAAAAAAAAAAAGTCAGGAAATAATAGATGTTGGAGGCCGGGCGCGGTGGCTCACGCCTGTAATCCCAGCACTTTGGGAGGCCAAGGCGGGCGGACCATGAGGTCAGGAGATCGAGACCATCCTGGCTAACACGGTGAAACCCTGTCTCTACTAAAAATAAAAAAAATTAGCTGGGCGTAGTGGCAGGTGCCTATAGTCCTAGCTACTCAGGAGACTGAGGCAGGAGAATGGTGTTAACCCGGGAGGCAGAGCTTGCAATAAGCCGAGATCGCGCCACTGCACTCCACAGCCTGGGCAACAGAGTGAGACTCCGTTTCAAAAAAAAAGAAATAATAGATGTTGGAGAGGATGTGGAGAAATAGAATGCTTTTACACTGTTGGTGGGAGTGTAAATTAGTTCAACCATTGTTGAAGACAGTGTGGCGATTCCTCAGGGATCTAGAACCAGAAATACCATTTGACCCAGCGATCCCATTACCGGGTATATACCCAAAGGGTTATAAATCATTCTGCTATAAAGACACATGCAAACGTATGTTTATTGCAGCACTATTCACAATAGCAAAGACTTGGAACCAACCCAAATGCCTATCAATGATAGACTGGATAAAGAAAATGTGGCACATGTACACCATGGAATAATACGCAGCCATAAAAAAGGATGAGTTCATGTCTTTTGCAGGGACATGGATGAAGCTGGAAACCATCATTCTTAGCAAACTAACTCAGGAACAGAAAACCAAACACAGCATGTTCTCACTGATATGTGGGAGTTGAACAATGAGAACACATGGACACAGGGAGGGGTACATCACACACGGGGGCCTGTCAGGGGGTGGGGTGATAGGGGAGGGATAGCATTAGGAGAAATACCTAAGGTAGATGATAGGTTGATGGGTGCAGCAAACCACCATGGCTCATGTATACCTATATAACAAACCTGCACATTCTGCACATGTATCTCAGAACTTAAAGTATAATAAAAAAATAAAATAAAGAAACCTGTTCAGCTTTATTTAAAAAAGAAAAAAGAAACGATATTGGATAGACTGGGCCATACCCTTCATACCTGCACTGCAGGATCCTCTGGGGTCTTCATGTCTGATCCCAAGACTCTCACCAGTGAAGAGTAATGTGCAAGTGGCTTCTTCCCTGCCCTGGCAGCTAGTCGTTTTGCTCCTACAACTGGGGGTGGGGCTTCATCAACGACATGGTGCCCTTCGTGGACTTGCATCTGCAGTTGGTTTCCCTGTTTAACTGCCATCTAAGAGCATACATTATGAAACAAAAACATGCGACGTGATTATCTTCTCCTAAATAACATTTCAAAGACATCAAAACAGAAGAGTGTGGTAAGTTATGCTAGAAAATACTAGGATTTGTGTTTGCTTTATTAAATCCAACAACAAATGTAATGTTTACACTCAACTTGCTATTTCTTTGGTAAGAATGTTAACTAGAAATTTATTTATTTATTTATTTATTTATTTATTTATTTATTTATTTATTTTTGAGACGGAGTTTTGCTCTTGT